>NC_000023.11:10887488-11512488 GCF_000001405.40 Homo sapiens
CCAAGAAGCATATTCTTCACATGTCCCTATTTTTAAAAATACCATATTAAAGTTAATTTAAAAATGCTGAATTAAACAATGTTAATCAGGCATGCAGGACTTACCAGTCATAAAAGTGCTAATGTGTGCTGTGGATCTCCAAGAGATGAATATAAAATGAAATGCTGTGTTCCAACAGGTTACTTGTCCACACAATTCCTTTTTCATGGAATTACCTCTCTCACAGAGCTATAACCCTCATACAGCAGTAATGCTCTGTGGTAGGCACTTTGGGACATTCTATGTTCAAGGGATGACCTGAAGTCTACTGATTTTATCCTGGAAAGTGGGGGTCACCATCTCATGAGAACACAGTCACTTTTCTGCTCAGGTGGTCTGCATATAAAGCAATGATAGCTACAAAACATCAGTATCCTGATCCCCAGGGCTGATTCTGATGATTTTACTGGATGGAATGGTGTTTTTTTTCACTTGCACTACTCCCTGTGTAGGTTCCTCCTGCACCTATAAGCTCAGAAATATCAAATTCTTAAAAAGATGAATGTAGTACTGGTTTCGGTCAAGGGCATCACTTATTCTGGCTGTGCGTTATGCTGAACACATCATCAGTGGATACTGCAAGATAACACAACCTTCATTTGTACTGTGCTTTCCATAGTCATTTAAGCCTGCATTGCAATTTAGTTTCTTGATTAGCGTTTCCTAAACTTTAGGATCATAATAATCACCAGTGGAACTTGGGAAAAATCATGATTCTTGAGTTCCACCAGCCCTGCAGTCTCCAGTTGGGAGGTCATATGTTTTGAAATGCTCTCCTAGTGAGGCTTATGATCAAGCATCTTTTGGAAATTCAAACTTGGCTACATATTACATGTTTTATTTTTTTTTCCAAATACCAGAATTCTAAACAAAACCCACTGCATCAGAATCTCCAAAGGTGGAATGGGTATCTGTATTTTTAAATGTCTAAGAAATCAGTCAGTCTTTGAGGGGAGCCACAGCTCTATACCATACGCCAGAGATGTACTGACAGCTAGGGATGAAATTGGAAACCAGCTTCTCCAATTTGAAGTCTCAGGTTTCTTTTATTGGACCACTTAATATTGGTCATGAGGTACTGACCAGCATGGCACCCTAAACGGGAGGAGCCCAAATACATACTGAACGAGTAAGGAAGGAATGTCAAAAGTAATACCTGAAAATAAATACTTTTCTCTGAAAATAGGCTGAGTTGAGAGAAGGGAATTCATCCAAAATTTCCCCATGTGGTTTGGCCAATAGGCTCTTCTTGAGAAGATGTGATCATTCCACTTTACCTTCCAGTATTTTCTACAGTGGAAAACAGCTCCATAGGTTTTCTTCAGGACATGAGATACCTCCCCAAACATTATCAGGCAGTTTTCTGACTAGTGATATGTTTTCCCAATGTATTTTCATTTCTGTTTTGTCCCCCCAACCATGAGCCTGAATATATATAGAACAAGCTCTCCACGGGGAGACATGGCCTCCTGAGTGGGAAATGTGTGAGCCCTGCTGTAAAGGAGGAGACTCATCATCAGCTATTAGACTCTAGAAACCTCATGCTAGAAAGAAGAGGCAATCTCAACACAGTTACAAAACTAGCTAATCATACTGTCAGCCCTGAGAAACTCTTATTTGAAGAATTAGCACAAATGGTAGAAGGAAGTGAAAAAGAATTAAAAGAGAACTTCTGGAACTAATTTTGTTAACATGATTCCTACAACAAGACACCCCTCAGGGATCAAGATGCAATTTCTTTTGTAAAAAATTTTTTTATATTTCCATAGGTTTTTGGGGAAACAGGTGGTGTTAGGTTACATGAGTAAGTTCTTTAGTGGTGATTTGTGAGATTTTGGTGCACCCATCACCCAAGCAGTATACACTGAACCCAATTTGTTGTCTCTTATCCCTCACCCCCTTAAGACGCAATTTCTTTTTAACAGTTCATCTTTCCTGGGCGATAAATTTTAGACTTACAGAAGAGTTTCAAAGATAGTACAAAGAGTTCTCATATATCCTTCATCTAGCTTTCCCTATCCTTCACATCTTATATAACCATCAAAATTTTATTAAAACTAAGAAATTGACTTTAGCTTAATACCATTTTAAATGGTATTAATACCATTTAAATAAATCCAAAGTACAGGATTTATTCATATTTCATCAGTTTCCCCACTGATGAAAAAGAAATCCTGTCCCTTGAGAGGTTTTTAAATCAAGACATGTCTTTTGTTGTTGTTGTTGCAGGCATCCAGTGAGGATTCCACATTGCATTAACTTGTCACATTTCCTTAGTCTCCTCTGTTCTGTGAGTTTCTCTTTCTTTCCTTGTCTTTCAGGACTTTGACACTTTTGAGGAGTACTGGTTACTTCTTTTGTAGAATGTCGTTCAATTTGGGTTTGTCTGATGTTTTCTCATGATTTAGAATGAGGTTTCACATTTGGGGAAATAATACTCCTAGATCACCTAGCTAAGCTGGTGTCTGCCAGAATTCTCTACAATAAACTTACTATTTTCTCTTTGTAATTATTAAATATGTTGGGAGAGATACTATCCAAACAAATATCCTGTTATTGCCTAGACTATCACCCACTCACTTTAACGTTCATTCGTGGATTTTTCCTGAGACAATTACCACTATAGTTTACTAATTCTATTTTTGAACTACTCAATTTAGAAGTTCTATTTTTTAATTTCCATCATTCTTTTTACTTTTATTCATTGGAATTATTCTGTAAGGTACAGTTGTTGTTTCTCCTCCATTTAAGACAAAATATTGAAAGGATAGAAACAGGGTATATAATTTGAGGTAGACTGGTAGAACAGCATGCATAGTTGATTGGATCTTCAGAATATGATACTGGACCACCATCCACTGATAGTATTCTACTATAAAGACAAGCAAAACATGCACAGGGCTGGGCACAGTTGCTCACGCCTGTAATCCCAGCAATATGATACTAGACCACCATCCACTGAGAGTATTCTACTATAAAGACAAGCAAAACATGCACAGGGCTGGGCACAGTTGCTCACGCCTGTAATCCCAGCACTTTGGGAGGCCGAGGCAGGTGGATCACTTGAGGTCAGAATTTCGAGACTAGCGTGCCCAACATGGTGAAACTGTGTCTCCACTAAAAACAAAATTAGCCAGGCATCGTGGCATGCAGCTGTAATCCCAGCTACTTGGGAGGCTGAGGCAGGAGAATTGCTTGAACCCAGGAGGTGGAGGTTGCAGTGAGCTGAGATCGTGCACTGCACTCCAGCCTGGGTGAAAGAGTGAGACTCTGTCTCAAAGAAAAAAAAAATCAACAAAAAAAACCATTCACAGGGCGTGAAAAGTTCTGGAGTTTCCACCTAAACTCCAGGTTTAGGATGCAGCAGGGTGGAGATGATGTGAGGAGGGGGTTGTTCCTGGTGGTGTCCATCTGAAGATGAAGAAGATGAAACACTAGCCAGGAACAAAAGTATTTCTGAGGTTCAGAGAGTATAAAGGCAGAAAAGGCTGAACAGGTGAGTGGCAATTGATGCTTGGTTATGAAACCAGTCAATATCAAAAGAATCTAAGCAAAAGGTGGCAGGCCAGTGACAAAATTCCATAAGGAAAATAGGCCAAAATCTTATGGGGCTTAAGACTGAACACAGAGGACTTTGTATGACAGCAGGGAATCCAGGCAAACGTAATAGACCCAGAAAACAAAAAGATCAGCTGGTATCATCAGAATTGTTCTCTGTGAATGGCCAGAAAGAAAATGTTTTAGGCTTTATAGTCTGTATAGTCTCTGTTCAACAACTCAACTCTGCTGCTATTACATGAACATGACCATATACATTATGTAAAGGAATGGCCATGGCAAAATTTGACTTGCAGTAGTAGCCAGAGCACAATTTGAGCACTGTATAATTTACCTCTTGATCAGTCCTGTCTCAACTTGAAAACTTCCCAAGGGGCAGAGAACTAAAAAAATGACTATAGTCACTTAAAATGAGGCATAACAATTTTACGAATTCTTGCTAATGATAGGGTCTTTGAGTTACTTTAGTTATTGTTTTTATCTAGACAGAGGGGTAAGCATTACTTTGGAACTTAATCAAGTTAGTTATTTATAGTACGTTTCCCCAAATTAGATACATTACACACTTTTATTTGGTAGTTAGAGTTCAGAAGTACATTATGTTGAAGTTTCTTGAAATTTTTTTGAACCAAAATTGAATACAAGTCACTGTTATTATTAAATGACCTCTTAACTTGAAATTTTATGATATGAGTAATTTGAACCAAGTTCTTGCCTTAAATTATTTCAGTAAGTTGAAATAAAGGAAATGCTAACATTCTCTCCATCCTTTGATTCATCTCTGGCCTGGTGTTTTGTTTAATGTTCTCCTTAAACATTATACCTTTGAAATATAAGCTTTTAAAACATAATAGTGACTAAATAGAGGAGGATGAACCAGGGGAGAACTTCAAATCATTTCACTCTAGGAGGGTTAAAATATATAGAAAATGTTAAACTAATCCTTTTGGGAGTGAGATATCAATTCCATTTTCCTTGTACCCTCTGGGCTTTTCTTGAATCTTTGAAATCCTTTCCCTATAACTGGAATCTCTGTGAAAATATTTCTGTATATTTATTCTCAAGTAGCATAAAAACACTTTAGAATTCTTTGTTAACTTAATTTTATGATATTTTACAATTTTGACAGCCTTGGAACTTAAATAGACACAAATATAATGCAAGATAGACAAAATGCATGACCATTCATCTGGGAGATGAATAAAAAGAAAAATTACCTTTCAATATTTTCAATTTCCATAATGTTCTATTAGTTCCCTGGAAATTTAATTTCAAACACATGTCACACTTTACAGATTTAATGTGAAGTAAAGGAATAAATTTCAGTGAAATATCAAAAAGATGTTTTCACATTTTAAATTTCATTAGACTGAATATTGGTATAAGACATACAGGATTCATGTCACAATCTACTATTTTGTAACATTGGAATTGAAATATTATGCAAATTATTTTTCATCTAAGAATTTTTCAGCAATTTGCTTTTACCTTGTGAAAAAAATAATAGTTTCACACCCCCAAACCAGTAGACAGACTATAGAATCACTTGGGTTTTAGGGCTATAGAAATTCCAATTATTATATTCATGCTTTCCTTTGGGTATAAATTAAGTAGGCCATGGGACAGTTTTGTAGAATGACCACAGCTTTACAAACCTTATGGTTCAGCAGATGTGGTTGTAAGATATGGGTTCACTGAAAAATATTCACCACTAAGCAATTTGAGGACTCCATTCTGAGGTTTTGATTTAAAAACCAGGAATTTCCAGTTGAAAATGGGTAGATTTACCATCATATTGGTCTTCAGATACAGAAATATTCAGTTGTGTCACATAAGCAACAATGTGAATCAGGAGTATTTCAAATTGCAATATTTTTACAAATCTGCAAGTCATGAGCTGAGAAAGGTGTTCAGCACATGCAATGACTCCTATTTCAGTTTCTTTTTGTTGACCTCAAGATATTCTGGGGCTTTTCTTGGTGTATAAATTAGAAGCCTTCATGGAGGCATTCACTTTGAAAGATTACCTCAATATTTAAGAAAATTATTTGAACAGTGTATTCTCTGATTAGTAAAATATGTGCATTTTCGAGTAAATGTGGTATTATTGAAGTGTTCTAAGATTTTAGAGGAAATATCATAGCTACAATCATTTCCTGGGCTGTGGATTTGAATAACATTATCCATATGTACATTGAGAAATTTCATAAAATCCTGAAATGCACAGGAACCAAGTAAGTACCTAGACATCCATGAGAACAGAGACAATGGAGCTTCAGAAACACATTAGTCAAACTCATGCTTCAAAGGTTTGAGTTAATAAAAAATTGAGTCAGACCAGCAGTACTACTTTCATCTAGATCAAAACTTCCCACTCTAATTCCTTGACTGTGAGAGGAAAGTGTATTTCCAGATTTTTCTTTGTAAAATAAAAGAAAATCTGAAAAATGCTGACATACTTCCTCAATGGTTTTAGAACTTGTGAAACTCATTACGAAACTCGTTGAGTTACAATCTAACATTTCCATAAAACAGGAAAGGCTGATGAAATTAACATGCTAAAAAGTTGCAAGGGAAACCTACCTCTACAATAAGGCAGGATTGCAGTACTGATCCTCAATGAGTGCTGTTTCTCCACCTGGGGGATAATTCCTAGTTGGTGGAATAGTGGAATACTTAGTCCTCAGAACCTTTTTTTTTTTTGAGATGGAGTCTCGCTCTGTTGCCCAGGCTAGAGTGCAGTGGCGTGATCTCTGCTCACTGCAAGCTCTGTCTCCTGGGTTCACGCCATTCTCCTGCCTCAGCCTCCCGAGTAGCTGGGACTACAGGTGCCCGCCACCATGCCTGGCTAATTTTTTGTATTTTTAGTAGAGGCAGGGTTTCACTGTGTTAGCCAGGATGGTCTCTATCTCCTGACCTCTTGATCCGCCCACTTCGGCCTCCCGAAGTGCTGGGATTACAGGCGTAAGCCACTGCGCCCGGCCCCTCAGAGCCTTTTAAGCTGTTCCAGTTTCTCACTTACTTTCCCATGGAATATTCAGAGTATCACTTACGGTTTTATTAGTCAGAACTCTTTGGTTTCCCAATCACATGTCCCTGTTTACTTGTAGTGTCCTTGAAAATGACCACACAAAACCTCACTGAAGTCACTCATATAGATAAATGAAGACCAGGAAGAATAAAAGTACTGTTTCAATTGCCTATGAAGTTGTCTGTTTTCTCTCACTAGATTATAATCTCTGTGAGGGTAGGGACATTAAGCATTTATCCTCAGGGTGTCATCAACACTAGTATGGTAGTTTGTACATAATATAGGAGCTCAATAAACTATTTTAGTTTGATTGATTACATCTGGGGTTATTAGCCCCTACACAGTGTGTTTCCTCTACTTATTATCAATTAAACTTCACAGTGACTTTTCCAGTTAGGCAATATTATCCTAAATTGCTGAAGTTCCAAGGTAACATCATAGGAAAGCAAAATAACTGGCATGAGAACTCAGGGTTTCTTAGTCCAGATTTATTATTTCCACTCCCCATCAGCTGCCTGAGAAAGTATTCAATGGACAGTAGTAGTTTCAAAATCTTTTCTCATTCCACAAAATAAAGGATAATAACTAGATTTTTAAAAATATAAATACCTAATATAAGAATCCTTTCTTGACCACAGAAAAGGAAGGGTTTTGAAATCCATTATTCCTTTCAACTTTGAAGGAACAGAAAAGTCTTCAGTTAATTATTTAGGGAAAAGACTTCCCAATCCCCAATCCAATATTTTCCTAATCACATTCCTAGTTGGAACATAGGCACTGAGTTTGGAACCTGAAGCTTATTTCCTGTCTAAAATTGTTTTCATTCATCGTATGTGAACACTTGTTTTTTATTGCAAAGTTGTTTACAAAGTTGAGCTGCCGGAATACATTTCTTTTAATGAACAAAAGAGTGATGGAATATTTAGCTGGAAGGAATTCACAGAGCTGCATGCAACTCGAAAATCGTTTTAAGGTTTAAAAGTTGTAATGTAGGCTTTCTAGTCCAAAGTGGAGGAATATAGAGGTAAAAAATTTTTAATAAAAGAATTGAATAACTCAGAAAAGGAAGTCTGACCATCTCTTCAAACTAAACAGAACTTGCTTTCATCTAAAATAATGTTTCATTCAATAAACATTAATGAATATAAAATCCTTGCTACATGCCAGGCATCAGGATACAAAGTTCATTAACATTGATCCTACCCATAACATAAAAGATCAATAATTTCATATCTTCATAAAAAATGGCAAATGACTTTCTAAAGGCAATTCATATAAGTGAGAGCAAATATTCAGAACCCCAGCAATTAGAACAATAATATCAACACATAAGGCTGAGATCAACTGCATATACAAGCCACCTTGAAGACAAAAACCTGGTACTTGGTCTATAGAATATGTGAATCAAAAGAGAGTATTCCTTTTTTTAATCGGTGAAACTTCAGTCTTTTTACTTAAATCAAGATATAATTCATGCACCATAAAATTTGCCATTTTCAAGTGAATGATTCAGTGCCTTTTAGTATACTTACAGAGTTGTGCAATTGTCACAACTATCTAATTCAATTTTCATCACTTTAATTAGAAACTCTGTACCCTCTAAGCTGTCATTAGCTGTTCCCTCCTTCCCCTAGTCCCTGGGAACCACACATCTGCTCTTGGTCTCTATGGATTTGTCTATTCTGGACATTTCATATCAATGTAATCATACAATATGTAGTCTTTTGTGATGGACTCCTTTTACTTAGCATAATGCTTTGAGTTTCATCTATGTTGTAGCAGGAATCAGTACTTCTTCCCTCTTTATAGTTGAAAAATATGTCATTGGGTGGATGGACTACATTTTAATCATTCATCAGTTGATGGACATCTGCATCGTTTATATTTTTGGCTATTATAAATAATGTTAATATGAACATTTGTGTACAACTTTTTGTGTGAACATGTTCCTTTGATAGGATTAACTTAGAAAAAAGAAAAGTAAGAGTGAAAAAGGCAGCTAACACTGTGCCAAAGACAGCAAATGGCCTATTATAAATCCACAAATCAGGATTCTAATATTCCCTAATTATTCCGAAGATAAGTCACTATGTCCTTTGCTACAGGACATATTCATGGGCCCCAAACCAGGCATACTAAATTTGAATTTCCAGGGAAGGAGGGTGAAAATCTCTATATTTAAACAAGCCTCCCAAGTGATTCTAATCATTAGCCAAGTTCAGGGAACACTGGTTTAGTCTTTGCAACTCAAAGTTGATTCCTGAGAATCTCTAGCACTGCATCTCCTGGAAGCTTGTTAGAAATGGAGAGTCTCAAGCCCCACTCCAAACCTACTGAATCAGAATCTCATTTTAACAAGATCCCCAGGTGAAAGGACTCCTTATTCAATAAATGGTGCTGGGATAGCTGGCTAGCCATAAGCAGGTGAACGAAACTGGACCACTACTTTTCACCATACACAAAAATTAGCTCAAGATAGATTAAAAACTTAAATATAAGACCTAAAACTATAAGAACCCTGGAAAATACCATTCTGGACATGGGCCTTGGGAATGAATTTATAACTAAGTCCTCAAAAACAGTTGCAACAAAAACAAAAATTGCCAAGTGGGACCTAATTAAACTGAAGAGCTGCACAGCAAAAGAAACTATCAACAGAGTAGATAGACAACCTACAAAATGGGAGAAAATATTTGCAAACTGTGCATGTGACAAAGGTCTAATATCCAGAACCTATAAGGAACTTAAACAATTGAAAGAGTAAAAAATAAATAACCCCATCAAAAAATGGGCAAAATACATGAACAGACACTTCTGAAAAGAAGACATACAAGCGTCCAACGAACATGAAAAAATGCTCCACATCACACATCAACAGAGAAATGTAAATCAAAACCACAATGAGATACCATCTCACACCAGTCACAATGGCTATGTGTAAAAAGTAAAAACACAACAGACACTGGCAAGGCTGTAGAGAAAAGGGGACATTTATACACTGTTGGTGGGAATGTAAATTAGTTCAGCTACCATGGAAAGCAGTTTGGAGACTTCTCAGAGAACTCAACACAGAACTACCATTTGACCCAGCAATCCCATTACTGGGTATATACTCAAAGGAAAATAAATCATTCTACCAAAAAGACACATGTACTTTTATGTTCACTTTGGCACTATTCACAATAGCAAAGACATGGAATCGACAACCTAAGTGCCCATCAGTGGTGGACTGGATAAAGAAAATGTAGTTCATATATACCATAAAATACTATGCAGCCATAAAAAAGAATGAAATCATGTCGTTTGCAGCAACATGGATGCAGCTGGAGGCCATTATCCTAAGTGAATTAACATAGGAAAATATCGTAAGTGAATTAATATAAGATTCCCAACCCTAGTTGCACATTAGATTTTACCTAGAGTGCTTTTAAGAAATATGATCCCTGTGTCCCACCCCAGGCCAATTAAAGCAGAATCTCTTAGGAGTTGGAGGTTGGGCATCAGTATTTCATTAGATTATTTTAGGTCCCAGGTGGGTTTAATGTGCAGCCAGGGTTAAGACACCTAGGAAGTCGTGATCCCTCTCCGGCAGCAGTCCCCAACCTTTTTGGCAAGAAGAACCAGTTTCCTGGAAGACAATTTTTTTCCACGGATTCGGGGATGGGTTTCAAGATGAAACTGTTCCATCTCAGATCACCAGGCACTAGATTCTCATAAGGGGTGCGCAACCTAGATCCCTCACATGCTCAGTTCACAATAGTGTTTGCGCTCCTATAAGAATCTAATGCCGCTGATCTGACAGTCGGCTGAGCTCAGGAGGTAAGCCTGCCACTCACCTCCTGCTGTGCGGCCCTGTACCGGCCTGCCGCCTGGGGGTTGGGGATCCCTGCTCTAAGGTAAGGCTAGGAGGTGAGTCCAAGAAGAATACTACGTTGTCACACAGCCTCTCCCACTGCAATACAGACATAAAATTTCATATACTTAATCCTTTAGTCCCACTATTTTCAAAAAGGGAAAAGGGAAGGGAAGGAGGAAGGGGAAAGGGAAGGGAGAAGGGAGAAAGCGAGTGAGAAGAGAAGGAAAAGAAAAAAGGAAGGGAAAAGGAAAGGGGAAAAGGAAAAGGAAGGAGAAAGGAAAAAGGAAAGGAAAGGAGGGAAGCAAGGAGGGAGGGAGGGAAGGAGATATAAGAGAAGAAAAAAGTGTTATAATATGCTACATAAGAACCTTATAGTTTGAATCAATTGCAACAATTTTTATTGGAGCATATAAAAAATTTCCCAGTTAAGTTTTAAAAAATTCTGTTGGGGTATCATTTACATACAGGGAAATTAATCCTTTTAGTGTATTGTTCTGAATTTTGACAAACCCATAAGCTTGTGTAACCACCACGGCAATCAAGGCACAGCAATTCCTTCACTCCCAAAAATTTCACTCGTGCTGACTCTGTAGTTAGCTCTTCTTTCCACCTGAAGACAACCACTGACCACTTTTCTGTCTCTACAATTTTGCCTTTTCAGGATGTCAAATAAGTGGAATATTGATTCTGGCTTTTTTCACATAGCATAATGAATTTCAGATTCATCCATGTTGTTTCATGTATCTGTAGTCTGTTCCTTTTATTGTTGAATACTATCCCATTGAATGGAAATGCCACTGTTTGTTTATTCACGCACCAATTATATGTTTGTGTAGTTTCACACCAGTCGATGTTTGGGTAGTTTCTAGTTTTTGGCAATTATAAATAAAGCCACTATAAACATTCACATACAGGTTTTTGTGCAAATATACATTTTAGTTTCTCTTGGGTTATTACCTAGGAGTAGGACTGTAGCATTGTATGACAATTTTGTGTTTAACTTTATAAGAAACCGCTATGCTCTTTTCAAACAGACCCCAGTGTTTTGGCTTCTCATCAGCAATATATGAGAGTTCCAGTTGTTTTGCATACTTGTCAACATTTAATACTGCCAGGCTTTCTGGTTTGTTTCTTTTAGTTTTAGCCATTCTGTGTAGTGATATCTCATTGCGGTCCTTTTAAGTTTTGATGCCCTAAATTATCCTCAACTGTATTTTTTTAACCTTGTTTTTTAAAATCTAGCAGGTAACCTGTTTTGTTGTTATTGTTTTTTTTCCCAGCATTAAAAAAAACTTGTACAGAATTAGACAGAAGAGTATAATAAATCTGTGTGAACTGATCACCTAGCTTCAATGGTTGTCAGTATTTGCCATTTCTTTTCATCAGTCACCACCATCAATTTTGTTTCTGGAGTCCTTTAAAGCAAATTTCATACTTTATTTCATTAGTTAATATTTCAATACGAATCCCTGGAGGAACTTCAAAAATAAAGCAAAGGTAATCACATATAACAAAATTAGCAATAATTCTTTAATATCCCCTAATAATCAGTCTATTTTCAAATATCCTCAATTGCCTCAAGCATGTCTTTTAAAAAACTGCTTTGTTTAAATTTAATTTGCTTATGATATGAAGTGGAAGCTATAAAATCCAAGGTCCTACTTTTTTTTCAAATGATTGTGGTTCCACTCAATTTTCAGAAATAGTTTGAAGTCAGTTCAGATTTTACTGAGCTATAGTTTATCTATTCAAATTATATTTTTGTTATACAACAGCAATTGGGAATTATAAGGCAGATATTAAGAACATTGAATTGGCATATCATTTAACTGACAGATCAAAACAGTTAAAAGATGCCTGCCACTAATGGACAGTACAGCCAATTGGTTCTGTTGGCAGTGAATATATGAGTTGGCATTACCAGTCCAGGGTAGTGGGGAGAGGACAAATGGGTAGTAGGGGAATGGGAAGGGATTCTTTATTTGGCCAACAGACAGAAGGGATCACTTCTCTCACCTGGCATTGTTACAAATAAGGTTTGTTCATAGTGGGCCCCTAGCACAACTATGGAATTGATAAAACACTATCAAGAGGTGTGTGTGTCACCAGGGCCTGTTGTGGGGTGGGGGGAGGGGGGAGGGATAGCATTAGGAGATATACCTAATGCTAAATGACGAGTTAATGGGTGCAGCACACCAACATGGCACATGTATACATATGTAACAAACCTGCACGTTGTGCACATGTACCCTAAAACTTAAAGTATAATAATAAAAAAAAAAACAAATCCAAAATATTGGGGTTAAAAAAAAAGAGGGGTGTGTGTGTGTGTGTGTGTGTGTGTGTGTGTGTGTGTTGTCCCAGAGGTTTCATCCAAATACAATTTTGGCTTTATTTTGTTTACAAGAATTTTTTCTTTCATTCACTTTAGTTAGTAAGTAGACAAGACTTTATTGTGAATTTGTTCCATTATTGCTTTTATCTTTTTAAAATGTGGTTTAGCTCACAGCCAAGTCATATAAAAGTAATTAATATTTAGATTTGAAGATCAGCATCTTGGTGATTTCTGTTTTGATTTTTTTAAGTATATGGTTCATTTTAAATTCCAGATTGGAACAGGCTTTTTCTTCAATCCAAACCTATATGGATTCCTACAGCCTTGAGCTCTTTTTCAACATTTGCACAAATGTATTTGCTTGCTCTGTTACCGTTTAGTACAGATAAGAAGGTTCAAGTAAATGTAACCTGCACAATAAGAATATAATCACTGTTTAAAATCAAACTTCAGAACAGGTCAACATGGCATAATCTCCTGTATAAATGATCTGTAATTCGCCTCTTCAGATAGTCATCTTGGCCCTGGAGTGGTTTAAAAGATAGTAGCTGCCAAAAATTGTTAACCATTAAACAAAGCTTTGCTTTTCTTTTATGTGGCAGGAACAAAGGTACACTTTTAAATCTGTCTCTGAAAAATGCATTGGTTTTGAATCCAATTCACTCTACAACCCTTGCTTTTGGGATCCAGGAGGAACCTTTCCAAAAAGGGTTTTTGGTTTGTTTTTTTTGTTTTGCCTTCATGGAGTGACCTGAGCCAAGGTATGTGGGTTTTATTTCCGGGGGCAAAGTTGACATAAAGAAAACTTGGAAAACCCAAGGGAGGCTTGAAAGGACTGTGTATTACACTGGAATGTATTCCATCAATTGTCAGAGTACTTAAGAACACTGAGTCATCATGGGGAATGTCCCCTTCATGAAGTCAACAACGGGTTGGCATTATGGAGAATATTCATCTCTCCTATTGAACCATAGTGCAATTTGGCAGTCCACATATTTGCCTTTCATGGTAGCTAAAAAGTAAACATTCGTATTTATGTTCTATTTCATAAAATTAGACCACTATATTGCTTCCAACTTCAAAGAATTCTGTAGTTTCACTTTCAAGGCAACTCTAGAAGACAGTATTTTAAGCACTAGGGGACTTGAGATGCATACACAACCAGCCTCTTATGGATTCACTTAATCACCATTAGAACCTGAAGATCTAAGTTTCTACTTAGTTGTCTGTGCTCATGGTAGGTTTCTCCCAGGGCATTTCTTTCATGGTCACATTTGGTTTCTGCCAAATTCTTCTTTTGAGATTTAGAATGTCTTTTTAGACCTTTACCAATGGAAGGAAAATGCCAGGTATTTCATTAGCATAATGGACCTATATGCCAAAGCCAATGAGATTATCATGTTACTTACCAAATTCCTTAGATCATACATGTTGGCAAAGTAATCACTTCCTTCCACCTATTAAATTTGTTGTTTTTAATGCCAGATGAGAGAAACAAAGATACTTGAAGTGATCTTTTATAACCAAGTGACTTGCTACTATGAACATTTAGGGTTAGGCAATTCTTTGTTGGGAGTGGGGACTGTCTTGTGCATTGTAGAATGCTTACCAGCATCCCTGACCTCTACCCACTGTTCCAGTAGAAACCCCCTCTCAAGTCACGACAACCACATGTTTTCAAACATTGCCAACTATGCCATGGGGAGCAAAACTGCCCCCTGTTGAGAACGAGTTTTATAAACAGCAAGACAGGTATTCATCTACAGTCTTTTGAATTATTTATTAATTAATACATTCCACAGTTGGCTCCTGTGTAAGGGGTAGTGCTAGACATGAGGGACTATTGGATATGATCCTTGCACAAGGCTTGTTTTCACAGAGCTTATGAGTCAGCCTAGGAAGCTCACAATCTAACCTCATTCTTAACATCTCCCTGGCAAGAGTCATGAATCGGGTCAGTATAGGATAGGGCCCATTTGTAAACTTACACCTTGCATTGGCTCATGACCTGCCTATTTGACCCTGAATCCCCAAACCAGAGCACCTGTGTAGCCTCAGTGGGCACTCAAACAGGGTGATTCCATTCTCTTTTGAACTCTTCCAGGGTATTAGATTTGTGTCATTGATTATCTACTGCCCAGTTTATAGACATTGTGTACAGTTCATCATTTTCTTATTTTTAATGATTAGTACCCTCTGTAAGATGGATTTGGCTGGCTGCCTGGATGAATGGTTCGGTTGATTATTTTGGAGCATCTTGGCAGCCAAACTAAAGAGTTTGGAGACAATTTCTTTTAGTATGGGAATGACATGACTGATTACTTAGTAATATCCACATGTCATGGTGCTGGGAAGATTTGGAGAGGGGAAAACATGAAGCCAAAGAGATAATAAAATGATTTTATATTCCTCCTATGATCAGTAAAGTACAGTAGCAGAAGAGCAGCAATGTCAATGAGGAACAAAGGAGCAAAAAGGAGAGCCATTTCAAAGAAAAAATAAATAAGATTTTGGAAGAGAAAATGATCATTACAGAGAAATTGAGTCAAAGGACTCAAGTTCAGTGTGTGTAGATATGAAAATGTGGTTTCTCCATTAAATACAAATATAGGTGTTAAGATGAATAAAGGATATCCTGATATACCGAGGCCATCATTCTTCATGTAACTTTCCTCATTTGAAAGTAATATTCTTATGAATTTTCTATTCTTACATTAAGTCCAGCTGTAAACTAAGAGCAACCAAACAGGAGGTAGGATGATTCACTTTTTGAACAATATCACATGTAAACAATTCTGTAAAAAGCAATGCAATATGGATACAAGAGGCCTGAAATCAGAATCAATAAATCTGGGCTCCCCAGATGACCTAAGTGAAGCCTCACATGGCATTATTCACCACTCAGTTCACCTCACCACATTTCTTTTTCCTCCATGTGAAAAAAGTGGCTGACAAGTGAAGATTTCCTTAAATTGTAGTATTTTTAGAAATGCCAATTATATTAATGATATCCTCCTTATTAGTAATCTCCAAGTAGTTACATAATGTGCAGAATCATCTCAAGCACTAATTTTAAAGTAAATGAATATTGAGTGTCTCATATATGTCAGATCACTTTTCTGGGCACTGAGAATAAAGGGGTTTATAAAATAAAGTCCTTGTTCTTTTCCTCTTGGAGTTTACATTCTAATAGGGGAGACAGACAATAAACATATAAAGAAATAAATATGTAATAAATCATGTGGTAGTAAGTCCAATGAAGACAACTATGGCACTATAATAGGATTGAAAGTGATTGAGGTGTTATTTTTGATCAGTGAAGTGACATGTGAGGAGACTAGAAGGAAAGCAGGAAGCAGGGTATGCAATGTACTAGAGAAGACTATTCTGAGCAAAGGAAACAGCAGGTGCAATGGTCCTGGAAAGGAGGAGTGCTTGGCCCCTTAGGGAAACATCAGTGAGGCCAGGTGGCTGGAGCAGAATGAGTGACAGGGGAAGGAGAGGAAGTCAAAAGGGAGTAAGAGCCAGTTTATTAAGGGCTTTGTAGACCATGGAAAGGACTTCAGGATTTTCTCCCCAAATGTGATGGGAAGAAATTGAGAGTGTTTTGAGTAGACGATGACATAATCTGATTCAGTTTCCAGCAGTGGTTCTCAACCAGGAATAATTTTTGCACCCAGGGTACATTGGGGAATGAATGTCTGGAGACATTTTGGTTATCACAGCTGGGGAGATGTGCTCCTCGTCTCAAGTGAGCAGAGATTAGTGATGTTGTTAAACATCCTACAATGCAAAGGACAACCCCTTTCCCTTACCACTGCCCATTCCCACCACCAACACACACAGCAAAGAATTTTCTGGGCCAAAATGTCAACAGTGCCTGTTTACAAGATATCTCTACCATCGTGAAGAGAACAGACTGTGGTGGGGCCAGGGTAAAAGCGGGGTAAAAGTAGGAGTCAACTGCATTAGACTCAGGTGTCAGGGGTAGAGACTGGAAAGTGGTCAGATTGGGGATACACTGTGAAGACCACATTAATAGAATTTGTAGATAAATTTAGTATAAGAGATGACTCAAGAATGACTCCAAGTTTTCTGGCATGAACTACTGAGTTGAGGAATTTAGGGAGAGTAGCCAGTTTGGGAAGATATCAACAATTCATTTTTGAACATGTTAACCTTGAGAACTTGTTAGCTATCTAAGTGTAGATCTCAAGTAGCCATCTATAAATATAAATCTTAGAAACGTGAATCTAAAGTTACATGTTTGGCTGCAAAGATAAAGTTGAGAGTGGTATTGCAAAGGATTCTTAATTGCAGACAAGAGAATCCATTCTAGCCAGTTTAAATCAAAAGGGGATGTTACATAGTTCCAATAATCTCTGGGTAGGATGGAACAAGACCTGATGCTATTTGGTCAGAAACAATACAGTCAGGGTATACATCCAACCACACCATAGGAAAGTTCTGGTAAAAAACACCACTGTTGCTACTATCCACTATGACTTTAGGGACTGGAAATTGGAGATGTACTCAATTTGCCTCAGACCAAGCAGGTGTCTTAGCCTTCATGCTAGATAATCCTATCTCTCTTAGTTACAATTGGCCCAAATCTTGCACCTGGACATTTGATGTCACATGTCTCCACTCTAGCTATTAGAAAAACGTACAGTTTTAGCTTTGCAGTTTCTGTAATATTGGAAGGTGAACTAGAACAGTTTGGAATGAGTGTTGAATAAGTCAACTTGCTCTCTATCTGCCTCAAGAAGCCACTGGCATATAGACGGAATTTACAGTTAGGGTGTTTGATAAGGCCACGTGGGGAGAGAAGAACATTTAGTGGGACGAGCTCTTAGGCATCCCAACACTTGGATGTCCGGTAAGGAGACTGAAAAGAATCATGTAGTGACAGGAATGAGAACCAGGAAATTGTGATATCCTAGAAGCCAAACCAGGAGAGTGTTTCAAGGAATAAGTGATCAACTGTATTGAATGGTACTGTCAGATCAATTATGGGCAGATAATTAACCAGTGGATTTGAAAACACTGAGGTTATTCATAGTCTGACAAGAGACATTTCTGTGGAGTGATGGGGACAAAAGCCTGATTAGAATGGGTGCAGGAGAGATTGGGAGAGGGTGAAGTGGACACAGTGAGTATAAAAGAGACAGAGATATAGTCCTGCAAGTTGGAGGCGGAAATGGGGCTAAAGAAAGGTCTTTTTTTCAAATGGAAAATATTTAAAAATTAAATATTAAAAGAAAAGCATAACAGCCACATTTTAAAGCAATCCAACCAAGTTCTATATTTTAAATTTTCTATATTTTCTATATTTTAAATTCTCTTTCACAGAAATTGGTTTATGTCTTGGTCTTTGCCAATACTGTGCTTTTAAGCATCGCTCCTAATCATTTAGAAAGCCTCCATGGGGAATGCCAAGGGATTTCTGATGAGCAGCTCATTGCCCTCGGAGCCTTTTATATATATACACACACACACATATATACATATATATGTATATATATGTATAAAATACATGTATATATACATATATATGTATATATGTATAAAAAATCATTGCCAAGATCATCCTTTCACAACTGAGATCTCTGATCTTGTTCAAGCTTTTCCTAAAACATTTTTCATTTTTCTCTACTTTTAACAAATGAGCTTCATTAGAAAATACTACCCTTTGTTATCCATAAGAGGAGTTCACTTTAGAAAGTGGTAGAATATGAAGATCTTGCTGTAATAATATATCTCTCTTCATCTGCTGAAGCACAGCTACTATGAAAACAGAATGAGTAACTGCTTCCATTCAACACTCCCAGCTCTCCCTAAAGGGAACATGTCTGAAGAACTAAGTGATTTGGTCACCTTTAATACATTTTCATTTCCATAATATGCTCTTAACAATTCAAATGACACGTTTCTCCATTTAAGTCTCCCACTGGGCATCTCTATCTTCTCACAAACTGTTTTTAGTTATTATCATTGTATTGTCTATGGAGATTAGGTTTGCTGCTATGACAAATCAGGGGAGATTTTAAAGGATGACATTAATTTGACAATTTTAGGAGTATTTATTCATATTTTTAAATATCAAAAGGATTAGAACAGTCATTTGGTTTTTTCCTTATATATTTCATATTTTAACTTTTTGTCAGATACGAGGTTTGCAAATATTTTCTCCCATTATGTAAACTGCCTTTTAATTTTGTTGACTGTTTCCTTTGCTGTGCAGAAGCTTTTTAGTTTGATGTAGTCCCACTTGTTTATTTTTGCTTTTGTTGCTTGTGCTTTTGGTGTCCTACCCAAAAAACTAATTGCTAAAATCAATGTTAGGGAGCTTTTCCCCTGTTTCGTTTTCTAGGAATTTTATGGTTTCAGGTTTTACATTGAAGTAAACAATTTTTATGAATGGTGAAAAATAGGAACCCAATTTTGTTCTTTTGCATGTGAATATTTAGTTACCCACCACCATTTATTAGAAAGACTATCCTTTTCCCATTGTGTATTCTTGGCACTCTTGCCAAATATTAATTGACCATGTACGTGCAGACTTATTTCTGGGCTATATTCCTTTCTAGTGGTCTATGGGTCTGTTTTCATGACAGTACCATACTGTTTCGATTATTAAAGCTTTGTAATATAGTTTGAATTAAGAAGTGTGATGCCTCCTGCTTTCTTCTTCTTTCTCAAGATTGCCTTGGCTATTCTGGGTCTTTTGTGGTTCCATAGGAATTTCAGGATTTTTTTTTTTCTATTTCTGTGAAAAATGCCAATGGAATGTTTTTAGAGGTTGCAATGAGTCTAAACATCACTTTGGGTACTATGGTTATTTTAACAATACTAATTCTTCTGATCTGTGAGCACAGGATATCTTTCCATTTTTTGTGTGCCTTTAGTTTCTTTCATCAATGTGTTATAGTTTTCAGTGTACAGATCTTTCATCTCTTTGGTTAAATTTATTCCTAAGTATTTTATTGTCTTTGATGCTATTATAAATAGGATTGTTTTCTTTCTCTTTTAGATAATTCATTGTTAATGAATAAAAATGCAACTAATTTTTTGTACGTTGATTTTGTATTCTGCAACTTTATTGAATTCATTTATTAGTTCTAACAGTTTTTCTGGTGGAGTCTTTAGGGTTCTCTTGATATAAGATTGTGTCATCTTCAAACAGAGAAAATGTTACTTTTTCTGATTGGGATGTCTTTTATTTTTTTCTTGCTTAATTGCTCTGTCTAGGACTTCTAGTAGTATGTTGAATAGAAGTGGTGAGAGTGGGCATCCTTGTGTTGTTCCTGATCTTAGAGAAAAAGAATTCAGCTTCCCACTATTGAGTATAATGTTAGAGGTGGGCTTGTTATATATGACCTTTATTATGTTGAGGTATACATCTATACCCAACTTGTTGACAGCTTTTATTATGAAAAAATGTTGAATTTTGTTAAATGCTTTTTCTGCCTCTGTTGAGATGCTCATATGATTTTTATATTTCATTTTGCAAATGTGGTATATCACATTTATTGATTTACATGTCAAACTCTCCTTGCATCCCAGAGACAAATCTCACTTGATCATGGTATATAATCTTTTTGATGTGCTGTTGAATTTGGTTTACTAGTATTTGTGCATATTTTCAGTTCTTTTCAGTTTGCTGAGGTTTATTTTATGGCCCAGAATATGGTCTATTTAAATTCAATGTTCATCATACTTAGTGAATATTCATATGTTTCACTACAGAAATATTCATATGATTTATTTCTTGGGGCTTCCCTAGTCTTTAATGTGGGTGACACACAGTATATGTAGCATATAATATTCTTAAAATTTGAAAAACTGTGAATTCTGAAATACATCTTATCTCAGGGATTTGGGATAAGAAATTCTTGGTTATATTATCATCCTTGTGATCTAGAATAAGTTTATATTATTTTTAGATTATCACTGACAAGAAAACAAATAAATTTTAAAATTTCATAGAAGGACTTGCAGACTCAAAAGAATATTTCCATAGACCATGGGGTCTGTGGTTCCCAGCTAAAAAACTTAGCAATGATGAATTTACAGTATAATGATGTTGAGTTTTCTTTGGCTCTAGCTGCTTTCTCAGCAAAGATCTTTGAAATGCTAAACTATCTGACAGGCAAATTTGGCTGGCACTTTTGCTTTGGATTTTCTTGGATGTGATCAGAATTGCCAAAGGTAATTTTATTGCTTTTCTGTGATGAGTGCCGCAGATTGCAAGGAAATCACTGAGGAGAAAGAGATGAACAGTTCATGACAAGTATCAACCCCATTTTAGATCATAGCTATCTTGCTTATTGAAATCTGATAATTATCAATTGGAACTAAGAAAATTTCTTATTGAAACCAAGAAGGTTAGCAGTTTTAGAGAAATTCTAATGCCATTCCTAAATCTGTGGTAATGAGCCGGAGGCAAATGATATATTTAAGGGTCCTTAAAATTGCAAGCTTTAGCCCAGAATTAAATAAATAATTCCAATCTTTATTTAAAAATATAGTTTAGTGAAAATGATCAAGAGGTCTCTGTTGTGGTTGGGCGTGGTGGCTCATGCCTGTAATCCCAGCACTTTGGGAGGCCAATGAGGGTGGATCACTTGAGGTCAGGAGTTCAAGACCAGCCTGGCCAACATGGTGAAACCCCGTCTCTACTAAAAAAAATACAAAAAAGGAAAATTAGCCTGGCGTGTTTATGTGTGCCTGTAATCTCATCTACTCGAGAGGCTGAGGCAGGAAAATCGCTTGAATGCAGGAGGTGAAGGATGCAGTGAGCCCAAATTGTGCCACTGCACTCCAGCCTGGGCGACAAAATGAGACTCCATCTTAAAAAAAAAAAGAGGCCTCTGTTGTGTAGGATGAGGGGGAAAGACTCAAGATCAGCTACAAAAGTTAAACCGTTAAATTCAATGGACACTGTATAGGCCAGCCAAACCTTTGGGCAAGAGAAAGACAATACAGGGAGAAAAAACAGGCAAAGCTGTGACATGATTTGCATTCTTTAAACATAAGCATTCAAGGAATCAAGAGAATCATGGGAAATTGACTAGATATTGTAAACGTTGATGCCACAACTGCTCTGCACATTTTGCACTCCTGGTTGCCCAGGAACTAAGACCTCTGCCTTATTTCAATAACATTATAGAGAAATTCATGTGCTAATTTGTAAATTCATGTGTAATTGGGGGTGGAGCAGTACATCATCTGGTTGGCTCCACCTTGATAAAGTCTTGAACAGCAACTTGGATTTGATGTCATTAAATAGAACAATATTAAAAGTTACTTTTAACTGGCTGCTACTGTGTTGCTTCCCCTCTGGACTCTGGGTGGACTCCATGTTAAGTAATAAAAGTGATGTGATTATTCATTCCAGTTGAATGACAAGGTCTTCTCTTGGATACCTGCTCGAAAGGAAAAGTCCAGGAAGCTGAGACTTAGGACTGGAAACAGATGGATGAGCCATCTCACCGTGCCCTGTGCAGGCTAGAGAGTGAATGTCAGTGCCTCTATTGCTGGGATGAACCTCTCTCTCCACCCTGGGGCTGGGGAAATGTGGCACACGGAAAGTTAGTAGGCTCTACACAGCATTCTTGACAAAGCACTTATTTTTCACTTATATGTCACCTAGATATTTAAAAAACCCAAAGAGCAGATCAGAGCTTTTGAGGAACCCATTACTAAACACAACCCTTGGTCAGGGATGTTACCTAGAAAATCCTATTCTGATTCCACTCCCATTTCAAATTTAGGAAACATACCTGCTGGTCTGCCTCAGTCTCCTCTATATCTGAAATCAACTTCAGAGGCAGAATGGAGATTTGGTTAGGTAAATAGTGGGTATCCATAGCATTCTTTGAAGAGACAAAAAGGCCAAGCCAGGGCTGCAGGCAGTCATGAATAGAATTCTTACACCCCGTGAAAAATCAAGCTGTGCATGATTCTGTTCCAGCACTGACTACTCTTGGTTGCATTAAGTGGCTACTTCCAGTGAATGCAAAGTTCAGCCTCCCAAACTGAACTGTGTACCTGAATACTCTGGGAAGGTATCCTTATTTTATTTTCCTTCAAAACCCTACAGCCTGCTGGCCAGGTAAAGTAAGAAAACATATGGTCTTTATTTAGTTATTTAGTGCTTACCACCAAGACTAAGAGGAGAGTGAGGAGTGAAGATTTCTTGGCTGTCTCCGATGCTTTCCTTTAATCTTACTTTATTTGCTAAGAGCTAATAAAAAATCTGAAGTGCTTAACTCTCAAGTGTTGCTTTTCTTCTGGGCATTGGTATTTGATTTGTTTCTTGGCCTAAACTCCCTCCCTCTTTTTATCACCAAATGGGCGACTGTGAACATCCTTTTTAATGCTGTGCTCATTCTCTTTTCTTTGATATATTTTTCAGCTTCTTAAAGTTTATGTTTTTTTCCACTCTTATTCAAAAATTTAAGCTACAATCATATTAGATTTATACAAAATAATTTAATTATAAAAGTAATAATCTATTTTTGGAAAAGATGAGAAAATCATTTATAATTTTACTGTCCAATTGCAATAGCTCTTGATTTATTCTCTTTTAATATGTGTTGTATTTTCCATAGTGACAGAGTGTGCATAGAATTCTGCTCCAAATGTCTTTCACCCCATATTATCCTATCAATGTGATTTCATGTTCACTAATTCTGCTTTGTAATAATTAGGTTGCTTATTCCACTGAGTGACATTGCCTCAATTTACTTAACCATCCTTTTCTCAGTGGGACATTTGGATTGAAAATATCTGCTTTTAAGGCTGTATTAACACTGACAGGAGTTTTGTAAAGCAATCAAACCTGCACAAAATTAATACGTAAAACCTAATAATGTGTGAGTCTTTGGATATGAAAATGATAAGTTATAAAAACTTCGTGACAAATAACTCAACAAGAACAACTCTCCTTGGTTATTTTCAAGACATACTTACAACTGTAGATTTGGAAAGTGAGCATATGTATGATAATACTTAAGAATGAGTATCAGCATTCTTAAAAAAAAAAGTATCACTAATACAATCATCCATACCCATGGAGTCAATTTGCTGCCATATCTTTTCTGCAACTTACCCTTGAAAATGTGACTCTTGATATTTCCAACCTCCAGGTCAAACTAATTATATCTATATCAAAATCTTCAATATTTGTACAAGATAAGCATTTATTTCCTCATCAATTACATAGTAAGTAGCCTCTTAAATACTTTTCCATATTCTAATATTTACACATTCTAATTTTTTTCAGAGAAAATTAGAAAATTGATTTTTTCTTCTAGAAGGCTTGTATTTATCTGTAGACACTAAAAATGGAAACTAACAGCTTAATAAACCTGACTGCATTATTACTATCAAGCCTAATCGCCTTGTTTTGTGATAATCAGGAAATTGTAAAATAGACAAAAACATGCTCTTCATCCTTTGTTAATTAGTGACTACACTATCTCTTTTTAAATAAATAGTGCCTCTTAATCTGGATATCGATCCTTTTTCTTTTTAAAATTCTTTTGCTAATGAAATACTTGAAATATACAGAAATCCTAGAGATTCTTGATGCAATCATCTCCTAGTCAAACACATTTTACCAATACCAAAACCTTTTAATAATCTTACAAGATCATTACTTTTTTTCTTACCCAATCTTTTAGTATCTCTTTTTTTCTATTTAAATATATTTTTCATAAATTCTTCTCTATATACCTGTTTTGTTTTGGTAATTGGCCTTTCTCTGGATATATATTTTTTACTCTCTCAAACTATTTAAAAATAGTTTGTGTCACCTTGTTTTATGTGTTTCTCTTGTGGGCAGCATATGGGTACATTTAATTTTTAATCCAATCTGATAATCTCCATGTTTAATGGTTTTATTAATCTTTTTGTGTATATTTTTACTGACATGATAAAGTTATTCATGCTGTCTTTTTTCCTTTTTCTTTATTATCTTTTGATTTGCTACTATTTTTATTTTCCTTTTCTAACATCTGTGGGATGAATAACTTTTTAATCTATTCTTCTTTTAATAAGATAAGGTTTGCATTTGTATTACTTTAGTGGTTATTCATACATGTTAGCATACACAGCGAGTTTAAATTTATCTAACAGCTTTAAGTTTATTTGGTAGTCTCACCCTCCTCCAGGACATAGCAAGAGCTATAATGCTTTAAATAGCCATAGAAACTTCCGATTCTCGTTATTCATTTCTATAATTTTACTCTTATCTCTTTCAAAAAAACATTTTTTATCAGTTATTTATGTTTATTTACATATTTTATTAATTTTAGGCTCCCAATTGCTTCTTGTACCCCACATTTTCTTCTGGGTTTCCATTTCTTCATTCAGAAGCCCCTCACTCCTTGTAACTTTATTGAGTGTCTCTGGCTTTGAGTAACTGAAAATGTCTTGTCTTTGCTTTTGCTTTAGAATGATAGTTAACTGGGTATAAAATCCTGTGTTGGCATTTACCATCAACATTTTGAGGTTATTAATCCATTATATTCTGGCATTCATTTCCAATTACAAAGAAATGCACTGGGAATATAACCAACAGGGTTCAGTTCTCTGTCTTTTCTCTCTGGCAGCTCTTAAGATATTTTGTATGTTACCCTTAATGTTCTGTAGTTTCATTACAAGTGTCTAGGTGTGGATTTATTTCCATTTATCCTCCTTGGTACTTGGGGCATTCTTTTAAATTGAAGACTCATGTCTTTCTCCAATTTAGATATTTTCCAGCTATAATAACAGTCATTTCCTCCATTCTTGGTGCCCCACTTCTCTGATGCCACTCCAACACAGTCAAAGTGGTGGTTTGGGGCATCTCATTACAGCCTGGCCAGGATGGAAGTCTAAGCTCTGCACTCTGCCTTTGCTGGCTGGGGTAGAGGTACAGCTGCAATTTGGTCTTTTTTTTTTTTTTTTTTTTTTTTTTTTGTGCAGTTTGGCTGGAGTAGAGTGGTTAGTGTCTAAACGTTCTTTATATTGCCAGTTGCCCTTTTCCTGGTTTTTGGCTAGAGAGATCTGGCTTTTCTCAGGTTTTTTGTTTTTTTGTTTTGTTTTGTTTTTGTTTTTGTCTGTACCTATTGGCATTTCCAGGTATGCAGTTTGGAATATATGTTGCAAAAAGAAAACCTCAGGTCCCAAGGTCCCTAGCTGGTCTACCTTCTTTTCTCCACCTTTCAGAGGCTTGTTATATTTGTTTTATGTTTAATGTTCAGGATTTTTCGTGGTACTTAGCTGGAAAAATAGGAAAAAGCATGTCTACTCCATCTTCCTAGAAGCAAAGCCTATGTATTTTAAAGTATTTGTCAGACTCCTCTATAAATTAGTTTTTAAGTAGGAAGAACTTAAATAATGATTTAATTATCAATATTTTTGCTATGTTTCTCACGTTAGATTTCTTTGCCTGTTTTTGCATTTTGGTTTAGAAGCACCTTTTGAGAAAGAGGTTTTGCTTTATTTTTCTCTCTCTCTCTTTCAATGATCCCTTGTCTTTTTCTAGTCATTTCATTATTTCTTTCTCAAGACACTAGACTTCAATTCTAGAACCAGGTTTAAAATGTAATTCAGGTTCCTGGCTTTTTTTCGGTGAGCTACAGTTATCACAGATCTGAACCCCAAGGCATTTGGTGACCTAACTAAGTTCCTAGTGGATCAGCTATCTCTGAGTTCTTCCACTGGTTTGGCCTGTAGGTAACTGTGAACTCAGTGAGTGGTAGCAGATTTTTCAGTCTGTTTTCACTGGTGGGGAAAGAGGAAGCCCCACTTCAGCCCTAGCTTTAAGCAATGACTTTGGCCCGGTGCATCCGAAGTGGAGATGAAGAACCAGAGGGCATGTTAGTCTCCCTTACTTTGAAGCGCAACTGTCTTCTGTTAGACTCAGGTTCTGAGAGGCTGCTGGGTTTTGCACTTCTGTTATTCTTTTTTTGGGCCACAGCAATATGTTGGCCAGGATGATCTCGATCTCTTCACCTCATGATCCGCCCGCCTTCGCCTCCCTAAGTGTTGGGATTACAGGCGTGAGCCACCACGCCTGGCCTATCACAAGCTTTTAAAATATTTTTGATATCTCATTACTATGTGTTGGGAGCAGAAACTGTGCACCAAAACATGAACTTGCTGGGCTATCTTAATGGAAAATCTAAATTTTACTTAAACACCTTTGGAGACACTTGGGGGGAGTAGTTTATATAAGATAACAAACTGCAAAACCCCACATTAGCTCAGATTAGGTTAATTTCATTAAAGAACCAGTTTTCAGTTAACATCATCTATTTATTAGCAATTTGGACATATAATTATGTCGTTTTCTTACATCCCCCTTCACATCAACCCATCATCCAAGTAACTTTGTGTTAAATTGTTATTCAGTATTATTGGGTGAATATAAGCCAAATGTATACTATCACTAAATTTTCTTCTAACCTTCTATTCCCCTAGTGCTGATAACTGTCTCATTTTCCTGGGCATAGTTATCTTTTTATCTATGGCTAATTCTTCCCATATCTGATTATGGGTAATAGAGATTTCCATGCAGTCAAATATCTCAGTTCATTTATCAGTTACCTTTTTCTCCTTTCTGACTTTCTTCCCAATACTCTCCAACTTCATGTCCATTAAGGCCAATTACTTTCTTGGACTTCCTTCTGACAGTTGTCTTCTGGAAACTTCTCTTTGCCATCAATCTGGGGATTCCCTTTTCCTCTTTCCTGTGTCAGATCTCCTTTCTAAGGACCTCACTACTTCTTTCTGGATTTACTATGGTGTGGCTCATGCTCTAGAGACTTCCTAAGAAAAGATACATGAGAGATACCTTTTAAAAAACTCTTTGTTTTACTTTCACTCTCAATGAGTAGGTTGGCTGATATAGCATTCTAGGTTGAAAATTATTTTCACCTAGAATTTTTGGAAGTCATTGATCTATTTTCTTCTAGCTACTAGAGTTGGTAGGTCAAATACTTTTTTTATTCCTGATCTTTCATATGGGACCTGATTTTTATCTCTGGAATATTTTATGATATTCTCCTAATCATCTGTATTCTGCAGTTTCACAATTGTGTGCCATAATGTGGGTTTTTTAAATTCTTCGAATTATGGTCTCAGGAGGTCTTTTCAATCTTGAGACTCAGGTACTTGAGTTCTGGAAATCCCTCTTGAATTATGTGGCAGAACAGCTAAACTTCTCATTGGAATTTAGTTTGTCTCCTTCCAGAGTCCACCCCCAACCCCTGTTCTCCTTACATCCAGGTAGGCCAGATGATAAGTTCTCACCAATAATAGGAGAAGTGACATCTGGGCTAAGGCATTGCAGAGGTAGGTGGCTTACTCTACTCTCTTTCTTCCCATTTGCCAGATGGATGCAGCAAATGTCAAGGTGCTAGGATGGTAGAGCCACAAGGCAGAAGGATCATGGGTCCCTTAGTCATCACAAGGAGACAAGTAACCATGGGCATTCATCTGTTATGTGAGTGAGAAAAGTACTTTAATTTGTGAAGCCACTGATGTTTAAAGGTTTGTTGTAGTAGTCAGTGTTCCCTGATTGATATATTTTTTTGAAATATCCTACCAACTGCTTTCTCTGTTCCCAAATTTCTGCAATGTTGATCAGTGAGATATTTGACTTCTTAGATTAATCTTCTAATTTCTTACATTTTCTCACATCCTATCCATCTCTTTGGCCTTTTTTCCCCACTTTCAGTGAGTTTGATTTGTTAACTTCTTTCAACTATTTTATTGAAAAACTTTGGAGGGGGGATGGAGAGGGAGAGAGCTATCATATTTTTTTTTAATTTCCAAGAATATTTTCTTTGATTCCTCTTTTATAGTATATTTCATAGTATATAGTTCAGGTTCGATTAACTCAATATTCTTCTTATCTCTGAGGATAACAATTATAGCTTTAAATTATTTCCTGATTTTTATATCATTTATTTCCTTTTTGTATGTGTATGGGAAGCTATTTCACAATGTCTTAATGATACAGGGCTGCCATACTTCTTTAGATTGAAGCACTAGAAGTCTGACTGAAAGCTCCATGTGGGTCAGGGAGCAACTAGTGAGCTTCCTGTAAAACAGTTGCATGGGCCACTGGCTTCTTCACTGGATGAGCTCCAATTATGAGTCATGAATTCTCCACTTGGCCCTGATTTTCCGAGAACAATACAGGGACAGGAGATTGGGTGGGAGTGGAGAGTGGGGTTCCCATCATTTTCTATGTATACTTGCACTTCACCCTTACCTTCACCTTAACATGTGCCAGGTATCACCCCTAGTTCCAAGTCTCTCTAGTTCAATGTATGCATGGAGTAAGACTTCTAGCCTTATTACAAGGACTGGGAAGAAACAATTGCCGGATATGAAAACTAAGGTTGGGTTATGGAGGCAGAGCAAGATTGGTTGATTGGGATCTTCCACACTCCCAGAGTTTTATAAGTCAAGTGGTGTCTTAGTAATTCCTTTAGCCAAGATGTGGGCAACACAGGAGAAATAGTAAGTGGAGTATGGTTTGAGGTTCTAGCTAATTGGCTTTTTTATAGGGTAGAAGGACCCCAGTAACAAGAAACGAGAGATAACCTGGATTGCCAGGGTATCTGACTTTGGAGTTGATTTGCAAAATCATACCCAGAAACAGAAGTGAGTGACTGAGGACAGTGAGACAGGGAAAGGAGAAAAAGCCACAAAATAGTGAGTTATTAAGTTGGTAAATAGTGTGGGCAACTGGGGCTCAAGCTCGATGAGTGCCATCTGGGGAACTAGTAGAATAGATCTCAGAAGTGTTACATCAAACTAAATGGAAGTAAAGTCATTTATCTATTGACTCTCATTGCGTCTCTCATTGGTTACTCTTGGGGCATCAGCATCCCCCTCATACTTCAGGGGAGTGACTGTTCAAGGCCTAAAGGGTCTCCCTCTGCTTTGGAGAAAGTCCTGAGCAACAAAGCAACGAGATGCCAAGACTGAGATATGACATGTTGGCAGTATGCATGGAATGTCCATCCCAGATGCAGGAAGATCAGTTAGGTAAGAGCACATAGTGAAAGATACCACGAGTATCTGCTACACAGAGTGGTGGAAGGAGGTGACACAAGTGACTAAACAGAAGAGAAAAGCACCTGCCTAGTTCAAGGGGGTCAAAGTCAGAGAGTTCAAGCAGAGATCCTCCAAGGGGCCCTCAAAAAAGGCTCACAGGACAAAAGACCAGCTTTATACATCTGCCAAGCATAAAGAAAATGAAGGCAACTCAGAAGGGACCAACTCTGTTCCCTTTTCCTTCCGTTTCCCACTCCTCCTTATGCCCAAACTCTTGACTGGTCTGCCCAACATGCCAGGGGGTTGGGGAAGAGGAGAAACTCAAGTTCATGCCCATTTCTTCACTGGAGGATTCAAGTCTGGGAAAAGGATAAAGTGCTGCCTTTAAATCAAGCTTTCTGTTTTCATCTGTATCTTGGATTGGACAATGATCTGAGAGCTGAGACTATTTGCAACTGTCTATAACCATAAAAACTACACGTTACCTAAGAAAGAACAGAAATTTTTTCATCTTGGGGTAGGATACATTCAACCCTTCTAAATAAAAGTTTTATCAGGAATGTAGCAGATAAGAAATAAAGTTACATTTTGATTGTAGCATTGGCTGTGCTTATTTTACCTACATGTATCTTTTCTTATTTTCCAGGGTAGACCATATTTTCCAAAATGAAAAAGGTGATGAAGGATACGGCAGGCAGAAAGCTTGGCTTGAGGCTATGAGAATGAATCCAAATTCCTTACCACTGCTCATAAGGCTCAGTGTGGTCCTGAGCCTGCTTATCCCTCCTAGTCATGTAACACTCTCTTCTTCAAATTCTATGCTTCAGCCACAGGGAGAACCCTTCACTTCTGGCAGAGTATCAACGTGTAGTTCCTCCCCTGTCCTCCACATTGTTGTTCTCTCTCCACTCTCCCACCTCCTCTGTTTTCTCTTATGCTCACCTAACTTACTATTCACTAGATCTCAAATTTCGCCTCCTTCAGGAAGACCTTCAAGTACCCAAGTTCAAGGCACTCCCTGTGCTCCATCTCTCCTAGCACCTTATCGCTACTATATTTACTTGTTCACTTTGTGGTGTACTCCTTGCCCATACCCACTATCACAATCTCTGTAAGAGATGGTCTGTCTGGCTCTTGCCTTCATCCCCAGAAGTTAGTATAGTGTCTGGCATACAGTGGGAAATTAATGTCAAATGAATTAATTTGTGTATTTACATAAAACGTCTGATAAATGTATATAAATCAAGCCACAGATTTTAAAAAATAAGCTTTACTATAAATAATAAAATGAAAAGATATAGGAACTATCCTTGAAAATTCAGGATTTATATTGGCTATATATAGTGAGTATATATCTCATAAGAGAGTGTTTCTCAAAGTGTTGTCTCTGGACCAGCAGCATCACCTGGGAGCTTGTTAGAAATGCAAATTATCAGCAGGGAAACCCACCCTACCTCACTCTCAACTCAGAAACTCTGGGAGAGGGGCCCAGCATCTGTGTTTAATAAGCCCTCTGGAGCATGCTCAAGTTTGAGAACCACTGCCCTAATATTTGAAATGCCCCTCCCTGCAAAGAGCTTAAGTCATATTTTAAAGGAGATGGTGTGTCTATTAAACATCCCTGAAAGTTGAGATCTGTATATTCTCCTTCTCCTTGATGTCATTCAAGTTAACCATCCAAACTAAAGACTGTCCAACACAGTCCATTACAAGAGGACTCAGCTGGAAAGGATTACAAATGAGCACTACTGTCAATATCTACAAACGGTCTCCAGGTGTGTGCATCTGGCATGACTGGCTAGGAAATCACTGGATTACTTGCTTCATTTAGTTCTGCATTTTAACAGTCTGACATTTTAAACTTCATGGCTGGATTTTTAATCAGATGGGCTGATCTCTGTACCTATCTTGGCATGACAATTTACTTTGTGGGAGAGTTGAATTAGCAAAGGTGTTAAGCCTCAGGTTTGGCCAAGGGGAGAGGAAGTGACATTTAAAATGTATGACCATTCCATATGGGACTTAAGATCAAAGCCTCCTGTTGGATAAGGACAGTGAAGAGCCATATAGAAATCATCCAGAACCTTCAGTGGGTATTTACTGATTCCTTCACCTGAGGAAGCTGTATATTATTAAATCCCTTTCAAGTTCAGGCAGACAGGAAGTCTTGTATCCTGGGTTAGATTCTATTTTATCCATGAGGATCACCAATAGGACCAATGGGAAAGACCTAAGACATAGGAAGGAAAATACATTTTTAAATGTAGTAAAATGACAACAGCAAAAACAAAAAACCAAGAAGAGCACAAAGAAAGAAAAAAAGAGTGAAGATTTGTTAATTAGGGTTAACAAAAAACAAATAATAAACAAATGAAAAATGCCAGACACTATGTAGAGAAGGAAAAAAAAGAGAAGAATAAAAATGCCAGCCATCTTAGGTGCTAATGGCTGTCTACTTATTCTTTAGAATTGCTCTGTCCAAGAAGGAAACTGCTAGTCATATGAAGCTACTTATATTAAAATCAATTAAAATTACATACAATTAAAAATTCAGTTTCTCCATTACACAAGACACATTTCAATTGTTCTATAGTCACATGTCGTTACCATATTGAACAGCACAGATTAGAACACTCCCATCATCATAGAAAGTTGGATTGGACAGTGCTCCTATAGAACTTACTTTAAGATCAAACTTGTACTTTTCCCTGTCCTTCCAGGGGTATCTAAATCCACAGAATATGGAAAACTAAAAGGTTAAGGTCCAGGGATGCAAGTAATTTTGCTTTGTTGATGAATTAGAATTTTCCCTGAAATTCAGTGCAAACATGGTCTGGTTTGTTTGTCTACACATCTCTCAAGCATATATTCAACACAATTCAACACACCAAATGTTAACTTGGATGCCCCTTCTGGGCAAGACACTACCCTGAGCACCACCTGAAGAGTAAAGATACATAGAATATAGTCCCTGTTTTCCAGGGACATATTTGACAGAGCACGTAAGACTAGGACATAATTATAATACAAGATAAGAAAAATAGGTACATTGGGAGGGGTATAAAAAAAGGTGTGGGTCTTTAGTCTTGCTGTGCATATAATTGCCTTGTTAAAAATACAGATGTTTCAGCATCATCCCTAGACAGGTCTATTTGTTGGCTCTGAGAGAAGCTTCCAGCATCAAGCATGTACCTTCTTTATGGATGCAGATATCTGTAAGATGGCTGGTGACTTTAAGGAGGCGGGGCAGTACAAGGGAATGCACATTGGTGTGGAAGTCAACAGAAAAACGATTTATAAACTGGCTTTGGCACAGATATTTGTGTGCTGTTGATCAAACCACTTCAGCAACTTAACTAGTGACTATGGTCAAAATGGCTGATTATGATTCATGTTTGAATCTTCAAATGTCAAAAGAACAATTTAAATTCTTGAGTAGGAAAATGAACTCAGGAATTAGTGAGATCTGAATGGAATAAAAGGGAAACCAAGTCCTGAAGTCACCAGAATTACTCAAGGGACTTAAGCCAAACCAGAAGACAATATAGACAATCCTTTGGGGACAGATGAGTCACCTATGATACTTATCAAGTTATTAATTAATATAGGTAGATCAGCAATCCTTAAGGGAAGAGCACACTCTTTATAGATAAATAGAACACATTTGGAATACAGGGAAGCATTCCTTGGGATACAATACATAAAGCTGAGAGTAGCTGGTAAAATTATGTACAAAGATGCTGCATTTATTAGGTGACAAATGAGCAACTTTCTGACCACACATTGCCCATAGATAACTTCTAGCCCATTCCTTGGCAGTAATGGCTTTCACATCAATGGCTGATTGACTTGGGCCAGTGTGATGGACACCTCTCCTGTGGCTGGGCAAAACCAGAAAAATCAATATTAAGTTTGTGGTTGACTTCAATCACATTGTAGCCTAAAAAGTACATAAGTATTTAAATTTTAACTTTTTCATCCTCATCCTTGGTTTCTTTCTTGTCCATCTATTCTAGGATATTGCAAATACTTCCTTCCTCCCTCCTTTTATTTCTCCTCTTCTCCTCCTCCTCCTCCTCCTTCAAGATTGGAGATGAAGGGGTTTGCTGTTTCTTAACTGGATATAGCAGATAAAGAACAAGAATATTGGCTCACTCGAAGTTGTCCTAATTTCCTTCATTTTAACATATTTCTTCACCACCACCAGAATGCCTTCTCTAATGACAAACAATTTCCTGCTACACCATATTTCAAGACTTTAATCCTTGTGAATGGCCATGCAAATGTTAGATTTTGTAAGTCATAAGCAGTTTTCTAAGGAATTTTTAATCGAGTTTCATTGGACATGCAGGCTAAAATGCAATTTCTGGCTTTTATTACACACCAAAAGTCTGTCTTTCAAATAAATCATCAAAGGAAAATTGGGGTGCAATACATAGCAGATAAGAGGCAAGACCATCATATAAGACCATACTGGTTGTACATTGCACAACTACAGGAAAAGTCATTCATAAAGTCTTTGATGTGAATAGTGTTCCCTGGAGTTGTACAGTGTACAACCTGCTCAGCTGCTCATGACAGACATAACAGTAAGATTTCTATATAATTATCATAGGCTATTTGTTCATGTAATTAAGTGTTTATTGGGTGCTGATCATATGTCAGGCTCTGTGCTAGATCCTGGTGAGCTAAAGTAATGAAGTCTCTGTCCTCATGGAGTTAATATGACATTAGGAGGGTCAAAGAATTAAGGAAGCATTCATGATGAAAGCAAGTTAGGTACTATAAGAATTATAGGGTGACATGGAGCACAGAGAAGGGAGCCTCTTTGGGAATGGGTAAGGGGAGATTCCTAAAGCAATTGACATTGTTGTGAAATATTAGAAATAAACAGGAATTAGATAAGCCAAATGAGTAATATGATTGGAATGGAGAGGGGGAAGGGGATGCTGAGGAGGGAACATTCCAGAAAGACTATTATGCATGAAAAGAACTAAATGATGTGTGATGTGCTGAGTCATCAGCTACTTCCTGATGCCAGTTTTATTGGAGCCAAATGTGCTTGCTGTATTAGTGCTCATGGCAGAGCCAAGCCATGGATCATGCTTGGAGAAGATGTTATCTCTAGGCAGTCACATGGACAACTGTACTTTGCACCTGCTTGGTGACACTTGTATGTAATCTTATGTTTTGCTCCAAAGTAAATGGGGTACTTTACTCCCCACTCAACTGTGGGAGCTCATTAAGAAGAGAGTATGTCTTACTTTCCGATGTCCTTTATGCTATCTTTGCATGTGGCAGGTGTCCAATAAATATTGATAGAAAATAATTAAACCATCATCTAACAAGATAAATCAGCATAAGATAAGGAATTGGGATTCTTTTTTCCTTTTTCCAACCTTTCAATTAAGTGAAACCAACATAGACATGTAAGCTGGGAAGATTTTGAGCCTGGTTTTTCTGATTTCAATTGTGTTGTTAGTGAACACATCCTGATATTGTAATATGACAGAAAAGGACATTTAAACAAACAATGATATGTGCAGCCAAAGATCCATGATCTCATGTTTTGATTCCAATCTTATAAACACTTGAAAGTAGCTTTATAGGTATCTTGGGCTAAGACACCTCTGAGAGAGCATATAGTTCTTGTGCAGTCATTGGAAAGAAAACACAGTATCCTATTCCAATAAAAGTTTCAGACAGGGCAGTAAATCAGGCTTGCCTTCCAGAATGCAACATTAGGCCATTGGTTTGGGCATAACATTTGGTAATATCATTGAGACACTGAAGGTGATCACCATAACCCACATATATCTGCAGTTCTAAGGGCAGCTTTATGTTGAAGCCAGAACATGACGATGGCATGCAGTTTTCTGTTGTTGTTGTTGTTGTTTTACCTCATATGGTGAAGACCATAGAGACTACCAGCCAGTAACCCATTAACAAGATTAACCTTTGCCTTGACACCAGGGGAGTGACTTTTCTCAAAGCTCATAAAATATCTTTGCATCTCCACTGATAAGTTTGCAATGACAGTGGGGAAATTTCTTAAGTTATTTCACTCAGCTTAAAAATTTTTAAGAAGTCTGATTGCAAAAATGCTCATTGACCTTTCAATTACACTACTCCTTTCTCTTATTAGTGACAATGTTGCCAGCAGCAGTGAGGATGAGTGACCTAAAAAATGTGGGCTTTCATAATTCGGCCGATATTTTCAGTTTGTATTTAGGAGATTTTACTTCCAATTTTCTCCTGGCTTTTGCACCGCTTTAATTTCTCACAAGCTCTGGTTCCAGAATAGCTATGCCAAATTTGGTCATCCATGATGACAGTGTCATAAGTCATAGAAATATTGGGCTCCAAATTTCTTTGGAGAACAAATTCAGATTTAATGCTGCCAATACCCCATATTTCTTGGGAGAAATATGTGAAAATCTTTGGTTTCACTTATAGGAATACTCAAAGAAATGAATAAACTTGCCCATTTAAGAGGTTTACATTTACTGTATAGTCTCAATACTTTAAATTCTGATGATCTTGGATTACACTGGGCTATTTCAACACTTAATTTTTCACAGTTTCTTGAGGCTTTCAAAAAAACAAATATACTTTTCAGGTACAAATAATTGATATGTTACAACATTGATATAAGTATCTTCATAATTGAGCATCTTTCTATATTTGCTTTGCGCATAGCTGTCCAGTGAATTTTTTGAAAAGAATGAACAGTTCTATAAATATTTCTCTATATCCATCAGCCAAAATATGTTAAGGCCAGACTGTCACCTAGATAATTTTAAAACAGCATACTTCCAATTGTAAAATGCAGTTCAAACCACTCATCATTTTCAGTCTTTTGGCATCTCTCTGGTCCACAGGTCTATGTTCTCATAGGCCAGCCCAGCTCCTAGGAATAGTCAGGTTGATCACAGTATTCAGCGACTGTGGCTACAGAAAACAGGGGCTAGAATATCCCAGTGGAATGTCTAACAACTGGAAGGAGCATGTTGACAAGCAATCCCAGGAGCAGGCAGACAAGAAATTTCAGGAAGGTTCTTCCCTGAGCTGGTGGGGAGCAAAAAAATATAGCCCTCCACCAGTGTAGGAAAACTAGAAGGGATGAAGATGGTACAGCCCTAGGGAGGCTGAGCTGATTCTAATTTACTGAGATTCAGATTGAACTCAAGAGATGAGCCAGTACGCTACAATTTGAGGTGGCTGTCCTGGGAACAAAGAAGAACTCCAGTTATATGACCCAGGGGCAAGATCAGAGCCAAAATGGCAGCCAGGAGGGCATGAGAGGATATTCTGGGTATTAAACCAGAATTCCTTAAATCCCCCCAACAAAGATAAAGGTTGGGTCTAGAAACTAGCATGAGATTAAAGTAAAGTGACTGTGCCAGGGTGACTTCAGTGGTGGCTGTTTTCACACTGCTTTAAGAAACACCTGAGACTGGGTCATTTATAAAGAAAAGCAGGTTCAATTGACTCATAGTTCACGTGGCTGGGAGGCCTCAGGAAACTTACAGTCATGATGGAAGGGGAAGCAAGGCACGTTTTACATGGTGGCAGGAGAAAGAGAGAGGAAGTAGTACACCTTTAAACCATCAGATCACATGAGAACTCATTCACTATCACGAAAACAGGATGGGGGAAACTGCCCCCATGATCCAATCACCTCCCACCAGGTCCCTCCCTCAAGACGTGGGGATTACAGTTCGAGATGAGATTTGGGTGGGGGCATAAAGGCCAACCATATCAGTGGCCCTGTTTTCCAGGCCATATGAATGTTTACCCCACGCTGCAGGGCCCTCAATAGCTCCATTTTCTCCCGCGGCTGAGCCATTGTACTTTCTAGAAAAAGTCTTTCTTCATGACTGAAGGTTCAATCTTGTGCCAGTTTCCAGACCCAACCTTTATCTTTGTTGGGGGGATTTAAGGAATTCTGGTTTAATACCCAGAATATCCTCTCATGCCCTCCTGGCTGCCATTTTGGCTCTGTTCTTGCCCCTGGGTCATATAACTGGAGTTCTTCTTTGTTCCCAGGACAGCCACCTCAAATTGTAGCGTACTGGCTCATCTCTTGAGTTCAATCTGAATCTCAGTAAATCAGAATCAGCTCAGCCTCCTTAGGGCTGTACCATCTTCATCCCTTCTAATTTTCCTACAATGGTGGAGGGCTGTATTTTCTTGCTCCCCACCAGCTCAGGGAAGAACCTTCCTGAAATCTTTTGCCTGCCCGCTACTGGGATTGCTTGCCAACATGCTCCTTCCAGTTGTTAGACACTCCACTGGGACATTCTAGCCCCTGTTTTCTGTAGCCACAGTGGCTGGATACCATGATCTATCTGTGTATTAGTTCATATTCTCCAAGAAGCCGATACCAAGACAAGATGAAGTGTGCAAGTATTTCATTAGGGGACATGCCTACATGAAAGGAACTAGGAGGAAAATGGAGTAGGCCAGGAGAGCATTCAGTTTGTGATGCAAATTGACTTCCAGTGAAGGAGAGAGGAGGAAAAGATGGAAGCTCCTAGACTGTCCTTCTGGCTTAGGAAGGTTTGGGAAAGCCACCAAGGGCATCTTAGCCAAAGTCACCCATCAAAAAGGTACTGTGTCTCTTAGGAAAGGACCTGCCTTAGAATCCCCTCAGCCCCAATCACATTTAGCCATTGGTAGAGAACAGCCTGTGGGAAAGGGGCCTTGGCACATACCCACTGATAGATTTCAGAGTGCACTAGATGGAGTTTCAGTCAATTACATCCCCTGGAGTCACAGGTGTGCCAGGTGCATGCTCATGACCTTCACAACTTGTCAGTTTGGACTTTCTTCCAGCACCCGAAGCTGGGTCTGTACCCCAAGGTGCTAGTCTCACTCTACAAACATGCTGTTTTACCTTCAGGTCCCAGTCTCTCCTAGCCTGCTTTATCCAGCTGGAATCAACAGACAGCCAGGTCGGGCCTTATCATGAGCAGCGTTTTCAAGTGTGAATTCCTTCCTGGCATTTCTCCAGAAATTTATATGGACTTCTAAAACCCGAATTCCAAGAAAAATTCATTGAAACATTGAGGGAATGAGAAAAAATGTTACAATTCTCCTTGAAAAGTTAAAACTGAACAATCAACACAAAGACATAACTGGTTTGATGGAAGCCACTGACAAAAAGTCAAAAGAGCAGGAAACTCTGACATGGAGTCAAAGATCAAGGCTGGAATTTCCAGAACCATGACAGGAGTACAGAACAGTGGTCATGAGCTAATCAGTCAGCCTTTCTTGCAGCTGTTGCCATGTTATATGTGTGTGTTTGTTGCAGATAAAGTAAATATTAATAAGTTTATATGCATAGTATGCTTTATAGAAATCATATGATTGCTCTTCCAAAAAAAATAACAAGTTTTTTAAGCAAAATAAGTCCTTTAACTGGCAGTTTCCACATATGACTCTGGGAAGTGATGTTAATTTTATTAGGAGATCTGAATGTGAGGTTATTCGTATATTACCCAATAATATTTGTCAGCATTTTTCAGTGTTTGAATATTTGTTATAAAACATAATTCTTGGTAAAAAAAAATAGTAAACTGAAAATTCCTTTTTATTACATCATTTTAATGTCCATAATAATAAGATATGAAGAATGGTGGAAGTATTTAAAGAATAACATATGACTTAGAATAATTTGTGAAATTTCCAAGAATTCCAGTATCTCATTCCAAGTCTTGAAGACTAGAAATACTGTGAGATAAAGCTTGGGAATTCTCCAGGATTGATTAGAGAAATGATGATGACTAAAATGAGACTGCTGTTTTCGCTTTTATCCAATCAGAACTCAATCCTCTTAGCCAATCTAAACTTTAATCTCAGTGCTGTGAGCCTAATTTAACTGCTTCTTCAGAATAAGGAAAATAATTACACCATGCAAATTTCAATTGTGAATTTTCCCAACTTAGGAAAAGATCAATAGTTTTAAATATTTGTCCTCTATAGGGCTTGGCAACAACATGGCTAAAAATAAAAGCGATATTACAACTAAAAAGAAAAACACACCACTATAGCCATGCTATTGCTGCAGAAATTTTCATATACTTGACCTCTGATTAACATGTCATCTCTCTAAAGAGCTATTCTCAATTTTACTCCAGTGTCTTAGTCTGCACAGGCTGCCATAACAAAATACCATGGACTAAGTGGCTTAAACAACATAAGTCTATTTCTCACAGCTCTAGAGGTTGGGGAGTTCAACATCAAGGCACTGGCCAGTAGGGTTCCTGGTGTCTCTCTGAGGTCCTTTCTTATAACATCACTAATTTCATCATGAGGGCCCTACTCTCATGGCCTCACCTAACCCTAATTATCTCCCAAGGACGCCATCTTAAATACCATCCTGTTGGGTTGTAGGGCTTCAACATGAGAACCTGGGGTGGAGGACACAAACATTTGGTTCATAACATCTGACATGGCTTTCTTGAGACCAGAACCAGCTCATGAAAAGAGTCCAATCAGGTAAGCATAACTGGGCAGTTCCTACCACTTCTCCTTGGTGCTCCTTATTCCCCCAGGAACCAGTCCCTTAGGGTCCTCATGGGGGGCCTCTCTCTGGGATTTGGGGAGCAACTGAAGGGGGCAGCACATTCCCACGTACAGAGGGCAGACCATGTGCAGGGGCTTCACAAACATCATCAACTTTCACCCTTCCAGCATCCCTGCTGGGAGCACCTCTTCCATTTTCAGAAGAGAGACATTTGGGGTTGAACCAGTTTCAATAATTCATATGCCCATGTCACAGAAAAAGTAAGGACTAGAGCTAGTCTTTTCTTAAAGATACAATTCAGATATTAGAGAATTCACCCTTTCAAATTATACAGTTCAGCAGTTTTTAGTATATTCATAACATGCAACCATCACCCCTATCGAATTTCAGAACATTTATATCACCCCTAAAAGAAATCCCATACCCTTTAGCAGTCACTCCTCATTCTTCCCTTTCCTTGGCTCCTGGCAACCACTTATTTACCTTCTGTTTCCATGGACTTGCCTATTTTAGACATTTCATATAAATGGAGTCATACATGTTTTTTGTTATCTGGCTTCTTTCACTTAACATAAACATTTTCAAGGGTCATCTATGTTGCAGCATGAATCCCTACTTCATTCCTGTTTATGGCTTAATAATATTCCATTGTATGGATATACCACTTTTAATTATCCATTTATCAATTGATAAACATTTGGGTTGTTTCCACCATTTTGGCTTTTATGAATAATGCTGTTATGAACATTCATGTACAAGTTTTTGTACTGACATATGTTTTCCTTTCCCTTGGCTATATACCTTAGGAGTTGAATTGCTGGGTCATATGGTAACTCTGTGTTTAACTTTTTGGAGAACTTCCGACAGACCTAGTTTTGAACCAAAATACGTCTATGTTCTTTCCACCACATCAAGCAGTTATCACAACTTCGCTCAATCTTTGTTGCACATTCTAAGCACTTGGAGACCTTTGAAAATACTCTGAAGCCCAGGTGTCCCCTATGCAAGCGATTCTGATTTAATTGGTCTAAGGTGGGGCTTAGACACTGGTGTTTGTTCCTACTGGGAAGTCAAGGTGGAGAATCATAGCATTCCACTTTATGCATTCCAGATCTATGGACCTTTCAGCTGAGGTCAGTCTCCCTACTGTTGATAAAGGGAAATAACAGGCTAAACCACTCTGGGAAGGTGTTGCCCCTTTCTTGGCCACATCATATTTTAACAGAGTAAAGATGCATATGTCTTTGAGCATTAGATTTGCCTTTGAAGCATGGTGAGGCTATGGTAGGCCGGCAGGCCCCTTGGTGCCTAGTGTGCATCCATGAAGGTAAGGGCCCATTACTTTTCCTGACGTCTGGGATAACATTATTGTCTGTGAACCTTGCGATAACCCTCTGAGATAGTGATTGTCATGATCTCCATTTTGTAGATGAAAATGCTAAAGCTTGGAGAGTTTGAACCCCTTGCCTGAGGTCCTCAAGTGGTGGAGCTGGAATTCAAACCGCAGGCATCCAACTCCAGAGTCCTCAGTCATAACTGATCTGTGATATTGACTCTATTCTAATAAACAACTTTAACAAAATCTGTGATATTGACTCTCTTCTAATAAACAACTTTAACTTTATTCATCTTAATTACTGAAAAAATAATCACCAAACATAGTACTCTATATGACCAAAACCAAAATGAAACACTCTGGTGAGAAATGAACCAAAGACTTTGAAATCTGGCTAAAGGCATTAAGAAAATAAGTACTGATATCAGAAAATTTCAGATGTTCTGTCTTCCAAACTTATGTTGGGAACCTGACCCTAGAGCACAAGATATATTTTCCTTGTCCCCATGATGGATATATTTAATGATTCTTTTCTGGTCTGAGAATGGGGAATCTGATAATGCACCATATACAGTTACATTGTTCTGAGTCTGGGAGGACTTCTGAAGATTGAAAAGCTTACTAAAAGTTTACCAGCACAGTGCAGCCTAAGCTGCCATCTCCTTCCACCGACCAAACCATATCAGTTTCAAAACCATCTCTCTCAGTAGCCTCTGGTTTTATTTAATTTACTGCATTTGGAATTTGATAAGTTCCTGGCTAGCTTTCACATTCTTTTTCATCCTAGTAATTCACGTATTATCTTTCAGCTTTCAATTCTTCGAATCTTCTCGTTACTCCTAGAGAAAAACTGCTTTAGTGTTTTATCCATTTAATGCCTCAAAAACATAGTCAAACATGGGGATATATATTCTTACCCCAAAATGTCTCTGTGGTCCAGGAACTCCTCAATGTCCAACATTTTGGGAGGTCCATTTTTTGTGCACACCCCCCACTGAGGATCTACAGATGAAAGAGTGTCCCTACCCTACAGGAGCTCACATTTTTGTGGGACGAACAGACAACAGCCAGTTAAAAAATAATATAGGCATTCCAATAGAGGTATGGTATGTGGTGCTGCCCAAACTCATGATTGAGGAAGCTTGCACAGACTGTGGAGGCCAAGGAATATATTTTTTAGGAGGCTGTGGGCCATGATGAGTAAACAGGGACAACTGCATCCCAGGAGGTGGGAGGCATCCCCAAAGCAACATCTGTGAAAGTAGATGTGATCTGACCACAGACTGTGGGACATGGAATGAAGAGATATAAAATGGCTAATCCATATATAGTCTTACCATATGCCACTCATAGTTTTTCCTGCTTAATAACTGCTTGTTAATCCTCACAACTCCTGGGATATAGGTACTACTATTTAGAGATGAGGAAATGAAGGCAGAGAGAGGTCAGAGTGCCCAGTAAGGTATAAAGCTAGGATGCAAGCCCAGGCAGCCTGGAGCCAGAGTACACAGTTTAATTCTACCAGGCAGGTATGCAGAGCATGCATGAGATCATGACTGACTTTGCCAGTTCATTCCATTCATTCATTCACTTGTTCATTCATTCATTCAGCACATATTCATGGAATGCTACTATATGGCAAGGATGGTAATAGACTTGAGGATAAAACAGACAAGGCCCTTGAATTCTATCCTTAAGGCAACGGTGTGGGCAGAGCAGTGGGTGGGCTGCCGTTTGACTAAGATACAAATGGAATAATAAGACATGGGCCCTGCCTTTTGGGTGCTCAAGGTCTAACAAGAGAGAATGCTGTAAGAACAGGAAACATTCCATTAAAAAAATTCGTTCAATATTATGGAAAGAAAATTTAGACTGAGCATTGAACCTAACAAAAATTAATCTCAAAATGAGTAAGTGAGCAAAGATTGGTAAATAATAGGTTATTACGCAAATGGGAGAAAGTTGGAGATAGCTGATACCAATTGAAAGGGAATGCAACTTGATATGAAAAGTGAAATGGAGCAGAGGCAGGACAAGCTTACAGGGCTGGCAAATGCCACCTGGAGGCACCATGAACATGACTTGGTTCTCTATCAAAATCCTTCAGGGTCCAGGCGCCTGTAATCCCAACACTTTGGGAGGCAGAGGCGGGAGGATTGTTCGAGCCCAGGAGTTCAAGGCCAGCCTGGGCAATATAGAGACCCCAACTCTACAAAAAATAAAAAAATTAGCCAGATGTGTTGGTGCATATCTGTAGTCCTAGCTACTTGAGAGGCTGAGGTGGGAAGATCACTTAAACCCAGGAGTTGGAGGCTGCAGCAAGCTATGATTATGCCACTGCACTCCAGCCTGGGTGATAGAGCAAGACCTTGTCTCTAAAAACACAAAAACAAGAGCCCACAAAATACATCAAGACTTCTCTTGGAATGTTCAAGGATGTTGCCAGCACATAGTTGTACCTGGAAGCCAGCCTCAAAAAGCTCTCTGGCTGACCAAGAGAAGAACTAAAGGAAGATAGTTACAAATTCTTCCACGAACATACCCAATTCATACCCTCTGGCCTTAATGACTTTGGCAGACTGGGCACAAAACACATGACCCATCAGCTCCTGACTGACTGACTTGCCCCAATGTGAACCCCCACACCTCCACTCACCTCCCCTATCTCTTTCAAAACTTGCCAGTGACAGGAGAGAGGAAACTACTGGGCTCAGAACATTTTTTCTTAAAAATCTTTCCAAAGTTCCTTTTTAAACCGAAGCAGGGACAACACTTTAGGAAACTCTTTCCAAAGCAGATTTTTCTGCTTGACCAAAGGTATAATTTTTCCTCCAGGAAGTGAAGGCACCTCATGCTGGTGTAATCGAGTTTCCCTGGGAAGAAGCCGCTGCCCCCTGGGTGGTCATTGCTGTTGAAAAATTAAACACAGATGTTTGGCGGGTCGCCTCCCCATGCATCCCACTCTTTGTGTGTTTCCTCTTAGAGAGATGGGAGCAGATTCAGGACATCCCTGACATGCTGGGCCTACGTACTCATCAACACATCCATGCAGTTTGCTGTTATAGAAACCTCTGAAACTAATTGGTCATCCAGTGAATCCATTGGGCACCACCATATTGGTTATCCCTTCTCTCAACCATCGTCCCAGCCAATGAACACAGCAGTATGCCCCTTCTTATTTGAGGAATTATGAAAAAGCTTACGAATTTGTGAAATGCAATGCAGATTTTAAAGCTATAAAGCTATGTTCTTATTTACTCTTTTGGGAAATAAATGCCAATTATTTTAACCTGTCATACGAAGGGGAAATGAAAGGGTGAAGGTTGTTTCCCCAACATGGTGCTATTAAGTGAGGATCACGGATATTGACTTGTTAGTGCAGCCATCAATTAATAGTAATTTTTGAAAAATTATGAGCGGAAATAGGAATAAGTTAAACTTTTAAATCTCACCTTTACAAATATCCTACTAAGTCTTCTATCTTAAAATAAAAACATATTTATTCCTGTCCCTCTCAAGTTAGTCCATCCTTTATTTCCTGTCATTTATAACAAAACTTTTGAAAAACTATCTGGACTCCCTGAAGCCAATTTTTCTTTTCCCATGCATTTTATACTGCTTCAATTTATTTACCTCACTATAAAACTCATTTACATGAAAACCTCCCAAACACAAAGCAAATCAGCTCTGTTTTTCAGCTAATTTCATTTTCTTTCCAGTCCTCCACTCTCTAATTTTAGGACCACGCTGTAATCAGGCTTGTGCATCAGTGCAAGCTGGCTTCCTGTACTAGCTCATTGCAATGCTCTTCCTTGGTGGGTCCTTAAACAGGCCAATAAAATCATAGTAAAAGCACTGTCTACAACTTCATTCTGCAGCACAAATATTAATCTATTGTCAGTTATTATTTGCAGGCAGCAGTATTTTCTAGTATCAACAAATCTGTCCAAATCTGGTACGATGCCAAAAAACTCATCATGACACACAATTAAAATACTGTGTTTCCACCCATTTTAGTCAGGGCCCATAAATAGAGTATGTGTACATATGTGTGCTGTGTACCCTTTAAGTATACAAATGTCACTTAGTCATCTTGCACTTCTATAATTGTGCTCACTGAATGTGTTGCTTCCTTAATAATAACTGTAGGCTAGGGTGATTGATTGATTTGCAAGTGTATTCACTCTCCAGTAGTAAACCCTGCAAGCAACTTTTGAGTAATTATGGGGTAAGGGAGGGAATAAGTCAAAGCTTTAAAATCACCTTCAAAACATGCAGTTATTTCTCCTATCTCCCAATTTTTCTCCAGATAGTGACACATTTCTCAACTTCCTTTTACAAGGAGACTCCTTCCAAGTGTTGTTTCTATTTCCTCTTTCCACTTTCCTGCCTCCCAGTCTTGTGAACCTCCTCTTTTCAAGCCATTGCAGCCACCAAAGCTGTTCTAATGAAGGATCACTAGTTACTTCAACATTACTACATCTAACATTAGTTCTCAGTCCATATCAGGTGTGGCTCATGGGCAGCATTTTACAAAGCTCATCACTATCCCTGAAACACTTTCTAGGCTGGGCGTGGTGGCTCACACCTGTAATCCCAGCACTTTGGGAGGCTGATGCAGGAGGATCACTTGAGGCCAGGAGTTTGAGACCAGTCTGGCCAACATGGTGAAACCCTGTCTCTACTAAATACACAAAAATTAGCCAGACGTGGTGGCATGTGCCTGTAATCCCAGCTACTTGAGAGGCTGAGGTATGAGAATTGCTTGAGCCTGGGAGGACAAGACTGAATTGAGCTGAGATCACACCACTGCACACCAGCCTGAGTGACAGAGCAAGATTGTCTAAAACAAACAAACAAACAAACAAACAAACAAACAAACAGGGAAGAAAGAAAAAGAAGAAACATTTCCTATTCTTGACTGTCAGGATAGGCACAGGAAAACCATCTTGGTTTTTGTTCTGCTCCTCTGTTTCTCCTGAGCCTGCTTCACTGATCCCTTCTCCTCTTCCTTTCTTGTTCCCTTTTTTTTTTCAAATTAAGGTGAAATTCACATAACACAAAAGAAACCATTTCAAAGTGAACAATTATATGGCATTTAGTACATCCACAATGTTGTCCAGCCACCCACCTCTATCTAGTTTCAAAACAATGTTATCACTCCAAGACGAGATCCTGTATCCATAAAAAGGTCACTCAACATTCTCCCCTCCACCTAACCCCTGGTAACCACTAATCTGCTTTCTGTTTCTATGGATTTTATTATTCTGGTTATTCATATAAATAGAATATGTATTTATATGAATACATATTCCTATAATAGAATATGGACCACCCAGGTCCACACTACTGTTACTCTTTTCTGGATTATCACAATGGTCCCCTGACTGGTTTCTCTGCTTCTGCCAAGGTTGGGTTATAAAACACAAAAAGACACACACACACACACACACACACACACCCCAACATCAACTCCTCAGGACTCTGTCTTTTTGGATGTTTTCACAAACTGTTAGCCTGCTTCTGATTATAAAAGATTTCATATGTCTTTTGTGTCTGGCTTCTTTCACTTAGCACAAGCTTTTCAAGGTACATCCATGTTGTCCTATGTGTCAGTACTTCATTCCTTTATGAATGAAGACTATTCTACTGTATAGATAGACCATAACTTGTTTCATCTGTTGATAGACATCTGGGTTGTTTACTTTTGTGCTATTTTGCCCCTGACTTGTTAATATCAGCATGCTCTGGGGCTTAGTCCTCCCACCTCTTCTCTCTGTTTTCCTTTCCATATCAGTCTTCAGTGGATCTATTCCAGTTGCATGATTTTATGTGATATCTGAATGCTGTATATCTCCAGCTCAGACCTCTCTCCCAGTTAAATATACTCTTATATTTAACTGCCTGCTCAGCATCCATTGTTGGGTGTTTAATAAGCATGTCAAATGCAACATGTCCAAAATGATACTTTTTATATTCTCCCACCTACCCTTTACTACCAATCCTGCTTCTCCCAGTCTTCCCCATCTCAGTTAATGACAACTCCATCCACTTGCATGCTTTGGCCAAAGTACTTAGAGACACCCTTGATTCGTCCTGTATTCACATTTGATCCATTAGCAAATCCTATCACCCGCTCTCATCACCTCCACTTGGACCACCCAGGTCCACACTGCCGTTACTCTTTTCTGGATTATCACAATGGTCCCCTGACTGGTTTCTCTGCTTCTGCCAAGGTTGGGTTATAAAACACAAAAAGACACACACACACACACAGACCCCAATATCAACTCCTCAGGACTCTGTCTTTTTGGATGTTTTCACAAACTGTTAGCCTGCTTCTGATTATAAAAGATTTCTTAGGCAAAAGCATTATGACCTTCCAGGAGAAGTTGAAATGTATCCATTATCAGCTGGCAAGAATACGCTCAGATGAAATAAATATGGAAGAAATGACTTTATTTACTCTCAAATGTGCTTGTTTTCTGGCTTTATTTTCCTTGTTTCCAATTCTTAAGGAAAAAAAAATCAACATAAATTAAGTTCCTTAGGTCCGCTCCAAGGGAAAGGAACAAATTCTTCTTTTTGCAATTTCGATAGTAATCTTCCTCCATCCATTTTAATATATGGACTAACTTCTAACCCCCTGTCCAGCTTCTATTCCATGTATGTGAATTAACTCCATGTTGCCTAAGTATTTAAAAGGACAGTAAATTAACTCTACTGAACATACTCACAGAAGTCAGCATAGCAGCACCAAAAACTTACATCAGAGTTCAATTAGCCACAAACTATTTTTTTCTTGTCAAATGTATAATTACACCACTATTATTTTCAAGAAAAGAAAATTGTGATATAATATCACTGCCAACTTATCTTTCCATAAGGCAGTGATTTTCATCTTGGGGCTATTTTGTCTCCCAGGGCACATCTTGCAATAGCTGGACACGTTTTTGGTTGTTGCATGGTGATGGAGGATTGCTAATGGCATCTAGTGGGTAGAGGCCAGGGATGCTTCTAAACATCCTACAGTGCAGAGGGCAGTCTCCCATCACAAAGAACTACCTGGCCCAAAATATCACAAGTGTCAAGTTTTAGAAACTTAGCTTTGAAGTTACAACACTCATTACTCCATGGGGCCATGGGAGATAAGTCCAGTTTTAAAAGATTTACATTTTATAAGTAAACTTCTGGTTTTCAGACTTTTGATGCCTTTCATTGAAGGCACAGCTTTTACATTTTCATCTCGGATAATGTTATATAAATTAACATATGTCATCTTTAAAGTCACCCATGTAGCACGAAACTGACTTTTGGAACTACTATGAGAAAAACTCAGTAACTACTAATTTCCTGAAACACTGATCTGGCACCAAACAGATACCCTGGAGATGAACAGAGAAGCATGAAGCATAGTCCATTGTATACAGTGTGTGTGGGAAAGATCTGGTGATATCTCGACTCCAGTTCAGGATGTGCAGGATGTGTTTGAAATACAAGTTTCTGGATGGTTTGTTAGTGTCTACATTTATCAACCTGATATAGTATTCAAATCCTTTTTGGGTCTAATAGGGTCCCACAATTTCTATAAATGAATGTGGTGTGAGATGACTTAGAATGCTTTTATTTCAAAACATTCAAATCAATCTCTCCCTATTACATGTATAAACATAGGTATAGGTATAGGTATAACCCTGTAACCACTGGGGCCACATTAAATTAAAAATCTCACATCTATTGTGTTCTCTACTTTAAGAGGTTAACTAAAACATTAGCTTCCCAGAATGTGGATACTTAATGGACTTTAATGAAGATCTAGTGCAACCACTCCTTTTTATTACAAATGAGGAAAGAGAGGATCCCAGAGGATATGAGACTTTTCCAAGGCCAAAGAGCTGGTTATTGGCCAATCCTGGACAAGAGCTCCTCTTCTGTTAAAATATTCTGGGATTATTCCAACAAGCTAATCTTTCTTTGCTTAACTTATTTGGAATCAAACTTTCCACAACTGCTGCATAAAGTTGTGTTGGCTAATTTATTGTGTCTATAAACTTGGTATAAGTCCCTGAGCAAGTTACTTATTCCCATCCTTTTGTCTGAAGTGAAAATCTTCCACTAGGCACACAGCACAATGCTGTCTTCTCTGAGGTGAGCTGAAAAGTATTATATAATTCAGGCTTTATAAGTGCAATGTGTGATACATAATACTTAATATATAATATGGTACAGTTAATGATTTTTTTCTCATAATGGCTTCTGAGGTATTATACCACTTTTAGAACACTACTTTCTTCCCAGAATATCAATTTTTTCACCCCAAAACACACTAAATGAACTAAAAGAAGTGATATGTCAACATTATTAATTTAGACAAAGATATCTTCATCAATTTACTTGACACAACAATTTTTAGTAAGAGAATATAGTAATATGAAACAAGTTTTATGTCTACCATGCTTGAACGAACTCAAAGGGTTTTGCTTGGTTTTTAAGCTAAGGAAGAAGGATAAACTGGTTGATGGCTGTTGGCCACATGTGCCATTTCCTCATTTTTGAGACACACCTTAATGTTGCCCCCTTGGTATATATTTCTTTCTGCACTATTTGTAAGTGTATTCTGAATATAATGCAACCATGAGCCCCAAAAGATTGGGAAGTTGGGAAAGAAAATGAGTCACAAAAAAATGACTCAACAAATCTTCACAACATTTATATTTATAGGTACAAAATCTACTTATGTATTTATCTATTTAGTATCCATTTAATCTAATTAGTGAACTTTTTTATTTCATGGTTTTCAGTAATGAATTACTGTTTTTAAGCAAAGAATAAAGCTGAAAGTGATTTGGGATTTTTATCATAAAGCCAAGTACTCAAGCACTCTCCACAGTTATAACTCTACAGGTTGCCGCTCCCTGTTCCCTAGTAGAATTAATTATTAAAACATTTGATTCCAGATCTTTTATTCTCTTTGTATATCTTCTCTTTTTATCTTTTCCTACAAGCTAGATACCACGGTATTGTAACAGACACTTCAAAAATGCCTGGAGTCAGGCATGGGACTTTATTAGGAGGCTCTGGCTGGAGCTTTTTGCAATGAAAACTAAATAATTCTGCATTTAAATGGAAATGAAAATATTTCATCCTGAATTATCTTTACGAGATGATTTCGGCTTTAACATATGAAAATAGCAGTTGAGATTGTTATCTGTGAATTTCTCAGGAGCTCCATTTTCGGACTATGTGGTCTATTTTAAACACACCATATGGATTATGTACTCTAAGAACTACTCTCGACTAAAAAAAAAAAAAAAAAAAAAACTTTGCAAACACAAACCACCCAGCTCTAAAGTCCCAGCTGGCACTTCTGTTACCCATAAGTGCTCTCTTCTGTTTATGTTTCTTACACCCACATGTATATATGTTTGCAGTTGGAACCCTTCACCCTTGTCTCTTAAAAATTCCTTGAGCAACAAGGCAACTGCGAATGAGATTTTGCTCCATTTCTTGTAGCACGAACAAGGCCAACACTGCAGGCAGACAGCTGGTGAGAGAACACATGGTCCAGAATCTTCTCCTCCTCCTCTTCCATCTAAATTTGCTTGTCTTGTGTTCCATTCCCTTGAGGCTCAACTCTCTGCTCTCATTGATGCCACCCAGTCTGATGAACCAGCATTTCCCAAAGATGTGTGTTTTACAAGCTGTTAGCAAGAGTCCCATGAAAAGATGGGTTCCATGGTTAAAAGCATAGGAAGTCAGAACTTATCAAAACCTTTTATGCCCAGGACTTTCCATGTTATTGTTCATTATAAATATATTAGATGGGATAGCAAAGTACAGATTTTTAAAAAATGTTTAAATATTTTCATATTTTTCCCCGAGTGTCCTACAGAAAGAATAGACCATAGAACTCATTTTGGGAAATACTGCTAATGTTAATGGCATAAAGGAACTTTTCAAGATCTAACACTATATCCCAGTGGCATGGGTCTCAAGTAGGACAGGCAGGCTGCAGGGGAAGCTATTTTTAAATAAGTGGAGCTATTGGCACATATCAGGGACCACCACACAAGTGGTTGCCAGTTTCCGTCTGATAATAGAGTTCCCTGTGACATAGTCACATTGTCACACATCTAGGAGTGACAGCAATGATTTCAGGGATAATGAACTACACAAGAGCAATGCAGAAAGTAGACAGAAATTTTAACTGCACTTTTCAGGGTTTATGAATTACAAATAGTAGCAATCCTTTCATCCTCCACTACACAATGATTACCTTAAGTATGGAGATCAGGTTGTTCCTTGATGTTGCCCTAGGCTCGACTATGTACAGGGTCTGGCACATGTGTGCACTCCATAAATATTTGCAGAATGACTCATTGAAGCAGTGATCACCAGATTTGGTCATTCAGCTCAGTTTTTATCTTTCTATCTTCTCTACAATTCCAATCACCTTTTCACATATGATCATGGGAATCTGTAGATACGGAAACCAGAGAGGACATCTAGTCTGCTATTTGTCATCAGTCTGAAAGCTACATCTATTAGATGAATGACAGCTCCCCTATCTTTACAAACCCCAGTAAAAGAGGCTTCAAATCTTCCTTATTACCTTGTTTGAGTTGAATTACACTCACTACTAGGAAACTCAATCTCAATCGCACCTTCTATCTTATGTAAGCATTCAAAAGGCACTGGAGGGATGGTGGCCATTTCCCTGGATGTATCAAGTCCAACCATAACCCTTTGTCAAAAGCACCAAAGAACAATATTTTTCTTGATGCATGATCAGATGAAGGACGTTCTCTGGAATCTAATTTCCATTCCCACCTTTTAAAAAATACACACACACATACACATATACACACATGCATATATCTGTGTGTATGAGAGTGTATTTATATGTGAGTATGTGTGCTAATATCATCACTTGGCTAATCATGTAGGTTCAAGATTTTAGCCATTTTCATATCCTCCTCCTTCTGTGAACTTTGCTTATTTAATTAACTACTGAATTGGGTTTATACTGCTTCTGAAATGATGTTCGTGCCCATTGGATCATCTCCAAATTACTACTACTAGTTCAGCCTTCTTTCTCTTTCATTTAGACTATGCAGTAGGCTTCAAACTGGTAGAGAGATGTTTCCAAACTCCCCATCCAGTATTGTATTTGTATAGCAACTTATAACTGCTAAAATGTCTTCTAATATATTATTTTATGCATATGACAATTCTGTGGACTAGGCAGTATGGCCTCTGTGTGCAGATGAGGTAGTGGTGAACAGTAAACAATTAGCTCAGTGTCCCACCACTATTAATTTATGTGTCAACAAATCACCTCTTTTCTCCTCCTCTTTTTTCCCCATAGACCTTAGGTATTTTTTTTTATTATACTTTAAGTTCTAGGGTACATGTGCACAACGTGCAGGTTTGTTCCATATGTATACATGTGCCATGTTGGTGTGCTGCACCCATTAACTCGTCATTTACATTAGGTATATCTCCTAATGCTATCCCTCCCCCCTCCCCCCACCCCACAACAGGCCCCAGTGTGTGATGTTCCCCTTCCTGTGTCCAAGTGTTCTCATTGTTTAATTCCCACCTATGAGTGAGAACATGCGGTGTTTGGTTTTTTTGTCCTTGTGATAGTTTGCTGAGAATGATGGTTTCCAGCTTCATCCATGTCCCTACAAAGGACATGAACTCATCGTTTTTTATAGCTGCATAGTATTCCATGGTGTATATGTGCCCCATTTTCTTAATCCAGTCTATCACTGATGGACATCTGGTTGGTTCCAAGTCTTTGCTATTGGGAATAGTGCTTCAATAAATATACATGTGCATGTGTCTTTATAGCAGCATGATTTCTAATCCTTTGGGCATATACCCAGTAATGGGATGGCTGGGTCAAATGGTATTTCTAGTTCTAGATCCTTGAGGAATCACCACACTGTCTTCCACAATGGTTGAACTAGTTTACAGTCCCACCAACAGTGTAAAAGTGTTCCTATTTCTCCACATCCTCTCCAGCACCTGTTGTTTCCTGACTTTTGAATGATCGCCATTCTAACTGGCGTGAGATGGTATCTCATTGTGGTTTTGATTTGCATTTCTCTGATGGCCAGTGATGATGAGCATTTTTTCATGTCTGTTGGCTGCATAAATGACTTCTTTTGAGAAGCGTCTGTTCATATCCTTCACCCACTTTTTGATGGGGTGGTTTGTTTTTTTCTTGTAAATTTGTTTGAGTTCATTGTAGATTCTGGATATTAGCCCTTTGTCAGATGAGTAGACTGCAAAAATTTTCTCCCATTCTGTAGGTTGCCCATTCACTCTGATGGTAGTTTCTTTTGCTGTGCAGAAGCTCTTTAGTTTAATTAGATCCCATTTGTCAATTTTGGCTTCTGTTGCCATTGTTTTTGGTGTTTAGATATGAAGTCCTTGCCCATGCCTATGTCCTGAATGGTATTGCCTAGGTTTTCTTCTAGGGTTTTTATGGTTTTAGGTCTAAAATTTAAGTCTTTAATCCATCTTGAATTAATTTTTGTATAAGGTGTAAGGAAGGGATCCAGTTTCAGCTTTCTCCATATGGCTAGCCAGTTTTCCCAGCACCATTTATTAAGTAGGGAATCCTTTCCCTATTTCTTGTTTTTGTCAGGTTTGTCAAAGATCAGATGGTTGTAGATGTGTGGTATTATTTCTGAGGGCCCTGTTCTGTTCCATTGGTCTATATCTCTGTTTTGGTACCAGTACCATGCTGTTTTGGTTACTGTAGCCTTGTAGTATAGTTTGAAGTCAGGTAGCATGATGCCTCCAGCTTTGTTCTTTTGGCTTAGGATTGTCTTGGCAATGGGGGCTCTTTTTTGGTTCCATATGAACTTTAAAGTGACCTTAGGTATTTTTTTAAGTAAGTTGTTAATGACTGCTAAACAAGAATGTATTAAGTGGGAAAAGACAAAATTTGTCTTTATATATAATTTTAAAAGTTATTAACCATCAAAATCTTAAAATAAATATGTATGTAAAGTTAAATAATTCTACTTAAAATTAATTAATTTATACTATGAAAAATTATGTAATTTCTAAAATTCCTATGGGCATGTGAAAAGCCATATATGGCCATGAAACGATTCTGTTATTTCCTAATTGTTGTGGTTTGTAGGTCTGACTAAGTAGAACTACATGTGGGGTGCAGACCCTGCATTTGTCCATTCTTTACTCCCAGCATAGGATGACTCTTTCCAGTATCTCCAATTTGCCAAATCCTGTCCACCCTCCAAGTCCCAGTTAGTATGCCATTCCCCTCCCCTACCCACTGACCCATAAGGCCTTGTCTGTTACCTTAGGTTGTTGTTTAAAACTCTCTTAGGGAATTCAACAAATCCTAGCCTAAATCATAGTTATCTAGGTATACATTCTCCATCGTTACAGAATCATTCATTCATTCACTGATTCAACAAATAACCTTTCAGCATTGTTACCATGCCATTCTGGGCCCTGAAAACAAAGGGAGTGAGAAGAAATAAATTCTGCCTTAAGAGTGCCATCTTGTGCAAGCAGCTGCTGTCTTTGCTATATCACATGTATGAGTGAATAGTGTTGCTGTGTCCAGTCCAGCAAATCTGACTGCAGACCTCAGTTTACTGAGGCTGTTTATTCTACTGCCTCTCTAGTGTAGCCTGAGACTGTAAATTTATCAGAAAGAAATTCAGCATTTCAGCCTTGCATTTAGTATCTAACAGCTAACTGCACTTCAAACAGAATGGCGCTTCTTTTGAGAAAGAAGTATCTCTCACATGAGCCCAGCATTCCATGAACCAATGAACGAAAGTGTTGTTTAAACATTCTATTTCTCCCTGAATTCTTCTCTTAATTAATTATGTAGCTCAGGGTAGTAACAATAGTAAGGAAATCTGATACAGCCAGAGTTCTTTTCCACTAACAAACTTTTAGACCTTCTTATTTATGTTTATATTTACATTCATATATGGGAGTGAGTTAATTTTACAAAATACTCTGAGTTCAGTGGGAGTGAGAAGTGTCCATGGCATCCTTGAGTAATTGGGGACAATTGTTTGAGTGCTTGGTGCTAACTGTAACTGTCAGTTCATCATTTATATAACAAACTCTTATGAAGATGTCTTTCCACAGCCAGCATAAACCAATACGCTAACGTTGGAGCAAAGGGAAAAAAACTTTTAGTAGACTTTGTAAATTACAGATTCCATCACTATTTTATGGGTTGGCCAGTTCTTTCAAAGTAGGATTTGATACAGCTTACAAGTTAGTATATAAATTCCAAATAAAAATGGGAAATTGAGGTCATGGAATGAAGTAGAAAGAAAATGTACACTGGCACATTTGATGGCACTAAACAAGTTTAACTCTGAGCTTCTTGCTGGCAAGGGCAAAAAGAGAAAAATGACCAGTAACTGAGATATCATTAGCAGAATGGACAACACATATGAATGTTCTCCTTGGCTAACCTCCTCAGTTGGAGATTAGATGGTAGTTTCCTCATCTTTACCTCTCAGTTTGCTAAACTGGATCTTCCTTTCCAAGTGGAAGTTTGGGCTCCATTAAGTTTTACCAAGTTTCCTCTGTAATCGAAGACAGTATTGTGTTTATAGCTAATAACTGGGATGGCTGCCTTTTCTCCTGACCCTGGTAATCCATTCTTCAGAGAACAGTTAGAGTGATCTCTCACAAACAGACATCAGAGCAGGTCTGTCACATATCCACCATCCTCCCAAGACTTTCCATCACACTTAGCATAAGTCCAGACTCAGACTCCTATGCCTAACCCAGAGGTCTCCAACCTTTTTGGCACCAGGGACCAGTTTCATGGAAGACCATTTTTCCATGGACCAGGGAGGGGGTAGGATTCTTGCGCATTACATTTATTGTGCACTTTATTTCTATTATTATAACATTATAATACATAATGAAATAATTATACAACTCACCATAATGTAGAATCAGTGAGCGCCCTGAGCTTGTTTTTCTGCAACTAAATGGTCCCAGCTGGGGGTGACAGGAGACAGTGACAAATCATCAGGCATTAGATTCTCATACGGAGCATGCAACCCAGATCCTTCGCATGCACAGTTCACAACAGGGTTCACATTCCTATTAGAATCTGATCCAGCCACTGATCTGACAGGAGGCAGAGCTCAGGCAGTAATGCAAGCGATGGGGAATGGCTGTAAATACAGATGAAGCTTCCCTCACTCGCCCGCCCACCATTCACCTCCTGCTGTGTGGCCGGGTTCCTAACAGGCCAGGAACCAGTACTGGTCCATGGCCCAGGGACTGGGGACCCCTGCTCTAACCCACATGACCCTACAAGATCTGAACACTGCCTCAGCTTCCAACTCCCTTTCCCTCTCTCAATTCTACTTTAAGCACTGTGGTCATCTATTTCTGGAATACACCAGGCTTATTTACTCCTCTGGGTCTTAGCACTTGCTCCTCCCTCTGCCTCAAAAGCTCTTCCCTAGATTTTCACATGGTTTGCTTTTTCATGCATTCAGAAATAATGCAAATGTTAAATTCTCGAGAGGTGCTTTCCTGATGACCACAAAACCAGTCTGAACATCACATTTTATCACATTACTGGGTCTTATTTTCTTCACCACACTTAGCACCTGAAGTGATCTTGATGCCTGTCTCCATTTGCTTGTTTGTCTGTGTCATCACTAGCATGTAAACCCACAAGAGAAGTTGTGCATGACGTGTGGTGGTGATGAAGAAATCATTAATGAAAGATATATTATAAATGGATTTTATTATTAAAATGTATAAAATGAAAGAGAAATACAAATATATCATAGTTATTTCCTTTCCCAAACTATCTGGTTAATGTCTACATCAGTGAATTCACTTAATACAGGGGTTGGCAATTATTTTTCTGTAAAGGACCACTAAATAAATATTTTAGGCTTTGTGGGCCATATGGTCTCTGTCTCAATTACTCATCTCTGTGCTTGTAGCACAAAAGTAGCAATACATAATACATAAACAAATGGGTGTGCCTGTATCAATAAAACTTTATTTTAAAAAATAAGCAGCCATTGGATTTGGCCCTTAGGCCACAGTTTACCAAATGCTAATATAGCATGTAGATCATAGTTAGTACCAAGAAAATCAGAGTTGCTGTTAAAAGTAAAAACAAATAACAACAAAAAAATCAATGTTAAAAAGAATCCAGAACACTGGAGCAAAAATTCATATGTATAAAAAATGAAACAATAATAAGAATAATAAAAAAAACCAAATAGCAGCAATGCCAATGTCCATATCCTGGTTTAGGCCACACTCCCGAGCTTCACTCCATGGCTGTGAAAAGATGATCCTCTCTCTAGAATATGCTGATGAGATCATACTTGGAAAAATGTAGACAGGTCCAGGCACTTCATTAAGGAGAAAATGGAAAAAAATGTCCAAAAACTTTGGAAAGCCTTCCTAGTCGCTGGAGTGCATTCAGAAGCATGCAGCCAGAAAGGCAGCTTGGGAAGCGAACAATTGCAGAATGATTAAAAAGGCCACAGGCTATGAAACAGGGTGGAATAAAGGAAGACTACAGGGGACACGTGAAAGCATTTATGTAAGAATGCTGCACAAGCTGCAGAAAGAGGTATGTGCTGTTCATTCTATCTGAAGATTTGAAAACATAAAATAGAATGAAATTTGGAGATACATATTGGATCCAAATTTTCCCACCGAGTTTAGAAAAAAATAGTAATATCTCTTCTTTTAAAGTCTCTCCCAGTGATTCTAGAAAATGTTTCCAAGAATATATTTACATTTATTTAGCACTTCACAGTTTTTAAGGTACATTTGAACACTCCATTCCAATTTGATCATTGAGGCAGGCAAGAAAAATTTTACTATCCCTGTTTTGTAGATGAAGGAACAGAAGTTCAGAGAGGTGAACTGGGTTGGCTAGTAAGTAATTGGGTAAAGGGCATAAGCTTTGGAGCCATGTAGATCTGAGTAAAATTCTAGCTTAAGTCATTGGGCTTATTACTACTTAAGACAGAACTTTCTCTGAACACCTACATCTTCATGGACTCAATGTTACACTTGGGAAATTTCTGGCTTGACATGAGATATACCTGAAGTACATTTAAAAAAATGTAGCTATTCTTGAGCTTCACCCAGACCAATTAAATAAAAATTTCTGGGAGTAGGGCTCAGACATCAGCAATATTTAAATATGCCAAGGTACCACCAAAGTTGAGAATCACTGATCTAGTACAAGGGTTGGCAAATGTTTTCTGCAAAGGGCCAGATATTAAATATTTTAGTCTGCTTACCATTCAGTCTCTGCCACAACTACTCAACTGTACTGTTCCATGGCAAAAGCAGCCTTAGACAGTATATAAACAAATGGGCATGGCTGTGTTCCAATAAAATTTTATTTACAAAAGCAGGCAATGGGCCAGATTTGGCCCAAGGGCCATGGTTTACCAACCCCTGATCTAGTAGAAGATTTCTATGGAAAGAGACGTCTGGAGATGTTAAAGACCTCATCATTCATCAATAACAAAGTCAAAGCCAGGATTCTGCTGTTCTGCCCACTGGCCTGCTGTGGTCCTACTACCAGCTCTCTCTGTGTCTTGGACATGCTGTGCTTTATTCTCAACAAGCTTAAAACATTGCTCCAGAATAACATATCAATCATTTAATGGGAAGAGGGCTGCCTTTAGACAGAGACAGCCATGGTTTTCAGTCCCAGCCCTGCCACTCATTAGCAGAAGCAGTTCCCTCAAACCCTCTGTGTCTGACTGCCTTCATTAATAACCCAGATATGAGATTCCCCGCAGAGAATTTCTGTGTGGGTTAAATGAGGATGAAATGGCCTGGCACCACAGTTGGCACATGGTAATTGCTTGATACTGATTCCACCACGTGCAGACTTTTATTATTTTAAGATGTGCTCTTTTACACTTCATGTAAAATATTGGAAAAAACTGAAGTCTTAGGAAAAGATATATATTTTACTAAAATTTACTCTCACAATCAGAGAGGAGAAGGAACATATTGAAAAGGGGATCGAAAGAGGGGTAAAGGAGATATGTGAAGAAGCTCCCCAAAGAGATTCTGATGGCCATGCCCAACCTTACCACCAACTGAGAATCACCAGCCTAGAGTCTGAATAGTCTTCCAGCACCCCAGAAGTTGAAACGAGATGAAGACAGTGCAAAGATTATATATATTTTAAATCAGATATATGAGAAATGTGGTGTGGGTTTGTTTACTCCATCCTCCTAGGCTTGGTGACTTAAATATGAATCTAAATACCGTAATTCATTATTTTTCATTAAATATAGGAGACATGTTAGTCAAAGTGTGACTTCAGGATTTAGTTGACATGACAAAATTGATTTATACTGATATTTGTGAATTTAGTGACTTTTTAAAATACCCTAGGGTGGTCATCAAGCTACCTATCTTTCCACTGAGGTTTAGAAGATTTCTATGTCACATATTCTAAAAGATTGGGATACTAATTCCTATGAGCAGGAATTGTTGGTTGACTGTACAACATCCATTTCCTTCCTTGCTTGCTAAGGGATCCCTATATCATTCAAAGATTTCTTGCTCCTAGGCCATCATGTGTTTCACGTGAGGGAGTCTGAACCTATCCTCAGCTCTACCTGTGGGCCTGATTGAGGTAGAAATAATGTATGTCTTCTCACTTGTGATTGGATAGAAAATGGGTATGTGACCTTATTCTGGCCAATGAGAGATGAGAGGAAGTCACATAGGGCTTCTAGGACAAGTTTCCTAATTCTTTTGAGAGGGCAACAGAAGAGACGGTCTCTCTTCTTTCTTTGGAAAGCATTGTTTCTGTAGGCGATGCCAAGATCCATCATCTTGCCTAAAGTTAATCTGATAATAAAGGTGGCCATGGGGCAAGTGGTATCAAGAACTTGGATCTTTGTTGACATCATTATGTCGTGGAATCAACCACCCTGAACATGCTCCATCTATGGATGTTTCTTTATGTGAGTTAATACCTCTCCTTCTGGTTCAAGTCAATTTGATTGAGAATATCTTGGTTCCAAAAGCATGCTCCTGAAGCCAAAGTACAGCATGGAGTAGCATATTTGCTACATTTGGTAACCTGAGGCTTCATAAGGAATGCAAGTAGTCTGGCATTTTGAAGATTTTAGAAGAGACATGTTCTTTATTAACAAATTTCTACGGACAAATCTCACAGCTGGATGGCAATATACCCAGAAGTAATACCATTAATCTTTAGGGAAAGCAATGTCTTTGGAGTTCAGACCACTTGAATGCACACATATTTGCCAATCTTGTACACAACTCAAAATTTTGGTTTTAATTCATCATTTCAAAGTACAATAAAATGTTCACCAGAGCAACCAAATAAATGAGAAAAACTTAAATTTACGGCTTCAAAATAATATAGGTTATAAATTATTTCTCTTAGCTCAGCATTTGAACTTCCTGTACTCATTCATCCCGTAAATACTTATTGAGCTCCTATTATGTGCTAGGTGTACGGAATATAGAAATAAAAAGGGCAAAAATCAGTCCTTTAAGGGAATCAGAGGCTATCAGAGTCCTGTACAGTAAACCTTTCTGCAATGATGGAAATGTTCTATATCTGTACTGTGCAGTACAGTAGCCCTAGCCACCTGTGGCTAAAGACTACTTAAAATGTTGCTATTGCAACTTAAGAACAGAATGTTTAATGGAATTTAATTTTAATTAATTTAAATATAAATAGTCACATGTACCTCGTGGTTTCCATATTGGACAGTACAGTCTAGATGGTAATGCAGACAAGAAAATCAAAGGTGATTATATACTATTATCTGTACCACAAAAAGAGATGCACCTGGCTCTAAAAAGTAGGAATCCAGGGGAACAGTGCCTAAGTAATTCAGCCTGGGGCTAGAGGGCAGGATAAGAAAATATATCCAAGGAAAGCGGACCGTTAAACCAAGTCCTAAAGGACAAAGAGAAGTTAATCACTGAATCCACTTTCTGTCTCTATGACATTAAAGAATTATATTTGCATATTCTAGTATGTCATGAAATTAGCATATTCATTTTATGTATACATTGGAGCTTTCCTGAATCACTTACTCTACATTTGATCCAGAAGGATTTCTACTTGACATTTTATGTTACATACAAAATATTTTATGTTAATACAAAAGCACTCATGTGCCAGTTTGAATAGGATATCTACAAACTTGTTTTTGAGCACATGCTACCAAAATAATTTTATCTGATCCTATGCATGTTTTCCTCTTTCATCTATTCTAAATAGTGGTTTTCAGGTTACCATTCAAAATACATATCTGAAAAAGTAAACCTCCAGTTATATAAATAGTATGTGCATGGAGATTCATTTTTCTTTCTGTTGCTTATAGTTCACTGAGAGAGTCATTTCTGACTCTTGAGCTCTTTCTGAAGCTGTGAGGTGCACTTGTCTCTGGAGCAGAACTGAGTGCCCACCTCTGTGAATTGATTCCAGGTCCTATCATACCCTGCATGGTTCCTAAGCACAACATTCTGTCTCTCCCAAAGGAGAGGAGCTGGGAAAATCTGTGTGTGGCTCTAGCTGGCTCTAGAAGATTAATGGCTGAGGAGTGAAGAGGACAAATGCAGGCAGGGGTACTGCTGTGGAGCAGAATCACCAGGAGGCCTGGACAATGAGGAAATGGAGAGGTAATTGGATCTCAGGTGATAACAACAGAATGGACAGGTTTGGGGCAGAGTTGAGGAGAAAATGAGAGCACTACTGGGTTGGAAACACATTGAATACTGGAAGGCAAAGATGGTCAAGGCTTTAAAGTAGGTGACTGAACAAATAGTGTAATAATTTGTGTAAAAAATGTGGAGGATGGCTTGGCTTCTTTTGGGAGTTAGGTGGGGTTCTGTTGGATTCGAGGAGTAGTGGGGTATGGAAAACACAAATTCGGAGGTCAGTGATGCCACATTTAGAGAGATCACTGAGGGGGTAAGGCAGATGGGAAGGAGAGCAAAGTAAGGGGCAAGAGACTAGACAGGGAGCAACCACACAGAAGAACTAATGTGCTTGGAGGTTCTCAGGTCTTGGAAGAGGCTGTGAAGCCCAGATTAAGGTATTGAATGAGACAGTCAGGACAGAAAGAGACCTGGAATGGGGATAGATTGGGAACCACACGTCCGTGATTCACATTAAACAATGGAGAATATGTCCCAAGAGTGCCTTGCTCCAGGAGAGGAAATACGATGCCATGGTTAAGATCCCAGCCTCTGCCACCATTTAACCTGTTTTGGAATTCTGTCTCTGTGACTTCCGGGCCGTGTGACCTTGGACAAATCACATCGTTTTCCTGTGCCTCAGTTTCCTTCTTTCTAAAACAGCAATAGCAACAGTGCCTTGTGTGTCATTGTGAGGATTAAGCGAGTTAATATATGTAGTATATGGGAGAGGCGGAAGAAGGGAAATGGTCTTTCCGAGCTGGAGATCTTGAAGCTTGGAAAGCTTTGATTACTAATGGTGGTGGCAGGGACAGGTATCAGGGGTGAGGTGAAAATGGAGGCCCAGGAAGTGCTGGAGATTGAGGAACTGGCAGATTAGTCTGTTAGGAATAACCTCAACATAAATGTTAAAGGAGAGCAAGCATAAAAAAAAGCAGAAGGAAGACTAAGTTTTTCTTGACAACATTTGAAATTTTAATATTAGCAGATATTACTGATCAACCAGCCTCTATGGTTGGCAGTTTATGTTCCTTTACCTCATTTTCTGCTCATGACAACTCTGCAAAGTCAATGTTTTCTGCCTTTTCAGAAAAAAGAAATTGAGACTGAAGTGGTTTATGTACAATGCCAAAGCTCCCACACGTAGTGCATGGAAAAGGAGCCCTCAGAACCTGGGCTTTTCGAACTACAGCTATGTCATTGGAGGAAAGAGAACAGCTCAGCTCTCCAAATTGCAGTAACTGTTGAGCTAAGGTGATGACGTCAAGGGGAAGGTAAGGAAGAATGCAGAAAAGATGAGTTTGCAAGACTGAAAGCTATTCAACATTGTAATCTGTATTTGCAAATCTAAAAGAGAACCAGTCGGTTTGTATCAGTTCTTTTGGGTTCATTGCAGTTACCCTCTGAACTGAGGAAGCTCTTTTCTTTTCTTTCTTTCTTCTTTCTTTCTTTTTTTTTTTCCGTTGGAGAATAGCATTATCATTCAGATTGGTTTGAGTGTCTGACAATGTTTTATGTAGTCTTCTTATTTCCAAGCCTGAAAAGTTATTCCCCATGTAATAGTTCCATATTCCTTTTGGAATGTGTAGCATGATATCCCTCCCTCCCTCCTAGCAGCTTGTCTTCTATGATATATGCCATTTCATCCCTTTAGCAATTGGAAAATGTATTTCTAGAAGCCAGTCTCTTGGCAATTGGTGCATTATCCATTAAAGAGAATATCCATGCATTCACTAAGAATTGCAGGTTTAAAGTGTTTGGTAATAATCGCTGGTTGTTTGTCAAGCAGAATTTTTGTCTGAACATGAAAATACAACATGAATATGATTTGCAACCATTCCACAGGGTTCCTAATTTCCTCCAGCAACACAGAGTTATTTTTCTTCATGCTTAAAATCCACTACAGGTGCTTAGTGCATTTGGTCTCCTTTGGAGGTACATGTTCTAAGTTTGACACAGGAAAAAGCTGAAAATGTTCTAACCAAGTAATCCCCCCATTCCACAATCTTTTAACTCTGATTTATTCCAAAGCTGAAAGTATTCATCACTAGTTGAGCTAAAATAAACTAACTCTTATGACATATAATTAAATTACTGGCAGAAAGAAAATCTAAAATTCCTCCACAGTACTTCACATAAACATCAGCAGCATAATTGAGTTGAGGTAAAATATTTTGTTGAAAGGCCAAAAAATGTCACCTGAAGGAATTTGTTTCCCTAATCTCTGACGTTGTTTAATTTTCTTCATAATTACCAAAAAATTCACTTTCATGTAAAATCCTCTTTTCTTTTAGCTATTCTTTACCTCACTTCTCTTTCTATGTCTTTACCAGAAACTGGGAATAAAAACATTAGAAAAATGTTTACACTTTTAGCTAACTGATAGTCTCTCCAGATCTGGCTAAAAGAAATTATGCATATACTCAGTATTCACAATTTCTAAGTTTAAATTCTAGAAAGGGGGAGTGTTACATTTCCGTTTTGTCCATCTGGGTTTTCTTTTCAGTTGACCCAAGAACAGACTCGATTATCCTCAAGACTTTGTAACCAGGGCATGTTAATTTGGGGAGAATAGTGATTTCTCGTTTCCTAATTAAATAGCCCTAGGGAGAGGGCCAAAAATTGCCTATTAGAAGCAGCTGTGGAGTAAGGCACTCATGGAGAAGAATGAAAGGGGCAAGTGAATATAGCACCTTCAACTGAAATATCCAGGTGCACTCGCATTGGGACTGATCAGGGAAACAACTACCCACAGAGAACGAAGAAAAAGCAGGGTAGGGTGACAGCCCTCCCAGGACTGACACGGAGCCAAGGGAAACCCCACCCCCAGCCAAGGGAAGCAGTGAGTGATTGTGCAACCCTGGGAAACCACCACTTCTCCCACGGATGTTTGCAACCCGTGGATCAGGAGATCCCCTCATGATCCCCTGCCACTAAGGCCTTGGGTCCAACACAAAGAGCTGTATGGAGTCTCAGCAGGGCAATTGCTCAGGAATGCACAGAGATCAAGGAACTTTACATAGTCTGGGCCCAGGATCCCCAACAAACATGTCTGCAACTCAGGCAAGGCAAGAGGTCCATACACATCCCCAGGAAGGGGACTGAATCCAAGGAGCTGAGCAGCATCAGTCTGCAGACTCCACTTCCACTGCCCCTCTAAGACCCACTGGCTTGGAATTCCAGCCTGCCACTGGCAACAGGGTGAAGCCTGCCTGAGATGTGACAGTTCCCTCAGTGGGAGGGGCAGACCACCATCTCTGCTGTTTGGTAGACTCAGCCATTCCAGCCTGTGGGTCTTGGAGAGTCTAAGCTGACAGAGGCAGAGGCAGTTCCCCAGCATGACATGGCTGTTTTGTCGAGCATAGCCAGACTGCTTCTTTCAGTGGGACCCTGGTCCACTCCTCCTCTGAGGTGGGTCCTCCCAGCCAGGGCCTCCGGCCATCCCTGCCCATGTTCTAAAGCAGACAGAGTTCTCACTTCACCCTGGGACCGAGTGCCCAAGCAGTAGGGCAGGCTGCCACCTCAGCTGTTTGGGCGTCTCAGCCAGTCCAGCCTGTGGGCCTTGGAGAGCCAAAACTGATCAGGGGCTGAAGGGATCCCCAACACAGCACAGCTGCTCTACCAAAAAAGCAGCCAGACTGCTTCAAGTGGGTCCCTGATCCCATTCCTCTTGACTGGGTGAGACCTCCCAACGGGTCTCCAGTCACCTCCTACAAGTACATTTGGGCTGGCAACAGGTCAGAACCCCTGGGATGGAGCTTCCAGAGGAAGGGGCTGGCTGCCATGTTTGCTGTTTTGCAGACTTCACTAGTGATACTTCCAAGTATGGGAAAAACCAAGGTATGGGAAAAACCAAGGTGACTAGGGTCTGCAGTGGACCCCCAGCAAACCACAGCAGCCCTATGGAAGAGTGGCCAGACTGTTAAAAGAAAATCAAACAAGCAGGAAAACAACAGCAACAACCCATAAAAACCCCATCCAAAGGTCAGCAACCTCAAAGATAAAAGGTAGATAAGCCCACAAAGATGAGGAAGAATCAACCCCAAAACACTGAAACTTCAAAAAGTCAGAGTGCCCCTTTTCCTTCAAATGACCACAACACCTTTCCAGCAAGGGCTCAGAATCAGGCTGAGGCTGAGATGGCTGAAATGACAGAAGTAGGCTTCAGAATGTGGATAAATCAAACTTCACTGACCTAAAGACGCATGCTGTAAGCCAATGCAAAGAAGCTAAGAATCATGATAAAACAGTGCAGGAGCTGAGAGCCAAATAGCCAGTTTAGAGAGGAGCATAACCAACATGATAGAGCTGAAAAACACACTACAAGAACTTCATAATGTACTCACAAGTATTAATAGCAGAATAGACCAAGCAGAGGAAAGAATCTCAGAGCTTGAAGACTATCTTTCTGAAATAAGACAGTCAGACAAGAATAGAGAAAAAAAGAATGAAAAGGAATGAACAAAACCTCTGAGAAATATGGGATTATGTAAAGAGACCAAATCTATGACTGATTGGAGTACCTGAAAGAGACAGGGAGAATGGAACCAATTTGGAAAACATACTTCAGGATATCATCTAGGAGAATTTCCCCAACCTAGCAAGATAGGCCAACATTCAAAGTCAGGAAATGCAAAGAACTCCAGTAAGATACTCCACAAGAAGATCAAGACACATAATCATCAGATTTTCCAGTGTCGAAATGGAAGAAAAAATGCTAAGGGCAGTCAGAAAGAAAGGCCAGGTCACCTACAAAGGGAAGCCTATCAGACTTACAGCGAAACTCTCAGTGGAAACCCTACTAGCCAGAAGAGATTGGGGGCCAATATTCAACATTCTTAAAGGAAAGAATTTCCAACCCAGAATTTCATATCTGGCCAAACTAAGCTTCATAAGTGAAGGAGAAATAAGATAAATGCTGAGGGAATCTGTTACCACCAGATCTGCCTTACAAGAGATCCTGAAGGAAGCACTAAATATGAAAAGGAAAAACCTTTACCAGACACTACAAAAACACACTGAAGTACACAGACCAGTGACACTATGAAGCAACCACATAAACAAGTCTGCAAAATAACCAGCTAGCATCATGATGAGAGGACCAAATTCACACATAACAATACTAACCTTAAATGTAAATGGACTAAATGCCCCAATTAAAAGACACAGAATGGCAAGCTGGATAAAGAACCAAGACCCATCAGTATGCTGTCTTCAAGAGACCCATCTCACATGCAAAAATACACACAGGCTCAAAATAAAGGGATCAAGGAAAACTCACCAAGCGAATGGAAAACAGAAAAAAGCAGGGGTTGCAATCCTATATTCTGACAAAACAGACTTTAAACCAACAAAGATCAAAAAAGACAAAGAAGGGTATTACATAATGGTAAAGGGTTCAATTCAACAAGAAGAGCTAACTATCCTAAATATATATGCACCCAATATAGGAACACCCAGATTCAAAAAACAAGTTCTTAGAGATTTTCAAAGAGACTTAGACTCCCACACAATAATAGTGGGAGACTTTAACATCCCACAATATTAGACAGATCATCAAGGCAAAAAATTAACAAAAATATTCAGGACCTGAACTCAGCTCGGGATCAAGTGGACCTGATAAATATCTACAGAACTCTCCATCCAAAAACAACAGAATATACATTCTTCTCATCACCACACAGCACTTACTCTAAAATTGATCATATAGTCGGAAGTAAAACACTCCTCAGCAAATGCAAAAGAACTGAAATCATAATAGTCTCTTGGACCACAACGCAATTAAATTAGAACTCAAGATTAAGAAATTCACTCAAAATCACACAAGTATACGGAAACTGAACAACCTGCTCCTGAATGACTTTTGGGTAAATAATGAAATGAAGGCAAAAATCAAGAAGTTATTTGAAACTAATGAGAAAAAAGATACAATATACCAGAATCTCTGGGACACAGCTAACACAGTGTTAAGAGGGAAATTTATAGCACTAAATATCTACATCAAAAAGCTAGAAAGATCTCAAGTTAGCAACCTAACAACACAACTAAAAGAATTAGAGAGCCAGCAAACAAACCCCAAAGCTAGCAGAAGACAAGAAATAACCAAAATCAGAGCTGAAGTGAAGGAGATAGAGACATGAAAAACCCTTCCAAAAAAATCAATGAATCCAGGAGCTGGCTTTTTGAAAAAAATTAATAAAACAGATAGACCACTAGCTAGACTAATACAGAAGAAAAGAGAGAAGATTCAAATAAACACAATCAGAAATCACTGATTTCTGACTCCACAGAAATACAAACTGCCATCAGAGAATACTATAAACACTTCTGTGCACATAAACTAGAAAATTTACAAGGAAGGAATGGATAAATTCCTGGACACATACACTTTCTCAAGACTGAACTAGGAAGAAATTGAATCCCTGAATAGACCAATAACGAGTTCTGAAACTGAGGCAGTAATAAATAGCCTACCAACCAAAAAAAAAAAAAGAAAAAAAAAGCCACCACCAAATGGATTCACAGCTGAATTCTAATAGAGATACAAAGAAGAGCTGGTACCATTCCTACTGAAACCATTTCAAAAAAATTGAAAAGAAGGAACTGCTCCCTAACTCATTCTATGAGGCCAAAACCTGGCATAGATACAACAAAAAAAGAAAACTTCAGGCCAATGTCCTTGATAAACATCGATACAAAAATCCTGCACAAAATGCTGACAAACCAAGTCCAGCAGCAGATCAAAAAGCTTATCCACCACAATAAAGTAGGCTTCATCCCTGGGATGCAAGGCTGGTTCAACATATGTAAATCAATAAATGTAATTCATCACATAACTGCAGACAAAAACCACATGATTATCACAATAGATGCAGAAAAAGGCCTTTGATAAAATTCAACATCCCTTCATGTTAAAAACTCTCAATAAACTAGGTATTGAAGGAACATACCTCAAAATAATAAGAGCCATATATCACAAACCCACAAACGATATCATACTGAACGGGCAAAAACCAGAATCATTCCCCTTGAAAACTGGCACAAGACAAGGTTGCCCACTCTCATCATTCCTATTCAACATAGTATTTGAAGTCCTGGCCAGGACAATCATGCAAGAGAAGGAAATAAATCATATTCGAATAGGATGAGAGGAAGTCAAACTATCTTTGTTTGCAGATGACATGATCCTATACCTAGAAAACCCCATTGTCTCAGCCCAAAAGCTTCTTAAGCTGATAAGCAAATTCAGCAAATTCTCAGAATACAAAATCAATGTGCAAAAATTGCTAGCATTCTTATACACTAACAGGCAATCTGAGAACCAAATCACAAATGAACTCCCATTTACAATTGCCACAAAAAGAATAAAATACCTGGGAATATAGCTAACAAGGGAAGTGAAAGACCTATTCAAGGAGAACTACAAACCACTGCTCAAAGAAATCAGAGATGACACAAACAAATGGAAAAACATTCCACGTTCATGGACAGGAAGAATCAATATTGTGAAAATGTACATACTGCCCAACGCAATTTATAGATTCAATGCTATTCCCATAAAACTGACACTGACATTCTTCACAAAATTAGAAAAAACTATTTTAAAATTTATATGGAACAAAAAAGAGAGCCCAAATATTCAAGCAATCCTAAGCAAAAAGAGCAAAGCTAGAGACATCATGCTACCTGACTTCAAACTATATTACAGGGCTACAGTAACCAAAACAGTGTGGCACTGGTATAAGAACAGACACATAGACCAATGGAACAGAATAGAGAACCCAGAAATAAGACTGCATATCTACAACCATCTGATCTTTGACAAACCTGACTAAAACAAGTAATGGGGAAAGGATCCCCTATTTAATAAATGGTGCTGGGAGAACTGGCTAGCCACATGCATAAAATTAAAACTGGACCCCTTCCTTACACCATATACAAAAATCAACTGAAGATAGATTAAAGTCTTAAATGTAAAACCCACAACTATAAAACATCTAGAGGAAAACCTAGGCAATACCATTCAGGACATAGGCACAGGCAAGATTTCATGACAAAGACAACAAAAGCAATTGAAACAAAAGCAAAAATTGACAGATGAGATATAATTTAACTAAAGAGCTTCTGCACAGAAAAAGAAACTATCAACAGAGTAAACAGACAACCTACACAATAGGAGAAAATTTTTGCAAACTATCCATCTGACAAAGGTCCAATGTCCAGCATCCATACGGAACTGAAACAAATTAACAAGAGGAAAACCAAACAACCCCATTAAAAAGTGGGCAAAGGACATGAACAGGCACTTCTCAAAAGAAGACCTATATGCAGCCAACAATCATATGAAAAAAGCTCAACATCACAGATCATTAGAGAAATGCAAATCAAAACCACATGAGATACCATCTCACACCAGTCAGAATAGCTATTACTTAAAAGTCAAGAACAACAGATGCTGGTGAGGTTGTGGAGAAAAAGGAATGCTTTTATACTGTTGATGGGAGTGTAAATTAGTTCAACCATTTTGGAAGACAGTGTGGCAATTCCTCAAAGACCTAGAGGCAGAAATACCATTTGACCCAGCAATCCCATTACTGGGTATATACTCAAAGGAATATAAATCATTCTATTATAAAGATACATGCACGTGTATGTCCATTGCAGCACTACTTACAATAGCAAAGACATGGAATCAACCTAAACGCCCATCAATGATAGACTGGATAAAAAAAAATGGTTACATATACACAATGGAGTACTATGCAGCCATAAAAAGGAATGAGATCATGTCCTTTGTAGGGACATGGATAGACCTGGAAGCCATTATCCTTAGCAAACTAACGCAGGAACAGAAAACCAAATACTGTATGTTCTCACTTATAAGTGGTAGCTGAATGATGAGAACACATGGACACATGGTGGGGGGCAGAGAGGAACAACACAAACTAGGGCCTGTTGGAGGGTGGGAGGAGGAAGAGCATCAGAAAGAATAGCTGTTGGATGCTGGCTTAACACCTGGGTGATGGGATGATCTATGCAGCAAACCACCATGGCACATAGCTACCTATGTAACAAACCTGCACATCCTGTACATGTACCCCTGAACTTAAAATCAAAGTTGGAAATAAAAATAAATAAATAGCCCTGAGGAACACACCACCCACCTGCCACCCCCCCATCCCCACACACACATATGCTACTCAATCACTCTGTACTTCAACCCATTCAGGAACTTGTTAGGATGACTTCAGCTTTGTTTTGCTTGGGAGTTTGTCCTTTCTGTCACTTCAAATTTCAAAATGATATGGTCATTTCAGAAGCCAAAATTGCAGTGCCCACACCACATGGAAAATTTGTAGGCCAACACTTTCAGGATTCACCACAATATGAACAACAAGTCAACACAATGGTGGTTTACAAGGCAATAAATTTTTCCTTCAAGTTTTCGTGGTACCATTTTCATATTAACTTCTAAGTTTGAAAAATTCTCTTAACCACCTCCTCCCTTTTCCTGTTGAACACCAATTTTTAAATTATCTGGTGGTTTAATAAACTTCTCTTATTTTTCCACACTCTCTTCAACTGTGCTAGTATTTTTCAGGCTACTTTTCTTTCTAAATGCAGGGGGCAGGGAGAAAAAAACCAAAAACTGGACTTGAATTGGAAATTTGGGATTGGCCTCAACTCTGTCATTTATTAGCCATGTGACCTGTGGCTGGTCCTGTGATGACTCTGAGCCTAGTGGGCTCATCTATAAAACAATGTTATAAATACCTACACAAGTGGAGGATTCAAAAATATGGTACAAAGCTTGTGAAGAAGCTTTGTAAGTGCCAGGAGGCTACACATAGGTAATTTTTATTCAGAGGCATCTTTGTGACATAAAATATCTGGCAAAAGAATGCATTGGCTTTCTTCTTCTCCCACTAGGAAGAAAGAGCACTGTCTCAGGTATCAGCACTCACTGCTGTAATTACAAATGTCTTCCCACTCTGAACTCCAGAAAACTCTCCTCACATTTCAGAACTATCCCAGGCCTGCTCTCAAGAAGGTAACTCTACTCCTACTATTTTGTAGCCCATAGTCTACTGATAACATATCCATATGCCTTCATATTCTCTAATGTCTCTGCCCTTTGCCTTATCCTCAAGGCTCTACCTCCCTTGCCAGCCTTTCCGAAGGAAGTTTGATTGCTCCTTCTCACACTTCCCATGACTTGGGGATGGGATTAGAATGACTAGGAGGAGATGGAATAGTCCCTACTTTCTTCTATAGCTTTTAGGTTCCTGCCCCAACATCAACATGCTATAATGTTCCTAGTTTGTGTGTGTGTGGGGGGAGGGTTGTTTTGTTTTGTTTTGTCGAGACAGGGTCTTGCTCTGTCACCCAAACTGGGGCACAGTGGTGTGATCACGGGTCACTGCAGCCTTGACCTCCCAGGCTCAAGTGATCCTCCCATCTTAGCTTCCTGAGTAGCCGGGACCACAGGTGCATACCAACATGCCCAGCTAATTTTGTAATTTTTTTGTAGAGATGGGGTCTCATTATATCACCCAAGTTGGTCTCAAACTCCTGGGTTCAAGAGATCCTCCTGTCTTGGCCTCCCAAAGTAATGGGATTATAGGCATGAGCACTGAGCCTGGCTCTGTTCCCAGGTTTTAAGACTTTTGTCATATACTTACACATCTCTCCTTTCCCATTTATTGTTGTTCCATTTTGAGACACATTGCCAGGTGTTTTAAGACACTAGGCATCCACTGCCATCCTTCTTTTCAAAGACATCATCCTCCAAGGCACTGACAACCCTACTGATGCCCCTTCTGACACCACAGTTCACAGATCCTTGTCCTTCAGTGCACTAAAAACTCATCTCTTTGGTACTTCCCCTCTAAGGAAGCATTACAATATACTTGACCATTTCATGTGACTAAGATCTCACACCGTGAGATCCCTCTAATAGACTACAACCTCCTGAACTTCCCAAGCTTTCAAATCCTAATTCCTGCTGCATCTCCTTCCTCATGCTGGCATCCACTTCCTGGATCCCTCCCTACTTTTCTAGTGGATTGCCAACTGTGGTCCAATGAATAGTGACCCTCCCAAAGGTTTCCACGTCTTAATCCTTAGAACCTGTGAATATGTTACCTTACATGGCAAAAGGGATTTGCAGATGTTATTAAGTTTAGGATCTTGAGATGAGGTGATTTTCCAGGAGCCCAAAGTAATCGCAAGGATTCTTATAAGAGGGAGGCAGGAGGATCAAAGTCACACAAGGTGATATGAGGATGGAAGCAAAGACTGGAGTATGCAGCTGTGAACCAAAGAAAGTCAGCAGCCTTTAAAGCTGGGAAAAGCAAGAAAGATTCACCCTGGGGAAGTAGGGGAGACCTAGCACTGACACCTTGATTTCAACCCAGTGAAACTCATGTTGGATTTCTGGCCTTCAGAACTCTTAAGATAGTAAGTGCTGTATAAGCCATCAAGTAGGTGGTAATTTGTTACAGCAGCCATAGGAAACTAATATACAACCATAGCTGAGTGGCCTCTTGACTCAGTTCTGAAAGAGCCAATGGTCAATAATTTGTTTTTCCCTTCACCCTAGAATTCCTCTTGCCAATTCCCAACTGACTTCTATTACAATTATGGAACTTTTCATTCCTACACATCTGTTTTTGAGTGATGTTAGAGCAGACCTTAAACTAATTAGGATCATTTATAAATTACTGAATTATATAAATCTTTTTCCTTGAAGATTTCTCACCAGTGGCTCAGTAGTAGATGCTGAAAATATTTCTACTCTGTCTGGGTTACCAAATCCACCTCCACCCACTTCAGTCTTCAATGAACCCACCTTCTCTGACAAAACTGAGATAATCTACAACCTTTCAACTTTTCTTCTATCTATTTTTAGAACTGTTTTTAAAAATATAATTTATTTTTTCTTTTTAATTGATATATAATAGTTGTACATGTTTTTAGGGTACACATGATATTTTGATAGATGTACACAAAATAGTTAGAAGAGAAGACTGGAATGTTCCCAACACAAAGAAAAGATAAATGTTTGAGGTATAGATATTCCAATTACCCTGATTTGATCATTACACATTGTATACATGTATCAAAATATCACATATACCTCTTCTGCTTTTAACTGCCTCTTTTCTTCCCTCTTGTCTCAAATTCAGTGCCCTTTTTCCTTCTCAGCTCTATGTACGTCCTTTCCATATCCCCTAGATCCCATGCCATTCTGCATCTTCCTGGGTCTCACACCATCTATTAGCTTCAATCACTGGGGTGCATAAGAAGGAGTCTTGTGCACTGGGAGCTCCACTCCCAGGTTCAGGGAAGCACTACCTAAGCCATCCAAGATAAAAATCATTCTCATGTTGTTTCCTAAGATCCCCAAAGCTAGATCCATAGCTTGTTTCTTTTTACCATATTTTCTTGCCTTAAATATAAAGACTTTCTCAAGTTGAAGAGAGCATTCTATTGTTCTGCCGTTTGGAGACACACAGGAAAAATAATAGACACAATGACATTAATAGGAATTCTCTAAGATCATGTGGATTGCAGATATTCTATACCACTGTCTCCATAAATATAAAATGACCCATTTGTTTTGTTTTGTTTTGTTTTGTTTTGGAAATTAGAGTCACTCTTCCCATGATACTTAAAGAACTGTGCCTTTTGGGTAATAGACACTCACTAAATATTATTGAATTAAATATTCAAAATAGCTCATTGAAATGGACATTTTTCATGAGCTGCATCATCATGGGCATTGGACTCTTAACCCAAACAGCTAGATTTGCCTTCAGGTAAGAATCTCTCCATCTCTGTCCCCATAAATTTGTTACAAAATAATATATTCATCAGTGTATAACCTTTACCATGTGGCTTCCCACTGTGAAAACAGAATTAGGTGCTTTTTACTGCTGACACTAATATATGCTTGTTATAGGCTTCAAAAATGTCATGTAATAGTTCCAAAAATTTTCGCTGGCAATTGAAGCCCATGGATAAAGAGAAAGAAGCATAAAAGGGAACAGTTGTGTATATATATATGTGTGTCTATATATATATACATAATAACTGACATTATGTTGATGTTAAAGATGTCAACATTTTTGGGGAAAAATATTGCTTATTTTAAAATGTCTAACATTATTCTAGCCAAATAAATAAAGAATCAAGCTCTTGCAGAAATATAATCCTTTTGAAAAAGGTATAGATTTTTTCGTATAGCTATTTTCTTTTTGCTTAAATTAATTGCATTTGTATGTAAAGCACACAGACCTATATTTAAAAAGTGTATTATATATACTAACCTTCTCAAAATTTATATTTTCAATCTGTGAATTTACATATATATGAAATATATAAACCATTTCAATGATAGTACCAGAATACATTTTAAATCCCAATTTATGAAAATATCTTAAAGAAATTATGAAGACATTTAAATAAGAAAAGCAATATGGAGTACTGAGAAGAAAGTACATGTTTGAGCTAATCCAACCTGGATTTGAACCGTTATCACTCACTATGTATTATTTAATAAGTTCAATCCCATTAATACCAAAAATGACATATAATAATATTGTAATTCTCATCTTCCTCGATGTTATGGAGCTTAAATGAGTCACAGCCTTTCCAAAAACATGGATTTCTTTTCTTCCTTCTGTTTAAGAACTGTATCTAATTTTACCCCCAAGCGTGCCCAACACAATGCTTTAAATAAAGTAGATATTCAATAAATGTTTACTAAGTCAATCAATGTCTTGCAAATCACTTGGCAATGCACATTATCTATTTTCCTCCACACTGAGAAAAAACCTTCATAGATAAATCAAGTTAATCATTTCCCTTAACCTAAGAACTACACCTCAATTTCTTTCAGAGAACCTTACATTTTGAGTCTCTATGAGTTTCTTGTAAATTATGTCTTCTATGGGGCTCGGCAATCAAGTGGCTAAAAAGAAAAGAGATGCCAAAATTTAAGGAAAAGGAAAACACATGATTTTAGCCATGGTATTGCTTCAGAAGGTTTTATACACTTGACCTTTGATAAACATGTTTTTTCTCCCAACAGCTATTCCTGATTTTACTCCAAGGTGGCTTTCCCAAGACCAGAACCAGCTCATGAAAAAAGAGCCCAATCAGGAAAGGGTGGTTAGACTCTAATCACCCTGGGCAGTCCCTGCCTCTTCTCCTTGGTGCTCCTCATTCCCCTGCAGGTACCAACCAGTCCTTTAGCATCCTTACGGGGCCCCTCTCTAGGATTTGGGGAGTGAGTGAAAGAGTTGGCACATCCCAGTTTACGGAGGGCAGACCATGTGCAGGGGCTTCACAAACATCATCAACTTTCACCCTTCCAGCATTCCTGCTGGGAGACCCTCCTTCATTTTCAGAAGAGAGTCATTTGGGGTTCAACCAGTTTCAATAAATCATTTGCCCACGTCACAGAAAAAGGAAGGATTAGACCTAGTTTTCTTTTTCTTAAGATACATCATATATCATACAACTTGCCCTTTTAAACTATACAGTTCAGTGGTTTTTGGTACATTCATGATGTTGTGCAACTATCACCACTGTCTAATTTAAGAACATTTTTATCCCTCTAAAAGTAAACCCCATACCTTTTAGCAGTTACTCCTTACAACACCCCACCCTCAGTCTTAGGCAACCACTACTTTCTGTCTGTATGGATTTACCTATTCTGTACTTTTTATATAAATGGAATTTCATATTGTTTTTGTAAAAGAAAGGAGTAAACTAGGATATATTTTATATATGTATAAAGAACCTACAGAAAGATATTTTAGTCCGTTTGGGCTGCTAAAACCAAATACCTTAGACTGGGTAATTTATAAATAATAGAAATTTATTTCTCACAATTCTGAAGGTTGGGAAGTCTAAGATCAAGGCACTGGCTGATTGGTGTCTGGTGAAGGCCTGCTTACTGGTTCATAGACAGGGCCTTCTCGCTCTGTCCTCATATGGTGAAAGGGGTGAGGGAGCTCCCTGGGGTCTCTTTTATAAGAGCACCAATCCCATTCATGAGGCTCCGCCCTCATGACCTAATCACTTCTCAAAGTCCCCACCTTCAAATACCATCACATTGGTATTAAGTTTAAATATATGAATTTTGGAGGTACACAAATGTTCAGTTTATAGCAATGATGGAAGGGGAAACTGAAGAGATTCCAAGGGTAAGAGGGGCTCAACCCACCACTGTCGGCAGGGGCCAGGGGAAAGCAAGAGAAAGAATGTAGGCAGCTGCTGGGAGCAGAGTGGTCTGACTGACAGCCAGCAAGGAAACGGGGACCTCAAGCCTACAACCGCAAGGAATTGAATTGGCTAACAACGCCAAAGAACTTGGAAGTGGATTTTTCTCAGAGTCTCCTGAGGAGAGCCTAGTTGGCTGACACATTGATTTCAGCCTTGTGAGCCCCTGAGCAGAGAAATCAGCCAAGCCAACTCGACTTCTGACTTACAGAGCAGTGAGATTTTGTGTTGTTTTAAGTTGCTATATTTGTGGTAATATGTTGCAGCAGCAATAGGAAACTAATACGCACCTAGCTGTATTATTTGTCTTCTTATTATAAATAAAGATTGAAAGCTAGTGGAAAACCAAACAGACTATGCTAACATAATTGAGAGTAAGGCTAGTTTCCTAGTGACATAACTTATCCAGTCAAAAGGTCATGATAGTTTTTAAATTTTGTTTTGCGCACCTACGCTTGATAATTTTAGTCTGAAAATTGTAATTTTGACAAAAATCTCCAGGGAAGCAAATCTTTCTAGTAAAACTTGAATGGCAGGCTTATTAACCCAATGTTCTCTGTCTCCTAAATCTAGAGCCTTCCCTTAATACTAAAATTCCAGGATATAAACATGGTTTCTTTCATTCTTAAGAAGTTGATTAACAACATGCCCCGGTGTGTGATGTTCCCCTTCCTGTGTCCATGTGTTCTCATTGTTCAATTCCCACCTATGAGTGAGAACATGCGGTGTTTGGTTTTGTTGTGGGGTGGGGGGAGGGGGGAGGGATAGCATTGGGAGATATACCTAATGTTAAATGACGAGTTAATGGGTGCAGCACACCAACATGGCACATGTATGCATATGTGACTAGCCTGCACATTATGCACATGTACCCTAAAACTTAAAGTACAATAATAAAAAAAAGAAGTTGGTTACAACTGATAAAAATTAAATTGATAGACTCTAAAGAGACAGACACTTGGCTTAAAGGAGAATGTTTGCCTTGTCTATTTGAAATGTCTAAAGGTTAACTCTGCACTTTATCTAACCTTTAACCATACAGTTTTTCCTTTTGGTATTGGGTATGTTCCAGAGCTTTTCTAAAGGAGTTTAATGTTATTACATGGGGAAAATGGTCAAATAAGTGGTCTTTAATACAGAATTAAGATGAAAGTTCTAAGAACACCATTTCTCTTATTATCATTTAGCTCTATATGGCTAAGTACTTTGTGTGAAAACAAAAACAGTTCAAAATTGACTACATTCTATGAGAAAAAGCAGAAATATTTTTCCTACCTAATTTGTTGGAAAAGCTTAATTAATTTATTTTATTTTATTTTATTATTATTATACTTTAAGTTTTAGGGTACATGTGCACAATGTACAGGTTAGTTACATATGTATACATGTGCCATGCTGGTGTGCTGCACCCATTAACTTGTCATTTAGCATTAGGTATATCTCCTAAAGCTATCCCTCCCCTCTCCCCCCACCCCACAACAGTCCCCAGAGTGTGATGTTCCCCTTCCTGTGTCCATGTGTTCTCATTGTTCAATTCCCACCTATGAGTGAGAATATGCGGTGTTTGGTTTTTTGTTCTTGCGATAGTTTACTGAGAATGATGATTTCCAATTTCATCCATGTCCCTACAAAGGACATGAACTCATTGTTTTTTATGGCTGCGTAGTATTCCATGGTGCATATGGGCCACATTTTCTTAATCCAGTCTATCATTGTTGGACATTTGGGTTGGTTCCAAGTCCTTGCTATTGGGAATAGTGCCGCAATAAACATACGTGTGCATGTGTCTTTATAGCAGCATGATTTATAGTCCTTTGGGTATATACCCAGTAATGGGAGGGCTGGGTCAAATGGTATTTCTAGTTCTAGATCCCTGAGGAATCGCCACACTGACTTCCACAATGGTTGAACTAGTTTACAGTCCCACCAACAGTGTAAGTGTTCCTATTTCTCCACATCCTCTCCAGCACCTGTTGTTTCCTGACTTTTGAATGATCGCCATTGTAACTGGTGTGAGATGGTATCTCATTGTGGTTTTGATTTGCATTTCTCTGATGGCCAGTGATGGTGAGCATTTTTTCATGTGTTTTTTGGCTGCATAAATGTCTTCTTTTGAGAAGTGTCTGTTCATGTCCTTCGCCCACTTTTTGATGGGGTTGTTTGTTTTTTTCTTGTAAATTTGTTGGAGTTCATTGTAGATTCTGGATATTAGCCCTTTGTCAGATGAGTAGGTTGCGAAAATTTTCTCCCATTTTGTAGGTTGCCTGTTCACTCTGATGGTAGTTTCTTTTGCTGTGCAGAAGCTCTTTAGTTTAATTAGATCCCATTTGTCAATTTTGTCTTTTGTTGCCATTGCTTTTGGTGTTTTAGACATGAAGTCCTTGCCCATGCCTATGTCCTGAATGGTAATGCCTAGGTTTTCTTCTAGCGTTTTTATGGTTTTAGGTCTAACGTTTAAGTCTTTAATCCAGCTTGAATTAATTTTTGTATAAGGTGTAAGGAAGGGATCCAGTTTCAGCTTTCCACATATGGCTAGCCAGTTTTCCCAGCACCATTTATTAAATGGGGAATCCTTTCCCCATTTCATGTTTTTCTCAGGTTTGTCAAAGATCAGATAGTTGTAGATATGCGGTGTTATTTCTGAGGGCTCTGTTCTGTTCCATTGATCTATATTTCTGTTTTGGTACCAGTACCATGCTGTTTTGGTTACTGTAGCCTTGTAGTATAGTTTGAAGTCAGGTAGCGTGATGCCTCCAGCTTTGTTCTTTTGGCTTAGGATTGACTTGGCCATGCGGGCTCTTTTTTGGTTCTATATGAACTTTAAAGTAGTTTTTTTTTTCCAATTCTGTGAAGAAAGTCATTGGTAGCTTGATGGTGATGGCATTGAATCTATAAATTACCTTGGGCAGTATGGCCATTTTCATGATACTGATTCTTCCTACCCATGAGCATGGAATGTTCTTCCATTTGTTTGTATCCTCTTTTATTTCATTGAGCAGTGGTTTGTAGTTCTCCTTGAAGAGGTCCTTCATGTCCCTTGTAAGTTGGATTCCTAGGTATTTTATTTTCTTTGAAGCAATTGTGAATGGGAGTTCACTCATGATTTGGCTGTTTGTCTGTTATTGGTGTATAAGAATGCTTCTGATTTTTGTACATTGATTTTGTATCCTGAGACTTTGCTGAAGTTGCTTATCAGCTTAAGGGGATTTTGGGCTGAGACAATGGGGTTTTCTAGATATATAATCATGTCATCTGCAAACAGGGACAATTTTGTTTCCTCTTTTCCTAACTGAATACCCTTTATTTCCTTCTCCTGCCTAATTGCCGTGGCCAGAACTTCCAACACTATGTTGAATAGGAGTGGTGAGAGAGGGCATCCCTGTCTTGTGCCAGTTTTCAGAGGGAATGCTTCCAGTTTTTGCCCATTCAGTATGATATTGGCTGTGGGTTTGTCATAGATAGCTCTTATTATTTTGAGATATGTCCCATCAATACCTAATTTATTGAGAGTTTTTAGCATGAAGGGTTGTTGAATTTTGTCAAAGGCCTTTTCTGCATCTATTGAGATAATCATGTGGTTTTTGTCGTTGGTTCTGTTTATATGCTGGATTACATTTATTGATTTGCGTATATTGAACCAGCCTTGCATCCCAGGGATGAAGCCCACTTGACCATGGAGAAAAACTCTACGAATTAATCTAGCTGTTGGGTAAAATCTACTTATTTTTAACATCATCTCTCCTCTTCTAAGACCTGTATCCACCTCTTGCTACCCACTGCTGTCAATATTTATTTCAGTAGTTCTCAACCAGGGGAGATTTTGCCTCCTAGGGCACATTTGGCAATGACTGGAGGTGTTTTTGACTGTCACAACTGGGGGTGTGCTAGTCAATCTAGTGCGTAGAGGCCAGGGGTGCTGCTGAACTTCATACAACGCACAGGACAGCCCCTTCTACAGATAATTGTCCAGCTTCCAAATGACAATAGTGCCAAGTTTGAAAAATTCTGGTTTAGATGGATCTAGAGAGGTGGGTCAGTAATGAATAAAGATATGGAGTTCTCCATTTAGGACAATTAATGAAAGCCATGTTAGTACAGGATTGTTGTGAGAGAGGGAGAGGGATAGGGAGAGAAAGAGGTTTGACAAATGTCTATATTAAACTATATTAAAGTAACAGAAAGAGAGACCAAAAAGTAGAGGCAAAAACCAAGTGATCAGAGAAATAGGAAGATAAGGATAACAGAGTGTCACAAAAATAAGGAGGGAGACAATTCTAAGGAAGACTTGGTCAGCAAGGTTGAATGCTATGGAGCAGGAGTGTTGAATGAGCACGAAGGAAACACCATGACTTTCATACTAGGATATTATGGGTGACCTCCAAAATATAAGCTTTAAGTGAACAGTGAATTTTGGAGAAGAGTTCAAGGCTTGAAGGAATCGGAACAGATGCTTTTTTTTTTTTAATTTCTGTTTATTTTTGTTTGTTCTATTGCCTTTTTAAGACAGAAAAAGATGGAGAATGTGGTTATGCTGACAAAACCACCACCAGGCAGGATAAAAAATATCATTGTGCTAAAAATTATCCTCTGAAATAATTAGCATTTCAATAAAAATTTTAATTTTTTTCACAATTTCAAGCAATCACAACATTTAAAGAGGCATATATCATATATGACATTTAAAGGGAGATATGAACTATCTTGTGAAAAACGAGACATAATTTAATACAAAGAAGATACTCTTCTTCCCTCCTTGTTCTTCTTATACCTAGTTGTAAAGTCCAGTTTATGCAACATACAACAAATGAAAGTTAATTGGATCTAAACAATTAGTCAACTGGGGTGAAGGGACTGCAAAGAGGAGAGCATTGGTTATAATGCTCTCGGCATGATGACCACCAGTTGGTAAACCAATTTGGTTTCTGCACTTTTCAGCTGATTTTTTCTGAATAGTATAGAGAGGTTAACTCTGATTTTCCCATTTGAAACCAAAATGGATTTGACATCAAAACTATTTCTTTAAGTAAGCCATAAAAATAATCTGTTCAACTGTCTGCCTCCTTCATGCTGGGCTGCTGGTTGCCATGCTGGACTGCGAACTGTCATGCCAGGCTTGAAAAGCCATTACTTCACATAAAACCCAGGCCCGCCCCCATGGTCCCACATAGCTCTTGATGGGCATGCTCTGTGGCTCCTTGGATCAGGCCTGAGAGCTGGAAAGTCGCTATGGAGCAGCAGACAGAGTCAATCAAACGAGAACTTCCTTTGGGCAAGTGCAACTACAGGAAACAATAATAGACTTCAGATTTCTGGGAGGGATTCTTCTTATCCAGTCTCTTAAAAACAGAAAGCTTTTCTCAGACCCTTAAGTGAATTTAGTTCCAGCTTTCTTTCAGCTTTGGGTTGGAGAGAATGTAGCTGAGTAATAACTAACAAGTATAATGCATTCACTCTCTTCAAAGCCTCTGCCATACCATTTTAGGGGTAGAACTGAAGCCCAAAGCCATGTGCATTTCAGCCCCTGTGAGTTGGTTAGCTCCCTGTGTCACAGTGTCTCATCCTAAGTCAGTTTATATGAAGGGTTGTGGATAGAACATCATATTCTTTGTATAACTACTGGAAAATAAAGACGCCCTCTTTCTGATGTGAGTCCTATAGCGTCTTGCATGAAAAAGAGAACATTATATTATTCTTGGTGATCAGAATAGATGCTATCTAGAAGATACTCACCTATACAATTCGATTTCCAATTCATTAGTACGTGAGCTGGCTACCCTGCCATGTTCCCCCACTGGTTCTGCAAGTCCACAACCCTCAGTCTGTCCATCCCCCTCTTCCCCTTCCATGACTTTGGCATGACACACACTTATGTCTCTCTAACTCCTCCCCTACTACCACCTTGCCCAACACTTCAGAGCAGCACCCCAGGATCTTGGCATTTAAGTTGTGAAAAGTCACCAGGCTTAACTGTATCAATGGCCCTACTGAATGCTCATACAAATAAATTATGGTTTAGTGTAAAAAACCCCACTGCCTTTGTAAATGCTGCAGTAACACTCATTACATCAGAACAGAGCCAAAGAAAGAAGCTTAGATTTAATCTGTTTTAATCTCAGTTATTTCCTAATATAAAAGACTGTGGGCATTTTCACATTCTTTGGAAGGATTAGCGAAGGCCAACATGAATAACAAATTGACATTTCTGAAGTTCTGGAAGAGCCAAAAGCAATATAAAAGGAAGGCAGACAGATCAAATTTCTGAACAGAATTATTTTTCTTAGCAGAGTTTAAAAGTTAACATTAGGAACAAATGTTAAACAGCTCTGCACAGTTATTTATCTTTACCTGGAACACATTTTGCCAAACAGTTTAACTGACAATTTAGAAAGACATATCTTCATGTTATAGAGACAAAGAAACTTCTTCTATGTGACAGGCATAATAAGAGTTTTTTTAGAGTAATCTGTATAACAATTTTTACATTCCTCTAGTCATTTTATTGTCTGAAATATTCCAGAACTAATGCTGCCATTTTTTTTTTAGTGAAGAGTATGTTGGTTCCCATGAAATCGTTGAATATTTGTGTTAAAAGAGATTTAAAGAAAAGTAATCTACTTCAGCTTTTCATTTCATAAATGAGGAAAGTCAGGCTAAGAAAGAGTACCCAAGCAACCAGTGTCATAAAATCACAGATCTATGACAGTTCAGGCCTAGGATCCTGGTTTTCTGATGACTCATCCAATGATCTTTTCATTTATCTTTGTCCTTTTCCTCAAGAAGATTATATTTTATCATTATATAGTATTAACTTGCTCCATTATAACCACATTCCAATTTGCTTTGATGTATCTTAAATCAAAATAGCAAAAACAAATTGACTCTTGTGGCTCTACTTGTCTTAATGCCCCACAAAGTCACTGAGAAATGCTGTGAGGGTTGGGTCCATCCCAGCCCTTGGATATAGATATTTTCACATGTAACAGAATTGTGAAATGAAAAGATTTCTAAGATATTAGTTCTACGATAGGATTCTAAATCCTAACACATTCTGCCTTCCCTCTTAGTCCTAGACATAGGGTTTAGTCCAAACCAGGGTTTCTCAACCTTACCACTATTGACTTTTAGGGTCAGATAATTTTTGTAGGTGAGTATCAACCTGTGCCTTGCAAGGTGCTTAGCAGCATCCCTGGCTTCTACCTACTAGATGCCAGTAGCACCCCACCCCTAAATTGTGACAACCAAAAATGTCTCCAGAAATTGCCAGAAGTCTCCTGGGGTGGGGGTACAAAATCACCTCAAATTGAGGATCATTGGTCTAAACCCTTTAGCACTTACATAAACCTTGACACAAAATAGGAGCAAAGCAGAGATGAAAAGTGGGATACAAAGGAACTTACTGGCATCTTTGACTATGAACCTTCCTTGACTCTAAAGCCAATTAAATGTTTTGGTGGAAAAAAAGGAAAGTTGTTTTAATCAACCATATGCCTTTCCTCACTCCCACCACACTTTTGCCTTAAAGTTTGTTTTTGTTGCCATGAAAACAGAGCCTGCCTGTTTGTAATTATAATATTATTCTGCAGCAAATTTCAGAAAGCGCCAATTGGTACACTTCCAACCTCAAATTCTCTCCCTCTTCATCTCCCTTCCCTAGACAGGAGTTTAGAGAGGGGGAAGGAATGAGAGAAGAATGCCTGGTATCCTCAGCTCTGACCTCCTAATGCCTGCACTCAGCATAAACCTCTCAGGTCTCCAGGACCTGGCAATCAAACCTTCCAACACGGCCTTGTCTCTGACTGAACTTCATTTGTTCAGCATTTTCACCCAAAACCACAGAACTTTGATAAGAGTTAGTCAGGACTCAATGATGGTGAAGAAAGGGAAGGGAGAGGTAAGACAAGTAGACCCATGAGAATCAATTTGTTCTTGCTATTTTGAGTGCAGATACATCGAAGTAAATTGGAATGTGGTTACACTGGAGCAAGTTAATACTATACAATGATAAATACCCATTCTTTTTTTTTTAATTATACTTTAAGTTTTAGGGTACATGTGCACATTGTGCAGGTTAGTTACATATGTATACATGTGCCATGCTGGTGTGCTGCACCCACTAACTCGTCATCTAGCATTAGGTATATCTCCCGATGCTATCCCTCCCCCCTCCCCCCACCCCACAACAGTCCCCAGAGTGTGATATTCCCCTTCCTGTGTCCATGTGATCTCATTGTTCAGTTCCCACCTATGAGTGAGAATATGCGGTGTTTGGTTTTTTGTTCTTGCGATAGTTTACTGAGAATGATGATTTTCAATTTCATCCATGTCCCTACAAAGGACATGAACTCGTCATTTTTTATGGCTGCATAGTATTCCATGGTGTATATGTGCCACATTTTCTTAATCCAGTCTATCATTGTTGGACACTTGGGTTGGTTCCAAGTCTTTGCTATTGTGAATAATGCCTTTTTTCAATTTTTATTTTTGTTTTTATTTTAAGTTCCGGGGTACATGTGCAGGATATGCAGGTTTGTTACATAGGTAAATGTGTGCCATGGTAGTTTGCTGCACCTATCAACCCATCACCTAGTATAAATACCCATTCTTAATGAAAATGAGTTATAGTATTATTTTATTCATAGCCTGTGTTACTTCTCTGAATATGTCAGTAATAAACATGTTGTAGAAATTTAATAGAAATATCTAATAGATGTCGTTATAAACATGCTGTAGAAATTTAATAGAAATATATAATAGATGTGGTTCTTACATAATTTCTTCTCTGGCCTTTTACAGCTTGAGATATAATTTACACACAATAAATTGTTCAAATCTAAACTGTAAAGCTCTATAAATTTTTGCATATGTATATATTCATGGAACTGCTTCCCAGATGAAGATATAGAACATTTTCATTATAGAAAGCTTCTCCTGTTTCCATCTAGTTAGTATCCACCCTTACCTCCCGGGCAAGCAATATTGTGATTTCTACCAATGAAAGAATAGCTTTGTCTGTTTTTTTATCCCATAAATTAAATTGTACAGTATGTACTCTTTGTGCCTTTTGAGGCACATGTTGAAGAACATGAGAAACATGTTGAGTTTCTAAGGTTCATTCATTCAGTTTTATGTGCCAATGGTTTGTTCTTTTTTGTTGCTATGTAGTATTCCTCCATCCAAATAAAACACAGACTCCTGTTGATGGATATTTGTGCCTGTGTATATGTATGTGTCTATATGGACTATTATGAATAAAAATGCAAAGAAAATGGGGTGTACTAGTCTTTGTGTGGATATATGCACTTGTTTATCTTGGGTATATAACTCAGAATAAAATTCTAATACTAAAAATGGAAAATATTAATAATCAAATTGAATTTTTTATATTGCTATAAAGACTTGAAGGACACAATAATCTTCTCCCATTTATTTTACACAAAGGGAAAATAGATAAACCTTTTAAATAATTAATCAGGAAAATATATTAAGGCAGATGAAGACATAGAACACCTGACAGTAAGGTGAATATAGAATTTTTCATGAAACTGGGAGACTTTCTGAGTGAAAGGGGCATGATCAATATTTATATAGGGACTGTTTAACCTGGACTTTGCTGAAAATACTGGATCTTATGGCCATTCACGCTAATTGTGACTGAGAAGATGGAAACTAGGCCAGACATCTAATGCCAACTTCAGAATTAACCCCCTTTTTGACCTTGGTCAACTTGTTTAAACCTTTGTCCTTTAATCATGGCATTGGTCAGAATATTCTCCGCTGAAATTTTATAAAGACTCCATGAATGGCAAGTCATAAATCATAAACCTCAAAGCCAATAAAGCTGTCCTGCAAGGATTGAGAGCTGGAATGCAGACTTCCAGGGTTGAGATGTATGCTTTCAAGAGCCTGGTTGCACCTGCTTCTAAAGTGCCACTCAATTAATTTATGAGGTTCTCTCTTCTCTTTCATTTACTTTTCCAGTTGTGACTTAAAATAAGTTTCAGCTAGCCACATATACTCTATGTTATTTCACTGAAAAGATGTGAACTGCAAATTACATCAGTGATTGAGACACATTTGGCAATATCTTTCTTCCTCATGCTTCAGTCAACTAGACTTACTGTGTGATGAGAATCCCAGAGGCCCAGGGCGACAGCCCCTGAAATTTTCTTTTTTTTTTCTTTTATTATTATACTTTAAGTTTTAGGGTACATGTGCACATTGTGCAGGTTAGTTACATAAGTATACATGTGCCATGCTGGTGTGCTGCACCCACTAACTCGTCATCTAGCATTAGGTATATCTCCCAATGCTATCCCTCCCCCCTCCCCCCACCCCACAACAGTCCCCAGAGTGTGATGTTCCCCTTCCTGTGTCCATGTGATCTCATTGTTCAATTCCCACCTATGAATGAGAATATGCGGTGTTTGGTTTTTTGTTCTTGCGATAGTTTACTGAGAATGATGATTTCCAATTTCATCCATGTCCCTACAAAGGACATGAACTCATCATTTTTTATGGCTGCATAGTATTCCATGCTGTATATGTGCCACATTTTCTTAATCCAGTCTATCATTGTTGGACATTTGGGTTGGTTCCAAGTCTTTGCTATTGGGAATAGTGCCGCAATAAACATACGTGTGCATGTGTCTTTATAGCAGCATGATTTATAGTCCTTTGGGTATATACCCAGTAATGGGAGGGCTGGGTCAAATGGTATTTCTAGTTCTAGATCCCTGAGGAATCGCCACACTGACTTCCACAATGGTTGAACTAGTTTACAGTCCCACCAACAGTGTAAAAGTGTTCCTATTTCTCCACATCCTCTCCAGCACCTGTTGTTTCCTGACTTTTGAATGATCGCCATTGTAACTGGTGTGAGATGGTATCTCACTGTGGTTTTGATTTGCATTTCTCTGATGGCCAGTGATGATGAGCATTTTTTCATGTGTTTTTTGGCTTCATAAACGTCTTCTTTTGAGAAGTGTCTGTTCATGTCCTTCGCCCACTTTTTGATGGGGTTGTTTGTTTTTTTCTTGTAAATTTGTTGGAGTTCATTGTAGATTCTGGATATTAGCCCTTTGTCAGATGAGTAGGTTGCGAAAATTTTCTCCCATTTTGTAGGTTGCCTGTTCACTCTGATGGTAGTTTCTTTTGCTGTACAGAAGCTCTTTAGTTTAATTAGATCCCATTTGTCAATTTTGTCTTTTGTTGCCGTTGCTTTTGGTGTTTTAGACATGAAGTCCTTGCCCATGCCTATGTCCTGAATGGTATTGCCTAGGTTTTCTTCTAGGGTTTTTATGGTTTTAGGTCTAACGTTTAAGTCTTTAATCCAGCTTGAATTGATTTTTGTATAAGGTGTAAGGAAGGGATCCAGTTTCAGCTTTCTACATATGGCTAGCCAGTTTTCCCAGCACCATTTATTAAATAGGGAATCCTTTCCCCATTTCTTGTTTTTCTCAGGTTTGTCAAAGATCAGAAATTTTCACTAAGTCAAATACCATGAAATTGTTTCATCGAGCTGACACTTGACATTGGATGAAAGGGGGTTGGCATTACCTCCTCAAAGTTGATGTTCTTAGGCTCACGTGGGACAACAATGCTTTATTTCTACCATGTTTAGAAGTTTTAAGGCAACATAAGATAATAACCACAAAACAGCAATGCCATTTGAGAAGGAGGGGCTGCAAGTTTTTGCAGGCATTTAAAACTACGTTTGTCAAAAACAAAAAGCGAAAAGATAGAAAATATGTCTCTTGCAAGGGAAACAATGTATACTGGCTACCTGTAGAATGTCCCCAGAGTCACTGGATTGAAATAATTAGTTGCAAAGAAAGAATAAATTTAGGTAAAATAATGATAATCTGATATTAAGGACATTGTGTTTCCTACTATAGAAAAACAGCCTTTCCAAGCGAATTCATTGGGAGTCATAATCTGTTGCAAAATTACAAGTTAGAACAAGGACTAAAAATATAGCATAAAATCAGAAACTAAAATACTATTTATAACATGAATTATTTTTTATTTACTTTTAAAAAATTATGGATACATAATAGTTGTACATATTTATGGGGTACCTGTACCCCATAAATTGTTACATGTATAACCATACATGTAATAGTTTTGATACAAGCATATAATGTATAACAATCAGATCAGAGTAATTGGGATAGCCATCATCTCAAGAATTTGTGTTAGGAATATCCAATTCCATTCTTTTAGTTATTTTGAAATATACAGTAAGTTATTGTTAACTATTAGCACCCTATTGTGCTACTGAACACTAGATCTTATTCCTTCTATGTAACTGTATTTTTGTACCCATTAACCATCCTGTCTTTAATCCCCCTCATCTAGAACATGAATTCTTTGTTGATAAATTTTTGTTTTATAAAATCATCATTATCTTACTGCTAAGTTAATATATTCAAAGTATGAAACATTTTTCACTGAGTCTATACCTTCTAGATTTCAAATACAAAAATGTAACGACATTAGTTAATTTTAAAATATATATTGTATTTTATATAAACATATATATTTTTAAGTTTTTAAAAATCCACGTCTGTTTCTAAATCTGAACACATACACTCATACACCATACACAGTCTTCTTCCTACCTTTTGAGAGTCACTACCTTCTGAAAAGAACCTTTCCTAATGTAAATTTTCATAAGTAAAGAACAAAATCACCATTAATATCAAATGGCAAAGTTTTTATACATTTCCGATGCCCAAATTAAACCTATTTATGCTAAAGCAACACCAAGTCACACTAAAATGAACCCAATAATGTCAATATTTATCATAAGTTGTTATAACACAACATAACAAGGAAATAGCCCTTTAATTCATCACTAACATGGTTACCTATCTGCATATGTTCCGTTCTTTCCTAGCAGTTATGTATCATGCATATCATGCACGTAAGCCTGTGACCATAACATGTGCATTTGACCATCAATGTTTAAGTAATTGTACTTTTAGTTAAAAAATAAAACAAATGAAACTATCATTGATAACAATGCAAATGCACTAAGATCATCACTATTCCAAACCAGCAAACCAGGAGTTCTCTTGGAGGAAGAGATGGCAAGAAGCACCAACTGCTTCGTGCCTGTTCCATAAAACATTGGCCATCTATTTTCTTTGGGCCAACCAATGAGCATTCAAATGCCCTTCCATCTGTCCTCTACCAAGTCCAGTCATCAGGACTGGGTCATTCTTCTCTAGTGTTCTTTAAAGACAGCCAAGCGGACACAGGGGTGCTATCTGCAGAGTTCGGTGAGGACCTGATCAAAGATAAGGTGACTTATGAAGCTGTCCCATATTAAGAGGTGTCTAGATAAGACAACAGAGTAGAGGAACAAAAATATACCATTTTAGTTAGAGCAAAAGTATCTTTATCTGTGTTTGTGTTAAACACATATGCATCCATGTGTGCCGTGATGCATCTAATCACAGTTGGCAAAGTGTTGCTTAGTAGTTTGCTGAGCTAAGAGACTTGGTGTCACTGGGAGATAGTGAAGCCAACAAAAAGAGTGTAATGCTTCCTTTGATAAAGATAATTCATCTCATCCCAGTGAGTCTCTCCTTTTGCTTGGGATGCCCAAACTCTCCAAGGAAGGAGTGGAAAGCAGAGAAAAGATGAGGGAGACAGGAAACCAGAACAGGGGAGACACAGCAACCTGAGACAAAAAGTTAAAATCTATCGAGGATGGGAATTAGAGAGTTGCAGGTATTGGCGGGGCCTCAGATACTTCCCACTCTAACCATCGTTCCCACTCCGAAGGAAGCAGGAAAAAGAGCACAGGGGCATCAACCAGACCTGCCTATAAACTCCTCCCATCCATCCTCAGGGCCACCATTTTCACCCAGGCTCTGTCTAGAGCCCAGGTGGCCTGCTCAACTCCGCTCACTTTGTACATGGGTCTCTGCATCCTCTCTGAAAAAAGTCAGGTGCTGGTCTGTTGAATGTGGCTATAGAAGGTAATGACGAAGTATTCATGGAGATGACCAGACAAGTGGAGCCTTCTTAAGAGGAGATGCCTTAGGACTGGGATCCCGTAATCTGTGGTTTTCAGCCAGGGGCAATTCTGATCCCTGGGCAACCTTGAGCAATGTCTGGAGACATTTCTAGTTGTCACTACTCAGGGTAAGGGAGGATGCTACTGACTTCTAGTGAATAGAGGCCAGGGATACTGTTAACATCCTAAAATGAACAGGGCAGCCGCCACAGCCAAGAATTATGTGCCTCCAAATGTCACTAGTACTGTGGCTGAGAAACCCTGGACTAAAAGAAGCCAACCCTAAAGGTCAGCTTGGTGATGCAGGAGCAGCCAGATTACATGGCTAAGAGGGACACAGTTGGACAGAGTCAGACGCAGGACATCTCTGGGCTTCAGAAGGACTTCTAACTCAAGTTGATGAACAAATGAGAAGTCAGAATTGTGTTGCCGAAACGTCGGAAGTTTCAAAGTCAGAATCAAGATTCCAGCAATTACTTGATGTTTCCCAGTCTTAATTTTTTCATCTGTAAGACTGGGATCCTAACATTGCTCCATAGGAATTTGCTAAGACTAAAGAAGATATTGAACATGAAGAACTTCTCACCAGTGATTGGCAAGTAATAGGCACTTCACAAAGAGCACTTCTCTTCCATTTTCTTGCTCTAGGTAACCTCTGGAATGAACATTACAGAGATAGAGCAAGGAAGTGGATGGTTAGATCTTTTCCCCACAGCCCGACTTTTTCAGAGCTCCTTGATCTTCCTTCCTTTTGTAATTTTTTCTTTCTATCCCACCTCCTTCTAAGAACTGAAATTTCCCATCCATCAGTGATCACATACTCAGGCAAGGGCTTGAGGTGTAACTTTTTTCACCTTGTGACTCATGAAGATACAGTAGGGTGATCTCACCAGGAACCTATGCACATAAGAGACTAAAGAGCCTCATAGAAAATAACTTATCCTGGAAGAATAAAAAGTCAACAGGAAAAGAGTGTTTCAAGGACAACAGGTAACCTTTGAAAGAAAGGGGTCATTCTAAGCACAGCATAAGCCTCATCATGAATTCACCCTGAATCTCTGGACAAGGAAACATTAAAAAATACCTATTAAGAACCAAAATTGTTTCTGCAAAATTTCTAAGGGCCACTGAAAGCACAAATATTATTGGATTTATAACTATGAGGGAGAAGCTGGCATTGGTGGAGACTTTGCTTATGAGGGCTGCCCACTTTATTCTGACAACAAAGTTGGTGATATGGTGGCCTCTATCCACCTCTATTCACCTTGACAGAACGCATTGGTTGCAACTGTAGCAGCAATGCTGTTGAGAGACATCTGCAGTGGAAGTATTCCCTTCCATTGCAGATGGAAGTAATCAAATTTCTCCCCACAGAGACTCACAGGAGGGGAAGAAAGAGGTGGTATATTAGTCCGTTTTCACACTGCTGTAAAGAACTACCTGAGACTAGATAATTTATGAAGAAAAGAGGTTTAATTGACTCACAGTTCCACAGGCTGTACAGGAGGCACAGCTGGGGAGGCCTCAGAAAAATTACAATCATGGTGAAAGGGCAAAGGGGAAGCAAGCAGGTCTTCACATGGCAGCAGGAAAGAGAGAGAGTAAAAGGGGAGATGCTACGCACTTTCAAACAACCAAATCTCGTGAGAACTCTATCATGAGACAAAACTAGGGGGGACGGTGCTAAGCCATTAGAAACCACCCCCGTGATCCAATTAACTTCCACCAGGCCCCACTTCCAACATCAGGAATTACAATTCAACATGAGATTTGAGTGGGGACACAGAACCAAACCATATCAGGTGGTGTGCATTCCCACAGCATGGGGAGGACACATAGAGTACCATGGGCACATTCCCTGGATATCCCCAAGACTATGGAGGGACAACTTGAGCAGTGGAGGCAGAGCAGCCAGAGAAACACTTTTGGGGGTTGCCACTTGGCATTCTTTTCTTACTCAAACAGTTATGGCACAAGTTACAGTATAAGAGTAAACCATTATTCTCTCAGAACACCCAGTGGGTCTGCTTTCCTGTTGCTAAAAATCCTAACACCAGGTTTCAGCAGTAACAATAAGATGTTCACTGTGTCCCTGGGGCCATGCAAATACTGCAGAGCCTTAACTTTAGCTCACAAACCTTTGACAGGCCAGATCCACTATAGCACGTGATGGTGTTATGGGTAGGGGGAGGGAAATTACTGCTCTTACAACTTAGCTGATCCTCAATTGATGCTTCTAAGTTGCTGTTTCCTCACTTCCCCCACTAAAATTAATACATTAAGTCCAGATCTTTCTGCTTAGGGTAAGGAAAAGTAAAGCTAAGGCTGCTCGACTTGCCTTACGGTATGCTGTGAGACAAACAAGAGTCCAGGGTCCCTTGCTCACCTTGACCGTCACTGCCTGGCCCTTGGAATCTATACAGTGTAAATAAAGATCTGAGGGAAAAAAATCCTGGCTCTCTGTGATATTTTAGAGGAATGCAAAAAATTAGACCTAAGGCATTTGCATTGAAACTCTTACATTCCATTATACATATCTGAAGCTCTTTTGCTGGTTCTTTATGTCTTTGTGGACAGGATGTTAATCTTAAATCAAGATTGTAAAATTAAACAATTTTAAATATATGCATGTTTAACTAAAAGATTTTAGAGATTAAGAATCATTTGTAAAATTAGATTTTACACGTTTGATTTAAGAACATGTATTGAATGTTAGCCGTCAAGTCCCCAAATCCATTCATTTGTAGATACTAAAGGATCCCAAGAGGTGAGTTGATTCTAGCCCAAGCCCAATTAATCCTGACTCTAAACATTATATGTGTATTTTTATTGAGTGCTTCCTATATGTTGGGGTACTGGGCAAAAAGCTGTTTGAGCACTGTATCTAATATGTCTGCAATATTTCCCTCTTCACTGTGGGGAAGAAATGTTTCACTCTTCTCTTAATTTTCATATATATGTGTGTATATATATATATGCATCTGTACCACACTTCCCTCTTAATTCTCTTATATGTGAATAAATACATATATTTATATGTGTATATATGTGTGAATACACACACATGCATTTATATATACATAAAGATAAATGGCACCTAAAGTATGGCGTCAGTGTTCACTCCAGCTCATTGATTCCCGTCGGTTTGTAGGGCCAATGTCAAGTTTTTCACGAAAACAAAAAATTTCTGAACTTTTAATTTAAATATCCTTGTTATGGTCTGAATTATGTCTCCCCTAAATTCATATGTTGAAATCCTAACCCCAGTATCTTAGAATATGACTGTATTTGGAGATAGGGCCTTTAAAGAGGTAATTAAGGTAAAATGAGGCTGGTAGGGAGGGCTCTATTCCAATCTGACTGGTGTCCTTATAAGAGAATTTTTGGGACACAAAGAGACACACCAAGGATGTATGCATACAGACAAAAGACCATGTGAGGACACAGCGAGTAGGTGGCCATCTGCAAGCCAAAGACAGAGGAATCAGAAGAAACCAACCCTGCCGACACCTTGATTTCACACCTCTGGCCCCCAGAACTGTGAGAAAATAAATTTCTGTTGTTTGAGCTACCCAGTCTGTGGCATTTTGGTATGGTAGTTCTAGAAAATGAATACGCTCTCGTTTTTGAAAATTCAGGTTTTTAACAGCACTGTGTAGGTCAAACAAAAACATAACTAAAATGAAGAATGAACTCTCATACATAATGGGAGTGTGCATAAATTGCTTCAATCTCTATGGAGGGTAACTTGGAAATATCTATCAAAATTAAAAATGATTATTTTTGAGTCAGATATTCCATTCCTAAAATATTTATCCTGCAGAAATATTCTTGTGTGTGAAGTAATGTGTTCAATATTTGTTGCATCATTTCAATACAGCAAACCACATACATGCCCACTGATATGGGACTAGTAAGTAAATTATAGCACACCTATACAATAGAATTATGTGCAGTTATTTTTTAAATGAGGTAGCTCTATATAGAATGATTTTACAGATAGAGTGCCAAGTTAAAAAGTATCAGAACTGTGTGTGTGTGTGTGTGTGTGTGTGTATAACCATTTGTGTGAAACAATGTGTAATGTGTTTCAAAATGGCCCCTCAAAGTGGGATGTGAAATAGAAAAAAATATATCTGATGCTGAAGTCAGGGTTTTTTACCATGACCTTAAGGCATTTATTAGGGATACCACACCTATACCCAACCAAGATCTCTCAGCCCATTTCCAGATGGGCACTCAAATTTCTTAGTGCAGTTGGAGCCCTGCCCTACACAGCTAAGAGAAGCTGTGATCATCAGACTTCATGACTTCTTTTTCCCTGGGCAGGCTTCTACTCTGGCCTTTCCTGGCCCCTCCCTGCTTTGCCACTAAACACCGCCTGAGATATGGACAGCCTACCCAGAATGAACTCTCCCTTTGTGATGTCTCCTTGGGTGTCAACAAATGGGCTACTACTGTCTCCCTCTTTTGAACAAAGGCTCTCTATGGCCTGGTTAGAGCATTTAGCTTAGGAGGCAAGAGTATTCCACGGAGCACAACAACCTCATTATTTATATGATCAACTAAATCTTACAAGTGCTGCATACAGTTGCATACTCACAAGCACATTAGCATATAAAGTCTCTGAAGTCTCCGCGGTGTAGAAAAGTGGTTGCCCTTTTTCATCCCACAGTTGCCCAAGATTATTTAACTAATGAATCTTCTCTCTTTGTTGCACATCTATGCACATCATGTAAAACTAGTATTTCCCAGTGTGTAACACACTTGAGAAAATCTCTTCTAAACCAAGCACAGCTTCCATTCTTTTCTCCAGCTTGCTCTTTATAGAAGAGACTCAAATTACCTTCCCAAACAAACAAGGCTCCAAGGATTACAGCTAACAACAAGGATAAAACAACAACAACAACAAAAATAAGACTAAATAGGAGAGGGAGAGAAACCCAATAAAGAGGTAAAATTTAAAATTAAACGTCAAATTTTATAATTTGATGGTTCTATTTATTTCTGATTAAGAAAAGAAACCTGATCATGGAAAGTTATAAATTAGAAACCAGGAGGCAAGCAGGCAGGAGAATAGACAGGAATGTTGAAGGTCACAGCAGGCAATGGGTCATAAATCAGGAGCCAAGAGAACACAAACACCTGAGAGGAGGTCAAGGTCAATGGTTCTACTCTGGACAGCTCATCAGGAACCATTAAAAAGCCATAGGAGTGAGATGGCTATAGAGTCTTACCCAAAAGATGATTGAAAGATTACTAATTTAGGTTTGATTGGCCTGAATTCTCAACAGCCAATATGTTTATGCATGTTGTACATCTAATGGAACACCATTAAGATGGCTGACACTGTCGATTTATGCATTTATTGACATAATTCTGGCAGACTTTTTCTAACAAAATGTTTATATATTTTTTGTTTGTTCATTTGTTTGTTTTTTGAGATGGAATCTCACTCTGTCACCAGGCTGGAGTGCAGTGGTGCGATCTTGGCTCACTGCAACCTCTGCCTCCTGGGTTCAAGCAGTTCTCCTGCCTCAGCCTCCTGAGTAGCTGGGACAACAGGTACGTGCCACAACGCCCCCCAAAAATATTTTTGTATTTTTAGTAGAAACGGGGTTTCACCATGTTGGCCAGGATGGTCTCGATCTCTTAACCTCGTGATCCGCCTGCCTCGGCCTCCCAAAGTGCTGGGATTATAGGCATGAGCTACTGCACCCGGCCCAAAATGTTTATAACAATATAGAAATACATTATATTTCTAACTCATGCAAAGGTGCCTTATGAGCAAGCAACAATCCTGCCCCAAGGTCTGCCTGGTCTCTGGAAGGCCATGGAGGTAATGGCAGGAGGGCAGCTCTTGAAATCAGATGACCTGCATTCTATACCCAGCACCATTGAGCAGTTTTCCTCACCATTTTAGGTTTGAGTGTCCTCATCAGCAAAATGAAATCTATTTCTAGATGATGTTTCAGTTACATGAATATATTAGATTCTTTCTCACCTCTCATTTTTCACATATGCTATTGCTTCTACTTGGAATGCTTGTCCTTCACTCATCCCCAGGCTGGCCCTCCACATTCTTCAAGTCTCTGCATAAATGTCAAATCTTCCAGAATGCTTTCTCTTCTACCTTGGTTAGATCCCCTACTCAAGGCTTCCATCAGCCATCCTCCACCCACCATCAATTCACATCAAATATTATCATAATTATTTATTTCACTGTTTGTCTTTCCCACTAGACTTTAAATACCCATGGACAGAAAACATCTCTCTCTCTCATTCAGGGCTGTGTCTCCACTACCAAGCACACAGTAGAAACTCAATAAAAATTTGTTACATGAAGACATGAACAATGTTAAAATTTATATGGAAACCATTAAGTCTTTTTTTAACTTTTAAGTTCGGGGTACATGTGCAGGTTTGTTACACAGGTAAACTTGTGTCATGGGGGTTTGTTATACAGATTATTTCATCACCGAGGTATTCTCATTTTTTAAAAGAATTTTTCTGTATCTAGTATGCCACTTGGTTTGTCAAAGTTAGCCAAATTCACTTGTCTCCTACTTAAGAAAGTTAATTATTGAAGCCTGATTTCTTATCTCTGCACATTTTTATAAAACTAAAGTGCTATATAGGCACAAATATATTCTTATGAAGTTGTGCATGTTGTGAGGACGTGAAAACTAATTTCCACTTTAGTTGTACTCAGCAACTCAAACGGAATGAAGTCGTTTTATTAACAAACACCCTTCCTCCCAATTTATTTAGTAAATTCAGATTAATTAGGATTATTTCACTTTAAAAGAGTGGACTCTTGGTGTTAAAAGTGGGGGTGGTGGTGAGGGAAGTTCTGTTATTATCGATATGGAAATATCTTGATCATTTTCTCAGGGAAAGAAATCAAGATAAAGAACACCAAAAGTGTGATTTGCATGACCCTATCCCCCAGTCTCCCAGAGGACTTTGTCTTTGGCAGTCATGTTTTGGAAGGCCAAAAATGATCCTCTGATACTAAAAGGGAGTAGAAAGACGAGACCAACTGGATCTTATTGAGAAAAGGGGCAGCATTTGAGGGAGGTGGCATATACCCCTACAGGAGGAAGAATTTACTCCCTGGGAGGTAAGATTCTTAGCACCTGCAGATGTTTAACAGCACAGACTGTGAAGCTGGACTGCCTGGGTTCAAATCCGAGCTCTACCCTATTATCTGGGGAACTTTATATGTTACTTAATGGTGTGGTGTCAAGCTCACTCATCTGTAAAAATAGGGATAGTTATGGCAACTACATTACAGGGTTGTCATACAGGTAAAATGAATTAATGCATTCAGGAGATTAGAAAAATGACTACCATAATAAGTTCTTAATACTCATATATGTCAAGTTGGACTTTTATTATGTTTAGCTCTATATTCGTGGGCAGGGACTGAGAGAGAATTGCTTTTGTAAGATACAGAGTACACTCCAGCCTAGCCTGAGGAAATTGGCAAAAACTGAAATGGCCTGAGGAAATTGGCAAAAACTGAAAATTCCTTTGGGTAAGGGAGCCCAAAAGAGCTGAGGTCACTTAGAGGCCAGACTATAATCGCTTGAGATTCTCCAATTCTCTGACTTTGGTGTAGGCAGTGGTAGCAAGGGAGAAGGCAGAAGGCAGGTGAAGACACCAGTTAATGCAGTAAGGGTGGCAGAACTGGGAAACAAAAGCAGCCAAGAAGCAGAGATGGGAAATGCCTGGAGAAGACGATCACTAGACTCTCCAGTCAAATGTTTGCTAGGCTTTCCTTTTCAGGTGGCTTCTGAAGAACAGCATAACAAACTGCCTCATGGTATAGGAGACATCTAGAGCCCAAAGCCTGTATAATTGTTCCTCAGTTTTTTCTCAACAGGGAAAATCCCATTAGATAATTCCAAAGTGTTCCAAGCACCCAGCCTATTTAATGGTGCCCCCTGGAGTTGTGTAACACAGAGATGCTGAGCTGAGAGATCATAAATTACGTTTATCCATCTATAAGTGATTTGTTAGCCTATTATTTCCACCTTATAATTCTGTACCATTTCCTTTCACTGCATAACAGAAACTAATTTACATCTGCAACTAATTTTTGCATTTATTTATGTATTTATTTAGAGACAGAGTCTCACTCGGTTGCCCAGGCTGGAGTGCAGTGGCACCATCTTGGCTCACTGCAACCTCTGCCTCCTGGGTTCAAGCAATTCTCCTGCCTTGGCCTCCCAAGCAGCTGGGACTACAGGTACATACCACCACACTCAGTTAATTTTTGTATTTTTAGTGAGACAGGGTTTCACCATGTTGGCCAGGCTGGTCTTGAAAACCTGACCTCAAGTGATCTACCTGCCTCGGCCTCCCAAGTGCTGAGATTATAGGCGTGAGCCACTGTGCCCGGCCAATATTTTCATTTAGAGACTACTGATTCATCACTAAGTTGTCAGGAGTGGTATGTGGTGTGTGTGTGTGTGTGTGTGTGTGTGTGTGTGTGTGTGTGTGTGTATTAGCCTCTTTTAAGAGGTTATTTAGAAGAGGAAGACATAATTATTCACTTCATTTATGAGTTGCTCTATTACAATTTGGTTGTTCCTTTCGCAAAGCATTCGTGACATTGTTAGAACTTGTCATTAAGTCCTTTGGCGGAGGGCTCTACCTCTAATCTTTGCACAGCACTAGCTTCTTACTGTCCTATTTTCTCACCCATCTCACACACTGCAGCTGAAAATTGTGGCTGGGCTTGCATATGTAATTAGAGTTGTGCCTCTTTGCCAGGTTGTTTCTTCCTCCTCTACTAATTGGTCTAGTTTTCCCTTTAAGGCACGTAGGAATTATCAGTTAAGTCAAATGAAAACAATAGGCTGGGTGATGTCAGTTTTTGAAACTGTTGATTACTTTCCATATTATATCATATGGTCATGAGGATTACTCTGCACTTATGGGTAAACTATTCAGCTACTCATTAGCTCAATCCAGACACATCGAGGCTTGTCCTGGTTTAACTAACTTTTAAGCCATGTGACACAGGAAAAACGAATTCTTCTTCAAGAGTTAAACTGACTATCATGCTAAGACCTTCCTTTCCTGATGGCATTTGTAGTCATTTTTCTCACAAGCCATCAGTTCCAAGACAAGGATTTGGAAGAAAAAGCAACAAAAATAATAGTGCTTGGATATCTCTTAAGAAGCTAGGGCCATATTTTGCAAATATATTATTGTCCATTTTCAAGCATCCTAACAAGATGTGATAGACTCAGAAGCTTCCCAGTAGTAGCATAGGCTGTTCCTACTAAATCCAGAGGTTTATGGTTATCCTAGCACAAGGAATAGCAGCTTCAGATGTTGGCCATGGGGCAATTGTTACTCTTACTCCCATCTCTGGGAGTTCTCGAAAACTGTGGTCCCAGAACCAGCAGCATCAGTATCACCTATAAACTTGTTAGATAGGCACATTTTTACGGCTCACTCCAGACACAATGAATCAGAAACTCTGTGGGTGGAAGTCAGCAATCTGAATCTTAACAAATTGTCTGGGTGACTCTGATACATCTCTATCACATGGAGCCCCACTGCCAACCATAAGGCAAAGTAGATATGGGCCAAGCAGGTCTGTACAGGTTTTGGTGAAATCCTTAAAGCTCATACTGTTACCATGAGTCTTAGATCACAGAAAACACAGTGTTAGAATCATTGTTACTTCTATGCAGAAAAGGAAGAAGGAAAAAAATGCGCCAATTTCCTGGTAAATTTCCCCAACGGTTTTAACAATCTTTACCATATGCAAAATATAATGTTCTCAAAGATTAAATACCACTCTTGAGACTTAAAGAAAAGAGAATAGAAGACCATACTTGGGAAAAGAAATCTCTCTCCTGCTATGGGAGAAATATAACACTTATTATTAGGTAATTCAAAAATCTGTTGCATTGGTTTCTAAGACAAAGAAAACTTCTTAGACAGAGTCGCCAAGATGAATGAGAGTACCTTTCCATAGTGACTTTTTCAGTGTTGACACACAACTTCTAACAAGAAATGTTCCTAAAGAGTTTAACCTAATTACTAAAGTTCTTTTTACTCCTGTCATAAAGGAAGGGGAGGGGAGTTCAGAAAAAATTGCCTTGAAATCAGAGTCCCAGACTCTTACACATTCCTTACATTCATGGCATTCATGAGACCGTCAGGAGACCACCCGTAAAGACAGACAAAAGAAGATGGACTGGCGGCAGCACAAATAGTAATTATCAAAGCCATTGCCAAGTGGTTATCCCATGGAAACACATTTCTGTATAGTCAGTAAGTGGCAGTAATGATAACTGAGGGCATGCCAGCCAATAGAAGACCATGAACAGAACAAGATTCTTCCTGACCTTATCAGCAAGAGAGGGCTTTGAGGGAATGGAGATGCCTGGGCACTGAGGTCACCAGCACTCAAGAGGCCACCCCACCATGTCCTCATCCTGTGTGAATCCAATTGCTTACTTGGATTAGCTTTGCCACTTTACAATAGATGCTTAGAGGAAATCAAAATAATTTAGCATGCTAAGTGAAATTATACAACCAGGACTAACCAGGTAATTTAATGTAGAGGCACAGCCGCTTTGTTCATTAGCATTGGCCTTGGTCAAATTATGGAATCTCTCATTGCTTCAGTGACCTCATGAGTCCAGTGGGAATATTATTGCCAACATACTACTAGAAGACTCTTGAGAGAAATGGATAAAAAGGGTTGGGTTCTGTTGTATTGTACTGTACAATTTTGCATGTATTTTATTTGTATTTTGATGAACAAATTAGAAATAGCCCATATTCCAAACCATTCTCACTGGAATCAAGTGAGGAAATCACTAAACCAGTAGGCAAGTATCATATTTTGCCTAACATTGAATGTTTAAAAAAGACCAGTGAAATGCTTCTATTAACAGCAGAGTTCTTCATTCAGTGTGTGTGTGGGGGTGTGTGTGTGTGTGTGTGTGTGTGTGTGTGTGTGTAGAAAGAGTACTTTAAGCCAACTAAAAGGCGAGATTGTCAACAGAGCCTAGGAGTCTGAGAAGTTTGAGATAAGCGATGGTGATACAAACATCATTAGCACTGAGTCTTTTAGAATACATATTCTATAGCTCTCCAGCAAACCAAGTCTTCACATGAGGAAGTCACTGAGGCAGCAGGTAGATGCCATGGTCCTGGTCATCAAGGAGGCCCTACATTCACTTCTGCTTGCTAATGGCATCTCTTTGGGCAAGCTCTGAACCTCTCCCTAAGCAACATCTGTCCTTCAGGCTTAGCCAGCCAGAGTAGCTATGCCACGGCCTAAGGGCAGGGCAATTAAGATTCGTTATGTCACATCAAGAGAAGAATTCCAAATACTGGGCCCTCCACCAACAATGCAGCATCCTCACCCTCCCACTTCAAGCCCTGAAATGTTTTCAGTAAAAATAACTAGCTAATCATAACTGCTAGGAAGGATAGGGATAATCTCAGTGAGGTCACAACGAGCTAAAAATAAGTCTTTTGAGATCAAAGAGTTACACTAAGAAGGAGACAGAAAATTCAGGATATAATAACTAATCTTATATCCTTCTGTTCTTTCTGAACCTCAATTGGGGCTTGGATGCTGGGATATTGGGATGAAGGTGTTTGTCCCAAGGCCAAGCCGTATGCTGAATCAATTCCTAGTTCTACACAGGAAAGAAGCATCATTTTAGTCTCAGATAAATTAATAGTACGCAGCTAAATAACTCAAAACAGAAAAGTCATCATAGTGACAGAGTTGTAAAAGCCAGTTGCAGGAAATTGCACAAAATAAGCAGAATAAATATTACTGGAGTGAATTGGATGTTTTATGCAACAACCACCTGACACTCCAACTTTCTTTCAAATTTCACTTTTCCTCCCCTCTCTTTTTTGCCAGATGAATGTACTTCCAGCTGGACTTAAGAGAAGCAACGGTGTCAAACAACGACTCATTAAGAAATACACACCTGTCATAAACGCAAGACCCTCTCAGGGGAGATATTGAATTGTGTTCCCTGCTTCCTATGAAAAGGTGCAATGAAAAAAAAAATTAACTATCAACTACCAGATGTTTCTAGCATCTCTATTAGTTTGAGAAAGATGAAACAATTGCTGCATTGTACAGATGTGTAACTCACAGAAGTATTTTGGATGTGGGAGGAAGGCTCAACTAAATGTGTCTTGAGAATAATTGATCTTTTCTTTTTGGCACTGCTTCATAATAACAGGAAGAAATCTCCTCCTCTCCTTGAATTGACACATTTTTTACCAACACTAAGAATAAATGAACATATATTTAAAGGTGCAAGCATATGGATATGCATTTTTCAGTCTGACTTTGCTTCACTGCATCAATTATAATTATCTTGAACTTCCTGGTGACACTCATACATGCACGTTTCATGATTTGAAAGCTTTCTAGTTGTAGAAAGCTGTAAGTACTGTAAATCCCATTCTCCAAATAGTAAGAATGGAGTCTGGTGAGGAGAGGTTGTGTGGTCAATGGTATAGAGAAGGACAGAGCTAAAACTATTAGAGCCTATGCTCTATAACTATTAAGAGACAATATATACAAAATGTTTGAGTTACTCTTGTCCTCACAAGCAATGCTCGATGTTCTAGTATATGGAGAAGTCATCAATATGTGCTATTCAAGAAAAGGGTCAGGAGTACACAGTGGCAACAGCCTCAACTTCTGCCTATGGTTCCACATTATTGCATCTCCCAAGTGAATGGGCTTTGGCTTCAGCCCCTTGTCATCTCAGTGCCACAGGAGAGCTAAAGAAGGGAAAGCAGAGGGGGAATGCCATTTTATGTCATGGAGTACAGGGCTCACAAACAGGCTTTAGCTCAACATGCCAAATCTGATGGATTTTCTCTAGTGGCTGTCCTGGCTCTAACTGGAAAAGGATTCTGAGGTTGTATCTGGGCTTAGGCAGGAAGAGAGGTGAAATCTATTAGCAACATTTGCCAGTACTTTGGAAGGAGATGCTATCAGCTCATGAGGAATTTTCCAGCTTGGGGCCCTGTAACAGTTAAAAGTGTGGACTTTGAGGCCAAACTGATCTAGGTTCAAATACCACAGCTATACTACCTACAATCTCTGTCACACTGGGAAATTTACTTAACCTCCCTAAGATTCGATTTTCTCCTCTCTCAAGTAGGGATAACTAATATTATCCAAAAGAGCTGATATAAAGATTAAATAAAATAATGTATGGAAAGTGTCTTGCTGATTTCATGCCATAGAGTAAAAGCTACCAGAATGACAACTGTGGCTATGATAGTCATAGTATCCCTAGCCACAGTAGTAGCAGTAGCAGAAGTATCAGCACTAAGTTGATAGTATCAGCAGCAACAGTCTCATAGTTATGGTAACAGTAGTAACAGTCGTAATATTAGTACAAAAGTAATTTAAGGACAGGCCTGATTTTTTTTCTGGTATGGATTAGACATGAAAATTAATGAGAGAGAGAGAGAGAGAGAGAGAGAGAGAGAGAGAGAGAAAGTGCACCATGTTCTGATTAGCTAAGTAAACTGGAATCAGAAGCCACCTCTGGAGCTTATAGTCCACAGGTAGGTAATCATCATTCAGTTGAGGTGACTCCCTCAGCCCTAGAGAGGTTTGCTTTTCTCTCTTGGTGCTCTCAGTAGTGTGGCATGTGCCATATATATTGTACTGAAACTGTGCTGACACTCCTGAGGCGAAGGGTATAGCTTGAGCTCTCCAAGAAAGAGATGAGGCAATGATGTGTGGTCAGGTATTACTGAAAATATTTCAAAGGCAAAGAAAACAGAAATGGAGGGATGGCTACTGTCCCTTGAGCCAATTCATTATCCCACTGGTACTGGCCCTTATGATCCTGCTTTTTGAGTGGCACCGAACGGTGAGTTATCATGTGTCTTGAAGAGTTGAGAGAATGTGTGATGAGTAAGAAAAACGGAGTTCAGGAGCAGTTCAATGTTGAGAACACAGGTGGTGACTATGTTCCCTTTGGATTCTGGAGCCACTAAGTGTAACAGAGTAGGTTTCAGAGAATCAAAGATCATGGATGTTTTACAAAGGCTCTGTGCTTCAGTTAAAAGACAGTTCAATTTGTTAGAGAAATAATGGCCAGCTTCACACAAATAGTGGAAAAAGAACAAATTCAGGAGGAGGAGTTTAAAAGAATTTTAAAGAGCACTTTCGGTGGAATACTAAAGGAATAGCAGCTATAGGTCATAGACTTTTATTCCTGGAATAAACCTTTGAGATCATTTAATCCAACATCATTATTTACAGATTAATAAACGCACATCTTGTGAATAACAGCATGCGGAAAGAGCTTTTAAAATCAGGAGTTATTGTACTAAAGAGAGAGAAGGAGTCCAGAAATGGACACGCAGACTGTGGCGTCATCTAAGTACAAGTAGTAATTGAACTCATCTATGATGATACAGAGGGAAGAGATCCATTTCAGCTTCCAAGCAAAACATATAGACAGTGACACACCCATAATGAAATGGCCAAATGGATACCACCCAAACATAGATAACTATATGGCCCAAACAATGTGAATAAATTGAGGAAATTGGATGGCTATATTTCACATTTTTTGGCGTATCAAGTGAACTTTAATTACTTTTTGCTCCTGGGATAAATTTTTCTATCTCTCAAAGATTCTTAAGGAAAGAAAGGCAGATTCAAAATTTGCAGTGTTTTTGGGAGGCCGAGGTAGGCAGATCACTTGAGGCCAGGAGTTGAAGACCAGCCTAGCCAACATGGTGAATCCACTCTACTAAAAATACAAAAATTAGCTAGGCACACCTGTAGTCCCAGCTACTCGGGGTATGAGAATTGCTTGAACCCAGGAGGCAGAGGTTGCAGTGAGCTGAGATCCCGCCACTGCACTTCAGCTTGGGCAACAGAGCGAGACTCAGTCTCAAAAATAAATAAATAATAAATAAATAAATATTTTTTAAAAATTGTACAATGTGATACCATTTGGCCAAAACATATAAATACATAAAGAAAAAAGAGTATAAGAAAGGTTAAATAGGTCTAGTGGTGAACCAAATACTTATGATTACATTAAAGAATGCAAAAATAATCATTCTTGAAAGCAAAGCTAAATGAGTTAAAATAGTATTTAATATTAAACAATATGGATCTACAGTGACAAATAATTCCAACAAAATTCATAAGATGGGTCTACAAGAGGGAGGAATGAAAAAGAAGCTAATGACCTCAATTTAGATGGGATTCAAATAATTGCATTTATTTTGTGACACTGATAATTAGAGATATACAGGTTGCACATATTCTATAATTTAACAGTGAAATCATAATAAAAAATACATTCAGTGTTTCTAGAGACAAAGCAGCCCAAAAAATAACTAGTAGTAGTTATGAGCACTGACTACTAATGTATCAGGTACTTTTAAAACATTTATTCCTACAACCCTCTCGATAACCCTACCAAATGGGTACTATTTTTATCCCTATTTTTCAAGTTTTAAAAATGAGGATATTTAGGCACAAAGAATTTAAGAGCTTCTGATTCTTGAAATATTGAAATGGGACCCATGCCCGACTAGGCATATGCTTGAGCTTATGGTCTTAACCAATATTCTACACATGGATCAAAAGATGAACACCAGTAAGAATACTAGGAAGCTGTTTAAAAAAAATAAATGAAGACATCAGAAGATAAAATATATTAGTATGAAAATTAACAAATTTGTTAAACTAATTTAAAAATATTTTAGCAATAGAATTATATATTATTTAGAAGAGATAATATATAGAACAAAATGTTCAGAAGTATTAAAAATAAAAGGATGGCAAATATGTATCAGGAAATTGAAAGAAAAAATAGAAAGCATTAAATGCAGATTGCAATAAATAAAAAATAAAGCAACACTACACTAATCAAAGGTATAATCCACAATAAAATATAATAGTCAAGCAATGCTGTCCAATAGAACTTTCTATGACAATGGAAATGTTCTATACTTGTTCAGTCCAAAATGGTAGCTACTAGGCACATGGGGTTTTTGAGCACTGGAAATTCAACTAGAGTATCATATAAACTGAATTTAAAATTTTATTTAATTCTAATTAATTTAAATGTAAAAAGTCACATGTGGTGAGTGCCTACCATAATGGACAGTGTATGTCTAGGTCTCTGTAGAAATATATATGAAGTAATGTTGCTACAATTAAACAGAGTTTAAGAGAAGCATATTTCAGTGTTTTATTATAAAACAATTCTGAAATATTCAATAGACCAAAACAAAATACAATATAGAAAAACTGAATAATTTAATTGCTAAAATTACTTAATAGTTACATATAGAACTTTGCCTCAAGGAATGTGTATTCACATTCAAGGATGTTTACAAATTGTCACCCACAAATAGCCTATTTTTAGATTTCCCCAAAGTAGACATTTTACCAGCTACAATGTAATGACTTAGAAATTTATAACAAAATTTTAGGCAAATATACACCAACAAAAAAAAAAACAAATTGGAAATTTTAGAAGCATTAATCTAAATTTGTGCACGTATATAATGTAAATAAGCTCTACAATTAAAGACAATTACAACATATCAAGATAAACAGGTTGTGGTAAAATTGTACACAAAGGTAACTTCATAACATTTTATTGAAATTAATCAATAAAATAGTGGAAATAAATGAGCTAAGTCACTTACTAAGAGAACAAGATTATAAGAAAAGTCAAGAAAGGAAATAATAAAGATAAAAGGCAAAATTAATGAATTGGAAAATAGAACAAAGTAATAATTTCAAAACCAAATACCTGAGAAATTGAAAGATTAAAAAAAAATACAGGAAAACCCTCAGTATAGTTTTAGGAAACAAAACTGAGAAATATCAAACACCAAAATGTAGAAATGAGAAAGGGAATATAAAAAACAGTCATGGAGGCTGGGTGCGGTGGCTCACGCCTGTAATTCCAGCAGTTTGGGAGGCCAAGGAAGGCGGATTACCTGAGGTCCGGAGTTCGAGACCAGCCTGGCCAACATGGTGAAACTCCATCTCTACTAAAAATACAAAAATTAGTCAGGCATGGTGGTGGGTGCCTGTAATCCCAGCTACTCGGGAGGCTGAGGCAAAAGAATCACCTGAGCCCAGGAGGTGGAGGTTACAGTGAGCAGAGATCACGCCACTGCACTACAGCCTGGGCGACAGAGTGAGTCCCTGTCTCAAAAAAAAAAAAAGAAAAAAGAAAGAAAAAAGAAAAAAAGCAGTCACAGAGATGCTTTTAAAAATATTATTATAATCATATGCTAAAACATTTTGAAATCTGACTAAATGGATTATTTCTAGCAAAGTAAAAGTTACCAACATTGACTTGAGAAGAAATAAGAAAACTTCTGGCTATAACAGTAACTTCTAAAACTATGATTATTACAAATTATCTCCAAAAAATCCACCATGTCCATAGAGCTTTACAGATGAGTTCTATCAAGTTTTCAAGAGACAGAATACTGTTGCTCTAGAAACATTTCAGACCATGAGAAATGTAGAAACGTAAGACTGATTAAAAATCTGACAAGGAAAGATTATAGAAAAAATGATAGACTAAGCTATTCTTAAATTCATAGGCAAAAATCAACATTGAATTGAAGCAAATCAAGACTATTAAGACAGCTGCTGAGGCCAGGCCTGGTGGCTCACTCCTATTAATCCCAGCACTTTGGAAGGCCAAGGCAGGGGGATTGCTTGAGCCCAGGAGTTCAAGACCAGCCTGGGCAACACAGTGAGACCTCCTCACTACTAAAATGTTAAAAAAGTAGCCAGGCATGGTGGCACACACCTGTAGTTCTAGCTACTCAGCAGGTTGACGTGGGAGGACGACTTGACTCTAGGAGGTGGAGGCTGCATTGAGCCATGTTCGTGCCATTGCACTCCAGCCTGGGCAATAGAGTGAGACCCTGTCTCAAAAACAAAAAAACAAACAAACAAAAAAAAACCACCAAACGATCTGCTGTATATTGAAAAATGACACACCTTGGAAACATAAAATTTACCTAGGATTTAGTACTAGAAATTTTACTACTTTGATTAAGCACTTGAATATGTCAAAGGAGAAAAATATTATTTCAAGTAGATACTAAACAAACATTTGTGTACAAAAGATTTGAAAAGACACTTCAAAAGTAAAATATACAGAGAGCAAAAAAAAAACCCATAAAAAGGTGCTTGACATCACTAGTCATTAAGGAAATGCTAATCAAAATTACAATGGGACACAATTACACACCTATTAAAATAACTAAATTTTAAAAATTAACCATACCAGGTGTTGGTGGTGAGAATGCAGAGAAACTGGAACTCTCACAGACTGCTGGTGGGAGTATAAAATGGCACAACCACTTTGGAAAACAATTTGGCAGGTCCTTTAAAAGTTAATTATACATCTCCCATACACTCCAGCCATTCCAAGAGAAAAGAAAGTATATATCCATAAGAAAGACTTACACATAAATTACCAACCCAGTTTTCAATAGTCCAAAACTGGAATCAGCCCAAACGTCCATTAGTGGTTGGATAGATAAACAAATTGTGGCATACCCATACAATGGAACACTATTCAGCAATAAAAAGGAATTAATTACTTATATAAGCAACCATATAGGTGAACCCAAAATAATTATCCTGAAAGAAGCCAGACTAAAAGAGAGTACACACTGTATAATTCAATTTATATGAAATTCTAGAAATTACAAACTAGTCTATAATGACAGAAAGCATGTCAGTGGTTGCTTGGGGATAGGAGACAGAGAGGGGCTAGAGGGAGGGGTTGAAAAACACAAGGTAACTTTTGGAGGTGATGAGTATATTCATCATGTTGATTTTAATGATAATTTCACAGGTGTATACATATGTCAAAAGTTACCTAATTATACAGTTTAACTGTGTGTACTTCATTGTGTGTCAATTGTACCTTTTAACAAAAGGATGGAAGTGAAAGAATAAAAAAAGATTTAACAGAAACATTCTGAAAGAACACTAGTACACACTAGCTAGAATAGACTTGACAGCAAAAGAGATTTCAAGGTAAAGAGGCTCTTCATAAAGTGGTAAATGAAAAATTCACCAGGAATATGTAAAGATCCCAAATGTGTGTGCATTCAACAGAGTAGCATCAAAATATATAAAGCAAAAAATGGAAAGTACTACTAGGAGAAATTGTGGAAATGATACTCATAGTAATACAAAGGAAGATGACTCTCTCAGAAATCAAGTATATAGCAAGGAAATAGAAGACTTTGACAACACAATTAACAAACCTTAATTAATTGAAACAGAAAATTTCTGCACCCACCTAAGACAATTGAGCTTATTTTCAAATATTCATGGAACATTTACAATAATGACCATGTAATAGTTCACGAAGAATATCTCAACACCAAAGAACTAATATCATACAGCCCATGTTTTCTAATCACAATTCAGTAACATACAGCTAAAAAATCGTATTTAAATAATAATAAAAATACAGTAGGGATCTAAAAATCACACATCGAGTTTCCAATCACACATATCAGCCTAGATACACACATGTTCACCTCTATACCTTCCCCAAACACTATTAAAATTACAGGGATATAAAAAGGCCAAAACTCACAAAGATAAAGAACTAGGGGGAAAAAAGCCACAGCCACTGTATTTTGGAAGCAGAAATAGAGATGAAATTTACAATGGTAATAAGAAAAACCCCAAAGCAGGACGATTCATACCATAGAACTCCGGAATCACTCAGGAATTAGAACCACTGGTTACCTTTAAAATTGGGTTACAGGTAAATGAAGGCAGAAATAAAGATGTTCTTTGAAACCAACGAGAACAAAGACACAACATACCAGAATCTCTGGGACACATTCAAAGCAGTGTGTAGAGGGAAATTTATAGCACTAAATGCCCACAAGAGAAAGCAGGAAAGATCTAAAATTGACACCCTAACATCATAATTAAAAGAATTAGAAAAGCAAGAGCAAACACATTCAAAAGCTAGCAGAAGGCAAGAAATAACTAAGATCAGAGCAGAACTGAAGGAAATAGAGACACAAAAAACCCTTCAAAAAATTAATGAATCCAGGAGCTGGTTTTTTGAAATGATCAACAAAATTGATAGACTGCTAGCAAGACTAATAAAGAAAAAAAGAGAGAAGAATCAAATAGACGCAATAAAAAATGATAAAGGGGATATCACCACTGATCCCACAGAAATACAAACTACCATCAGAGAATACTATAAACACCTCTACGCAAATAAACTAGAAAATCTAGAAGAAATCGATAAATTCCTCGACACATACACCCTCCCAAGACTAAACCAGGAAGAAGTTGAATCTCTGAATAGACCAATAACAGGCTCTGAAATTGTGGCAATAATCAATAGCTTACCAACCAAAAAGAGTCCAGGACCAGATGGATTCACAGCCGAATTCTACCAGAGGTACAAGGAGGAACTGGTACCATTCCTTCTGAAACTATTCTAATCAATACAAAAAGAGGGAATCCTCCCTAACTCATTTTATGAGGCCAGCAGCATCCTGATACCAAAGCCGGGCAGAGACACAACCAAAAAAGAGAATTTTAGACCAATATCCTTGATGAACATTGATGCAAAAATCCTCAATAAAATACTGGCAAACCGAATCCAGCAGCACATCAAAAAGCTTATCTACCATGATCAAGTGGGCTTCATCCCTGGGATGCAAGGCTGGTTCAATATACGCAAATCAATAAATGTAATCCAGCATATAAACAGAATCAAAGACAAAAACCATATGATTATCTCAATAGATGCAGAAAAGGCCTTTGACAAAATTCAACAACGCTTCATGCTAAAAACTCTCAATAAATTAGGTACTGATGGGACGTATCTCAAAATAATAAGAGCTATCTATGACAAACCCACAGCCAATATCATACTGAATGGGCAAAAACTGGAAGCATTCCCTTTGAAAACTGGCACAAGACAGGGATGCCCTCTCTCACCACTCCTATTCAACATAGTGTTGGAAGTTCTGGCCAGGGCAATTACGCAGGAGAAGGAAATAAAGGGTATTCAATTAGGAAAAGAGGAAGTCAAATTGTCCCTGTTTGCAGATGACATGATTGTATATCTAGAAAACCCCATTGTCTCAGCCCAAAATCCCCTTAAGCTGATAAGCAACTTCAGCAAAGTCTCAGGATACAAAATCAACGTGCAAAAATCACAAATATTCTTATACACCAATAACAGACAAACAGAGAGGCAAATCATCAGTGAACTCCCATTCACAATTGCTTCAAAGAAAATAAAATACCTAGGAATCCAACTTACAAGGGACATGAAGGACCTCTTCAAGGAGAACTACAAACCACTGCTCAATGAAATAAAAGAGGATACAAACAAATGGAAGAACATTCCATGCTCATGGGTAGGAAGAATCAATATCGTGAAAATGGCCATACTGCCCAAGGTAATTTATAGATTCAATGCCATCCCCATCAAGCTACCAATGACTTTCTTCACAGAATTGGAAAAAACTACTTTAAAGTTCATATGGAACCAAAAAAGAGCCCGCATCGCCAAGTCAATCCTAAGCCAAAAGAACAAAGCTGGAGGCATCACGCTACCTGACTTCAAACTATACTACAAGGCTACAGTAACCAAAACAGCATGGTACTGGTACCAAAACAGAGATATAGATCAATGGAACAGAACAGAGCCCTCAGAAATAACGCCGCATATCTACAGCTATCTGATCTTTGACAAACCTGAGAAAAACAAGCAATGGGGAAAGGATTCCCTATTTAATAAATGGTGCTGGGAAAACTGGCTAGCCATATGTAGAAAGCTGAAACTGCATCCCTTCCTTACACCTTATACTAAAATTAATTCAAGATGGATTAAAGACTTAAATGTGAGACCTAAAACCATAAAAACCCTAGAAGAAAACCTAGGCAATACCATTCAGGACATAGGCATGGGCAAGGACTTCATGTCTAAAACACCAAAAGCAATGGCAACAAAAGACAAAATTGACAAATGGGATCTAATTAAACTAAAGAGCTTCTGCACAGCAAAAGAAACTACCATCAGAGTGAACAGGCAACCTACAAAATGGGAGAAAATTTTCGCAACCTACTCATCTGACAAAGGGCTAATATCCAGAATCTACAATGAACTCCAACAAATTTACAAGAAAAAAACAAACAACCCCATCAAAAAGTGGGCGAAGGACATGAACAGACACTTCTCAAAAGAAGACATTTATGCAGCCAAAAAACACATGAAAAAATGCTCACCATCACTGGCCATCAGAGAAATGCAAATCAAAACCACAATGAGATACCATCTCACACCAGTTAGAATGGTAATCATTATAAAGTCAGGAAACAACAGGTGCTGGAGAGAATGTGGAGAAATAGGAACACTTTTACACTGTTGGTGGGACTGTAAACTAGTTCAACCATTGTGGAAGACAGTGTGGTGATTCCTCAGGGATCTAGAACTAGAAATACCATTTGACCCAGCCATCCCATTACTGGGTATATACCCAAAGGATTATAAATCATGCTGTTATAAAGACACATGCACACGTATGTTTATTGCGGCACTATTCACAATAGCAAAGACTTGGAACCAACCCAAATGTCCAACAATGATAGACTGGATCAAGAAAATGTGGCACATATACACCATGGAATACTATGCAGCCATAAAAAATGATGAGTTCATGTCCTTTGTAGGGACATGGATGAAATTGGAAATCATCATTCTCAGTAAACTATCACAAGGACAAAAAACCAAACACCGCATGTTCTCACTCATAGGTGGGAATTGAACAATGAGAACACATGGACACAGGAAGGGGAACATCACACTCTGGGGACTGCTGTGGGGTGGGGGGAGGGGGGAGGGATAGCATTAGGAGATATACCTAATGCTAAATGAGGAGTTAATGGGTGCAGCACACCAGCATGGCACATGTATACATATGTAACTAACCTGCACATTGTGCACCTGTGCCCTAAAACTTAAAGTATAATAATAATAAAATAAAATAAAAATTAAAATAAAAAAATAAAATAAATTAAATTGGGTTACAGGTAAAATTGAAAATAGCACACAAATTAGCTGCATTTTAAAAAGCAGTTAGGGACATGTATCTCTTCCCTAACTCAAACAATCTGGAAACTACTCCCATTTCAGTAAAAGTCTGCAGACCTATTCTCTGGCAGTGATGAATCAAAGGAACCCTGGACTTGCGGCTGGTCAGAGAAAAGGATGCTGCACTGTAGACAGAACAATAAAGTAAAAATCTACTGCCTGATGAGTGAGATCCCACTGAGAAGCCAGCATTAAATATCCCAGGAGGGAGATGGAAAACTTCTCCCTGGGAAACTGAGCTCAAAGAAGAGGCTCAAAGCTACTGAGATTTGTACCCCCCACCTGACCCAGATAACTCATCCCAGTGATCCTACATTAAAGTCCACACTCTATAAGGCCCTCCTCCCCCAACATCCACACAGGAATCCAGAGCTATCAATTAGCTCTTTTTTACATGGTGGAAGCAAAGGATCCTCAGACCTTCGAGAAAGCCTCTAATGTGAGTGATAGGTGAATACCAAAGAGGAATTGAAGAAAATAGAAGTAAATCAGTGAGAAGATACTTCAAAAAACTATAATATCATCCAAGAGATAAAAAAGATATGGCATTCAGGAAAGTAGAACAGGGTTTTATTTTTAAAAAGAAAGAAATAAAAATCAGATCATAGAAATTAAAATCATGATAACAGTAATTAAAATGTAGGAGAAGGATTAGAAATTTAGAAGAAGGATTAGAAGTTGACAATCTTGACCAGAAATTAAAACAAACAATTGGGAAAACTAGAGAGGAAGAGAAAAACATTAGAAAATAAGTTTAAGAGGTCTAAAATCCAAATTATTAGAAATTTCAGAAAGAGAGCAGAGAATAGTGTAGGGAGAAAAGTATATAAGAAATAATACAAAAATAAATTTCCTAAAATTTAAGAAATTTCCAGATTAAAAATTCCTGTCAAGTACCCAACACAACAGAGTCCTTCAGTGAGGTTAAGTACTACTCTGTTTTATTATATGGCTACAACATGGTGTACCATTAATAGTTAACTATATACCAGCAAGAAATACAGATAGAGATATTCCTGTCAAGGACCATCAAGATACATGAGGAAAGCATCCCAGAGCATCTTTGTATCATTATAGGATCAACTTCCCTATGTCACCATGAGGAAATACTCATAGAAATGTTCTGCCATATAATAAAAAAAGGACAAATACCATATGATTTCACTCATATGAGGTACTTATGGTATTCAAAATCATAGAGATAGAAAGTGGAATGGTGGCTGCCAAAACCTTGCTGGGAGGAAAGAAGGACAAGTTGTGTTTAATGGGTACAGAGTTTCAGTTTTGCCAGATGAGAAAAGTTCTGGAAATGGATGGGGATGGTGGTTGCACAACGATGCGAATGTATTTAATGCGACTACACTGTACACTTAAAAGGATTAAAATAGTAAATTTTGTTACACATATTTTACCACAATTAAAAAGCATTAAATAAGGTATTTGGGAGTTATTGGGAAGCAAAACATTCAAAATTTTTTCTTTTGTAAAATAAGGAAAGAATGAAAGAACACTTCTATTTAACATTCTCAACTGCATATATATTGATGTGCACACACATAAAAACATAATGTGTGTATAGCATTTTTCACTCAATATTTAACTTTGTTATTTCATACTGACTCCAAATTCATAGGTGTTTATGCAGATAATCACATGACTACATATAGTAACTCAGACTGTAATTTTACTAAAAATGGCTTTATGTTCATGGGTGGTTATACTTAACCTAGCATCTTTTGTCTTATAATTACATAGCTTAAAATAAATGACTAATGTGCAGACATTAAAAATGAAAAACAGAAATATAGCTGGGTGGTCAGACAAGCTTTGCATTATTTAAAGAGAATGTTCCGGAATGGTAAATTTATAATAGCATATGTTCAGAATACAAAACAATGAAAAATATCCCCCCTTTATAGTTTTCTGCTTACAAACATCTCTTCTTATCTCTCTCTTCTCCTATTATCCTCTTATCGGGTTAGAAACAAACTTTGAAAAGTTATCTTCTACTCTATCACAGCTTTGAATGAGGATCAGTATTACACCATACTATTTATAGCCTCTAAGCAGGGAGATTTTCTGAGCTCGCTGATAACTTAGGTCTGCTTGAACTATCTTCTCTTAAGTAATCAAAGCTCTTTATTTCTTTCCCACTTTGCATTTAGTGGAAAAAGAAACAGTTGAAGTCTATGTTTTAGGTTCAAATTATTTTTTAATGTACTCATTGAAGAAACATTTTAAAGTAGATTATCGCTAAAAACAATAGTCTTGTATACCATATGAAACCATGTATGTGCCATTCTAGATAAGGAAAAACTTTCGTTGACAGAGAAAAGATCAGTAGCAGTTGTCTGGGGTCAGGGGTGAGAAGAGGAGATTCACTGTGAAAGGCCATAAGGGAACTTCTTAAAAAAAAAAAAATTCAGTAGTTTTAGTAGTACAAGCGCTTTTTGGTTACATGGATAAATTGCACAATGGTGAAGTCTGGGCTTTACTGTATACCCATCACCTGAAGAGTGTACATTGTACCCAATAGGTAATTTTTCATCCCTCACATGGAACTTCTTGATTGAGGTGCTGGTAACCAATTGTACACAATACCACAATGTATCACATTGTACACTAAAAATGGGTGAATTTTATTGTGTGTAAATAATATCTTAATTTTAAGAATTGCTTTGTTAAAAAAATACCAACCCTGTAGTCTCACTACTAAAACACTATCAGTATTAATACATTGGTGTGTTTTCCAACACCATTTCTCACAGACACTTATTTCTTCATTTGTAAACATAATTTGGATGATATAGTTTTTTGTAGCTTGTTTTTATTGTAAGCACTTGTTACATTACATGGTCTTGGAAAACAATCATTTTCAATGGCTACCTAATATTCAATCAAGTAATAGGAATTACTGAATGGTCAAAACTATTTAACCACTTGTCTATTGATAGCCACATTGGTTGTCACCAATTATTTAGTTACATAACTATTACTGAGAAAAAAATTTTGTGCACGAAGTTCTTTTTTTCTATAGGCTTCAAAATTCAGAAGTATTTTTAGGATATATTTCCAGAAGTACAATATTGAGCCAAAGGGTATAAACATTTTTTTTTTTTTTTTTGAGACAGAGTCTTGCTCCGTCACCAGGATGGAGTGTAGTGGTGCGATCTTGGCTCACTGCAACCTCCGCTTCCCAGGTTCAAGCAATTCTCCTGCCTCAGCCTCCCGAGTAGCTGGGATTACAGGCGTGTGCCACCATGCCCAGCTAATTTTTCTATTTTTAGTAGAGATGGGGTTTCACCATGTTGATCAGATTGGTCTGGATCTCGTGATCTCATGATCCACCCGCCTCGGCCTCCAAAAGTGCTGGGATTACAGGCATGAGCCACAGTGCCTGGCCAGGTATAAACAGTTTTAAGGCTCTTGCCAAACTCTAGATTCTTGCCAAAAAAGCCATACTAATTTACACTGCTTCCAGCAACGCTTAATGACCTTGTCACCTCCCCAGAGTTGGATATATTATTTTTTTAATCTTAAAGACTTCCTAATGACCTCTCCCCACAACCTTTCAGCCATAATTACCTCCTCCATTTTTGTGTGTGTGTGTGTCAAGCTTTTAACAACTTTTCCTTTTTTGGTCCCTTTCATTCCTCATTTTCTCTTCCTTCTTCCCTCCTCTCATCCACCAGGTCCCCTTACCTCTCCCACTGGTTTCTACTATAATTGATGTTTTTCTTCCTTATTGAGTGGAAAACCTCCACTGTAATATAAATTGGGAAGGAAGCTGTTGCTTTGACCAAAACAGAACTTAAGGCATGAGAAAAACCAAAACAAAACAGCTCTTCCCTGGAACATAGCATGGCCAGAGAAACCAAAAGCATTTCAAAACCAAACTGGAGTGTCAGAGACCAGATATTGAAGACTGTCTTAGGGAGAGGGAGTCTGGGAGGGCAGAGCACTCAAGGAGACAGATGTGAAAGCTGTCAAACTTCCTGACTACATTCCTACATCAGGGGATAATGCTTGAAGGACAGCAAACCTTAGTCTGATGGTTATATCTTCCCAGATGTAGAGACACAGGTTCTGACTGTGTCAGGGTCCATGGCCCCTGGACCTTTATATTGAGGCACCTGACCTGCTCTCAGGGTTGCATGACCCCTTGAATAACAGAGGGAAGTGTTAAGGGCAACATGATTTTGTGTCATGGGAAGTCAGGGACCCCGAACAGAGGGACCAGCTGAAGCCACAGCAGAAGAACATAAATTGGGAAGATTTCATGGACATTTATTAGTTCCCCAAATTAATACTTTTATAATTTCTTACACCTGTCTTTACTGCAATCTCTGAACATAAATTGTGAAGATTTCATGGACATTTATCACTTCCCCAATCAATATTCTTGTGATTTCCTATGCCTGTCTTTACTTTAATCTCTTAATCCTGTCATCTTCATAAACTGAGGAGGTATGTTGCCTCAGGACCCTGTGATGATTGTGTTAACTGCACAAATTGTTTAAACAATATGAAATCTGGGCACCTTAAGAACAGGATAACAGCGATTTTCAGGAACAAGGGAGATAATCTTAAAGTCTGGCTGCCTGTGGGCTGGGCAGGACAGAGCCATATTTCTCTTATTACCGAAAACAGGTAAGAGAAATATCACTGAATTCTTTCCCCAGTAAGGAATATTAATAATTAACAGCCCTGGGAAAAGAATGCATTCCCAGAGGGGGCCTCTAAAATGGCCGTCCTGGGAGTGTCTGCCTTATGCAGCTGTAGATAGGGATGAAACACGCCCTAGTCTCGTGCAGCGCCCCCAGGCTTGCTAGGATTAGGAAATTCCAGCCTGGCGAATTCTAGTCAGACCAGTTCTCTGCTCTTGAACCCTGACAATGCGTGCACAGCGGGACATGGAAGTTCATTAGTGATTCTAGTTTCGCCCTGACCTTCTGCCTTGTGATCTTTTGTTGCCCTTGAAGCATGTGATCTCTGTGACCCACACCCTATTCATGCACTCCCTCCCTTTTGAAAATTGCTAACAAAAACTTGCTGGTTTTATGGCTCAGGGGGCATCACGGAACCTGCCGGCATGTGATATCTCCCTCAGACACCCAGCTTTAAAATTTCTCTCTTTTGTACTCTTTCCCTTTATTTCTCAGACCGGCCGACACTTAGGGAAAATAGAAAAGGATCCACGTTGAATTATCAGGGGCGGGTTCCCCTGATAAGTTTGTGAAGGATTCAAGGATTCCAGCATGGTGTAGTGAAAGGAGCATGGACCTTTGAGGCAGACAGACCAGGTCTGACTTTGTAGTTCACCACTTACTAGTTCTTACACATGTTACTTACTTTCTCTGAACCTCTGTTTCCTCATCTGTGAAATATATTATCATTTCCTTTCTTAAATATTTCCCTTCTTAAATATTTCCTTTAAACAGCAAAAACCTGGGGACATAAGAGTAATCTGGCCCTAGTGGAACAAGCACACAATAATCAGCTAAAAGAATAAATAAATTCATAAATTTCCTTCCCCAGTTTGGACTCTAGGGTTAGTTATTTCACTGGCTCTCCTGAAAACCTTCAATTTGCCTATTATGCCCAATTCTGTCAACCTCCAACCCATAGTAGTCATTTGCTTTCACCATTCCTAAGTTTGTACTGAAGGCTGCTAAAAAAATTACATGAATGTTGTTGGTTACCATTATAAACGTATTTGTGATCCAGGGTATTTCTGTTTGCAATTCATTGGATATGTCACCATGAAAAATGCCAGGTAAATATAAGATGAAAAGGCATGGGATTTGATATTGATGGTGAATTCTTATATCAGCAATTAGAGTGCAGGGCTCTTTCCCCTTTGGATCTAGAAGTGGGCAGGAGAAGAGTATAGAGATGATTCCAGGCAGGATGGGACAAAATGGTAATAGCACATTAAAGGAACTGAGAATAATTCTTACTCCTGGAGAAATCTTTCACAAGGTGGAGAACTGTTGTGTGTCTGTAGAAGAATCTGGGGAATCCAATATTCAAAAATCACAGATGAGGAACTGAAGAACTCAAGAGCTAAATATCTAGAAGTAGGGACTAAGCCAACTCTAGTTTTTTAAGCTGTTGCCAATGCTGAAAGTCATTGAAGGATTGTGAATAAAATTTCCTAGTTAGAAATCATAATTGTTAACTTCTGAAAAGAAAGGTTTCTGTACATGTGCCAAATGTTTCCATTCATGTGAACATATAAATTTGAATGTTGTTCTGTGGATCACCTGTTGAAAGCTCAAACTAAGGTGTCTGGACTGTCAGTATTATGCTCGTTTGGTTGCCTTACCAGAAATCCTTGAGTGTAATAATTACCTAAGGAAATTTTTCATGCTGTCTGCAGTGATTTATCACAAGGAATTGTTTGGTGGTTTTACCACTTAGAAATCTATAAAGGAAATGAAGACTGTTCACTTTCTGCAGAAAACCTAACCCATGTACTTAATGCTTACTCTATTGTATTTATTTTATGTACATTATACACTCTTCTAAAACCTTGAACATAGGGGTTTCAAGATGAATTAGTGGCAGTACCCACTGAACACAGTTAACGTTCCGATGTATGCTATGTGGAATATTCCAGTGAAAGAAAAATATTTTTAAAGGTAATAGCAGGACCTTCATGTTAAGATGAAGTAAAAGAAGACATTAATTTCCAACAGTAGAAGACTCAAGTCTGCTTGAGTGTCGCTTCTAGTTTTCCTTCTACATCTTTGATGATCCTTTCCCAGTTTTCCGTCTTTTATACTGATTTCTTTCCATCCCCTTAAAATTACACCTCCCCAGCCCCTATCCAGATCTCTGCTCCTTTTTTCCCTACATACTCTCCCTTGTTTATTATATCTATGCCCATGACTCCAACTACCACTTAATTACTAATGATTTTGAATTTTATCTACAACATTGACTGCTCTATAAAATTCCAGATGTGTATTCCCAACTATTTCCTTCAAGTACTTAAAATTTGATGTCTAAAATTAACTTATCCTCTCACATTCACTTCAGGACTTGCTTTTTCCACTATAATTCCCATCTCAATAACTTTCATTACTATTCACCTAATAATGTAAATTGGAAAACTTGAGTTATCCCTATTTTTCTTCCTCATGACCCATTACTTTTTTTGTTTGTTTTTGGAGACAGAGTCTTGCTCTATCGCCCAGGCTGGAGTGCAGTGGCATGATCTCGACTCTTTGCAACCTCTGCCTCCCAGGTTCAAGTAATTCTCATGCCTCAGCCTCCTGAGTAGCTGGGATTACAGGCATCTGCCACCACACCCAGCTAATTTTTGTATTTTTAGTAGAGATGGGGTTTTGCAATGTTGCCGAGGGTGGTCTTGAACTCCTGAGCTCAGGCAATCCACCTGCTTTGGCCTCCCAAAATGTTAGGATTACAGGTGTGAGCCACTGCGCCAGCCCCATTAATTTCCATGTCATAAAGTCCTACTGATTGTCCTCTCTAGAGATCTCACAGATACACCTGCCAACCCCCCCATCACTCCCCCACCACATCTTCACTGTGACCATCTCATTAGGGCCTCATTATTTTTCACATGGACTATGGTATCAGCTTTCAAACTGGTCTTCCCACTATGAGCAATTCTTCATTCATGCCTCCTCCCAATACCACCAGGGTTCTTGCTTGAAAATAGAGACATCAAAATGTCTGTCAGTCTTTCAATTAAAACTTTCCCAAAGGTTCCCCATTGCTTATGGAGTAAAGTCTAGATAATTTAGAACTATATCCTAGTTTGTCCCCAAATCTGATATTAACTTTTCTTAATCTCATCTCCTTATATTACTCCCTACCTAACTACCAATGGTCACGTCAAAACCATCCCTATCACACTCTAACTTAGCCTACTTCCTTAATTTCTTCTTTTCTTTGCACACCCTCTTCTTTCTGCCTTGGCCAAACCATAAATACCTACATATTTCTATCAGTCGAGGTCCTCAAGTCCAAACTATACTCATTCTAGCAAAAGGACATTTATTATAGGATACTGGTAGTTCACAAAACATATTGAGCGGTATGAAGAAGCTTACAAAGTTCCCAGAAGAGTCAGGGACTTTTGTGTACTCAGATGCCAAGAACAATACCCAAATACCCTAGCCTCCTCTTTCTGACTCAACATCACAGATTTCCCCACCCCTGCATTGCTCACACTAAAGCTCTACTTCTGTCTCCAAAAGGCAAACCCACACACCTACCACTTCCATTGCTCACCTATATATCAATGTCTCCTGTTTACCCCTCTGACTGCTGGAATCTAGGTAATAGGCAAGTGTTTAGCTCCAAGTGAGTCTGGTGAAGAAAGGTTTTTGCCTTCTATATTGGGGATGCAAGAAGTTTCCCAACCATTACAAGAGTGTTTAAACGGTCTAGGCAGCTAGAGAATCTGGCAACTACCCACAACATCCTTCCTCTTTGATGGCCAGATTTATATTTCCCTTCCAAAACTAATCACCAGATTCCTTCAGGCAATTGGCTCTCAATCTCATGAGGCATACCCCTGCCATGGCCCTCAGCATGCTGTACTGGAATTATGCATTTGCATTTCCCTCACTTATAAATTCCAAAAAAATCCTTGAGCATCATGGGTATGCCTGATCTTTCTTTACATTATTCTCTTCTCCTTATTTAACATATAGCCAATGTCTGGCAGATGGCAAGCACTTAATAAATTTTCTTTTTGGAAAAAGTGAGTAAAAATTGGAGTCATAATTCAAATGTTCTTTATCTGCAAATATTTTAGTGATATACCTTTAGCTGAATTCTTTTACTTAATATTCCCAATTCAAGGGAAGATTTTCAACTCTGCTGCAATAATATAGCATTTTAATACACAAAGTGTTTAACCAATACTAAAACCCTTTTAAATAGTATGTGGTTTTCTAATATGCCCTAGCAAAGCTGGAACTCTAGCATGAGTGTTCCCAAAGCTTAACAAAACACAAGCAATTTGAATTCAGGATTCCATGATGTCATTAACAAAGATGTGACTTTGAAACGGAAACAGAATAGTGGGGAAGATTTCTGAGAGGAGACTTCAACTGTAAAAGTCATTTTAAATGAATTCTATTTGTTTCGTTAATAATCATGGGATTTGCATTGATGTTACATTGCCTTTACTTTAAAGCAGTCTCCATGGATCTGCTGACAGCTTCATGAGCTGATTGTGACAACAGTCTATGTCCAATGAAAAGAAATGGGCAAGTAGGGAGTACGTATTTTTATAAGTGAACATAAAGAGAACAATGAATATGCAAGTTCCCTTTCTACCTTTGAAATATATATGCTTAGCTTTTTGAAAGAAAATTTGGTCATTCAGAGCCAATTCAAGGTATTTAACGTCCATCTTTGATAGCCATTTAGTCTAAATTGTGAATCCATTAGTTCTGTGAGAAAAACAATTCACATAGAGCCTGAATGGTCCCTCCCTGCCCCTGTTCCCTAAGTTGTGGCCCTAATTCCATGGCTCTACAGTCTTGTAGAGTAGACAATGTATGTGAGGGATGAGGGGTGGTGTAGGGGAGACATAACACAACAAATACCAAATATATTAGAAAACACTTGCTTGAAAAATGTGCATCTCAGATCCACCTTGATCATTGAGAATAAAGGAAAAAACAAAGTCAATTTTTATATTCAAACCCACTCTTCTCCCCACATTTTTAAAGATGAAAACAAAAGAAAATGAGAAACTCAACACTGAGCCAAGATCATTCATTCTCTCTCAAGTAACAAAACTTCTTTAATATGAAAGGAAAACCATACTAACTTCCCTATCCTAAAGGCACTTACTGTATTCATGAGCTTTTCATTAAAGAGAAGAAAGAATCTAGTTCAAATTCCTACAATATTTATCATCACAGGCACTATACAGGGCTAGTTTAAACGTACTGAGAGCATTTCAGTTACAATATAGATAATCCGCTTTCCAATTATAACAGCTCAGTTTAATTTCATGGTAGACTTGGCGAGTGAGGAAGGATAGACAGGCATTCATCCATAGTCTTGATACAGTTCTTGGCTTAATTTCACCAATATACAGGGTGAGCTATGAGGAACCATTAATTAATGTCCAAAAGACCATGTGGAAGATGGATGTTTATTCAATGAAATGACTATTTTCTCAGCCTGTTTCCACACTGTGTGAATAAGGATTTTCCATCAAATGAAGAAAAGAGAACTTTTCAGAAATGTCTGTGCTTCTAAACATTAGGCTGAAATTCAGACAGTTCTCCTAATAAATTCTGACAGTGTTTATACATGTTTTTAATCTAATCATTTATGTATTCTTTTTTCTTCTAAAATAATTAATCTGTTAATGCTTGTAGCTTTGGCAAATAGCAGAATTGTGTTTTTACAGCTATGGTTGCCCCAGCCTATACATAGTTGTCACTTCTGTTTTCCTACAATACTTCAGCACTAGATTTCTCTTCCTCACCCTTTCATCTGCATCCTTCCTTGCTCTATTTTTCTTCCTTTTTCTCTTTCCCTCTCTTCTGTTCTTCTACCTTTCTCCATTAGCTATTATCATAATATAGAACTGAGATGTTTTTATTTATGAAATATCTTGCACCTTAAATAAAGTGGAAACCATGATAATACTAACTACGTTGGGTTCTTGTGAGGATTAAATAATATACATAAAATGCTTAGAACAATGCCAAGGAGAGATGAAAAGCTATGTAAGGATAAGTTAGCAAGAATTATCTTGATTTTTGGTAGTTATTGAATAACATTTTATAATCCTTGTTATTAATTTAGAAGAGAATGTGTAAACAATGGTTTTTCATCTATTGAGGACAGCAACAAAAGCTCTACCCTACACCCCAGAAAACTGCCTATATACACAACATTTTGCACATTACATCAGAGCTCTCATCGATATCTTTCATCCCTCTATTGACTCCTTAGTTGCCCATAAACCTTACTTAAGAAACTCTGCTCGATAGAGAAAAAGTTTTCCTACCCTGACTAGTACCAGATTACACAAATGAAAAACAAGCTATGTGCTTAGAACACTACCAAGCGGGTGGGAGAGAGGGTAGAGGAGGGAGAGAGAGGGCTCTTTGAAAAAAATTGGTTATTGATACTTCTATAAATAAATAAAATATTTACCATGGGGAAAAAAGTAAGACAATGTGGCATGTTTTTGTACTTCTTTTAGGGTTTGGCATTATTTTATTTTGCATTACATTGGAGGAGTTCATTTTTTTAGGTGTCAGAGCCATGATCCATCCATACCCTGCCTGAAGACTGAAAATGGTGTGGTCAAGTGGAAACAGCAGAGATTCTGCAAGCAAGAGAACTGGAGTTTGTGTTTGGATTCTCTTTTTCCACTTCCTTGCTTTGGACAAGGCACTACATCTCTCAGAACCCTTGCTTCCTTGGCTCTCTGAGGGTAAGATCACCTACCTCTTATGCTTATTGGGGAGAATACAAGATCGGTGTGGTAAGGTGCTTAATAGTTACAGGTTCCCTTGACTTTGTTTTTTTAACAGTAAAATTGTGCTGAATAAATAGATCATGGTGAAGCGTGTTGCTCACATTATTTTAATGGCAATTTTAGAGACTGTCACTCCATGATTTCTGTGCATTATTGATCATGAGTGACAGGTTTTGTATTTTTTTAACTGCAAAATTTGAAATTAGAAATATTATCATAGCATACTGTTGCTACTCTGAGAATTGAGACATCCTTAAACAACAGAAGGAAATTGTCCATGTGACTATTTTCTTTTATTTTATAGGGGAAGATATGGAGAAAAAAAAAGGCTGAGAATAGGACAAGAATGAAAAGGCAAAACTGCAATTTCACATAAATTCCTTCTGCTTATGCCATTTGCAGTAATTAATGTACTGTAAATAGGACAATTTTTTGTATTTTATAAATAAATTTTCACTGTGAGGAAAAAGTGCCATTTCCTTTACTTCCCATCCACATATTGTGCCGAAAGTGCACTTTTTATTATTATTATTCTGTACTTTTAAATATTTCTACACAATTTATCAAATATCCACCCAGAAACCCTAAATATTGAGGTGGATATCTCTGAAAACAATTGTCAGAATTCCTTTCCTTTTGAACACCCATCCCACCAGGCATGAGGATTAAAGGCAGATATTTGGGTATCATGTGATTCTCCTTTGGGAGATAATGACACACATGCAGAGGCTGAACAATGTAAATAGGCTAACATCTTGGAAAATCATCCCAAAAAATTTGTGTATAAGGATTTAAAGATTTCTTCTCTTTCTTTTTTCCTTTCTAACCTTGATGATTACTGTACTTATCTTTTCTTATTTCCCCACTCTCCCTTTGACAAAACCAAAGATGATACTTGGTTTTCTAATTTCCCTATCTGAAGCATTCTATATGAGATATACAAGTTTCGTTCTCCTTTTCTTCTTGTGGTGGGAAGAAAGCTCACACTTTTCATTTGAGACACTGAATCTAATGAACAATAACATTTATATGAAATGCCACCTATTCCATCAATAAGCATTATTGAAGATCTATTATATGCACCAACATTAGGCACTAGGGGCACAAATATATGTTAGATATAATTAGTGTCCTTTACACATGAACTGTCTAAGACGAGAGACAAATGTTTAAGTAAGTTTTATAACAGGAATACACTCTTTAATACAGGCATGCACTCAGGAGTTTGCTGACACAGAGAATGACATGATGAATTCTGCTTAAAAGAAAGGGGTATGAGAGATACGATCTCAGGAAGCTAAGATGTGGAAAAGAATCTTAAAAGGTGAGGGAAGACTAGATCATTGGAAACACCCCTCCAATGAGGGACAAACTGGACAAGCTGTTTAAAACAACTTGTTGAGAAAAGCTGGAAAAGTTGTTTAAAACAGCTGCTTTAAGGCATTGAACTGCTAACAAGGGATTAAACAACTTTAACTTCAAGGAACTGGGAGCAGACAGAACTGCAGAGAGGTAAGCCTGCCATTTGGGTATTCCTTCTCCTTTAAGACATTTGTCAAGCCCAAATGAGGGAACGAAGAAGCTGAGAAGTTGAGCAAAATGTCTGACAGTTTCCTAAGTCTAGGAGAACAAAATTGGGAGTCCAGGATCACCAAAGAAAGTGAGAGCCTACTCACCATGCAAGGCTGTGGAGTGGGACCTTGAGGAGTTGCAGAGGAAGAGTCAAGGTAAGTTGGAAAAACATTATTCCTCCCAGGGACTCCAATCCAAGTGCCAGGCACATGGTGATATGCAATAAATGATTGTTGAACAATTGATTAAATGATCACATCTGTGAATCAAGGGAGTGATGGCCCCTCTTCTGCCAGCTGCCCCATCAGAGAGCACACAATAGCTGGATGGCCAAGTGGCAGAAGGCAAGTTGGCACCAAGTGCCAAAAGAATGTGAATCCACAGAGTCAGGGTTCTGAGGTAGGAGGAATTAGGCAACAAGAGAAAGAGGGTGGAAGGGACATACAGCTAAGACCGGGATATACAGCTAAGACCATCATCTCTAGCCAACTCTGTTCCACTTGGAAAACAGGAGAGAGAGTGGGGAGAGAGAGAGAGAAAAGAGTGTGTGTGGAAAGAGAGAGAGAGATGGGGAGAGGGAGGGAGAGATGGGGAGAGGACAGGAAGAGTGGGGGGATGGTGGTAGACCACAACTTAGTTAAGAAACAGGGCAAACTTCATTATATTACATATCAATCATAGTTTTCTACACTTGTACAGAAAATTTACTCCTGAAATCCACTACAATATTAACTATTAATATCAATTTCAATTTGCACCACACTGGAACTAGTTTCATTTTAACTATGGTCTGTGGGGATCTCGATCTCTCTTGATTTCTAATCCTACTCTAGATCCCCATTATTTAAGGGCTTGAATCTCCAAATTAAACTGTTTTCTTACCTGATTGAAATTGTTTTCCTTCCTTGTTAAAACTTATCCACATTCTAAAAACTTAAGGTTTCATGTTAACCACTCAGAAGTGAGAGTTGTTCAAATCTGTGCATGATTTTCTGAAAAATTAGAGTTGTGAGTGAACAAAGGCCAAGTTTTCATTTTGTAGCTGAATGATAAATGAGGTGAAACTAGGATAGCTTTTATAAAAAATGCAAAATAAAGATTTGTCTTTCTCTTCCTCTCATGCTTAGAAGAATAAGCTGAGTGCCCTAAAAAGCATATTTATTCAAACAGCAAATCTGGTCTTATTGAACTGTTCTCTGTGGGTGCCACATGTTTACAAATATCCTTATCCTAAATTTCTTTCTTTTCTCTCAAGCTAATATCCTGTATGGTGTGCATTAATGCAAAATTGTTTAAAGGGTGAAAAATCAAAAGTCAGGAAATGCCCAGTTAAGGATCTTAAGAACAGTGAGAACTTGGCCACACTGCATACCCTGGGCAAATTATGACACAGTTTTTACCACATGAACAGAACTGTATTGAAGGTATAAATTTAACAAGGAAAAGAGGAATAGAAAAATTACATTCAGGCCACAACACCCACGTAATTAGGGTGTAGAAGTTTTGGAATTTCCTGACAACTTTTCTAAAGTTTGGTCTTTGCACAGAAATATTGTGGTAACATAGTTTTTTCATTTAATTTCCACGAGTTTACAAGAGAAGAAAGCATTCTAGAGAAATCCTCAATTTAGCAGTTCCTAAGCTCAATGTTCTTAATTCATGTATCTTTATAGAACTGCAATGGAACAAAACCAATCAAAGCAAAAGATTAATATGTCTTTATAGGCTTTCATTCTTTACATTGTATTGAGATTTTTTCCTGAGCTATGATGAACATACTGCTAAAGTGAAGTTTTAAGTTTGTCATTTGGAAATGTGAAAGCATAGGCATTTGTGCTTTAAAAAAATTTTTTTGAGCAAAAAATAAATGGTTAAAGGCGAGTGAAGAAGAATCTGAACTGAGGAACCCTCATTCATTCTCATTTTCTTTCCCAGCCAAAGTCTTAATGGTTGAAGAATTAAGTTTACACAAGGATAACTCTTTAGTACGCTTTCTCGCTCTATATGTGCAAATAATAATCACATGTAGTAATGTGGTTTCCTAGATAAGGTCAGATGAATTCATTTGTATCTTCTGAGAATTAAAAGTCAGTGGCTATTTAAACACAATTTTCCTACCAACTTTCCAAAGAACTTGTAGATTTCCAACAAAATTATTTGTGAAATTCTGAGTGTGAAAAATAATGTATTTTTAATTTTATGTAGGTGTATGGATGCAACTACTCCATCATTAAAACATTTTCTGAATTGCAGATTCAAATGTATAAAAAAGATTATGCAGATTACTACGTTTAATCTAGTTTCATAAAAAGGGTAGAAATTAATTAATTAGGCATTTATTTCTTAAGCAGGGTGAGAAAATTCCATATACAGAATTGTAAAACTTATTACAATTATTATTATTTTTATTACATTTTTAACTTAAAGTTTGTATTTTCTTTTTAATTATACTTTAAGTTCTAGGGTACACGTGCACAACATACAGGTTTGTTACATATGTATACATGTGCCATGTTGGTGTGCTGCAACCATTAACTCATCATTTACATTAGGTATATCTCCTAATGCTTTCCCTCCCCACTCTCCCCACCCCACAACAGGCCCCTGTATGTGTTGTTCCCCTTCCTGTGTCCAAGTGTTCTCATTGTTTAATTCCCACCTATGAGTGAGAACATGCAGTGTTTGGTTTTTTGTCCTTGTGATAGTTTGCTCAGAATGATGGTTTCCAGTTTCATCCATGTCCCTACAAAGGACATGAACTCATCATTTTTTATGGCTGCATAGTATTCCATGGTGTATATGTGCCACATTTTCTTAATCCAGTCTATCATTGTTGGACATTTGGGTTGGTTCCAAGTCTTTGCTATTGTGAATAGTGCCGCAATAAACATACGTGTGCATGTGTCTTTATAACAGCATGATTTATAATCCTTTGGGTATATACCCAGTAATGGGATGGATGGATCAAATGGTATTTCTAGTTCTAGATCCTTGAGGAATCGCCACACTGTCTTCCACAATGGTTGAACTAGTTTACAGTCCCACCAACAGTGTAAAAGTGTTCCTATTTCTCCACATCCTCTCCAGCACCTGTTGTTTCCTGACTTTTTAATGATCACCATTCTAACTGGTGTGAGATGGTGTCTCATTGTGGTTTTGACTTGCATTACTCTGATGGCCGGTGATGATGAGTATTTTTTCATGTGTCTGTTGGCTGCATAAATGTCTTCCTTTGAGAAATGTCTGTTCATATCCATCGCCCACTTTCTGATGGGGCTGTTTGTTTTTTTCTTGTAAATTTGTTTGAGTTCTTTGTAGATTCTGGATATTAGCCCTTTGTCAGATGAGTAGATCGCAAAAATTTTCTCCCATTCTGTAGGTTGCCTGTTCACTCTGATGGTAGTTTCTTTTGCTGTGCAGAAGTTCTTTAGTTTAATTAGATGCCATTTGTCAATTTTGGCTTTTGTTGCCATTGCTTTTGGTGTTTTAGACATGAAGTCCTTGCCCATGCCTATGTCCTGAATGGTATTGCCTAGGTTTTCTTCTAGGGTTTTTATGGTTTTAGGTCTAACATTTAAATCTTTAATCCATCTTGAATTAATTTTAGTATAAGGTGTAAGGAAGGGATGCAGCTTCAGCTTTCTACATATGGCTAGCCAGTTTTCCCAGCACCATTTATTAAATAGGGAATCCTTTCCCCATTTCATGTTTTTGTCAGGTTTGTCAAAGATCAGATGGTTGTAGATGTGTGGTATTATTTCTGAGGGCTCTGTTCTGTTCTATTGGTCTATAGCTCTGTTTTGGTACCAGTACCATGCTGTTTTGGTTACTGTAGCCTTGTAGTATAGCTTGAAGTCAGGTAGCGTGATGCCTCCAGCTTTGTTCTTTTGGCTTAGGATTGTCTTGGGAATGTGAGCTCTTTTTTGGTTCCATATGAACTTTAAAGTAATTTTTTCCAATTCTGTGAAGAAAGTCATTGGTAGCTTGCATCCAAGGATGGCACTGAATCTATAAATTACCTTGGGCAGTATGGTCATTTTCACAATGTTGATTCTTCCTATCCATGAGCATGGAATGTTCTTCCATTTGTTTGTGTCCTCTTTTATTTCATTGAGCAGTGGTTTGTAGTTCTCCTTGAAGAGGTCCTTCACATCCCTTGCAAGTTGGATTCCTAGGTATTTTATTCTCTTTGAAGCAATTGTGAATAGGAGTTCACTCATGATTTGGATCTGTTTGTCTGTTATTGGTGTAAAAAATGCTTGTGATTTTCGCACATTGATTTTGTATCCTGAGACTTTGCTGAAGTCATTAAGGAGACTTTGGGCTGAGACGATGGGGTTTTCTAAATATAGAATCATGTCATCTGCAAACAGGGACAATTTGACTTCCTCTTTTCCTAACTGAATACCCTTTATTTCTTTCTCCTGCCTGATTGCCTTGGCCAGAACTTCCAACACTATGTTGAATAGGAGTGGTGAGAGAGGGAATCCCTGTCTTGTGCCAGTTTTCAAAGGGAATGCTTCCAGTTTTTGCCCATTCAGTATGATATTGGCTGTGGGTTTGTCATAGATAGCTCTTATTATTTTGAGATACGTCCCATCAATACCTAATTTATTGAGAGTTTTTAGCATGAAGTGTTGTTGAATTTTGTCAAAGGCCTTTTCTGCATCTATTGAGATAATCATGTGGTTTTTTCTTTGGTTCTGTTTATATGCTGGATTACGTTTATTGATTTGCGCATGTTGAACCAGCCTTGCATCTCAGGGATGAAGCCCACTTGATCATGGTGGATAAGCTTTTTGATGTGCTGCTGGATTCGGTTTGCCAGTATTTTATTGAGGATTTTTGCATCGATGTTTATCAGGGATATTGGTCTAAAATTCTCTTTTTTTGTTGTGTCTCTGCCAGGCTTTGGTATCAGGATGATGCTGGCCTCATAAAATGAGTTATGGAGGATTCCCTCTTTTTCTATTGATTAGAATAGTTTCAGAAGGAATGGTACCAGCTCCTCCTTGTACCTCTGGTAGAATTTGGCTGTGAATGTGTCTGGTCCTGGACTTTTTTTGGTTGGTAGGCTATTAATTATTGCCTCCATTTCAGAAACTGTTATTGGTCTATTCAGGGATTCAACTTCTTCCTGGTTTAGTCTTGGGAGGATGTATGTGTCCAGGAATTTATCCATTTCTTCTAGATTTTCTAGCTTATTTGCATAGAGGTGTTTATAGTATTCTCTGATGGTAGTTTGTATTTCTGTGGGATCGGTGGTGATATCCCCTTTATCATTTTTTATTGCATCTATTTGATTCTTCTCACTTGTCTTCTTTATTAGTCTTGCTAGCAGTCTATCAATTTTGTTGATCTTTTCAAAAAACCAGCTCCTGGATTCACTGATTTTTTGAAGAGTTTTTGTGTCTCTATCTCCTTCAGTTCTGCTCTGATCTTAGTTATTTCTTGCCTTCTGCTAGCTTTTCAATTTGTTTGCTCTTGCTCCTCTAGTTCATTTAATTGTGATGTTAGGGTGTCAATTTTAGATCTTTCTTGCTTTCTCTTGTGGGCATTTAGTGCTATAAATTTCCCTCTACACACTGCTCTGAATGTGTCCCAGAGATTCTGGTATGTTGTGTCTTTGTTCTCATTGGTTTCAAAGAACATCTTTATTTCTGCCTTCATTTCGTTACATACCCAGTAGTCATTCAGGAGCAGGTTGTTCAGTTTCCATGTAGTTGATCAGTTTTGAGTGAGTTTCTTAATCCTGAGTTCTAGTTTGATTGCACTGTGGTCTGAGAGACAGTTTGTTATAATTTCTGTTCTTTTACATTTGCTGAGGAGTGCTTTACTTCCAACTATGTGGTCAATTTTGGAATAAGTGTGGTGTGGTACTGATGAGAAGAAAGTATATTCTGTTGATTTGGGGTGGAGAGTTCTGTAGATGTCTATTAGGTCCACTTGGTGCAGAGCTGAGTTCAATTCCTGGATATCCTTGTTAACTTTCTGTCTTGTTGATCTGTCTAATGTTAACAGTGGGGTGTTAAAGTCTCCCATTATTATTGTGTGGGAGTCTAAGTCTCTTTGTAGATCTCTAAGGACTTGCTTTATGAATCTGGGTGCTTCTGTATTGGATGCATATATATTTAGGATAGTTAGCTCTTCTTGTTGAATTGATCCCTTTACCATTATGTAATGGCCTTCTTTGTCTCTTTTGATCTTTGGTGGTTTAAAGTCTGTTTTATCAGAGACTAGGATTGCAACCCCTGCCTTTTTTTGTTTTCCATTTGCTTGGTAGATCTTGCTCCATCCCTTTATTTTGAGCCTATGTGTGTCTCTGCATGTGAGATGGGTCTCCGGAATACAGCACACTGATGGGTCTTGACTCTTTATCCAATTTGCCAGTCTGTGTCTTTTAATTGGAGCATTTAGCCCATTTACATTTAAGGTTAATATTGTTATGTGTGAATTTGATCCTGTCATTATGATGTTTGCTGGTTATTTTGTTCATTAGTTGATGCAGTTTCTTCCTAGCCTCGATGGTCTTTACAATTTGGCATGTTTTGCAGTGGCTGGTACCAGTTGTTCCTTTCCATGTTTAGTGCTTCTTTCAGGAGCTCTTTTGGGGCAGGCCTGGTGGTGACAAAATCTCTCAGCATTTGCTTGTCTGTAAAGGATTTTCTTTCTTCTTCACTTATGAAATTCTGGGTTGCAAATTCTTTTAAGAATGTTGAATATTGGCCCCCACTCTCTTCTGGCTTGTAGAGTTTCTGCCAAGAGATCAGCTGTTAGTCTGATAGGCTTCCCTTTGTGGGTAACCCAACCTTTCTCTCTGGCTGCCCTTAACATGTTTTCCTTCATTGTTGATGTGTCTAATATTGACAGTGTGGGAGTCTAAGTCTCTTTGTAGGTCTCTAAGGACTTGCTTTATGAATCTGGGTGCTCCTCCATTGGGTGCATATATATTTAGGATAGTTAGCTCTTCTTGTTGCATTGATCCCTTTACCATTATGTAACACCTTTCTTTGACTTTTTTGATCTTCGTTGGTTTAAAGACTGTTTTATCAGAGACTAGGATTGCAACCCCTGCTGTTTTTGGCTTTCCATTTGCCTTATTTTGAGCCTTTATTTCCATTCCTTTATTTTGAGCCTATGTATGTCTCTGCATGTGAGATGGGTCTCCTGAATACAGCACACTGATGGGTCTTGACTCTTTACCCAATTTGCAGTCTGTGTCTTTTAATTGGGGCATTTAGCCCATTTACATTTAAGGTTAATATTTTTATGTGTGAATTTGATCCTGTCATTATGATGCTAGCTGGTTATTTTGCCCATTAGTTGATGCAGTTTCTTCATAGTGTCAACAGTCTTTACAATTTGGTATGTTTTTGCAGTGGCTAGTACTGATTTTTCCTTTCTATATTTAGTGCTTCCTTCAGGAACTCTTCTAAGGCAGGCCTGGTGGTGACAAAATCTCTCAGCATTTGCTTGTCTGGAAAGGATTTTATTTCTCCTTTGCTTATGAAGCTTAGTTTGGCTGGATATGAAATTCTGGGTTGAAAATTCTTTTCTTTAAGAATGTTGAATATTGGCCCCCACTCTCTTCTGGCTTGTAGGGTTTATGCCAAGAGATCCACTGTTAGTCTGATGGGCTTCCCTTTGTGGGTAACCTGACCTTTCTCTCTGGCTGCCCTTAACATTTTTTTCCTTCATTTCAACCTTGGCAAATCTGACAATTATGTACCTTGGGGTTGCTCTCCTCAAGGAGTATCTTTGTGGTATTCTCTGTATTTCCTGAATTTGAATGTTGGCCTGTCTTGCTAGGTTGAGGAAGTTCTCCTGGAGAATATCCTGAAGAGTGTTTCCCAACTTGGTTCCATTCTCCCCATCAATTTCAGGTACACCAATCAGATGTAGATTTGGTCTTTTCACATAGTCCCATATTTCTTGGAGGCTTTGTTTTTCCTTTTCATTCTTTTTAATCTTGTCTTCATCCTTTATTTCATTAAGTTGATCTTCAATCTCTGATATCCTTTCTTCCACTTGATTGGTTCGACTATTGATATTTGTGTATGCTTCACAAAGTTCTCGTGCTATGTTTTTCAGCTCCATCAGGTCATTTATGTTCTTCTCTAAACTGGTTACTCTAGTTAGCAATTCCTCTAACCTTTTCTCAAGGTTCTTAGCTTCCTTGCATTGGGTTAGAACATGCTCCTTTAGCTGGGAGGAGTTTGTTATTATGCACCTTCTGAAGCATACTTCTGTCAATTTATCAAACTCATTCTCCATCCAGTTTTGTTCCCTTGCTGGTGAGGAGTTGTGATCCTTTGGAGGAGAAGAGGCATTCTGGTTTTTGGAATTTTCAGCCTTTTGGCGCTGGCTTTTCCTCATCTTCATGGATTTATCTACCTTTGGTCTTTGATGTTGGTGACCTTCGGATGGGGTTTCTGTGTGGACATCCTTTTTGTTGATGTTGATGCTATTCCTTTCTGTTTGTTAGTTTTCCTTCTAATAGTCAGGCCCCTCTGCTGCAGGTCTGCTGGAGTTTGCTGGAGGTCCACTCCACACCCTGTTTGCCTGGGTATCACCAGCAGAGGCTGCAGAACAGCAAAGATTGCTGTCTGTTCCTTCCTCTGGAAGCTTCGTCCCAGAAGGGCACCCACCAGATGCCAGCTGGAGCTCTCCTTTATGAGGTTGACCCCTGCTGGGAGATGTCTCCCAGTCAGGAGGCAAGGGGGTCAGACACCCACTTGAGGAGGCAGCCTGTCTCTTAGCAGAGCTTGAGCGCTGTGCTGGGAGATCCACTGCTGTCTTCAGAGCTGGCAGGCAGGAACGTTTAAGTCTGCTGAAGCTGCACCCACAGCCGCCCCCTCCCCCAGGTGCTCTGTCCCAGGGAGATGAGAGTTTTATCTATAAGCCCCTGACTGGGGCTGCTGCCTTTTTTTCAGAGATGCCCTGACCAGAGAGGAGGAGCCTAGAGAGGCAGTCTGGCTACAGTGGCTTTGCTGATCTGCAGTGGGGTCTGCCCGATTTGAACTTCCTGGTGGCTTTGTTTACACTGTGTGGGGAAAACCGCCTACTCAAGCCTCAGTAATGGTGGACGCCCCTCCCCCCACCAAGTTTGAGTGTCCCAGGTCAACTTCAGACTGCTGTGCTGGCAGTGAGAATTTCAAGCCAGTGGATCTTAGCTTGCTGTGGGCTCCATAAGAATGGGATCCACTGAGCTAGACCACTTGGATCCCTGGCTTCAGCCCCCTTTCCAGGGGAGTGAATGGTTCTATCTCCCTGGCGTTCCAGGTGCCACTGGGGTATGAAAAATAACTCTTGCAGCTAGCTTGGTGTCTGCCCAAATGGCTGCCCAGTTTTGTGCTTAAAACCCAGGGCCCTGGTGGTATAGGCACCTGAGGGAATCTCCTGGTCTGTGGGTTGCAAAGATTGTAGGAAAAGTGTAGTATCTGGGCCGGAATGCACAGTCCCTCACAGCACAGTCCCTCACAGCTTCCCTTGGCTAGGGGAGGGAATTCCCCAACCTCTTGCACTTCCCAGCTGAGGCAATGCCCCACTCTGCTTCTGCTCACCTTCCATGGGCTGCACCCACTGTCTAACCATTCCCAATGAGATGAGCTGGGTACCTCTGTGGGAAATGCAGAAATCACCCGCCTTCTGTGTTGATCTCGCTGGGAGCTGCAGACCGGAGCTGTTCCTATTCAGCCATCTTGCCCAGCAACAAAACTTCTACTTGGTTAAAGTTAGAATTTTATTCTTAAATTTATTAAACATTAATATTAATGCTTATTATTAATCACAGTTCTTTTTCCTGAATAGCAATGATATCAGCAGCTAATGCTTATTGACTTCTTACATTGTGCTAAGCCCTTTGCTTATTTATCTCATGTAAGCTACTCAAAAATCCCATATTGGAGATGTTATTACTATCCATTTTACTGAAATGGAGATAGCTGCTTAACAGGGTTTAGGAACTCACATAGTAAGTGCGAGAAATGGTAAAAGGTACACCTTGCTGATGTACACTGAATTCTGTCACATTGCTGGTGAATACCACTCAATAGAAAATATGAAAACAACCACAACATATCTTCTTCATGATCTAGCGCAATTCCAGCATCTGGAGAGTGAAAAGTGTGAGAAAAATGAATTTAGATTCCAGCTATTCCAAATGAGAAGTTGATTGTTGAAGAAACAAACACTGAAATGTTTGATCTTTCATCAGGGGTGTCAATATATTACAAATATTTTAATGTTACTCTAAGGAACAAAAGGGAAAACAGAAATAATCCCTTCACCCTATGATGTGCTAAAAATTGAGAAATGGAAGCTCTCGTTTATTTGGTCAGGTTACTTCCTGAAGGTGATTTTGTAAGGGAAATGTTTGTGATTGGGAAAAGGAAATTCTTATTTTCTTTTGTGGCATTTATTCACACATGGAATAAGTGAATTGAATTTTACAGTTTATAATCTTGTTCACTTATAAACAGCCAATAAGTGGGAGGTATTTGAAAATACAATTAAATGAAAACATCATCTCAAGAACTAATATTATGTGTCTTTAATCTACTGAACTTTCAATTCTTTACTTTAAATTTATTTTCATTTTTGTCCAAGTTATGCATTCACATATTTTAAAGAGTCAAGTACTTTCACAAGGTTTCAATAAAAAACAAAAGTTACCTGCTTCATCCACTCAAATGTTTCCCTTCCCAGAGGCACCATGATAGACATACACTGCAATTTCTGAATTTTTTGTTCTAGTCATTGTCTATCACTCCTGGTATGAAAGATGAAGATTTTGCTTTTGCAAAATCTCACCCCACTCGTACTCCTACATATATTTCTCATCTTCATCCTCCCACTGTATTTATCATGTGATTTTGCTTAGACCATCATTTGGTTTTTACATCATACTGACTCTGTAAATCCTATTTATAACTAAGTTGCCTTATATACTATGACTATTTTTTTTTGCAGCATTCTGTTTTTCTTAAAGTTAGCAATGATGTGGTGTTTGATTGCTTAGCTTTGTGTGTACTTACTACTAATACATTTCCCAATTATCCTCAAGTTGTATGTATCTCTCAGGACATTAGGACAATTTTATATCTCTGGATAAATCCTTCCAGAGTCTGAGCTGCTTCAGTCTGGATTGTTTGCCATCTACACCTGCATTAATTATTTACTGCCACAAACTTGGTGGGTTAAAATAGCACACATTTATTATTTCAGACTTTCCATGGGTTAGGAGTCCAGGCACAGCATAGCTGATTTCCCTGTTTGGGATCTCACTGGATTGAAATCAAGGTATTTGTTAGGGCTGAATTCTCATCTGAGGCTCAGGATCCTCTTCCAAGCTCATGTCACTCTTGGCAGGATTCAGTTCCTTGTAGATATGGGACTGAGGCCGTTGGCTTCTATAGACCACCCACCATTCCCTGACATGTGGTCCTCGCCACATAAATGGCTGTCTGCTTCTTTAAGGTGAGCAGGGGAGAATCTCTGATGTTTCAAATCTCTTTGACTCCTTCCCTCTATGATTTCTAGACTATTTTTAAAAGGCTCATCTAGTTAGGTAAGACTTCATCCCGGACAATCTCCCTATTGATTAGCTTAAAGTCAACTGATTAGGGACTTTAATAACATCTGAAAACCTCTTCATTTTCACCATATAACATAATCACAGGAGTAATATCCCATCGTATTCACAGATCCTGCACACACTCATGTGAGGGGATTCTACAGGGCACATATATCAAGGGGTGAAAATCTTGCGGGTCATCGTAGAATTCTGCTTACCATTATACCTAATAACTGGAAGCCACCCAGAACTCTCCATTCATTATCATCACAGAGATTCCCTCAGCCTTTCTCTTGAATTGAATTCTCTGTTTCCTGGACTTTGTGTCTTTTTTTTTTCTCTTGGTTTATTCCATAAATTTCTAGAAGCACATCTTCAAACAGCTTCCTGAAAAGGGGCTACATGAGTTTTGTTTTTTAGACACTGAAAATGGAGTTCTTGAAGTTATTTTTCCTCAGAATTTTTAGTGTGTTGTTGCTTCATTGCCTTCTAGCTTCCACTATTGTTATTGATAAGTTTGATGTCTTCTTATACTTGATACTTTGTATGAAACCTGTTTTTTTTTCTCCCTGAGACTTTATATTGTCCATTATCTGTCCCCAGCTTTGTGAAATTCCTCGATAATGTGCCTTGGATTTGGTCTACTTTATCCATTGTTCTGGGTGCTCAGTGACATCCCTTTCTATCAGGACATTCATGTTCCTCATAGATTCTGGAAATTTTATTTTGAATTATTTTATTAGTGATTTCCTTTTATCTATTTTCACTATCCTCTATTCATAGAACTTCAATTATTCTTTTTTTTTTGACGGAGTCTCGCTGTGTCGCCCAGGCTGGAGTGCAGTGGCGCTATCGTGGCTCATTGCAACTTCTGCCTTCTGGGTTCATGCCATTCTCCTGCCTCAGCCTCCTGAGTAGCTGGGACTACAGGTGCCCACCACCATGCCCGGCTAATTTTTTTGTATTTTTGTTAGAGACGGGGTTTCACCATGTTAGCCAGGATGGTCTCCATCTCCTGACCTCGTGATCCACCCGCCTCAGCCTCCCAAAGTGCTGGGATTACAGGCGTGAGCCACCGTGCCCGGCCAGAACTTCAATTATTCTAGAACATTCTAGATAAGTCTCTATTTTAAAAAATATTATCTATTTTCTTCTCTTTCTTCTAGTCTTTCTGGGAGATTCTCTTGATTTTATCTTCCAATATATATTTTTTGATTTTTTATGTTGTTTGAGATGGAGTCTTGCTCTGTTGTCCAGGCTGGAGTGCAGTGGCACCATCTCGGCTCACTGCGACCTCTGCCTCCTGGGTTAAAGTGACTATCGTGCCTCCGCCTCCCAAGTAGTTGGGATTACAGGCACCTGCCACACGCCCAGCTAATTTTTATATTTTTAGTAGAGATGGGATTTCACCATGTTGGCCAGGCTGGTCTCGAACTCCTGACCTCAGTGATCTACCTGCCTCAGCCTCCCAAAGTGCTGGGATTACAGGTGTGGGCCACTGTGCCCAGGGTATCTTCCAATAGTTTATGCGATCATATTGTCTATTTCTAAGGTTTCATGTTCACTGGATATTTGTTTTATAGTATCTACTTCTTCATTGATTCATATTCTCTAGGGATATTAATACTAGTTATTATTAAGTTTTTCTTTCTATTTGTATTGGCATTTAAAGTGAGGTGGGGTTTTTTTCATAAACGTCTGGCAGTCCTTGGCTGTCTGCTCATATTTAAGAGTGAGGCAGGCGCTAAAAAGAAGGCTGGGAGCTCATGGCAGGGGGAGTGCTTCTCAATGGTGCTCTTCTCTCTAGGATAATATTTGGAAAACTTTTGATTTGAGTGTCTTGTGCTTATTTCTCTTGGAAGATAGGTTCTCAAAGAAGATGCCTTTGACCCCCTCCATAGAAGGGGGAGAATGTTTTAGAATAGTTGAAATTCTATGAATAGAGGATAGAGAAAATAGAAGGAAATCAGTAGTAAAAGATTTCAATATAAAATTTCTAGAATTTAAGAAGAACATATATATCTGGCTGCCAACATTACTGAGCTATATGAGGGAAGATGGCTAGAGATCTTAGGTCCTATACATAAGGTTTATCTTAGTCCCCATGTTTTCTGTTTGGTATCTCTGTTTTAGTTGTACCTGGTATTGCCTAATTCAAAGATCATCTGTTTATCATCCTTAGAGAATAAACTTCAAGTCTCCTGCCAGAATGGGGGATGGATATTTGTTCAGATGTATAAATTTGGATTGGAGATATGAGGGACTAAATTTTTAAACAGTCTTTCAACTGATTATTCCACCTGCCAAATCCTGCTTCTTTGTAGGAGTCTGCAATGTACATTAGGTTATTTCTCCCCTTTTCCAACTTCCAGATTAGGATTCAGCTTTCTCATGTCTGTTAAATCATTTAACCCCTACCATCTGTCCACCAACTTCCAAAATCGTGTCACTGATGTCTCCTATCTCATACTTTGTTCTCATGTATTTATATCTTCTGTAAACATTCCTTTATTCTCATTTAGTGGGATTCTGGGAGGGAGAAGAGCTAAGTGTATGTTCAATCTACCATTTTTAACTATTCATATGCAAGACAATACTCACCAAAGCCCCAATGAGTTTTTTGAAAGGAACATCACCAGATGATTTGAAAGCCTGCCTGAAGGAATACACTTGTGAGAAAGCCAAGAAATTTCTGGGAGAATATATAATGGGATTTCCCCCTACAAGATATCAAAATGTATTTTAAATATATAGTCACTAAAATGGAATCATATTGGTGATTACAGACAGATTAATGGAACAAAAACACAGCAGACCAAAGACATTCTTATATGATCACACAATATTTCAAATTAGTAAGAAAAGAATTAACCAGGTAACTAATCAGCTGATAAATGATATTAGAACAAATGACTAACAATTTTTCAATATATACATATAACATCAGAACAAAGTTTGGGGATCTGGTCTCCTTCCTAGGGTCTAACAAGAGTCCCAGGGGATGACAAAAACTCCAAGAGTGTCTTTCAGTGTGTGGTTGTAACTATGCCATTTTTCTTTGCTCTGGCTCTTGTGGTCCTCCTGAAGGCAGCTGGCTTTTCTGATTCAATCCCTCCACTACACACACATGTACATGCATATACACATGTGCATGTACACCTCCTCCTCCCCCAGCAGATCATGACAGCCTTAACTGCAGTTTCCAAGCTCACTGAGCTTAGTATTTGGTTGCCAGCCTTATCAGAGGTCCCGCCTCTTCCCCAAAGCCAGATTGAGAGCAGGGCAACATTTCCACTGCTCTCACAACTCCCTACCCTTATCTACTGGGATTAGAAATCCTATTCCTGGTGGACTAGACTGCCACCTCACTGCTTGAACCCTCTGAGCCTTGATATTATTCACCCTGTCTGGAAACAAGGGCCTCATATCTGTCCTTGAAGCAAAAAACTATCCACACCTCCAGAAGAGGAAGCCCTGGTGTTACAGTTATCTCATCCTGATTAACAAATCACGCCCAAACTTTCCACCTTAAGCAATGACATTTTTTTTTTTTTGCTCAAGAATTTGCAATTTGGGGCTGCTCAAAGGCCGAGGACTAGGATATAAAATCATCTAGAGGCTAGTTCACTAACATTTCTGGTGGCTAACGCTGGTTGCCAGCTGGGGGTCTCAGCTAGTGCTGTTAGTCAGAGCACACATGGTCTCCTCATGCAGTTGAGGCTTACTTATAGCATGGAGCCTGGGTCTCAAGGGTGAGCATGCCAAAGAGGGAGAGCCAGGTAGAGCCATATTGCTTTATAGGACCTAGCTTTGGAAGTCATGCAGCATCACTTCCACTCTAATCTATTTGTTGACCAGTCTCAAAGTTCCACTCAGGTTCAAGGGAGAACAAATAGATTCCACCTCTTGATGGGAGGGTGGCATGGTTCTGGAGGAACATGTAGGACTGGATAGATTGCTGCAGCCATTTTTAGAAAATATCATCTGCCACACCTGGCTCACTATATTAAAAAGAAGAGGAAGAAACTGAACAAAATTGAGAAAAAAAATCTATAGAAAGAATCAACGAAACCAAAAGTTTGTTTTTTGAAAGGATAAACAAGATTGATAGACTACTAGCTAGATGATTAACAAAGAAGAAAAGAAAATCCAAATAAGCACATCAGAAATGACAAAGGTAACATTATAACTGACCCCACAGAAATACAAAAGATCCTCAGAGACTATTATGAAGACTTCTATGCACACAAACTAGAAAAGCTAGAGGAAACTGATAAATTCCTGGAAAAACACAACCTCCCAAATTTGAATCAGGAAGAAAGTGAAACCCTAAATATATCTATATCAAGTTCCAAAATTGAATCAATCATAAAAAAGCATATTAACCAAAAAAAGCCCCAGACCAGATGGATTCAAAGCTGAATTCTATCAGATGTACAAAGAAGAGCTGGTACTAATTCTACTGAAACTATTCCAAAAATAGTTACCGATCACTAACTCATTCTACAAAGCCAGCATCACACTGATACCGAAACCTGGCAAGGACACAACAAAAAAAGAAAACAAACGGCCAATATCCCTGATGAACATAGGTGCAAAAATCCTCAACAAAATACTAGCAAACTGAATCCAACAGTGCATGAAAAAATTAATTCACCATGATCAAGTAGGCAAAATCCCTGGGATGCAAGGTTGGTTCAACATATGCAAATTAACAAATGTGAGTCACCACATAACAGATTTAAAAACAAAACCCATATGATCATCTCAATAAATGTGGTAAAAGCTTTTTATAAAATCCAACACACCTTCATGATAAAAATCTTCAAGAAACTAGGCATAGAAGCAACATAACTCAAAATAATAAGAGCTATCTATGACAAGTGCACAGCTAACATCATACTGAATGGGCAGAAATGGAAATATTCCCCTTGAGAACTGGAGCAAGATGAGAATGCCCATTCCCACCACATCTATTCAACATAATACTGAAAATGCTATGCAGAGCAATTAGGCAAGAGAAAGAAATAAAAGGCATCTAAACAGGAAAAGAAGCAAGCTATCTCTCTTCACAGATGATATGATTCGATACCTAGAAAACTCGAATGACTCTGTCAAAAGGCTCCTGGAACTGATAAACAACTTCAGTAAAGCTTCAAGATATAAAATTAATGTACAAAAATCAGTAACATTTCTATATACCAATAATGTTCAAGCTAAAAGCCAGATCAAGAATGCAATCTTACTTACAATAGCCACACAAAAATAAAATACCTAGGAATACATCTAACCAAGGAAGTGAAAGATCTCTACAAGGAGAACTACAAAACACTGCTAAAAGAAATCACAGATGACAGAAACAAATGGAAAAACATTTCACACTCATGGATTGGAAGAATCAATATCACTTAAATGGCCATACTGCCCAAAGCATACTGTAGATTCAACACTATTCCTATGAAGCTAGCAATGTCATTTTTCACAGAACTAGAAAAAAACTATTCTAAAATTCATATGGAACCACAAAAAGCCTGAACAGCCAAAGCAATCCTAAGCAAAATGACCAGCATCAGATTACGCGACTTCAAACTGTACTATAAGGCTACAGTAACCCAAACAGCATAGTACTCTACAAAAATGGACACAGACCAATGGAACAGAATAGTGAATCCAGTTATAACACACCTAGAGCCATCCAATCTTTGACAAAGTCAAGAAAAATAAGGAATGGGAAAAGGACTCCCTACTTAATAAATAGTGCTGGGATAGCTGGCTAGCCACGTGCAGATGAATGAAACTGGATCTGTACTTTTCACTATATACAAAAACTAACTCAAGACGGGTTAAAGATTTAAATATAAGACCTCAAACTATAAGAATCCTAGAAGAAAACCTAGGAAACACCATTCTGGACATGGGCGTTGGGAAAGAATTTATGACTAGGTCCTCAAAAACAATTACAACAAAAACAAGAATTGACAAGTGGGACCTAATTAAACTAAAGAGCTTCAGCACATGAAGATAAACTACCAACAGAGTAAACAGACAACCTACAGAATGGGAGAAAATATTTGCAAAGTATGCATCTGACAAAAGTCTAATATCCAGAATCTATAAGGAACTTAAGCAATTGAACATGCAAAAAACAAATAACCCATCAAAAATGGGTGCAACACATGAACAAACACTTATAAGACATACCAGCTGCCAACATACATATAAAGAAAGGCTGCATATCACTGATCATTAGAGAAATGCAAGTCAAAACCACAATGAGATACCATCTCACACAAGTCACAATGGCTATTACTAAAAAGTCAAAAAAACAACCAATGCTGGCAAGGCTGCAGAGAAAAGGGAACACTTATAGACTGTTGATGGGAATGTAAGTTAGTTCAGCCACTGTGGAAAGCAGTTTGGAGATTTCTCAAATAACTTATGACAGAACTGCCTTTCAACCCAGGAATCCCATTATTGGACATATATCCAAAAGAAGACAAATTGTTCTACCAAAAAGACACTTGCACTCGCATGTTTATCACAGTACTATTCACAACATCAAAGATATGGAATCAATCTAGGTGTCCATTAATGGTGGACTGGATAAAGAGAATGTGGTACATATTGTGGGAAAGAGTTTCTGGGGTGCCAGTTGAGTTGGTCTCTCCTGTGTGAGACACCCATGGGAAGCCATGGGTGGCCTCTGAGGAGAAAAGTCTCCTTACTGCCTTCATGTCTTTATGCCCCAAGAGCATAACCGCTCAGTGGCATTCCACAGGTTGCTCGGGGAGATAACACTCCCTTGAAGCAGTGGAGTACAATCAAACATCTTGGCTCCTCCTGAAACCCGCTCCCACCCATTTCAGTCCCCATAAGTTAAAGATCTTAAGTAGTTTAGACACACGCCTTTGCTCAAGGAAATTCAAAGAAACCGCCACTGCTATACATCTTATTGAATGACTCACGAGTTCTCCTTCACTGATTAATCCTTTTCCTCATCCCTTCCTCCCCCTCCCATCTGCCCTAAGAACAAAGAGCTTGTAAACCAATAAATTGGGCGGAGCCCGAGAGCTCTGGGCCATGAGCAAGCCTCCGAGGGTCCGGTCCCCTGGACCTGCCTTTTAAACGCTTATTCTGTCTCTTTCTAACTCCTTTGTCTCCGCAGGACTCGGGGTACCCCCTGGGTGGTGTGGGGCTGGTTCCCCAACACATATATGTCACAGAATACTATACAGCCATAAAAAGAACAAAATTATCTCCTTTGCAGCAACGTGGATGAAGCTGAGGCCATTATCTTAAGCGAATTAATGCAGGAACAGAAAACCATATACTGCATGTTCTCACTTATCAGTGGGAGCTAAACATTGGGTACTCATGAACATAAAGATGGTAACAATAGAAACTGGGGACTACTAGGTGGGGAGGAAGGGAGGGATCAAGGGTTGAAAAACTAACTATTGGGTACTGTGCTCACTACCTGGGTGACGGGATCATTTGTACTCCAACCCTCAGCATTATGCAGTATACCCAGGTAACAAAACTGTACATGTACCCCATGAAACTAAAATAAAAGCTGGAAAAACAGAAGAGGAAGAAAAAATGTTTCCTTTGTTTTTGTGCATTAAAAGCCCATAGGCAAGAAAATATACAGTTAATTTCTCAATTAGGCTACCCTGCCCATCTGGTTTCATGGTTGAGAGACAAATGCTAATGAATCCTTTGGTACATCAATTAACTCTGCTTTGCTTCAAGGTCATGGATTAGGTCCCTACATCGAGTCAGTCACCTTGAAAACAAATGATACTGCGAACAAGGACAACCAGACATCCCTCACACCCCGCCAAATAGAATGTCTCGGTGTAAATCCTTTACTACTGGCAAATGATCTACTAAAGAGACATCTTCTGTGCCTAAAAATGGGCAGCCCATAAACATTTACAGTGATAGGAGAAGGAAATTATTTTCTTTTTTCTTTTCAAATAAATCATTTGCACATTACCACTCTATTGAACTCATTTATAGAAAACAAGATCGCGTTTTTGTTTTGTTTTGTTTTGTTTTTGTTTAATGAGGAACAAACCATGTTACTGTTAAAATGCAACATTATTTGTCTTGGCAACTACATTTGGATAAATCTTTATGGAGGCTCTATTGTTTGGTTTTCTATCATTGCTATACTTTTTAAAAATGTGCTCGTGAACGGTTAGCAATTGCCTATCACAGTGAACTTTTCCTTTGGGAACTGGGGATTTCTGACACACAGAACTGCATTTCCTTTATATTGTGTTACAAATACTTGATAATTCAAACCAAATTCCAGGTTAGTCTTAGTAAAAGACATGCCCAACAAATGGCTAGTTTCTAAAATTCATAGGTGATATATTTGCATCTGGAGTTGGTAGAGGAAGATGTAAGAGCAAATCTTGCATGAAGAATAGTTTAGAGAAAGCTTGATTTAGTTATATCCTTTCTTGTTCCAAATAACATTTAAACTAAGTAAGCAAGCTTTGTACAATCTACTAAGGATTTTTCTTAAGAAATGAGTCAGAAAATAATTTGCTAATAACTTTAAATATATTGTGAACAAGAAGCATGGCTCAATTAATTCCCAGATCTTACTTTGAAAAATGGAATTTCCTGAGAGACTTGTTAGAAATATAGATTCCCAGGGCTACCTTTAAGAATTTGAGTAAGTCTGGGGTGACACTCCAGAATCTGCATTTTAAACAATGCCCCCATGTGAAACGGATACAACTGGACCTACTAACCTACATAAAATTTTATTTTTAGTTTTTAGCAATTTAATAGAAAACTCTTACTCTATGTAAAGCAAGTATTAACTCATTAAATCCTCATAACTAACTAATAATGTAGGGATATTGTTCCCAGTCTACAGATGACAAAGCTAAACCACAGAGAGGTCAAGTAACTTGTCCAAGGGCCCGCAGCTGAACCCAGGCAATGTGGCTCCAGAGTCTGTATTTGGTTGACTTTTAAGAGACTTAATCACACATACATAAAAATAAACTATATAAAATTAAATCAGCATGTCGAGAAGAACAAAAATAAAATATATAAAATCATTGAACTGTAGGATCAATGACCAAAAGTCTAGAGGTTGTCAGCTTCCCTCTTTCTCAGACCTTTGTAGCTGGAGTTACTATAGACACAATGCTACCAAATTTCTGAGACAAAGTGGCCATACAGTATCAAGTGGTACCACCAAGTCTTACCAAAAGTGCTACTCAATTGTTGGCCATTACAATTCCCATAATTACCATTGTGGCAATCATCCTTATCCTTTGAATTCTCCACTGGGACTGCCTGGAGCTCTTCTGTGATCCACACTTGGCTGGCATTGTCCTAGCCATTGACACCTCTTGCCAACTTTGTCCCTGAGTGGTGGGTGTCATTTCCCATAATCCCATAACTACTGCCTGGGGTCCTTCTCTAAGGGACTCATCATCTACCACCACAAAGTCTGTCCTTCTAGTGTCTAACACTCTGACCCTGCAGCCAGACTACATTCCTCTGGCCACAACCATGGTCCAGAACCAAACCCACATCTTTTTTAGACTTGACATCCTCAACCTCACACTAGCCCAATGCCTCAGAGCACTCAAATTCAGAAATAAGTTACGCTGCTCCACAAGGATGCTTTATGGGGGTATTTCACACCCGAATATCTGGAATATGTTGATATATAACTATACTTACTTGTTATCAGATCTAACATGACCCTTTCCTTCTCTGAAAATAAAAAAAGCCAAAATGAAACTTTAAATTTTTAAATTTACATATAAATAATTTATGATGCCTTTGAATTAGACATTTTCAACTTTTGCCTTAAACAGATGGGGTCTGTCGGATCCCATAATTTTGTTTCAGAAGTTTAACTTCATGAATTGACTTTATATGAAATATTTATAAACATCAGAGATGTGGTATAGAAGATAGACTCATTAAGGTCCTTTTTTTTTTTAGCTCATCAAGAGGTGCTTTAGAAAACTAGGACTTGTTCTTAGCTGCACATGGAGTATGAAAAGGTATAAGGCTAAATGTTTTATTCCTCAACATGTGGGTCATATATAATCAATTTGATATTGTGTTTCCTTGGTTTTATTGCTTAATTGTATTTATATATCATGGAAGGCAGCAGAAAGAAAACATGTCAATTAGCCATTCTCACAAAAAAAATTTGAAGAGAAAGATGATCTGTCAAGGTACCATGGCATGGTGGAAAATATTATTGTCAATGGAGTCAGAGAGATCAGGGCAAAAATTCAAGTTTGCAACTTCGAAAGTTTTTAGCTTTTCAGAACCAAGTACAAGTTAATGACCTTATTGCCATACTATAAATAATTCCCAGTAGAGAAGCTGGCAAATAGGCCTCACTGAAGAAAGTTAACTGGTTTCTTAAAACTGTGCTTTGAACCATAGAAAAAAATGGGAGCAGGTACATACGGACCCTACCGTGTGCCTTTTCCAAATGTCTAAATTTTGTATTATGTTATTATATTAAGTTATTTGGGGATCTAATAAGCTGGATTGGGTCATTTTAGTATTTGAGATCGTGTTAGGCGAGCAAAAGGGAGAGTAATTGTGCTGTGGATGTGAAATGAAAGGGTCAGATTAGTTCAAGTCATCTCTCATTTGCTGGTATACTCCATCAAGAGGTTAGGAGATGACAAGTTGCCATGGGTGTGAATCTCCAATTGAACCAATTAACTCCACCTAATTCAGAGCCTCAGATGTGGGTAATGGAGGTATAGCAGAAATACTGAACTGATTACATTGAAGAGGTCACCAAGGGAAGACTGCAGGGGAAAATTTATCCTGCAAGCGGAAATCCACAACAAAAACAAGGAACCTGATGACAAGTCGACCTGGAAGACTCAAGTTCTTACAGTAATTTTGAGTTTTAAGTTCTCCCTCAAGCTCATGACTTTTCACTTCATTTAAGTCTACTCAAGTAACTGAGGTTTTGTCAAAGGTCACCAGTGAAACCTTGGTCACCAAACTCAAAAGCTTCGTTTCAATACTTTTCCTCTCTCAATTCAGCGGGGCTTGCCTCTGCTAGACACGTCTTCCTTCAGAAGCATTCCCTTGATTCTACGACAAGTTTTTACTGTAAGTTCCCACTTCCTTTTTTGTCCCTTTCTTACTTGTTTTATTCCCTTCTTTTCACCTCTTCAGGTTTCTAAATGAGGGCACATCTCACAGCTTAGTTTTTGGCTCTCTTTTATTAATATTTACTAGCTTTTAGTTAGTACATTTACACCTTTGGCTGCTACTTTTCTATTTCAAATGTTAACTCTGAAGCATGGTTGAAATTTCTAAACTCCTTATACACATCTCTAACAGATGTCCCACTGGCTCCTGAAACTTTGCATCCTGCCTGTATTAGTTGGTTCTCATACTGTTATAAAGAACTACCTAAGACTGGGTAATTTATAAAGAAAAAAGGTTTAATTGACTCACAGTTCTGTGGACTGTGCAGGCTTCTACTTCTGGGAAGGCCTCAGGAAACTTACCTGAGAAGAGAAGACAAGGGAAGCAAACACCTTCTTCACATGGAGGCAGGAGAGAGAGCAAAGGGAGAAGTGCCACACATTTTTAAACCATCATATCTCGTGAGAACTCAGTCACTGTCATAAGAATAGCAAGGGGGGAAACTTCCTCATGATCCAATCACCTCCCACGAGGCCCCTCCTCCAATTCGACATGAGATTTGAGCAAGAATACAAATCCAAACCATATCACCGCCACTCTTCTTATATTCTCTAACCCATGCTCCCAAATTCCCCAACACAGCTCCTCTCACTCAAGTTGCCCAGGTTCCCAAACTTGGAATCACCTGGGACGTTGCCTTGTCTTTCACCCTCTTACCTTAAGAGGTGCTAATTACTACAGATTCTGCCCGCCAAAATCATCTAGGTCTGTGCCATTCATCTGATCCTTCCATAGACGCTCTGTGTTAACATTACATCATGCCTGGAGCTAACACATCCCAAGAGAAATACAGGCCAAATGTACTGGGAGTCCAGAGGAGATTATTAATTCTTAAATGGACCATTCATGTATCTGTTCCAGATGATAAAAGGCAAAAAACACTGAATGATTACCAATCCAAGGAAAGTCACCCAAAAGTGTACTGAAAGACTAAAACGAATGTTGTGTCTTAAATAGAAGCTAATTGTTGTAGAAAGAATGATCTTTACAAATAACAGGGCTCTTTTAAAAACAGACAGAGCAAAAGTTTCTTCCCTCCCCTAATCAGTCAATGGATGGTAATGATATGATGGCAACATAAGAACATAAATCCATTTTTCCAGGTGGTTTTTATGGACCTTCTGAATCAGAATCATCTGGGGTAGCTGTTAAAATGCTGTTTCCCAGGTTTCATCCTGTACTCTTCTTTTGTAGTGCCCTGGGACATCCTTTTAAAACAAGTTATCCCTATGATTCTTATGTACATTAAAGCTTAAACGCCACTAAAAAATAAGCAAGAGAAAAGGTCAATTACATCAAAATATGATAAATTACATTTTTTATACTTGTCTCTAGTTTTCAAACTTTATAGTTATATCAGAAAAAATAATGAGTAATTTTAAAGTTTCTAGTCTCTCTCTGGATTTTCACTATATATATCAGAGAATAACTCACAGATAAGTTCTTTTAAATAATTAAGAAGATTCTGTAAAAGGAGAAGATATTTGAAGCAGAACTTTTCCATACATTTTCAAAACTACTGTTAAACTCAAGAGTGACCTAAATAATCTAATGTTTTTTTAATTGAAAAAGTTTTTAAAATTCCAGATATGTAGGAAAAAGATAATAAAATTATGATACTATTGTTCTTTTTTCAAAACTCAAGTTCTCTTGCTAATTGTTAAGGATACTGATTTATTTGAAACACAACATGTTTCTGCTTCATAACAACATGTGTATTATTTTACATTTTTATTGGCAACTTTCACTGTACCCTGGTGATTTCTAGAAATCCGCATACTTCCCTGCTGCTAAAAGTTTCCAAAAAATAATAAACAAATGATTATTAACTCTTGATATTTTTATTCTATGATCATGTACTTTATAAGAAGCACTTGAAAAAGTGGAGCTATTAACTTTAGGGAAAATAGGGTCCATATACCAGATCTCAACTGCAGGGATATTTTGTTAGGTAGACAGACCATCAAGAGTAGATAGAAAAACACCCACCACAAGTGTATTATTCCCAAGAAAGAGTGTCAGCATTTGGACTTCCTTCCGTTAGCACTAAACACACTCCTAACTTTTCACCTCATGAAAGGAATGTCCCCTGCTCATAGTGAAGTTGCTATCATGGCCAGTGTTGCTTTTTGCACAAGTGTCTAGCTCAGTGGTTCTCAACTGGGGGTGTTTTGAGCCCCCAGGTGACATTTTGTAGTATCTAGGTTTATGTTTAATTGTCACATCTTGGGAAAGCTACTGACATCTAGTGGGTAGAGCCCAGGGATGCTGCTAAACATCCTACAAAGCACAGGACAGCCTCCCACGACAAAGAAATTTAAAGTCCAAAATGTCAATAGTGCCAAGGTTGAGAAACCCTGGGCTGAACTCAGAGTTCCATAAATTAGTGCCTATTTCCATAAATTTTTAGGTCTGTCAGTTCCTGCTTCCTGACTTTCTACCCTAATCATCTGAAGCTTCAGAGTTTTTCATATCACCATATTAATGGTGACTGATCTTTTTGATACCTCTCTTGACCCATATCCTCACCCCGATCCTTGACCTAACCCTGTCCATCCGGCAGTTTTGATCCTTCTTTATCATCTGAAACCTCTATTCAGATTATTTGCCATAGAATTGTCTGTCCCTCTCTCACACAAGAATAATCTTCTTGAGTGTGAGAACTCTTACCTTAGTCTCCCCAGCATCCATCATGGTGCCTCAAACATAACAGGTGCTCAATGAATACTTGTCAAACTAATGAAATAAGACTTGCATTGTACCAAACACTGATGATGACTCACATAACATAAAACATAACCATTTCCTTCAAGTACTTACATTTTTGGGTGAAGGTACACACCAGAAAAGATAGCTAGCACTGTAAAACAGTGCTTAATGAGTAACAGATGTATAATTCAGACAATAATTACTATAAAAGATTTCTGGTGAGTGTGAGTTCCCTTAGAATGCAGGGAAGCAGAGAGTGCCTCATCGAATCGAAAACTGAAATATACTTGAAAGGATGAGGATGCTTTGTATAAGCTAGGAAATGTGGGGAGGCCATTCCAGCCTGGTGAGATGAGGGTGGAAAGTAGAGCATAAGCAAAGCTTGTCTTTGTAGAAGAATTTTGCCACATAGAACCATGGCATCTAAAAGCATGTTCATGGGGTCCTCTTTTGTACTTCTCACATAGTATTCCAAGAAGGGGGAGCATACAGAAAAGCAGTGGTAGAAGCCCAGATGTCATCCATTACCCTAGATCACACTCCCTCCCTGGAAGGAGCTCAAATCCAGTGACTGTCAAATAGAGAGGGATCCAAAAGCCTGGCCCCCTTGCCTCAAGGCAGGACAACTTTGAAGAGCCATCCCAGTGCTAAAGCTTCCTGACCCATGACCATTTTAACTCCTCCCTCTTTCTCATCCTTCCATCCATTGAGCATTCTCCAATAAATTACTTGCATGCAAATTTCCATTTTAGAGTCTGTTTCCTAGAGAACCCAACCAAAGGCCACAGGATGGGAAAAACAACCTATGCTGATGGCAGTTAGAAAGCTTGTGGCCTGACAGCTTTTAAAACTGTCCCTCTTGCACACTCAGCAGTTCAGGCCATTGTAAGTAGGTAAGGAGTAACTGGTCAACCTTTTCGCTTACTCTACAGTATCTCACTTCACTCCCCACTGACCCCTCATATCCCTAGGAATTTTCCCCACCCACCCTTTAACAAGACCTTCTCTGAAAGCCTTCATCATGGGGGCTAAATGACTCATGATACTTTATTCTCACCTAACAGGAATTAAGGTTGTCATTCAACCTTGATTCAAACTGGATAAAAGAATCAGCTTGCCATTAGAGACTACTTGGGGAACATGAGGGACCTTTATGGTGCCATACCACAGTGAACTACATGGTATCAGAGACGATGCTATGAACTCACCAAACCCCATTTTCTTTTTTGTCCTCCTAGGAGAACAAAACATGTCCTCAATGTTATAGATTTCCCAGCCTTCTCTGTGATGCAACTAGGCCATACGACTGAATTCCGAGACCCACATAATGTGGGTAGAAGTGATGCCTGCCACTTCTAGGCCTGTTCCCTTACCGCGTCCCCACCCCCGACCCCCCATACACAATTCTTCATGCTCCTTTTTACTTTTTCTACCATTTGTTTGTAGTTAATCCAGTTGAATCCTAAGGTCTCAGGGCATGGAGCCATAACATGAATGGAGCCTGAGCCCCTGAATGGCTGAATGCAATAGAGCCTTTCTCTACACCATAACAACCATGCTTGGGCTATGCCAGAGATATTTTCATGTCACCTGGATCCTAGAAAATTCAAGAAAAAGAAAAGACTTCTTTGCCATTATAGGTATAGCAAGTGGAGATAATGTAATCAAAGGCATAATCACTTACAAACCAACAAACAACTGGCATCCTATATTTAGCTATGGAAGATATAAATGGATCATGTAATTATATTCACCCATACATATTACACACCATTGCTTGTGTGTTAATGTGCTTAAATTTTGTTTCAAAAACAAAATATCCTACTGTGATGCTCTGAGTAAACAGATTCTTAGCAAAATTAATGAACAATGCCTGAAAAGAGAAAACTTGAGGAAAATGAACCAAGATTTTCCCTGAAAAGTGAAAAATAGGAAAAGATATAAGGTTGGTTGGATAAATATAGAAATTACACGAACTAGACATTTAAGAAGTGTGTTATTTTAAAGGTCAAAATAAACAAAGCATGATATATATTAACTCACTATTACCATGCTTTCTAGATGTCTATAGTCCATACTTGGAAAAGAAAATAGCCAAGTGAAAACAGGATGACTTGCTTTTCTCTTTTAAGCAATTATTCTTTTCTGTGGAAGGATTTAGCTATGCTTCAATTCTCTGGAGGGACTCTATTTAAAAAAAAACAATTTATATTGTTATACTTGAAACTATCTTCACAAAGGGCTCAAATTTGAAGTAGTAGAAAACTTTGGTTTCAAACCTATAAATGCAACTAATTTTATTCTATTCTAAATTTTATTATCAAGGAGCACATTGCATATTTTAAGTCATTCTGGAAGGAGGTTTCCAAAAAATCTTTCTGTTCATAGGAGAATTTGCTAAACAGCAACACTTTCAGCCACTCACTAATATCTGAGCACCTCCTACACTCATTAGTGATTCAATCCACTGTGTGTTCATGTGTGTGTGTGTGTGTGTGTGTGTGTGTGTGTGTATGTGTTTCTCATCATTTTGCTGCATTGGAGGCAGTTTTATGCCTCCAATTTTTAATTTTTAATTTTTTTGCATACATAGTAGGTATATATATTTATGGGGTACATTAGTCATTTTGATATAGTCATACAACGTATAATAATTACATCTGGGTAAATGGAGTATGCATCACCTCAAACATTTATCCTTTCTTTGTGTTACAAACAGTCCAATTATACTATTTTAGTTATTTTTAAATGTATAATATATTCTTGTTGACTGTAGTCACCCTGTTGTGTTATCAAATACTAGATCTTATTCCTTCTATCTAACCATACTTTTATACCTATTAATCTTCCCCTACTTGCCCCTCCACCCACCCACCCACTACCCTTCCCAGCCTCTGGTAACCATCATTCTACTCTCTATCTTCATGACTTCAATGGTTTTAATTTCCAGCTTTCATAAGTAATTGAGAGCATGAGTTTGTCTTTCTGTGCCTGGCTTATTTCACTTAACATAATGACCTTCAATTCCAACCACATTGTTGCAAATGACAGGATCTCATTCATTTTCATAGCTGAAGAGTAGTCTATTGTGTATATGTGCCACATTTTCTTTATTTACTCGACTGTTGATGGACACTTAGGTTGCTTCCAAATCTTGGCTATTGTAAACAGTGCTGCAATAAACATGGGAGCATAGGTATCTCTTTGATATACTGATTTCCCTTCTTTGGGGGTATATACCCAGTAGTGGGATTGCTGGATCATATGGTAGCTCTATTTTTAGTTTTCTGAGGAACCTACAAACTGTTCTCCATAGTGGTTGTACTAATTTACATTCTCACCAACAGTGTATGAGGGTTCCCCTTTCTCCACATTCTCACCAGCATTTGTTACTACCTTACTTTTGGATAAAAACCATTTTACATGGGGTGAGAGAATATCTCATTGTAGTTTTGATTTGCATTTCTGTGATGATCAATGATGTTGGGCACCTTTTCATATACCTGTTTGCCATTTGTGTGTCATATTTTGAGAAATGGTTCTTTAAATATTTTGACCATATAGAGTTGTGTGAGCTCCTTATATATTCTGGTTATTAATCCCTTGTTAGATGGATCATTTGCAAATATTTTCTCCCATTCTGTGGGTTGTCGCTCCAATTTACCAGTTGTTTCCTTTGCTGTGCAGAAGGTTTTTGACTTGATGTGATCTCATTGTCCATTTTTGCTTTGGTTGCTTGTGCTTGTGGTGTATTAATCAAGAAATTTTTAGCCAGACCAATGTCCTGGAGAGTTTCCCCAGTGTTTTCTTTTTTATTCTTATTTGCTTTTTTCTTTTAAGAATTCTACATGCAGGATGGCCCCCAACATTTTCTTGTAGTAGTTTCATAGTTTGAAATCTTAGATTTAAGTCTTTAATCCAATTTGATTTGATTTTTGTATATGATGAAAGATAGGAATCAAGTTTCATTCTCTTGCATATGGATATCCAGTTTTCCCAACACCATTTATTGAAGAGACTGCCCTTTCTCCAAGGCATATTCTTAGCACCTTTTTCAAAAATGAGTGCACTGTAGGTGTATGTATTTGGTTCTGTGTTCTCTAATCTGTTCAATTGGCCTATGTGTCTGTTTTTATGCCAGTACCATACTGTTTTGGTTACTATAGCTCTGTAGTATAATTTGAAGTCAGGTAATGTGATTCCTCCAGTTTTGTTCTTTTTGCTCAGGATAGCTTTGGCTATTCTGGGTCTTTTGTGGTTCCACATAAATTTTAGGATTGTTTCTCCTATTTCTGTGAAGAATGTCATTGGTATTTTGATAGAGATTGCATTGAATCTGTAGATTGCTTTGGATAATATGGACATTCTAACAATATTGATTCTTCTAATCCATGAACATGGAGTATCTTTCAATTTTTTTGTGTCCTTTTCCATTTCTTTCATGAGTATTTTATAGTTTTCATTGTAGATATCTTTCACTTCTTTGGTTAAGTTAATTCCTAAGTATTTTACGTTATTAGTGACTATTGTAAATGGGATTACTTTTCAATTTCTTTTTCAGATTGTTCACTGTTGGCATTTAGAAATGCTATTGATTTTTGTATGTTGATCTTGTATTCTGTAGCTTTACTGAATTTATCAGTTCTAATAATTTTTGGTCAAGTCTTTAGGTTTTTCCAAATATAAGGTCATATTATCAGCAAACAATGATAATTTGACTTTTTCCTTTCCAGTTTTGATGCCCTTTATTTCTTTCACTTCTCTAATTGCCCCAGCGAGAACTTCCAGTACTATGTTGAATAACAGCAGTGAACTGGGTATCCTTGTCATGTTCCAGATCTTAGATGAAAGACTTTTAGTTTTTCTCCATTAAGTATGATACTAGCTATGGGCTTTTATTATATTGAGGTATGTTCATTCTATACTTAGTTTTTTGAGAGTCATGAAGGGATACTGAATTTTATCAAATTTTTTCAGCATCAATTGAAACAGTCATACGGTTTTTGTCCTTCATTCTGTTGATACAATGTATCACATTGATTGATTTGAATATGTTGAGCCATCCTTGCATCCCTGGGGTAAATACCACCTGGTCATGATGAATGATCTTTTTAAGGTATGGTTGAATTTGATTTGCTAGTATTTTGTTGAGGATTTTTGCATCAATATTCATCAGAGATACTGGCCTGTAGTTTTCTCTTTTTGATGGGTCCTTGTCTGACTTTAGTATCAGAGTAATATTGGTCTGATATAATGAGTTTGGACATATTCCTCCTCTATTTTTTGAAATAGTTTGTGTAGGGTTGGTAATAGTTCTTCTTTAAATGTTTTGTGGAATTTGGCAGTGAAGCTATTGAGTCTTGGACTTTCCTTTACTGGGAGACATTTTGTTATGGCTTCAATGTAGTTACTTGTTATTGGTCTGTTCAGGTGTTTTATTTCATCATGGTTCCACTTTGGTAGTTTGTATGTGTCTACGAACTTACCCATTTCCTCTAGATTTTCCAATTTATTGGCATATAGTTGCTCACAGTAGCCACTGATGATCCTTTGAATTTCTGTGGTATCAGTTGTAATATCTCTTTTTTCATCTCTGATTTTATTTTCTCCCTTTTTTTGTTCACTAGTCTGGCTAAAAGTCTGTCAATTTTGTTTATCCTTTCAAAAAATCAACTTTGTAGTTTGTCGTTATTTTATATTGTTTTCTTCATTTTGAATTCATTTATTTCTGTTCTGATTTTTATTATTCCTTTTCTTGTACTAATTTGGGGTCTGGTTTGTTTTTGCTTTTTTAGTTCTTTAAAATGCCTTGCTAGGTTATTTATTTGAAGTTTTTCTTCTTTTTTGATGTAGGCATTTATAGCTATAAATTTCCCTCTTACTACTGGTTTTGCTCTATACTATAGGTTTTGCCATGTTGTCTTTCCATTATCACTTGTTTCAAAAATCTTTTCAATTTTCTTCTTAATTGCTTCATTGACCCACTAGTCATTCAGGAGCATATTGTTTAATTCCCATGTGTTTGTATAGTTTCCAAAATTCCTCTTTTTGTTGATTTCTAGTTTTATTCCACTGAGGTCAGAGAAGATGCTTGATATTACTTCAGTTCTGTTGAATGTTTTAAGACTTGTTTTGTGACCTAACATATGGTTTATCCTTGAGAATGATCCATGTGCCAAGGAAAAGAATGTTTATTCTGCAGCCTTTGGATGAAAAGTTCTGTAAATATCTGTTAGGTCCATTTGGGCTATAGTGCAGATTAAGTCTGGTATTTCTTTGTTTAGTTTCTGTCTGGATGATAAGTCCAATGCTGAAAATGGGGTGTTGATGTTTCTGGATCTTTTATTGGGTTCTACCTCTGTCTTTAGTTCTAATAATATTTGCTTTATATATCTGGATGCTCCAGAGTTGGGTGCACATATATTTATAATCTTTATATCTTGTTGCTAGATTGACCCCTTTATCATTATATGAGGACCTTCTTTGTCTCTTTTTATAGTTTTTTCTTGAAATCTGTATTGTCCAATATAAGTATAGCTCCTCCTGCTCTTTTTTGGTTTTCACTGACATGGAATATCTTTTTCCATCCCTTTATTTTCAGTCTATGTGTATCTTTACAGGTGAAGTATGTTTCTTATAGGCAACAGATAATGGGATCTTGTTTCTTCATCCTGCCCAGGGCAGTTCCAGTAATGCTGTCCAAGAGCTAAGGCCTGGACTCAGGGACTCCAAGAGCCTGCTTGTTGCTCTACTGCAAGGTGACCAAGCTGGTACCTAAGGTGCAAAACAAAGTCCCCTTTACTTGGAGTCTTTCCTTGTAGCCACCACAGCTGGGAACATGCTAGGTCACACCTACAGTCAGCACATTGCAGTGCCCAAGGCCCACAGTGTACTACCTGATGGTTGCTTTGGGTTATTCATGGCCCAAGTCTCTTTAGTCAGCAGGTAATAAATCCTGCCAGCACTTTGTCCTTCCCTTCAAGGCAGCTGGTTCACTTTTGGCCCCAAGTGTGTCTAGAAATGTTGTCTGTGTACCAGGGCCTGGAATGGGGTCCTCATGACTCTGCCCAGTGCCCTATCCTACTGTGGCTGAACCGGTATCTAAGATGTAAGACAAAGTTCTCTTTACTCTTCACTCTCCTCCCCTTAAGCAAAAGGAAGGGGACACTTTCATTGCTGCAAGTTTCACTGCCTGGGGTTTGAGGAAAAGTGGTATAAGCAATCCTTTAGCTATCCCAGCTGGTATCTCCCTAGGTCATGTGCCACCCTAGTCCTCCAGCTCTGAGTCCAGCCCAGGGCTAAGAGTTGCCTAGGAATTGCAGGCCTTTTGCCCTAGACTGCTATCAAGTTTACCTAGGACCCCAGAGCACTTTGGCCTGATGTGGCAAGACTTGCCGAGAAACTTGAGTTCAGACCAATAGAATGGGAAATTCCCCTCTGGCTAGGTCTAGTCCAAATGCTCCCTCCATGCACAGGCAATGGCTGAGCCCAACATGGCTTTGCTCTCTGCTATGACAAGGCAGCACTGAGTTCAATGCAAAGTCCCCCAGACACTGTGCTCTCCCTCCCCGAAGATCACAGACTCTCTGCACTGCACAGCCACTGGCAGAAGATGGGAGAGTGGTGGTGTTGGTGATCCAAGACTGTCTCTCTGACCCTCTTCAATGCCTCTTTCAATGATATGAAGTCAAAACCAGGTACTGTGATTGCCCACTTGATTTTTTGGTTCTTGCAATGGTTCTTTTCTGTGTGCAGATAGTTGTTAAAATTTGATGTTTCTGGTGGGGTACAAACCATGTAGACTACGATTCTGCCATCTTGCTCCACCCCCTCTGAGTTCTCATTACTCATTATTGGCCTTTCAGGTTTTAGATTTTTTCATGGTTCAATGTTGCTAGGTTCTATGTGTCTAGGAATTTATGCAGTTCTCCTAGGTTATCCAATTTATCGACATATACTTGCTTATAGCAACCTCTATGAGAAATTTAACCTTAAATTTCTGTGGGATAAGTTGTAATGTCTCCTTTTTCATCTCTGATTTTATTTCTTTTGGTATTATCCATTTTTTTCTTAGTCTGGCTAAAGGTTTGTCAATTTTGTTTATCTTTACAAAAAACCAACTTTTTATTCCTTTGATCTTTTGCATTGTTACTTCATTTCAATTTCACTTATCTCTGCTCTGCTCTTTATTATTTCCTTTTCTTCTACTAATTGTGGGTTTTGTTTGCACTGCTTTTCCCACTCTTCCCAATCTCTCCCTGTGGCTGTCACTGCCCCAGGCCTGTGACAAATACTGCCTGACTACTGCCAATGTTCATTCAAGGTCCAAGGGCCCTTCAGTCAGCTTGTGGTGAATGCTGCTGGCCTGGGACTCTCCCTTCAAGGCAGTGGGCTCACCTCTGGCCCAGGACAGATCTAGAAATGCCATCCAAAAGCCAAGGCCTGGAACTGGTGACTCCACGAGCTCCCACTGTGTCCAAGCTTGTACCTAGGCTGCAAAACAAAGTCTCCTTTACTATTCCCTCTCCTTTTCTCAAAAAGAAGGAGTCCCTCTACACAGTCAATTCAGCTGGTAATGTGCCTGGTTACATCTAAAGCCAGTACTTCTCTGAGTCCCTCCCAAAGCCGACAGCAAATACTACCTGGGTACTGCTGCTGATTATTTGAGGCCCAATGGCTCTTTAGTCAGCAGGTGATTAATCCTGCCTGGACTGGGTCCTTCTCTTCAAGGCCCAGGGTGTATCTAGAAGTGTTGTCTTGGAGGTAGGTCCTGGAATGAGGGCTTCATGACTCTGCCTGGTGCTCTATCCTACTGTGGCTGTGCTGGTATCCAAGTTGCAAGATAAAGTCATCTTTACTCTTCCCTCTCCTCTCTTCAAGTAGAAGGAAGGAATGCCTTCCAGATTTGCAAGCTGCACTGCCTGGGTTTGGGGATGAGGTGGTACAAGCACTCCCTTGGCCACCCCAGCTGGTGTCTCACTAAGCCATGTGTCCCCCTCCAAGGCCACTGGCTCTGAGCCCAGCACACCACCAGGACTTGCCCAGGAATTGACTTCCTGTGGCCTAGATTGCCTTTCAAGTTTATTTAAAACCCCAGAGCACTTTAGCCTGCAGTGGTGAGGCTTGCCACAACTAAGGTCCCAGTTGCTGGGATGGGTAGTTCCCCTCTGGCTAGGGCTGGTCTAAATGCTCAATCTATGAGCCACTGTGGTAGGGCAGCACAGAATTCCAATGCAAAGTCCCATGATCACTATGTTCTCCTTCCCCCAAGTGCACAGATTCTCTTTCCATGCCACGCAGTTGCTGCTGAGGGATGCGGGAGGAGTGGTGTTAGCAATTCAAGACTGTCTCTCCTACCCTCTTCTGTGCCTCTTTCAGTGATTTGAAGTTAAAACTAGGTACTGTGATCACTCACTTGATTTTTGGTTCTTATGAAGGTGCATTTTTTGTGTGGATAGTTGTCCAATTTTGTGTTCCTACAGGAAGGACAATCAGTGGAGGCTTCTATTCAGCCATCTTGCTCTGTTTCCTCTTTTATGTGTCTTTTTATTTGGAATCCTACACTGCCTCAGGGCAAAAAATGCACTAGATAGGCTAAGACACAATGAATGGATATTCAAGCAGCTATACATATAAACTTAAGTTTATATTTCTGGTAGTATATATTTATGCCCTGTAAATAAAACGTGTTGATAAATTCTATTTCTCTTGATTTATATAAAAATGCAAAAAATATGATGCATTTATAACTGCAGCATCGTCAAGTATATTTCTGACTGAAGATGACTCTAAGTAGGTATCAATGAGAACCAAATCCAATGCATACAATTTTACACATCTAACGATTAGAAAGATTGTCCACAGACAGGCTTCTGGCTACATACATTTCAAATCTTGCTTTTCCCCCACTACTTGCATACTTTGGTGACAAGTAACATGGGGCACACTCAGGTCACAATACAATCTCTGGTCTCGTGCATTGGGTCACAACACAGGGTGGCTCAGCACCGTGGACAGTATTCCTGGAAGCCTTTCCTACACCAGAGCAACTAGTCATAACATACACAGAAGTGACTGGTAATCAATAAGTATATTCCACCAATGAACTGTGCGGGTGTCAAAGTGCATGTTCCTGCTGGGAATTTTAAATCTGTATCTTTCATCTATGAGTAAAGATAATTGAAAGTTATTTTATATCCCCAACTTAACTTTCCCTTAGTTAGATCCCCCAAAAGCCCACAGCTGCTCAAACATCTCTCATTTTGAAGGGAAGTGTGATGGAGGGGCTTTTGAAACGGGAAGGGACAACAGTCTTAGTCAACTGTGGTTAAATTATCTCACTTTTTCAAGTTTTACAGAAAAAAATATGAAGACATCCCCAGGGCTCCTCTCAGCATTCTGGAAGGAACTCATCCAGTAGTGGGTCCTCAGGCTTAAGCTTCATCAGCTTCAGGGTGTTCCTACTTCTACATATGGGTTTTCTTTATTTCCTTATAAAAACTTTGTATTATGGAAATTTTCAAACATATACAGAAGTCATGATGATATATAATTACTCACCATATACTTATTACTCAGTTTCAACAACTATCATCTCAGGGCCCTTCCTATTTCCTCCATGACCCTGTCCACTCTTCTCTTCCCTCCCCACACCACAATTATTTTGAAACAAACCCTACACTTACATTTCACCTACAATTATTTCTGTACATACATGTTTAGGTTTATATTTCTTATATGGGGTTTTATGCCAAATCTATCAGTGGCCATAATTAAAATGAATGTTTTGACTTTTACAAGAATTATATTTATTTCTACTATTTTCATAACAGGAACCAAATCTATTCAACACTACTCACTTTTAACATTTACAATAAAGATGAGTGCTCACTTTGACAGCACATATACAATAAAGATGAGATTTCATTTGAACTGACAATGACCTTTTTTTTCACAATAAGCTGTGAATAAACTTCTGTTCCATGAACCCCCATGTGTTTTATTTTTATGGCTAATAATAGTCGTTAATCAATCATCACACATATATACATACAAATCACACAGAAAGACACATGTAATTTTTCTTCCTGTATCTCACTTCTCTAGCCTAAACTGAACTAGAGTCTTCAATTATGGGTAAAAGTCTGTAAAAAAGGCATTAGAGAAAGAAATAAGAAAAATACAAAAAAGTCATCTAACCTATTAATAGTTAAAGGAACTTAGGCCACATCCCACCCCACACGTGCAGATTTTTATATCACAGTTTGTTTGTTATTATATCACCATCATTACATGTCATGCCATTTTCATACATCATAAAGGATACATAAAATAAAAATATTTTAAAATCTAATTACTAGCATTTTAGTCAAAGTTGAGAGAAGGAATTTAAGTTGGTACCTTTAGTTCAAGGAGAAATTTATATGATTTCACTATTCTCACTAGTAAAATAAAGTCCGTTGGGACACACTGCCTTAGGGAATTTTCCTTTAGAACCATAAAGGCTCCAACATGCGAAAAAAAAAATAGTATTTTAATATGTTAGAGAGCATTGGTATGTGCCTTGGCTCAGGAATTGCTCTGATATTGAAGAGTTGTGATAAATTCCTTCGCAATTTCAGAGTATACCCTAGGCTTGAATCCAAGAATTCTGGGGTAAACAAGACAAGCATGGTTCCTACCTTCTCAGAACTTATGATCTACTGAAACAGACCACCATGCGAGGAAGCACAATAAAATGTGGCAGTTACTACAGCAGAGTGATTACAGGGGCTTTGGTAGTGCAGAGTAAAGGAGATGAATCAGGGGTGACCTGGGAAGTGATTAAGGTGATGAAGCTGAGACTCAGGGTATTATTGTTGAGATTTCATTTTAGTGAAAGGATAGCTCTGTGCAGAGGGGAGGAGAGATGAGAGGAGACAATGTCAGGGCAGGAAGAACAGGTATAAGACTACTGCCATGAGTATGGGCAAGGGAAGGTGGCACCCCACACCAGGGCAGTGGCAAGGAAAATGGGAAGAAGTGGACAGATTCGAGAGCCATTTCAGAGTTAACATCCACGAAGTTTAGTGACGGATTAGTAGGAGTGGGAAGAAAACAGGGAGTACTGGATATGTGTCCTAGAAGGGAAAGTGGCAATTTTTGTTGTGTGAAGTTGGACAAGGAGTTAAGCTATTTGACTTGTATATTCCTATTTCAGTTGATTCTCCAGAGACAGACAAACATCTCAAAGTAGAGCTCAGCATTGCACTTCATGAAATTTTGAAGAATGTGTGCAAGTGGTGTAATTACTGTTATAATTTAATGGGGCTGCTTTGTGCCTTGAAAGCTAGGAAGCAAGCATGCCTTTGTGTGTTCAAAATGCTAATTGAATTATCTCTGACTTTAGTTTATGTTCCTTAAGTACAAACTCTTAAGTCAGGCCAAAGGGATCACAGCTATGTTGTACCATACTTAACTACCTTTTTTATAAGCAAGGATTTTTATTCCAAAAATAAACAGAGGCATACTGACATAAACCCATAAAGTATGTGGGCTGGTACTTTAAAGAACTATGTATTTGCACAAGGACCAGGAGAGCTTTCTTAAAAGGGACCAGGTCCTGGGAATTCTCTCTAAAAGTGATTTATTTCTGTCAACATTCTTCTTCAATTTAAACATACACATTCACATATATTTAAATTCCTCCAGACATTTGAGTTTAAAGTTTTACTCCTGATCTACTGAGTAAATACCTTTAGCAAATAGGCAATAAATTAAGTGAAGGCAGCTTTCTTTTTGAATATACCTTCCTCATACAAATCTCCATCTAAACACCTAAAGATTTGATAATATTTATTTCAAGATATTTCCTATATTTATATATGTATTATGTGTGTATATATATAACATATATATTAGAAAACGATGGAAATGTCTAAAATTTGCTGTTTTTTTCTCACAGAAGAGTTTTCTTCAGCTTTCTGACAATGTAGATTTCAAACTTTATAGATGTATTTATAGAATCATTTTCAACAAACATTTGTTAAACACCTACTCTATATAGGTGGATGCGCTAGTGTATGTCAATGTGTATCATTACCATAATAAGTCAATTGTCAAAAAAATCAGACAACTTAACTGACAAATAATAATATTAAACAACCTCATGGCCACAAATGGAAACAGACTTAGGTGAACACTTTCTACCTTTCTAGTTTATTTAGAGGACAACTAAGAACAAAAACAATCATTTACAAAGCTTGTTCCCACACCAGTTAGAATGGCGATCATTAAAAAGTCAGGAAACAACAGGTGCTGGCGAGGATATGGAGAAATAGGAACACTTTTACACTGTTGGGGGGACTGTAAACTAGTTCAACCATTGTGGAGGTCAGTGTGGCGATTCCTCAGGGATCTAGAACTAGAAATACCATTTGACCCAGCCATCCCATTACTGGGTATATATCCAGAGGATTATAAACCATGCTGCTATAAAGACACATGCACATGTATGTTTATTGCGGCACTATTCACAATAGCAAAGACTTGGAACCAACCCAAATGTCCAACAATGATAGACTGGATTAAGAAAATGTGGCACATATACACCATGGAATACTATGCAGCCATAAAAAATGATGAGTTCATGTCCTTTGTAGGGACATGGATGAAACTGGAAACCATCATTCTCAGCACACTATCGCAAGGACAAAAAACCGAACACTGCATGTTCTCACTCATAGGTGGGAATTGAAGAATGAGAACACATGGACACAGGAAGGGGAACATCACACACCGGGGCCTGTTGTGGGGTGGGGGGAGGGGGAGGGATAGCATTGGGAGATATACCTAATGTTAAATGACGAGTTAATGGGTGCAGCACACCAACATGGCACATGTATGCATATGTAACTAACCTGCACGTTGTGCACATGTACCCTAAAACTTAAAGTATAATAAAAAAAATTTTAAAAAAAAAGCTTGTTCCCTAGTGAATCATAACAGGAATCGTCCATTCTACAACCCTGACAATACATTTTCCATAGAATTCTGATAATCATCTTCAACAAAAAGATATTGTACATGGCCAGTGCCACAAATCAAGTTATTTCACATCCCAGGTTATTACTGAGTGCCCAGAAAGTCTTTACATTATTTATATTTTCTGTAAAATAATATTTAGTTCCCAGTAGGAGGTAACTTTGCATTAAATGATGTAACAGCACTTTGGAATATATATCCTATTAGTGTGTATCATATTAGTACATTATCCCTAATACAAAAATTTCATCTGTTAGTTTAATGGAAAGCTTTACTTTCTCCTCACTTATAACTTACAGAAAGACATATTGAACAAGTTAGTTATGTCAATACATGTCTGTTAAGCTGAATTCCAAAAGGACCGGAAGAATTTCTTAAAATGCTCTGCTTACACTGCTGCTGCATTAATATCGCTGACCCTATTAAAAACATACATGGACAGTTCTGTATTTGTAACATTTTGTATGATTTAAATGACAAGGTACCATAAAAGGGAGCCAAAATAGGTGTTTTGATGTTTCAAAAGTGATTCTCTGGGGCAGAGTGAGAGTGATTGTCCAGTTAATTTGAAAGTGATTGCCCTTTAAACCTGAGTTGGGAGACCATCATCATCCAGAATAGAGTGAATTTTGTTGTGTAGTTGTTCTTCAAACCTTGAGGTGCCAAGGAATCTTGCTGGTGTGAAGACTGGTTCATAAAAGCAGAAATCGCCCTGAGATGTGGTGAACTTGACCTTGTGACTTGACCTTTCAGTCAAACAGCCCACCATACAACAAACAGCTGTCCCAATAACACAGCGCTTTGGCTCTCCCTTTACTACTCAATGAAATGTCATAGAGAGAACTTCTTACCTAGTTCCAAGGTTTGTTCCTCGGTTCCTGCTCCATCCCTGCCTTTACCCAGCTTCAAACATCTGGTCTCCACTTTCTGTCTTCTGCTTCCGGTCCTGCACCTGCACTTTGGGAGATGTGGACACTTAGATTTTTGGCACCTTGTCTTAGATATGGTTTGAACTCACTCTGGTACCCATGAATCTGGCTACCCCTCCACTCAAACTCTGGTCTCCAGGAGTTCTCTGCCTGACTAGTGTATCCATCAGACTCAACCCTGCCCAGACAGAGCAGAACAAACAGTCTGCCCTCTGTCCTGTGAAGGTACTTTATCAGTCAATCAGGAGAGGCTTGGGGATGCTTCTGTGACCAACAGCTCCAAAGTCTTCTGCAGTCTAAAGCAAAGGTTTACATTTGACTTATTCTATGGGCCCACCATGAGCCAGCTGTGACTCTGCTCCAAATCACCCTCACTTAGAGGCTCCTCTTCTTGGAACTTCACTGGTCACATTAACATGAGGAAGAAAGTATATTGTACTGCAAACCAGTTCTTAAAGACTTGCCCGGAAGCAAATTGCATTGCAAACCAGTTCTTAAAGACTTGCCCAGAAGTGATACATTTCCAGTCACAATTAATTGGCCAATGCATCACATAGGCATGCTTCATGTCAGGACGCACAGAAGATCCCACTCAAAGACAGGAGAACCAAAGATATTGCTGAATAATATTAACTTCTACTGTTACCAGAAAGGGGTCCTGATCTAGACCCCAAGAGAGGGTTCTTGGATCTTGTGCAAGAAAGGATTTGGGGTGAATCCATAGAGTAAAGTGAAAGCAAGTTTATTAGAGAAATAAAGAAACAACAGAATGCTTACTTCTTAGGCAGAGCAGCCCTGAGGGTTGCTGGTTAGCTATTTTTATGGTTATTTCTTGATTGTATGCTAAACAAGGGGTGGATTATTCATGAGTTTTCCAGGAAAGGGGTGGGGAATTCCTGGAACTAAGAGTTCCTCCCCTTTTTAGACTACATAAGGTAACTTCCAAGCATTGCTATGGCATTTGTGAACTGTCATGGTGCTGGTAGGAGTGTCTTGTAGCATGTTAATGCAATATAATTAACATATAATGAGCAGTGAGGATGACCAGAGGCCACTTTCATTGCCATCTTGGTTTTGGTGGGTTTTGGCTGGCTTCTTTACTGTATCCTGTTTTATCAGCAGGGTCTTTGTGACCTGTATCTAGTGATACCAGTCCTGCCAACCTCCTATCTCGTCCTGTGACTAAGAATGCCTAAGGTCCTGAGAATGCAGCCCAGTGGGTCTCAGCCTTATTTTACCCAGCCCCTATTCAAGATGGAGCCACTCTGGTTTGAACGCCTCTGACACCACCACAGGCACCAATTTTTAAGCCAAAATTTTCCAACCTTTTGTTCATGGAACTGAAATAGACCACAGTATTGGCTGCTTAGATCTGTTAGCTCTCATGAAAACCCAAAGAAAGCTTTAACTTAATGTTTAATTAGGACATAAGAGGGATTGACTGAGAAGAAATAAATTCTTCCTAGAAAAACTTCTCCTGGAACAACAACAGTCATTTGTAGCAATATATTAATAATGACAGCTAACGTTACATTTATCAGGCATTTGCTATGCACCAAGTATACTTTTAAGCACTTTATATATATTAACTCATTTAATCATCCAGCAATCCCATGATGTAAGTACTCTTTTGATTCTTGTTTTATAAACAAGGAAACTAAGTCACAGTGATGTTTAGTAATGTGCTCAGGGTCAACAGCTCTCATGGTTTACTGGTTGCTAATTTAACCCTTAAATTATCAGCATAAATGTATAATGTGGTTGGTTCTTCTGATAACTCCACTCTACACTGGGTCATTGTGAACATCTTGGCTTGTTATTTTTAAAGCAATGTCTTTCTCCAGGCTTCAGTAGACAACATTTCTGGCACATTTCAAGAAGGAATGGACTGGGTAAAAATGTGCAGTACTTCCACTTCTGGCTAGAATGTAGAAAGTCACAAGACAGCATCATTCTCACCCTAACCACCAAAACAAGCCTGATGAGCTACAAAATCTAAGTTTTATAAAATTCACCAGAGAGTGGAGGAGGCAAAGAAACATAAATCAACATGGTTCCGGAAAACAGTGAGCCTCTCATAGGTGAGAAGACGGCCCTAATTGTTCTCAATCTGAGCAAAATGATGGGTGGAGAAGAAATCCACCATGGAAGAGAACAAGGAGAAACTAGGCAAAATTTTAACAAAAGTTTAATGGTCACATGTGATCTGGTGTGACAGATGAGAATGCTAAGGAGCTCAGCCACAGGGTCTGCACTGACCCATCAAATCATTCCCATAGGCTGTCACCAAATGCTCAGGGTATTGTGCCAAAGGCTGTGTTTTGGACTGTTTTTGCATTGCTATAAAGAAATACCTGAGACTGAATAATTTATAAGAAAAAGGGGTTAATTGGCTCATGGTTCTGCAGGCTATATAGGAAACATAATGGTATCTGCTTCTGAGGTGGCCTCAGGAAGTTTATAATCATGGCAAAAGGCAAAGGGGGAGCAGGCACATCACATGGCCAGAGCAGAAGCAAGAGAGTGATGAGAGAGATGCCACACACTTGTAAACGACCAGATCTCACAAGAAGTCACTCACTATTGTGAGGACAGTACCAAGAAGATGGTGATAAACCATTCATGAGCAATCCGCCCCCATGATCCAATCACCTCCCACCAGGCCCCATCTCCAACATTGGAGATTACAGTTCAACATGTGATTTGGGTGGGGACAACATCCAAACTATATCAAGCTGGGATAGGTAGAAAAAAGATACACCCGTGAGATAAATGAGGACTTTCCTAAGTGCAAGGCAGCCATGTCCAAAAACAGAACTGAAAACTCCAGAAAGCACATCTGAGGCACTCTAGGCTCTGAGGTACTGAAGGCATAGGTAAGTTGAGAGAAATCTATCTGTGATACTCCCACAAGTCAACAACAGAAAGACAACCCAATAAAAATGGGCAAAAGAGTTACTCAAACAGATACATCACAAAACAAGATTGTATGAAAGACAAATAAGTACACAAAATAGTGGCCAATATCTTTAGTTACCAGATAAATGCAAATTAAACCAAAATGTAAAAGACCGACAACATCAAATATTGGTGAGAATAGGAAGCAACTAGAACTCTTGTGCATTTCTATTTACAGTGTAGGCTGGGCACAGTGGCTAATGCCTATAATCCTAGCACTTTGGGAGGCTGAGACAGGAGGAACACTTGAGCCTAGGAGTTCGAGGCTGCAGTTCCAGGGCAACACAGCAAGATCCTTCTCTAAAAAAATAATTTTAAAAACCCACTAATTAAAAATGTTAAAATTCTAAGTCAGAGTATGAAATAGTACAACCAATTTGAAGAACTGTTTGGCAGTTTCTAATAGTTAAACAAACATCTTCCCTAAGACCCAGCAATTCCACTCCTAGACAACTACTGTAGCTGAATGAAAATGCATGTTCATGAAAAGACTTATTTACTAATGATCGAAACTGTCTTATGCATAATAGCTCAAAACTGGAGATTACCTATATGCTCACCTATGTGTAAGTGGATAAAACTTTGTTCATACAATTGAATACTATTCAGCAATAAAAAATATAAATTACTCATACACCCCCAAAGATGGACGTTTCTCAGAAACATGCTGAGTGAAAGAAGTCAAACAGAAGAGTATATATGTATGAATCCATTTATATGAAGTTCTAGAACTGCCAAAATAATATATGATGATAGAAATTAAAACAGTAATTGAAGTGACCCAAAAGGGGCCAAGAGACACTTCTGGTGTGGTAGAAATGTTATCTGGTTTCGGATGGTTAGTACATACAGTTTTCAAAACTTAACTGAAACAAAGTTTTGTGCAATTTATTGAAGTATAATTATACCTCGGTTTTTAACTGTACATGGTCAAATATCGCTATTTCAGAATATTGAGAATGAGTCAGCTCCAAATTCAGTCCATGATACAAGAGTTAAAAGCCAGGTCCTGCAAGCCACCCAAGGTCAATATTTTTAAAATCATACTACTTTTCTTATTCATAGCATTTAATGGACAGCTACAGACAAGACAGGGCTTGCTATAAAAAGGGCACAATCCCATACTTAATGAGTGATCTTTTCCTTTTAGCTGTCTCTAGCCAGTGTTATCTCATGTTGATTCACCCAAAACCTGCTGATGTGTCACTGCTATAATCTTTCAGTGTCAGCCTATAATTGTTTAGGGTCAGCCTTTAATTCATTGGGGATTCCTACTCTAACCACGCAGAGCTTATCGACTGTATGGCTGGTGAGAGCTCTACCATTAACTGCTGGACTGTTTCATTATTGCCACTTCTGATCTCAAGTTCTCTATATAAGTCTATGCAAACACTTTCCTGTGAGGGTCCTTTGACATACTCCAAACTGACTACAGGTGACTGTAAGTGAGAACAAGAACATCTCCTAGTCTTAACACTGCCTAAAATAGCACTTCTCACACTTTAATGCGCATACAAATCACCAAGGAATCTTGTTAAAATTAAAATCCTGATTCAATAGGTCCAGAGTGGAGCCCAAGGTTCTGCATTTCCAACAAGCTCACAGGTAACGGGGCAATGCTGTTCCATGGGCCACATTTTGAGTTGTGAGGACCAAGTATTCTTTTCTCTATGGTTATGTCCTCTGTTTCTAGAAATCGCCTCTCTCCATGTGTGGATTTGCAATCCAGGCTTTGATATTCGACAGCTTTAAGCTCAAACGTGCAAGCGAGGGTTCCAGCAGTGGACAGAGGATAGCTTTTGGATTTCAAAATAAACATTTGGACAGGCATTCTAGTTTTCATGTATTCACTCACAATGAATTCATCTCCCCCAATGCACTCCCATCATCAATCTGGAGGATTTTCATTGACCAGCAGCTCCTGCAGGACAGGTAGCAGATCTTTCAGAATCATCTAAGACCAGAGCAGTGGGCCACATGCAGGAGCCTCACCAACACTTCAGCTCCTGCTTCAGCAGGAGCACCCTGTCTGATAGCCAGGGAAGGAGGAATGTAGGTCAGGGAGTCCCTCTCTGGGATGGGCCAGAGTCTGCTTCAATAATCAGGTCGGGGGGAAGGGCTTCTTTTCCCAGTGGTTCTGCTGGATGCAACGTTGCTCCTCAGGCAAACATAAAGGAAAACAGATTTTGCCCCAAAGTGACCTTTGGGCAATAGCATTACAAGAGATGGTAAGATTACAGTGACAGTATTATATCTGACATCCCATAGGGACATATTTTGAAAGTCTTAAATCTTTAAATAAATATTTACGATGATAAAAATGTTATCTCTAAGCAAGAGTTCCAGACTTTATTTTTTAAAAATGTACTTGAATCATTGAATCTAAGCAATTCTGAATATTCATAAATCCCCCAACCATTTTCTTAAGGATTTAATCTATTATTTAGAACGAAACTTTATATTTAAAACAGGAAATATCAGTGCTTAATGTGGTGTGATACACACGAGTTATTTCAGTTGATCAGGTTTACTGTTAATTGGGTCAGTGGCATTAATCCTCAGGCATGCAAATACTTTGCCAAAGAAACACAAACAACTAAAACTCATAGGCACATAAATGACAGCAAAAGAAGAACTCTTCAAATTGTTCACAGTTTTGCTAGTTTAACAAGATGAACTAGTCATGGTATGATGAAGATTAGGAGTTGCAAACTTTGCATAGCCTGCTTAAAATGTAAAAATAAATTCTAAGTGAAGGCAGCCAGGTAAGTGCTTCCATTAAGGTACAGGGATCTGTCCATTCACAGAGATCTGGAGATTTATTAGGAAATAGGGACTTCAAGGTGCTCAGCTGGGATACCTAGTACTCAGCAAGACAGTTACATAAACATGAACCAATAGTCAAGTATTTATTTTATTTTCACTGCTTGTCATCCCTTCTAGAAGTCTTCCTTTGCCATCCTAGGGCATTTTATGACAGTGGTTCAAGGCATTACTCAACATTTAACTGGGACTAGTCCAATATGTTGGTGGTGATCATAAAATGCATACTCTCAGGCAAGGCAAATTTTCCTAACATGGGTTTAGCTAAAGAATCAGAACTTTTCTCCACACTCAAAATGAGCAGTAATAAAAGCTGAAGGTCATCAGACATTTGAGGATAAGCAGAGATAAATTATTATAGAAAAGCACTGGGTTCTTTTGCAATATAGTATCATTACCATCATCACTGTCATCATCACCATTATTGCTACCATCATATACAATTGATAGTACAATAAATGGGAGAAGTTGAATTAAAAATAATTTTGGTAATAACTATTAAATCTTTACAATTCATATACCATTTGAGTCAGCAATTTCTCTCCAAAATATCTATCCTGAAGAAATACACATGCAAAAAAAGCATGCAAAAGCTTAATATTATAAAATGTCAATCCTTGCCAATAAAAGTCCAGTGAAAGTCCAAATATGATTTATTTTGGGCAAATTGGCAAACGGACTCTAAAGTTTACATAGAAATATTGTTTAAAACAAGGAAAAACTGCAAACTCCCTAAGTAATTTCGAAGACAAATTCATTTAACAAATGTTTATCAAGTGCCTATTATGTACCAAGTATTGCTTTAGCCAAAGGGATAATTAAATAAAACTTTGGTATGCACCTATGATAGAGCACTAGGCTGAATATAATAAGAAAATATTTATATAGAAAAAAAGAAAATAATTTATATAGAAAAGAAAATAATATAAAAGTACACTTAACAGATGTGAAAAAATGTGCAAGACATGCTGTGAAGTTAAAAAATCAGTACAATATATGCAAAAATGCTATTTTTAAAAAATTTATCTTGATCTGAGCATATAAATATATAAATGCACAGAAAATAACTAGTAAAACATGTTATTAACAGGAGATGGATGATTACTTCTGGAGAGAAAAGTGGAATTGAGTTGAGTCATGGAAAGCTTTGGTTTTGTATAATACTTGGATTTTTACCAGAAGAATGTACTTATCATATGTGCACCTGAAATACATCGGGCTACCTGAAAAGCACTGATAAAACATTCCTTGGGACAATCTGGCCTAGAATAAACTGCACTTAATATAATGTTTTCAAAAACTTTCATATCATTGCTAGTCATTTTTCTAGGAGTTTAAATTCTGTAGACTGATTGTAGACAAAGTTTATTTATTTATTTAATTATCTAGTGGTGGAGGGGGTCACTGAAAAGTAACTATAATTTTTTAAAGACTTATTTTAGAGTAGTTCTAGGTTCACAGCAAAATTAAGAGGAAGACACAGAGATTATCCATATACCCCTGCAAAATGTATTTTTATTGGAAGAAAAGGCAGGAGGGCAGATAGGTTAGAGAGAGAACAAACTCGGATGATGTTTACCATCAGTCAAACTTGGATTCTAATCTTTATTCTGGTGCCTGGTAAACATGTGTACCCTCAGAATGTACGCTTTTAGTAGAAAATAATAGGACACCTAATAAAATATGGCTTAAACAACAGAGATTTGTTAACTCACACAACCAAAAATCCAGAAACAGAACAGTGCCAGGCAGGGCAATCTCAACCGCTCTCCCTTGACTTTTTCTTCATGGTTGCAAGGTGGCTGCTGTGGTTCCAAACAAATACTGCATCCTCACAAGACAGCAGTCCAATGTAAAAAGGAATGAGGATTTTTATTTATGCAAGTCTTTACTTAATCAGAGAGAACACATTTTTCCAACAGCATCCACAAATTTCCCCTTACATTTAGTTGGCCAGAACCAGGTCACATGGCCACATTCAAATCAATCACTGGAAAAGAGGAGGAATACCATGTTTGACTTAAACCCAATCATATTCCATACCCTGGGGCTGGGCCCTCTTTCCTGAACACAGAACTACGTGATACCTGCAGTAAATCTGGATTCCTCTGTTAACAAAAGAAGAAAAAAAAAAAGAAATCATCATTGAACACCCAAACAACCACATTTGCTACAATAAGTAATTAAATATTCAGTTTGTTCATCTGTAAATTGGGCCAAATGACCTATTCTCATAATTGCTTGAAACACTGAGATTGCATATGTAAAGCACTTGACTTATACTAGCTGTCTGATGAATGCCAGTTTTCTCTCTCCACCTTCTTCCTCAATAATTCTAACACTATTTCAATAAGGAACAATTATTACAACAGGAGGAGGAAGAGTGAAGGAGCTCAGAACTGGGATTTTCTACACCCAAACAGACAGATTATCCTGGAGCAGTGGTTCTCAAACTTGATTGTAGACCCCAACACCTGGTGAACCTGTTAAATCACAGATTCCTGGGCCCCATCCCCAGTAGGTCTAGGGTGGACTCTGAGAATCTGCATTTCTAACAAGATCCCAGGTGATGTTGATGATGTTGTTCAGGACAACTCTTCACAAGCCACTGCCCTGTAGCGAGGCATGAGCCATGAGCCATGAGCCATGAGCATGAATGTTGGCGTCAGTTGTTCTCTGAATCCCCATCAGCGAACTCAGGGCCACGCCAGCCAAGGACACTGGGGAGCAGAGCTGTGAAACGTATGACATTTCTGAATAGTTTCAGATTATTTCCAGGCTGCAAAACTTCAGACTGAAAGACTTTATTTGGGGATAGGCCCCTTCAGGTAAGTTTGAAAGAAGAGGAAGGCCACCTACCAACACAAGCCAGCTACATAGTCGCTCACCTGCCAACTTCCCAACAAAGGGAGAACAAAATAACAAACACTCAAATTCTAAATGCCTTTAAGGGTTTACAAGTATTTCAAGCAAATTATCCTTCCTTCTTTTATGCCTGAAAAAAACATTTAAGCAGAGACCCCAAGAATTTAGGGCTCTTTTGCTTCTTTGCCAAAGGACAGTTCTCCTTGATTGGGCTCCGCACAAAATCCAAGACTGGAGCCCCAGACAAACTGGCTAGACGAGCCTGCTCTCAATTGCTTTGCCAACAATGGACCAAAGAACTGGATTAGCGAAAAAATTCTTTCTGTAATTTGATGCAACAGATTTTTCAAAACAATATTTTAATTTGCATACCAAGCCAAATTCCCTCTCAGAGGAGAGATAGAATGCATTCCATTGTGTAAGACAATACTCATTCATTCCCACGCAATGATGTCAGTGCTCAGCAAGCAATGCTCTCTCTGCAATTCTATTTCTTGCCTTTAAGTTTCTATTATAAAATTTTTACCACTTCAGAATCATGCATGATATTGCAAATCTTTCTGTTATCGTTTTTACAAAACCAAAAGAGACAAGGCTGTCACCAACTGCCTCACGCACAATTATTTAATCACTTTTTCCTCTTGGTATGAATAGGATTTCTGAAATCCATCTTCACCTCCCAGGACTTTCTTCTGATACGAATACTGATTTGGATAGTTTACTTTTGCCAGCTTTTAATGTTCAGGGAGCAGTCTCACTGTTTGCTGAAATGATAGGAGGCATTTCAGGGTTGTAAGGCTGAACCCTGGCAGGAATTTTGAGGTTAATGGGAAACACACTGGGCATTTTCTTAGGGGAAATACTCTGGCACAGGGAAGATTAAAGACAAAATGCATTCTAACACATAAATGATATAAAATGGCGTGAAGTAGCATAGCATGGCAGGGAGATTTTGGCAAGAGCTTGTTCATATGATTACATGAAAGATACCAAGTTAAAAAAAACACAATATTCTCTCTCTCTCTCTCCCCCGCCCCCCAACAAACCTGCCTGCCTGCCTATTTTTTTCGAGTTTTATTTTAGACTCAGAGAATACATGTGCAGGTTTGTTACCTGGGTATACTGTGTGATGCTGAGGCTCAGGGTACAAATGATTCTGTCACCCCAGGTACTAAGCATAGTACCTGATATGGTTTGGTTCTGTGTCCCCACCCAAATCTCACCTTGAATTGTAGTCCCCATAATCTCCATGTGTCAAAAGCAGGACCAGGTAGAGGTAATTGAATCATGGGGGTGGTTTCCCCATGCTGTTCTCATGATAATGAGTGAGTCTCACATCTGATGGTTTTATAGGTGCCTGGCATTTCCCCTGCTTGCACTTATTCTCTCTCCTGCCACCCTGTGAAGAGGTACCTTCCACCATGATTGTAAGTTTCTTAAGGCCTCCCCAGCCATCCGGAACTGTGAGTCAATTAAACTCTTTCCTTTGTAAATTACCCAGTCTTGGGTATTTCTTCACAGCAGTGTGAGAAAGGACTAATACAGTATACAGTAGTTAGTTTTTCAACCCTTTCCCTATTCCCTCCCTCCCCTCTCTAGTAATTCCCAGTTTGTATTGCTGCCATCTTTATGTCCATGAATACCCCATGTTTAGCTCCCACTTATAAGTGAAAACACATGCTATTTAGTTTTCTGCTCCTGCATTAATTTGCTTAGGATAAACTGGATACCTATTACATATCCCAAAATTTTAATATTAAAGAAAAAAATTGAATTTCTATTTGAACTCCAACTGTGTGCTACTTCTTTTAATTGTGAAAAGCTTGAAAAATATGGAACAGTGAAGAAAAGAAAATAATACAGTATCAACCAGCCAAAATTAGCAACTACTCACATCTATTCAATATAACTTAGCTATTTTTAAAATAAAAAAGAGCAGTTTAATTTTTAAAAACCCTTGATTTTTTTTTGTGCCCCATTTGCCTTTTCATTATTTAACTTGTTGGGTACTCTTCCAGTACACAGGTTTTTAATTTTATTTCATATACATCTTAATCCCATAATATATCCCAAAACAATACATAATATAGTCTTGTATGTTTTCTAGTATCTACATAAATGCTATTGCAAATAGTATTTATGATACTGAAACTTTATTTTTTTCATTCAGTGTTATACTTTTGAGTCCATCTTTTTTGATACATATAAATCTAGGTTATTTTTAATGATAGCATAACATTCCATTCTATGACTACACTACAGTTTATCTTTTAGTCAGCTAATGAAACCTTCAGCTGTTTTCCATTTTTCACCATTACAAACAGTACTACAATGAACAGTATTGTCCGTGTTTCCTAGGCACTAGGGGAAGAGGTTTTCTTGGGACTATATTAAGGACAGAACTGCTTGATCGGAACATCTGCATATTTTCAGCTGTGCTAGATATTATCAAAATGTTCTCCAGAGAGGTGATAGCAATTGGTATTCCAATTGGCAGCACTGACAGTTTCTGTTTTCCCTAATTCTTGTCAAAACCCTAACTATATCTTTCTTAAAGTATTCCATTCACCCAAGGGTCCCTGGTAAACAACCAAGGTGAGTTTTCTACCCACACCTGGGATGACACTGCAAGCAAATGTCTCTTCCTCTGCTCCCCACCCCCAGCATAGAAACAGAGTGTCTCTTTTGTGTAGAAAACTGCTTTCCCACACAGTAGGGTTATTAGTCATGAAGCTATGAAGGAGTTTCTCTCTATGTACAGTGATTGATCCAAGGGTTGGTATCAGAACATGGCCAATCAGACTTTCTCTTTTGGGGTTAATATGTGCAATGGGAGAGAAAATATCTGCCTTCTTTAAAGAACTGTAGGAGTGAGGACCAAGTTGTTTTTGCTCACCTAAGGATGAAGCCATGGAGAGGAAAAAGGAATCAAGATTATAGAAATTCCACCCCTTGGTATATGCCCAATTGAATTGAAAACAGAAACTCAAACAGTTATTTGTACACCAATGTCCACTTCAGCATTATTCACAGTAGCCAAAAGATGGAAACAACCCAAATATCTATCTACCAATGGATGAATAAACAAAATGCGGTATAGACATATAATGAAATATTACTCCACCACAAAATGAAATAAAGTACTGATTCATGCTACAACATGGATGAACCTTAAAAACATTATGCTAAGTGAAATAAGCCATACTCAAAAGGACAAATATTGTATAATTCCACTTATATGAAATATCTAGAATAGGCAAATGCATAATGACAGAAAGTACATTAGAGGTTGCTGGGGCTTGGGGAGGGGGGAGTTGGGAAGTTAATGCTTAATGGGTATGCAGTTTCTGTTTGGTATGATGGAAAAGATTTGGAAACAAATAGTCACGATGGTTTCATAACATTGCTAATATAATTAATGCCATTGGATTATACACTTAAAAATGATTAAAATAGCATTTCATGTTATATGTATATATTTTATCACAATAAAACATTTAAAAAGGCACAAGACTACTGAAAATTTAAAAAGGAAAAAAGATTAGATGGATAGATAGATATACAGACAAACAGAAAGACACATATGTATATCTCCTTACCACATCATTTGACTCCCTGGATCATACCATGCCTGAAGTCTGCACTAATTCTTTTAACTTTCAGTTACATAAACCAATACATTTTACTTTTAAATCTATTTTGAATTGGCTGGCACTAGAAACTTAAATAATTCTGGATCCTGTTATTTCAGGCATAATAGTGTACAGTTAGGAAGGAAAAGGATATATCTTGACATCTGTTTAGGTTCTAAAAATTTTATATAAACCCCTGATATTAGCAGAAAATCAACCAAATCTTATTCTAGTCTAGTCATGTATGTGTGTGTGTGTGTGTGTGTGTGTGTGTGTGTGTGTGCGTGTTAGCAGAAGCTGGTAATAGCTCGGATAAACATGATTTCATAAGTTCATTTAGCTGCTTGTTACGGGTCTAGCCCAACCATAGTTTTTCCAGATACATTTCTCCTCTGGTTAATGGGCTAAAAAGAATTAAGTGACAAACTGAAGGGGATAAAGGAGAAGAGAGTCCACAAGGATGAGAAGATGAAGAGTAAAAGTGATTATTTTATTCTGCTACCAAACAGAAAATGAAATGATCCAAAATTCTAAGGCAAAAATAATTCTCATATTTTAAGCATTTGTATTGACCTGGAGAGTGGGTGCTCCCTTTTCAAAAGTCACCATCTCTTTTAGAAGATACCAGGAGTCTCCTCCTTTTTTATAAAGGCAACTAATCATTATTCTCCTGATTTCACCTGTCCTTTATAGTAAAGAAATTGACAAGGCCTCAGTGGAAAAAAAAAGAAGAAGGGGCAAGGAAAGGAAGGAAGGAAGGAAGAGAACACCTCCTTGATTTTTATTTTCCTTTAGTTTGACGTTTCTGTCTTCACATAAGTATAGCAACAGACAACATAAATATAGATAGAACAAAATAATTAAGGATTCACAAAACTAGATAGGTAATTTTTGCTTTGAATGAATTATTGAAAACAAAAACAATTATACTTTGAATCTAACAGTTTCTTCTTTTCAGAAATTACACATACAGCAACTGGTAGACTGGCTTGTAATCTTGGTCATGATATGACAGAATGAAGCAAAAAATAAAATAAATAAATTTGCAAAGAGATAAGCTGTAGCCTTAAAAGTATTATTTATTGTAGAATTTCCTTAAGGACTTAAATATGAGTGGTGCACAACAAAGTTGTAAGAGATCCCAAAATAATTGAGTGTTATAAAAATCGCAGAAATGCAACAGTCTTCAGGACAGGCAAGAAAGAGAGAATGGATTTGTGTGTATGCAGTAGGGAGAGAGATGCAAACTGGCAGATGCTAGTGACTCCAATAGGCAAAATCTGATAGTAAATAATAGGTCACATTTTTTTTATAAGTGTTTCCACAATGGCCAGGTTTCAGAAATGCAAATTCAAAAGGAAATTGGGTAAAATACAATAAAAACGAATTATTTGTTCAACATGAAAAGAAAAATGCAAAGAGAAGAAATACTGCAACATTATGAAAGTTGAAACATTATTTTTCCCCTGAATTTCTTTTTTTTTGGCTCTGAAATAGTTCCATAAGGATTGAAAGAAGGGGGAGGAAAAAGGAAGCAGGGGATCTCATTGAAAAACAAACAGGGTTTCCAAAATTCATTTATGCTTCTCTTCATCCAGTTTAGTCCTTTTTCCCTCTCTTTAAATGCTTACATGGGTGCTTTTTCTGCCTGGTATTCATAAGCAAGACATTTTGAAATATGTAGCTTCATACCAATAACAGGGTGGGGTGGGACACCACACAAAGGAGCTTGCCTTCCAAATACAAGCACAAGGAACTGCCTCTTGAAACCTGTAACATTTCCAACTCTGGGCAGGCACAGCTGGCTTCATGTGTCAGTGCTAGGTAAGACCTTCCAAAAGGAAGCAACATGAATGGACTACAATGTATAGTCCATATCTTTTTATAACACAATTGAAAATATTAGCTGATTTTTCCACGTCTGACATTGTGTGGGTTTTCAGTATGCTTCACCTTCATGGTAGTTAGTTCAGTTGAATGAATAATGCCATAGTTAGAGGAAAAAATTATTCAGCAGAAAGGAGGGACAAGTAGGGGATAGGAGGGATAAATGACATGGAAAGTCATTTGATATTCCCAGTTAAGCTTCAGAATTGGGGTTTTGAGGATAATTCCAAACAAAATCCAGACATTGGTTTGGAAAGTGTTTCTTTAATCTGTGTTCTACTTCTGTGGCATTGCAATGAATGTTATCCCAAAACTGTAAATGCTTTCTTCAAACCAAATTTCCTGTGAATTGGCAACAATCAAAGTTTAATTGGAGACAATGCAATTAATGTTGAGAAGGATATATTTGCTCTGAAACTTCTGGAGGAAAACCTATTCTGGTTTGGTAAAATAAAATATGAACCACAGTCATAAATGATTCATCCTCCAAGGTAGTTCTATGATACATTTGAGGGCTCCTTTAAATACTGACATTTTCCCTTGTAATATTAGGCTATAATAATTAAATGTGTTTCAGGGAGTTGGATTCCTTATCTAACATTTATTTTAATTCAAAGTCATGGTCTTAATTTCCTTTGCACAGCTCTGAATTGAGGTAGGAGGCGGGACTTGACTTTGGAGATGGGGCTCTCAGACCCCAGACGAAATTGAGGACTAGCTAAAACAGGGATGGGGTGGAAGCAGCTTTCCACATGACATGCCCACAGTGTGCCACATCAGCTTACCATTGCCATGGCAACACCCAGTTGTTACCACCCCCTTCCATGGCAATAACCCAATGACCTGGAAGTTACCACCCCTTTTCTAGAAATTTCTGCATAATCTGCCCCTTATTTTGCATATAATTAAAAGTGGGTATAAATATGACTACAGAACTGCCTCCAAGCTGCTACTCTGGGCACACTACCTATGGGATGGCCCTGCTCTGCAAGAAGCAGTACCTCTGCTGCTTCAATAAAAGTTACTGTCTAACACGACTGGTTAACCCTTGAATTCTTTCCTGGACATAGGCAAGAATCCTCCTAGGCTAAGCCCCAATTTGGGGGCTCACCTACCTTGCATCATCACCTCATTTTCTCTTCATTTAAGCAGATAGGTTACTGCTTCTATTCATTGGCTCACTATTTAGAAGCAGAGAGCGATGAAATTGTTTCATATGTACATCAATGACTATCATTTGTTAAACAGGCATTCTAGCTGCTTTGTATATTACCTAATTTAATCCTCAAGGCAGTGTTTTCATTGTCATTTCAGAGGAAAAAAACAAGTTTCTGAGGTATTGAAAAACTTGACTGAGGCTAGATTCAAACCCAGAACTGGTACCACCACAGTTCTCACTGCACGCAATTTTCACTGTGCTATGCTATCTCCAAGTGAAAGAAGTTGGCAATGCCATCATAAAGAGGACTATGTGAAACTACCAACTAAATGTTCATTGAGGATGAACAGAACAAGCTATATCAGATTAAAGATTTTTTCTAAAATTTTACCAACAAGAGCTTTAAAAAACATTCTAGAACTGTAACCCCCCTTAATCCTAAATCACTAATATTAGTTTATCTACATTTAAACTATTGGAGGTTTAATTTTTAATATCCTAATTAAGTGCTTATTAGCATTTTTAGAAATATAGTATTTACTACTTAATAAAATTAATAAAAATTGAAAGTATAAGCAAACTTTAAGTTTTCAATAAAATACTTATATTGGACCTGAAGAATATTTCCTACAAGAAATCGAACATGGTCTTGTCATCATCCTTATGCCTGTTTTTCTCTTTACTTCTGAGAAGATCTGGTAATTTATAACAGAACAATATTGAGAAACAGAGGAGGAGAAGCAGTTGTGTTTAACCTGAGAATAAATCAGCACACTCCTGCCACCACTGTCCAGCAGCCCTGCTGGTGTCCAGGAGAGGTGCTGGGAATATTTCAGATGCACTGCCTAATGTGGTGAAATTGTATCTCCAACTCATAAATGCTGAATTAGCTACCTCATCTCTCTTTCTGGTATTTCACAGAGGAGAAAAGTGAAAACAAGGTGTCCTTAGATCAGACCTGGGAAAAAAAGAGGAGGACTTGTTCACCAACTTAAGAATCTGAAAAAAGGTATATTTCTTTTTATTGAATAGGGAGTTATAAATATATCTATAAATAAACATTTTTATGTGATTGAAATATTAACTATCACCAGACTACAATGTGGTATCTTTTTAGCAGACAGTAACACATATTTGAAACAAGGTTCTCAAATGCCATTGTGATTTTCACAATTCTAATAATGAAGTTCTGTTCTATCTTGTATGTTTCCCCAAATGATAGCCCCAAAAGATAATTTGTAACAACATATAGAGCTTACAGTATGCAAATTAAAGTGGAATAATATTCAAGCACCTTTCCCATGTAAGTCCAAATCCATCCCTCCATATTTTCTTGTGTATGATTGAAATGATCTTATTAGATCTTAAGAACATAAAATGAGGTAAAGTGTGATCATCATAGGAAGCATATAATATTAAGGTATATGCATTTTTAAATAATATTCTGATTCCTCCAAAATCCCACAATTTTGTTAACAGTCTGGTATACATTTTTCTACATCTCTCTCTACATCTTTCTCAGGCCCACTGTAACATGTACCTACATTAAAAAAAAAAAAACTTTTTACAAACTTTAAAAAAATAGGACTCTATTACTCTACAATTTGCTTCTATCATTTACCAAAAAATCTTTGATATATTTCTGATTAATACATGAAAGGATTAATTATATTTTAATGGTTACCTAATGCTTCACAGTATGAATATATAGTAATTTATTAAAATGTTCATACTTTTATAGGCACTTTGGCTATTTCTAGTAATAAACTTCTATGAACAATAATTTCTAGTAATTTCTTCCATAAACAATGCTACAGTAAACATCCCTTGCTCTATATATACATCTATTTGTAATTTTATTTCTGGATAAATAAGTCTCCAAATTAGGAGTATTGGGTAAAAGTGTATGTCCATTTTAAAATTAATAGATACTGCCAAAAATCAATAGCGATTTATGCTTGGCTTAATGTGGATACAAATGTTCACATATGGAAATATTTATAGATATGTGCACATACATGGCTTACTTTGCAAACATATATTTCCTAGCTCTGCCAGATGAAAGAGCCTACTAGTAAAAAGCCAATTTAGCACCCAGATCTTGGTTTTTAATATCATTCTCAAATAAAAGAAACCAGGGAGTTTTGGAGAGATGGCTAAGCCTAAAGCTGGTGCAGGAAACACACAAAATGAGCCTGGCGCATCTTGTAGTGCTAGAAGTAAAGAAGTACTAAAAAAACAAACAATCACAATCATGAGAGTATGCCAAAGGGACACAGGAGCCAAGTGAAGGAGCTCCAAATGGCCACAGCTAGGACAATTTGAGCAACAAAATAAATAAAGCAGCACTGGATTATAACCCAAGTACAAAATAAATATCCATGAGTCCAAACTGTTATGAATAAATAATTGAATACAATCCAAGCAGTATTGGATTATAACCCAAAGTATAAAATAAATATCCATGAGTCCATATTGATATAAATAAATAATTGAATAAATAAATACATGGGAGAACAGACAAATCTTACATGTAGAAGAATTCCAAATAATTCTCATAGATCTTCTGCCCCCGGGGGGTAGAAGATAATTTCCTACTTCTTAAATATGATCTATGCATGGTGACTTCCTTCCAAAGAAAGTAGTATGGAAAGGGCCAAAAAAAAAAAAAAAAGAATAACTTAGCAGTGGAGAAACCTGACAAACACTACTCAGCCAGGTGATCAAGCTCAATATCCACATTACAAAGTCACATTGGTAGTACGTGCCACTGATATAACGTGATGAGAAGGGTATGTCACTTCCGTGGTCTTTCTTCCAATAACCCACAGCCCCAGCTAATTATGAGAAACCTCCAGATGAATCCTAATTGAGGGAAATTCTACAAAATACCTGTCAAGGTCATCAAAAACAAGAGAAGTCTGAAAAACCATCACAGCCAAGAGGAGGCCAAAGAGACATGATAACTAAATACAATGGGGCATCTTGGATGAGATCTTGGGTCATAAAAAGGACATTAGGTAAAGATTAAATAAATGTAATAAACAATGGGTTTTAGTTTTAATGCTTCAATACTGATTTGTTACTTTCGAAAAGAATACCATGCTAATGTCAGATGTTAATATTAGGGGCAACTGGGTGCAGAGTATATGGAAACTCTCTCTGTACTATCTTTGTAACCTTTCTGTAAATGTAAAAGTATTATAAAATAATAGTTTTATTATTTTAAATAACAGTAGTTTTAAAAACAGCAACTAACGTGGAAATTTAAAGAAAAATATAATAGCAACAAAATACTTCAAAATACATTTTTAAAAGCAGGTACAGAGCCTACATGAATAAAACCATTAAATTATATTAAAAGAATTAAAACAAGATTTTCTACAGGAAGAATTCCTTTCTGAGAAGACTTAAGGTCACAAAAAAGCCAATCTACTGGTTTAATACTATTTCCATAAAAGTCCAAGCAAAGTTATTTAGAATGTGGGACTTTTTTTTTTTTCTTGATGGAGGGTTGGGAGGTTGAATCAGATCAAAACTGATTGTAAAGTTTCATGAAAATTGCAAGAAAATTTTAAAATGTAATAATGAAGATTTGCTTAATAATGTTTTAAAACATATAATAAAGTTACTATAATGAAAGTGTGGCATTAACATGACAACAGATAAAGAGATCAGTATAACAGAATAGAAAATCCAGAAAACAGATCCAAATATATATAGTATGTGTATATACACACACTTATGCACATGCACACACACACACACAAACACACACATATATATATGAATTTAATGTCTGTTAAAGCAGTCATACCAATTCAAAAGGAAAGGAATAGATGATGCATTTGGAAGGGAGAGAAGAAAGGAGGTAAATAGAACACTACAAGCCAAACTCAAAAGCCAAAGTGCATACAGCATTTTGAAAGGATTGAAGGCATTTGAACAAGAGCACAGGGAGCAGTTTGGGATTAGGGAAAGCAGACAGGAGTATCTTTGGAGAAGGCTAAAATGCCAGCTTGTGTTTAGGCTTTATCCAATAGTGAAAGGAACACTAAGGAAAGATTTGATTGAGACAGAGAGTTGGGAATGGGAGGAGTAGAAGACTCACATTTATTGAGTACTGACTGTGTCTTAGGTTCCGGGAAATTGACATAGGAGGTCATTTACTCCTCATTACAACTGTGTGAGCTTGGTAGTTTTCAATTAGTAATTTGCTGTTGTTCTTGTTAGCATTCATCCCACTGTTTTATTTTTTGTGGTAATACTTACATTGTTACTTTGAAATATTTTCTTCATTTTTAAATATAGAGACAAGAAGTAATCATGCTAATAGTTTTATGTAAAAAGATTTTCCATATAAGAGAACAAAGTTATGATTATAAAACAAAAGAAGCAAAAAAAAAAGTACTGTTCACTTGAGTTGGAAATGTTAATATGAGCTCACAAGTTTAAAAATATGTACTTTCTGGCTCTGTCAACTAAAATGACCTAGGAGCAACAGCATTCTGGTAGAAATAAGTGCCCAAGTCCCTAGATTTTGGCCTCTAATTTCATTCCCCCACTGAAAGGTACTAGTGTTCCTTGGAGAGATGGCCAACTCAAAGTCTGATATAGTGGAAGAGAAGATACAAGATGAGCCTGTGACACCATGTAGTGCCAGAAATCAAGGAAGATTTCAAAGATAAATAGGGTTATTTCAGAAGGAAACTAGAACCAGCTTAAAGAGGCTCCTACTAATCTATGATGAAAACATGAGCATCAAAAAGAGTAACTGTAGTTAAGTGTCCTCATTTTAAAAGTAATAGCTATAGAAATTCAAGCTGGGGAAATTCAGTTATTTTTCCAAGGAAATGCAGTCTTTAAGTACAGTCAATGTTGAATATGAGTTTCTGTGACTCCAAATCAATGTTTCTACCATACACCACGCTTCTCGAGCAATGTTTAACTGAAGAGAAAAGTGCAGAACGGAAGAGAATACAAAGAGGTAGCTAGGAAAAGGCAGGTCAAGAGCCCAAATTTATCTTTCACTGGAAGAATTTTCTAGTAAATAGTCCCATCCGACAAGACAAAAGGATGATTACAAATATCCAAGCAGCAGCTGGATAAGATGGCCTTTTAGAGAAACCACGAAGGTCCCTCCTTGGAATTAATATCCAGATGTCCCAAGTGCTCCTGCTTCATTGTGGCACTTCCCTTTAATATCCCAGGAGAAGTGGTCAAATTCCCATCCCATGTCACAATATATTTCCCTGCCCAGGTATCTTTGACATGGAGATTCCTAAAGATAGTTGTTGACTATTCCTTAAGTTCATTCACTCTGGTGCCCTTGAGGCTACAGCCAGCCTTGGAATTTACCACCTTAATATCTCACAAGCTTTCCCAGCAGGCTGCAATAACTGTTCTCACAACTTTGTCCCCTACAGAGACATTGACCACTCCTTTGATTTCAGAAAGCACCGCTAAGACCAGGCTACAGGGTTTAATAAGACTTTACTGACTACAGGAGCCTAAAAGGAGAGAACTGTAATGCAGAAGAGAAAACGTAAAAATGGATATGAAATAGCGTAGCTCCCAGTGCCCACTACGTTGCAGAATTGAGCCCACCTCCCCCACCCCCATCTACTCTTCCTGGAAAGGCTTTTGACGGTTGCCTCTCCCATATCCACACTCTCCTGGGACCTAGAGAGAGGCAACCAAAGTTTATCCTTGATTACCAGCGTCAGGTATGCTTCCTGTGAGTGTACATCTCTGACCTACAATGAAGAATTATTATGCAGATGGCTTAGAGCTATGACTTCCCTTTGGCATAACCAAAAGAGTTACTGTGGTTGTCTCTTTTCCCCTACAACTAAAGAGCCCCCATCCTCAATGGAGAATCAAAGATCCATTTCTAGCAACAAAATAAACCACAGAAACTTCAACACTAGGGTGTCTTTTTCTCCCAAGACTCAAATATCGCAGGATTAATTTCTTCAATTAAGGCCCAGGGTTAAAATTCCAGGGATTCCTTTCATCCAGATTCAGAAATTTCAGTGAAAGGAAAGCTGTGGCCAAGCATGTGACCTGAGATGAAAAGATCAGCCTTGATACTGGGGGGAGGTAAGGTAAAGATAGGAACCAAACATGATACCCCTCGCCTTTCCAGAGCAAACACCAAGGGACAGGTTACTCCTCCACCTACCCCCACCCATTCTATGATTCAATTAGACCCAAGAACTGCACTTTATTTTGTGTCTCATCTTGAAAACTAGGAAGTTGCACTGATGTATTGTGACCTCAGGGTGGTATAGAGTACAGACATGCAAGTTGGTCTCAGCCATCATCTGAAAACATTCTCCACACCTATCCCCAGCCATCACAGGCTGCTGTCCAGTGTCCAGTTGCTTGCTGCTTGGGAAGGGCAAGCAGTGGGTCTCGGGTCTCTCTCTCTCTGTCTCTCTCTCTCTCTCTCTCTCTCTCTCTCTCTCTCTCTCTCTCTCTCTCTCTCTCTCGATCCAGTGGGGGAAGAGAAGATTTGCACACTCCTCTCTTGTAGGTCTGGCTCTGTGCCCCTGGGGGCTGACCTAAATGGACTTTGTGAATGAGCCTTCCAATGGGGAGTCTCAGGATAGTATCAGAGAAAGTGAAGAGATTCAGTTTGAAGTAGGAATTCCCCCAGTGTTGTAGCTGCAAAGTGATCTTGGTCAGGTTCTGTTAGCTGAAGGTCACAGCCTAGTCAGGTAGCCCTCTTCACTCAGCTCTCTTTGTGTCTGGGTCCTGGAAGCTGATCTCTTCCCTCCACCCTTCTGGCATGGGATGCCAACAGTGTCCACTCACTAGCTTACAGGTAGCGTACCTACACTTGAGGTTTTCACACCTTTGTAACTAGACCCTTTACTAAAGTCTTTTCAGATTACTCAACATGAATGTGCCATTGGTTATACAAGCAGTTTAAAAACTTCTAACTCATGGCCGGGCGCGGTGGCTCACGCCTGTAATCCCAGCACTTTGGGAGGCCGAGGCGGGCGGATCACGAGGTCAGGAGATCGAGACCATCCCGGCTAAAACGGTGAAACCCCGTCTCTACTAAAAATACAAAAAATTAGCCGGGCGTAGTGGCGGGCGCCTGTAGTCCCAGCTACTTGGGAGGCTGAGGCAGGAGAATGGCGTGAACCCGGGAGGCGGAGCTTGCAGTGAGCCGAGATTGCGCCACTGCACTCCAGCCTGGGCGACAGAGCGAGACTCCGTCTCAAAAAAAAAAAAAAAAAAAAAAAAAAAAAAAAAAAAAAAAAAAAAACTTCTAACTCATACCGTTGTGAGATGGATTTGTACTCTCTAGGACAGCTGCCTTCTTGAGGCAGGTATGCAAGCTTTCACGGGGTCCCTTTGGGCCACCCTGACCACAACACCTGTAACGTGACATGGCCTTTTGTCTCACTCACTGTTCCCAGTCCCCTCTTAGCATCTGTCCCAGCATTGCACACAATTGCCTCCTAATGCTGAGGTCCCCTTGCCTAGGGTGATGGACATTCGGATATGTCATCTTGATCCCTTTTCAAGGAAAGCCTTGTTGTGCTGAGAGTGCTGCAGGCAGACAGCTCTCAGCTGGCAGCAACTTGGCAGCAGAAGGCTGCCACGGCCAAGGTCACATCCTTCCCAGGGTGGCCTATACCCAATGGCCACTGGTCAAAGCAAAGGTATAAAATTCCTGTCATTTGGCCCAAGTGCGACCATTATGATGGGCCATTTTACTCCAGAACTCTCCATGGAAATGGCCAAAGCTGACTCTGGGCCTGCATTGAAGCTCAGCTTCCCTCTGCAAATCCCGCTTTCTTCCCCTCCTTTTCCCAGGTGTTGACCCCAAGGGTCATGTGCACACTAAACTATTGGACATGTGCACACTAAACTCCTTCTCATGGTGTACTTACTAGAGAAACCAACTTGTAACACCTTGCTATAAGATTCCTGTTAAAACAACCCTGGGCCAATATTCCCATCACGAGCTCCACAGCTGGTCTCTGGAATCCATGCACTTTGGTGGGAAGGCAGTTCCCTTCCAAATGGAGTCCCCTCCCCTCTACCATAGGCCACTCAGCGTTCCTCAGATGAGTCAGGCACCAGCGCTCTGGGCTCTCCAGTTTCAAGGCACAGACCTCACATTTCAGTGTAGGTTGCACAGATGCTCCCCTCACTAGGACTGGGGCTAGAGGTAGGAGTCTCCTTGCCTTCATTCTTGGGAGTAAGAAATGGGACTCTCAGTGCTACTTCTTCCAAGGAAATCCCTCTACCAAACACCTCTTTCCTCTGTCCCCTTGACCCTTTTATCTGTCAGGTCATTGAGTCTTCTATTCAGGTTTTCCATGGTCTACTTAGAATTATTGTCCTGGTGGTCTCTTGGAGTGTGATGTTCATTGTCTTCATTCCCCAGCCAAAACTGACCCTGGACGAGTCCCCCCTTTTAACATGTTACATTATGGAAATGTTTGAATATGGCAAGAATACCTTTTGGAAGAACTCTAGCAGAGGTCTCTAAGTAGGAAAATGAGTGGCTGGGGGAGAGGGATGGGATTGAGACATACTTTTCCCTCCTTTTTGTCTTCTGGGATTTTGTGCCATGTACATGCATGTTATACCTGTTAGGTTGAACTTTATGGAAATACAATTTTTGATAATTTTTTGGTCAAAGTTTTCTTATAACTTGTCTATACTCAGCATAGTCAAGTGTAAGGAACCACAGGTTCCTTACTATTTGGTGTTTCTCCTACCATCAGATTATAATCATTTCATGTGGCCTAAGCTGTTACCTCTTTCTCTCAAACCTGGAACCTCACTATATAATTTTCCTACTTACATCTTATACACTCTAAGATTGCCTTTAGAAGCAGAATATAAACAGGATGTAATCTAAGGAAGATAGTCACATTCCCATTCTGTCCCACCCTACATCCAAGGTCCCAGTAAATCGCCCTCCTTCAAAACTCCGCTGAAATGCCACCTTCACCCTCAAGTCATTTCTGTATTTCTTTTTACGGCTTCCAGCTCACTGAGGAAAGACTGACCATTTCATTGTGCAGGTACTTATCAGAAAGGATCTCGTATGCAGTATTGTCCTCATGCATAGGCAAATCTTTTTCCTTTATTAGACTATTCACTTTTAAGGAAAATATACAAGTCTTTATATCCCAAATGAGAACAGTGCCAGGAGCAGAACAATAGACAATTGCTGAATGAACAAATGACTTCGTTATAAAAGCTGGCATTATTTTATAGCATAAATAAGTTCAGCAAACCTTTTATGATGGACACTCCTTATTCCGGTATGAGTAAAATATTCTCTCTAAATGTGCAGTGGGACACAACTGTGGAATCATTAGCTTATGCTGACTCACTCAATGGTCCATATATGATAGATGTCTTGGATACACAGTCCTAGCACACAGAAACATACTCTTTCTGAAAACATGCCTCAACAAGGAAGGGTAGCCAGTAAGACCCTGGCTCCTACAGACGACAATTCTGTTACGCTTCATAGCCTCCAAATTTCTATCTTGCTTCTAAGTGATGAGGAATTTCAAGTCTCCAAGGAGAAAAAATAACATGAGAAAACTTTGTCAGGAAACTGCAGGCCCCTGGGGCCAGAGTTTAGAAAACACTTACGCAGGTGAGACTGTTTTCAAGAAGTTTCGACTATACAAATTCCTCTTTGTCAGAGTAACCACATATTAGTCCAAGACAGTTATTATATTTTCTTATTATAAGCATGCACTGTTTTCTGCATCTGGTGCATTTGCCAAATTGTAGATTTATTCCTATTTCTATGCATCTGTGAAAAGAATGTGTGTTCCATCTCATCAGGGAGTTACTTGAAGTCACAGGTTGCTAATTCCAAATGAATAGAAACAATGATTAATCTGGGAGATATGGGCTCACCACTATTTATGTAACAGATGTCCATTATGATGAGTTACACATTTGTTCCATGTTTACACTAGAATACAAAAAAAGAGGATTCAACTATTTTGTAAAAAAGAAAGAAAGAAAAAGAAAGAAAAAGAGAAAAAGAAAGAAAGAAAAAATAAAGAAAAAGGGGGATGTGGGAAGGTAGGGAATTAAAAAAGTACTTGAAAATGTTTATTCAGGTGCCAGGTTAGATGCCACAGAGACATACAGTATGTCTGGAGGGTGGCAGGTAAAAAGCTGAGGGGAGGTAGAGAGCTAGGGGAGAGAGGGAAGTGGGGCTCAATGTTCCTGGCTTCATTTCAGGGTGTGGAGATTAACTCAGTCAATCTCACTTGGCTGACAGAAGCATTAATGCCAAAACCGGCAATTTCATCAGCATCAGTTACACAGAAGATGGGATTTCAGAGGAAAGCACGAGAAAAGGGAGAATGATGTATGTGATTTTATTCAAATAATTAAAAACAAAGTTGGCAGTCTATCTTCCTGTCAAGAAGAATAAATATCAGACTATGGAGTTGGAAGAAGTGCAAGCAGCTTCCTCTGCTCCATATTAACTTTGGTCCAATACAAACTTTAGAGCTGACTCTTCACACAAACAAAAATCCTTTTCCAATGATTCTCCCATGTGTTTTTTCAGTTACTCTGTGCAGCAAGAGGACATGAGCCAGAGGTAAGTGTGGAGGAGGGTACCGGACTGAGCCACACTCACGCTGTTAGAGTGAGGGCCACAAATACTACTTCTCTATAGCTGAGCAAAAGAAAGGACTCTAGAAATTTCCTTTCTCTCCTTATTTTCATCCTGTCCTCATAAGCGCAGGCCCTGAATCAAAGCAGGGCCTGGCCCATAGTAGGAACTGCATAGATAAGTAGATAGATAGATAGATAGATAGATAGATAGATAGATAGATAGATAGATACATAGATAATAAATATATAATGCATGCATTTAAACATGGATTAAATTAACATGGGTTGGACTTAACTAATGACATATGCACATGGATGGATAATATTTATTAATGGATTCATTATCTTATATACTATATTTGCAGCCTAACTGAATTATAGCAGAAGCAGCATCGTAACTGAAAGTTCAAGAATCCCTTCTGAATGTCATAACATGGCTGCTATGTGTTCTAAATTATACCTTTCCAGAGAGTTTCTTTTTTATTAATTTTATTAATAAAAAATAAAAATTTGACTAGATTCACTAAAGGGTATTGCTCATAAAACATTTTAATAAACATTTCTCTGTATTTCCAGTAAACTCTTAAATTGCTTTTTAACTACTTCCAAAACATTGAATTTAAGATGCAAAATGCTTCACTTTTACATCGAAACCTTTCTTTTTATTATTTAATGATTACAAGAGAAATGAATAATCCTCTCTGCATTTGTAACATGCCCAAGTCCAATTAGAGAGCAGAACTATTCTTCAGAAAAGTCCTAAATTGATTGGACTGCTGGGAGCCATACAAGGCAACAACAATATACATATCAACCTTAGGCAATGCAGGAAGGGAAACACTGCAAAGGTAATCAGATGATTATGGAGGAACTCAGCTACTTAAAAATGGCACATTGTTGTCCAGATTGGAAGTGTGAGTGCTCTGAGCCTGTTAAAAGGTTCTTTCAGGCATCCAAAACCTCTTTGCCAAAAAATTAATAATCTTATTTAGTCTAATCCCACCAAGTTAGCCAAGTTGATGAAGACAGAAAAAGACTCAATTTTTGAAGGAGGTGGGAATTCGGATAATACAAGTGTCAGCAGAGGTTTTCTGTGAAGGGCCATATAGAAAATATTTTTTTTGGCTTTGTGTACCATTTGGTCTCTGTCACAATCACTCAACTTTGCCATTGTAGTGAATGCATCCATGGACAACATGCAAATTAATGGGCAAAGTTGTGTCCCAATAAAATTTTGTTTATAAAAGCAAGTGGGCAAGCTGGATTTGCTTCACAGGACATAGTTTGCTGACTCCTAGAATATTATGTAGATGGCTCTCCAAAACAGACTGAAGCCTAAGAAAAGACGCAGATCTCAAGGTCAAGTTGAAAATTATAGTGTTTTTAAGTTCCTTGTATTTTAAAATGTGCTTAGCAGTACCTTTACTTCTTGTATAGATCTTATGGTGTTTGCCTTCCAATAGAATTTTCCTTAAATTCATCTTTTAGATGTGCATGTCTTTTATCAAATTGTCTGCATAAGCTTGAATTCAGTAAAAAAAAAAAAAAAAAAAAAAAGAAAAGAAAATCATTTTAAGCATTCCAGGAATAAAGAAATTACTACAAGTATTAGTCACATGGATATTGGAATACCTGGGGTATTAGGGTCAAGAAAGTTTTGACCAACCATCAGAGCATCAGACACTGAATATTTTAGCCTGACACACCAAAGTGGGTGGTTAGCAAAAACTTGACAGAAAACTGCTCCCACTTGCAAGAATATCTGAGAAACCTTTGACTAACTGTTTCAGTTTGCACCAGCAGAGTATCTTGTTCTCATGTACTCCCTGCAAAGCCAATCTAAGTCTCCTGCCTGCCTACCATGTAGCTGCAACCACCCCAAGCATAATAGCTTTTGTTTATCTTTCAACCCTCCAAAAAATAGATTATGTTACTCTCTCTGGCAAACTAACTCAAGAATGCACAGGGAAAGGGACAGAAAATATATAGCACTCTACTTCTCTCCTGCAATGCAGAAGAGCTCTTAGAAGAAAATGGTAGTGATATCTACTTGGCAATGGACAATCCACCACAGTTTGCCCCTTTGTCAATGCAGCAGCCATACACACCCTTCTTACCCATTTTTAACTTCCATATAAAGTAAACCACATAATGTTTCTGTCCTACTTGATGCAACTATTCTTCATACATCCAAAACCCACTCACACTTTCCCCCAAAGTGAAGCCACAAAGTCCTATTTGTTATTTTATCCATAACTGGTTGATCTTTATTTGCCTTCTAGGTCGGTCACAATAGCTGTTTATCCTGCAATTTAAATATTGAAATATGGGCTTAACTCACCCCTTATATTCTGTGACAGACAGAGGAATACAGGACAAATATCATTAATATGTACAGATATATTCATATCAAATAAGGAAGAAAATATACCTATTACAATCTGCATTTCTACATCTGATCACATGGCCCTTGTTAGTATCTACAATTTTATTTTTCTACTACTCATGGGGATCTTAGACACCCAGAAGAGTCAAATGAGGTCATTGTCCATCCTGAAGGCCAAGTTGGGATTTGCAATTCTCCAGTCATCACCAGGTGATGTGTGATAGTCCAGTTCAGGTCTCCCTAACTGCCGGGGTACCTAAGAGAGCCCAACGCCTCACCTGCTCAAGTCACCCACTTCTGGGCAGTTTCCTGGCTCAAAGGAGGCAAACAGCCTACAGTCGGAAGTTCCAAGGAGGGGAAGAGATCCACCCATGCTTCTGTATTCTCATATACACTCCTCCCACCTGTGACTCTCATTTTTTAACCTTTAAATCTGGTCCCTGGTCCACTTGAGTGGTATAAAGTCTAACTCTGTCTCTCCCACTCACTGTGAAATCCAATAGATTTTACAGAGAATATCTTCATTCAAATTACACCTAAAAGGCATGTATTAACTCTCTTTGATCTAAGCTGGATAGTGGAGTTGATTACAGGCTGGGGTTCATGGATTTAGATTCTGCATGAACACATTTTGCTTTGTACCAAGAAAAAGCCTATTTCAGGACTTCAAAGTCTAACTCCTCCTGGCCAGCCAGTTCTCAATGTGTGCTGGTGGTCAAGGGCAAGGATAGTTTGTGTGATGTTTCAGTGCAATCCCTCCCTCATTCCTAAGAAACCAAAACAGAAAAATTTTCCCTTAATGATAGACTTACTGGGCAAGAGATAATGAGATTCTTCTTTATTTAAAAAAATGGTCAAAATGTTAGTATCATCTGAATAAGCTTAGTCAATAAAACTCCCCAAATACCCAGGCTAGAATGCCCATTTCGAAATTATCTCCCTATCCCACATGCAGGTGTACACACACACACACACACACACACACACACACACTTTTTTCTTAACCTCAATGCAATAAAGATCTGGGGATATTGAGTATCAAGATCTTTGGAATGTCAGAGTAAGGCACCAGAATTCTTGTTTGCATGAGGACTTTCTAGAGGTCAGTGTTCCTCTAACTCTCTTAATGATAAGAAGCATCAATGACACTTGTTAAAAATACAGCTTCTCAAGTGCCTCTCCTGGAAATTCTAACTCAGTGGAAGGGAGCTATGCTCCGTCCCTGGGAAAGCTTTAGAAAAAATACAGATTTCTAGGTCCCCAACCCAAACACACTGAACCTGAATTTCTAGGAATGGGCCCAGGAAACTGTGGTTGTAAAAAGTTCCTTGGGATATTAAACAAAAATTAGTCAGCTTTGGGGTTTGCTAGGAGAAATAGTCAAGATTTTAGGACTGATTGTCAGATTCTAAGACTAAGGTTTTTTGTTGTTGTTGTTGTTGTTTTGTTGTTTTGTTTTTGTTTTGTTTTGTTTTGCTTGAGACAGGGTTTTGCTCTTGTCGCCCAGGCTAGAGTGCAGTGGCGAGATCTTGGCTCGCGACAACCTCTGCCTCCCAAGTTCAAGCAATTCTCCTGCCTCAGCCTCCCGAGTAGCTGGGACTATAGGCACGCACCACTACACCTGTCTAATTTTTTGTATTTTTTAGTAGAGACGGGGTTTCACCATGTTTTGGACAGGCTAGTCTTGAACTCCTGACCTCAGGTGATCCGCCCGCCTCAGCCTCCCAAAGTGCTGGGATTACAGGCGTGAGCCACAGCACCCGACCCAGATTCTAAGAATAAGATTCTTAAGCAAAGAGTCTTAAAGCCAGAGTCAATCTCAAGGGAAGGTTGATGTGTGTTTCTGAGCAAACAGGAAATTACCATGAAGTAGAAAGACGGAGAAAATGCATTGGCCCACCAAGGTTCACTCTCCTTGCTTTTTTTATTTAAAAAAAAAAAAAAATCTCCTCTGCCTTTCTCCAATCTGGCTGCAGTCCTATTTGAACATTTGAGCAGTTAAATAAGGCTTTAAACACTTCCCTCTAATCAATCAGCAAATTATTTCCTTCTCCTCAAGATGTCACTTTCAATTTTAAAAAAGACATATGCCGTTTTTCTCTTGACATTTTAAGTTTTTCAAATTTCAGAAAATGTTCAATAATAGCAAAATAAACAACCATATACCTAAATTCACCAATTGCTCATATTTTGCCACATTTGCTTTGTTCTCTCTCTCTCTATTTGAGTGTAAGATGAAGCTGATCTCACAGTACTTCATCCCTAAATTCTTCAGCATACACTCTTATGAACAAGATATTATCTTATTATCCTACTAAACCACAACACTGATACCACACTGAGAAATTTAATATTGATAAAATAACATTACTTAATGTTATTTTAAGTATTTTATGTTATTTAAATGTTAAACATTTAAATGTTACTTAAAATAACATTATTTAATATACAATCCATATTTATTCTTCATATTCACCGAATCATGTACTTCATGACTGCTTTCAAAAAATCATCCAAGATCCAATAAAGGATTACCTATTGCATTTAGTACACCAGGAGAGGGAATCTTGGAGGTCATCTTAGTATTCCGCCTATCACAAATTAGCTTATTACTCCTTGGTAATACTCTGCTATGAAGTCTACTGTGTTTGATATTAAGATAGCCACTCCAGCTTTCTTTTGATTAGTCTTGTTTCTTTCCATCCACTTTTACCTATTTCCATCTTTATATTTAAAGTTAGATAATTGTAGGCAGCATGTAGTTGAATCTTGCTTTTCTATCCAATCTGATAATCTCTGCATTTAAATTGGAACGTTTAGGCCATTTATATTGAAAGTGATTATTAATATGATTAGACTTAAGCATATCATCTTGCTCTCTGTTTTCTATTTGTCTCATCTGTTCTTTGTTCTCTTTTTCCTCTTCCTTTGCCAACTTTTCAATTAATTATTTACTGTGGTTCTATTTTATCTCCTCTGTTAACATACTCATTAAAATCCTTTGTTTTGTTATTTTGGTCACTGATTTAGGTTTCATAGTGTACATCTTTAACTTATCACAGTCTAACTTCAAGTGTTTTTATTTTTTTTTTAGAAACTTTTATTTTAGGTTCGGGGTACATGTAAAGGTTTCTTACATAGGTAAACTCATGTCATGGGGTTTATTGTACTTATTATTTCATCACCCAGGTATTAAGCCCAGTACCCAATAGTTATCTTTTCTGCTCCTCTCCCTCCTCCCACCCTCCACCCTCAAGTAGGCCTCAGTATCTGATGTTTCCTTCTTTGTGCTCATAAGTTTTCACCATTTAGCTACCACTTATAAGTGAGAATATATGGAATTTGGTTTTCTGTTCCTGCATTAGTTTGCTAAGGATAGTAGCCTCCAGCTCCATGCATGTTCCTGCAAAAGACATAATCTCATTTTTTATGGCTGCATAGTATTCCATGGTGTATATGTACCACATTTTCTTTTTCCAATCTGTCATTGATTGGCATTTATGTTGATTTCATGTCTTCACTATTGCGAATATTGCTGCAATGAACATTAACGTGCATGTGTCTTCATGGTAGAATGATTTATATTACACTGAGTATATACCCAGTAATGGGATTGCTATGTTGAATGGTAGTTCTGCTTTTAGCTCCTTGAGAAATCACCATGCTGCTTTCCACAATGGTTGAACTAATTTACACTCCCACCAACAGTTTATAAATGTTCCCTGTTCTCTGCAACCTCACCAGCCTCTGTTATTTTTTGACTTTTTAATAATAGCCATTCTGACTGGTGTAAGATGGTATCTCATTGTGGTTTTTATTGCATTTCTCTAATGATCAGTAACACTGAGCTTTTTTTCATATGCATGTTGGCTGCATGGATGTCTTCTTTAGAAAAGTATCACAGAAAGAATAAAACACCTAAGAATACAGCTAACCAGGGAGGTGAAAGGTGTCTACAATGAGAACTATAAAACACTACTCAAAGAAATCAGAGATGACACAAGCAAATGGAAAAACATCCCATGCTCATGGATAGGAACAATCAATGTCATTAAAATGGCCATACTGCCCAAAGCAGTTTACAGATTCAATGCTATTCTTGTCAAGCTGCCAATGACATTCTTCACAGAACTAGAAAAAACTATTTTAAAATTCATATGGAACCGAAAAAGAGCCCGAATATCCAAGGCAATCATAAGCAAAAAGAACAAAGCTGGAGGCATCACGTTACCTGACTTCAAACTATACTACAGGGTCACAATAACCAAAACAGCATGCATGGTACTGGTAAAAAACAAGCACACAGACCAATGGAACAGAATAGAGAAACCAGAAATAAGGCCACACACCTACTACCATCTGATCTTTGACAAAGCTGACAAAAACAAGCAATGGGGAAAAGACTCTATTCAATAAATGGTGCTGGAGTAACTGACTAGCCATATGCAGAAGATTGAAGCTGGACTCCTTCCTTATACCACATACAAAAATCAACTCAAGATGGATTAAAGACTTAAATGTAAAACCCAAAACTTTAAAACCTCTGGAAAATAACCTAGGCAATACCATCCTGGACATAAGAACAGGCAAAGATTTCATGACAAAGACACCAAAAGCAATCATAACAAAAGCAAAAATTGACAAGTGGGATCTAATTAAACTTAAGAGCTTCTGTACAGCAAAATAAACTAACAACAGAGTAATGAAACAATCTACAGAGTGGGAGAAAATATTTGCAAACTATGCATGTGACCAAGGTCTAATATCCAGCATCTATAAGGAACTTAAATTTTTAAAAGAAAAACAAACAACCCCATTAAAAAGTGGGCAAAATGGTGATTATTACACCATTTCTTATATAGCAGAAGAAGCTTCCAATAGTATATTTCTATTTCTCCCCCTCCCAATCTTTGTGCTGCTGTTACCATACATTTACTTCTACCTATGTTATAATACACATATGACAGGATTAATTTTTTTTAATTATACTTTAAGGTCTGAGATACATGTGCAGAACGTGCAGGTTTGTTACATAGGTATACATGTACCATGGTGGTTTGCTGCACCCATCAACTCATCATCTACATTAGGTATTTCTCCTAATGCTATCCCTCCCCTTGTCCTAAATACTAACTGACTGGCCCCGGTGTGTGACGTTCCCCTCCCTGTGCCCACATGTTCTCATTGTTCAACTCCCACTTATGAATGAGAACATGTGGTGTTTGGTTTTCTGTTCCTGTGTTAATTTGCTGAGACTGATGGTTTCCAGGGTTATTATTTTTATTTAAGCATTCAATTATCTCTTAAAGAAATTTAATAGTAAGAAAAAAACTCTTGTATACTTATCACATATAGTGACCATTTTGAATGCATTCTTTCTCTTTGTGTAGATATAATTCCATTTGTTATCAGTTTCCTTGTGCCTGATTTTTTTTTAACTTTTCTCATAGTGTGGGGCTGCTGGTGGTAAATTCTTTCAGACTTTGATGTCTAAAAGTCTTTCACCTTTATTTTTGAAAAATAGCCTCATTGGGTATAGAATTCTAGGTTGACAGGTTTTTTTTTTGTTTGTTTGCTTGTTTGTTTTGTCCCACCCACCCCTGGTATTTCGAAGATGCAAATCCACTGTCTTCTTGATTGCATTGTTTCCAGTGAGAAATCTGCTGTCATCTTTATCTTTGTTCCTCTGTATGCAATGTATCTTTAGTGTCTTTATTTCTCTGGATGCTTTTATGACTTTTTCTTCATCAGAGGTTTAGTTAAATTTGACTATGATGTGTCTTAGTGTCATTTTCTTCTTTTTTATGCTTTAGGTTTATTGACCTACTTAGATATGTGAGTTTATAGTTTTATATTTTTGGCTATTGTATTGAAATTTTTTCCTATAATCCCTCTTCCCCCTTCAGGGAATCCAATTGCACATATATCTTAGGCTGTGTGAAGTTATCACACAGATCACTGATGTGCTGTTCATTTAAACAATTTTTCTGTATGTTTTATTTTGGATAGCTTTTATTGACATATCTTCACATTCACTAACCTTTTCTTCTACAATGTCTACTCTGTCACTATTCCCATGTGGTCTACTTTGTCTCCAACATTGCAGTTTTGGTCTCTAGAAGTTTGAATTGGGTCTTTTCTATATCTTCCATGTCTCTACCTAACTTTTTGATCCATTTGGGTCTTGCTCTTAAGATTTGTTAGGCGGGGCCAGAGTTGTGTTTAGAACGAATTATTCTTCCATTATTGAGGCAAGATCCTTCAGAGTTTACCATCTAATGCTTCATGAATTATGAGGTTTTCTAAGTCTTGCTGGTGGAATAGGCACTATTCCCATGCCAGTGAGAGTGCTGCATATCACTGCCTGTAATCCTTTCAGGTCATTATTTCTCTGGTTCTGGGTAGCATCCTCACATGAATACACTGTCAGTACTGTGATGGATATTCTGCAGGTATCCAGAGTCCTATCTCTGGGCAGCTCTCTCCTCCCTGGTACTCTTTTCTGTGAATTCTAGCCTTGTTGTTCTCCCTGGACTCTCAGCTCCACCTCCTCATATCATGGAGTTCATCAAGCTCCACCGACCCCCTTCCCCAGCATGATGGTCTGGAAATTCTCCCAAGGCAGTAAGCTTGGGAAATCATAGAGTTCACTTCATTTATCATCTCTCAAGGACCACTGTCCTTCATTAGCTGATATTAGTGTCTTGAAAATCACTACTTCATATATTTTGTGTAGTTTTTTTTGTGTTATTTCAGGTAAGAGGGTAAATCTGGACCTTGTTATTCTATACTAGTCTGAAGTACAAGTCCATCATTTTTAGTTTTGTTCTGTTTGTTTTGTTTTAAACAATAAATAAATTAGGTCAATCTCTTGGGGACCTTCACTATACAACATTCTTTTAACCTACTTTATTATACTCCCTATTTTAGAAAACCATGCCAACAAACACATTTCAAATGTTGATTAGTCAGAAGTTTCACAAAGTTAGGTGGTTCTTTCCTTAATTAATCAGAAGAGTAAACTTTTCTTGTAATAACTCACACAAAATCCATGCTGATTTATAAACAATATCATCATAAAGCTAATATCAAATACAAATAAATCATAGATAGCCTAAGTATTGAAACATTTTAGACATTTATCAAAGAGTTGGAATACTATAAATCAGCTCAATATTCAGAATCCCCAGAGTCAACATTCTAGCTCCCACATGATTTTTTTGGTGTCTGTTTATTTAGAACACAGGCTGAGTTCACTATGAACAGCTTCAAACTGAAAAGGTGAGAGTTAAGTACATTTCAGTGTTTGTAGTTTTTTCCTTCTCAGCTTTCTTCCATCAAGGCTCTTCAGATCATTGCTGTCAAAGTCTGTCTCCCTCCTTCATTTTTTAGCCCTGTTATAGTCTATCTTCGGCATAACTATATCCTGTTATAGTCTATCTTCGGCATAACTTCTAACTCTGAGTCCTTTACCCACCATTAGTTGGGGTCTGGTTTGCTTGCAAAGAATGCATCATTCCACCATTGTAAGCATGTATGTACATGTAAACAAAACAGAACAAAATCCTTGATAGGACAAATCTCACTGCAACTGATACCATCATAATAAAAATTTTCATATAATACAGGTTTTTCAATCTCAAATATTGATTCCATTTATTTTAAGTAATGTTGAATACACACACACACACAAAGAATTTTATAGGACAGATAAAAATGGCTTTCAACTGGTATAAGACAGTGGATTAAAGTATCAGAAGGACCTGGGTTCCACTTTTGCTCTACCCTTACTGTGATTCCCTTATCATGTTATTTAATATCTCTAAGCATCAATTTCCTCATTGGTAAAATGTACACAATTATAATTTTATCAAGAAAAATTATCTAAAAGTTGAATAAGGTTAAAAGGGTGCGGCATGACCTTTCAAAATTTTACCAGAGCACTGACTGGTGCTAAAAGTTACTTCATTATCTAGGGAATGTACCTGTGTTTGACTTTCTATTTTCTATTTGGTTAGAATTTAGATGACTGAAGTTACGTTAATTCATAAATTTCTATCCAATAGAAAAGATAACATCAAATACTGTGGTTTTATTGCTTTGAAGGATATTAACCAGTTTTAAATGTAGCCTCAAAATCTTATTCAACACTTTTTTTTCCCTCAAAATGTCTATAAATACCAGATTCCTCAAAATGCTCTTGGAATTAGTTTAATTTTGTAATGGTTCCAATCATTAATGAGTTAAATGACTGTTTGGAATGTTTTCATTCCGTATGTATATGACATTCATGTTTTTAACTTGTTAAAAATTATACTTTAACCGTACCTATATCATCAGGTTGTTACGATAATTAAATAAAAATTAATATAAAGTAATTAATAAGGCCCTAACACATTTTAATCAATGAATGTTAGCTATTGTTATTATCTATTATTAAATGAAGTTTGGTTCACAAGAAATAAAAAATATATTATATGCCAAACTTCACCTATAGATACCCATGAGGTTAAAACAAAATAAATAAAACAAAGAGAATATTGATTTCCTTTGGGACTTTTGAGTCTTCCAGTGTCTAGCCCAAGGAATCAAGCTTTTGAATCAGTAGCCATTTTCATGGATGATGCTGGGACTTATATTTATTGGGATACATAATCATAAACAGAATAAATATTGTCTCATAAAGAAAAAGAAATATAATTTTCCCACTTCACATGACTGATAATAGATAAAATAGCTAAAAATTGATTAAAGTAAAAATTAATATTTTTCCTTTAAATCCTGCCTTGATACACCCAACTGCTATCTTTCATTTTATTTCCTTTAATTTTAATGAGTTATCCCGATTTTTTTCCAAAAGTTTTTTTGTTTGTTTTTTTCCATTGTTGTTGTTTTTTTTTTTTTTTTGGAGACAGAGTCCTGCTCAGTCACCCAGGCTAGAGTGCAGTGGCGTGATCTCGGCTCACTGAAACCTCCACCTCCCAGGCTCAAGCCATTCTCCTGCCTCAACCTCCCGAGTAGCTGGGATTACAGGAGGCCGCCACCACACCCAACTAATTTTTGTATTTTTAGTAGAGACGGTTTCACCATGTTGGCCAGGCTGGTCTTGAACTCCTCACCTCAGGTGATCTGCCCGTCTCAGCCTCCCAAAACGCTGGGATTATAGGTGTGAGCCTCCGTGCCTGGCCTTTCCAAAAGTTTTGAATAGCTATATCCTTCACTCCTTCGTGTGATTTCAACAACTGCTAAATACAGTGGTGACTTCCCTCCAAAAAAATTGTCCCCTAAAAGAAAGTAAAAAATAAGAGGGCTGCATGATCAATTTCTCCAATTTCATTATGATTTTGGTTCCTGTTTATGCTCGAATAACTTTCTCAGATTATAAATCCTCAAAAAGAACTCAGTCAATTTTAGGTTTTGGGGGTTTCTTTATTTTTTAGATACTGGCCCAGGAGTTAAATCAGCTTTGGCTCAGAGGAACCAATTGAATTGAATCAACTGAATAATTGAATAAACATTGAAACAGCACTCCAGAAGCAATTCCTATCCATACTGATGTCTAAAGAACAATGAAAAAGCATCTATAGAAAGAAATACAAGTACTGGAGCTAAAAATTTCCACATACAAATGAAACTGGGATTTACTCTGCACTGTACACAAAACCAGAGCCTGGGTCATCAAATACTTTTTAAATACCTTCAAATATTGAAACACAATGCAGGAACCTACTTAATTCATTTTAAAAAGCAAATAAATGAATATAGAGACTTACATCAAGGTTAAACATTCAGCTGTTGTTCAGTTCCAGTGAACCAAAGAAGTGTACACTGAATTTAAAATAAAATGAAGACACATAATATATGAGGTACTGAAGTGCTCTTTACATTTGCAGAGCTAGCTTATGCTTCCAGACAAGTTCAGACATACATGTACATGGATACACACATACTTGTGTATATGCGCATGCATTTATACATATGTGTAATATATGTATATATATTCACACACACACACATTTCCTAACCAAAAAGGAAAGGCTTATTGTTTTCATGTTGAGCCTTTGAAATAAGACATTAGCACTGAGCAAGTGGAGAAATCAGAGTGGAAGTAGCCATCATTCAACATTACTCCCAGATCCTTGCCACTCAAAATGTTGTCTCTGGCTCAGCAGCAACAGTATCATCTGGCACCTAGTTAGAACCACCCCACACCTCTCAGAACAGAACCCAAGTTTTTACCAGATTGCCTAATTTATGTGTCCAAATTAAAGTTTGAGAAGTGCTGCCCTGGATATGTGCTGTCCATTACCAAAGTTACTAGCCACATGTATCTGTTCAGCTATTGAAATGTACTTATTGAGACTGAGAGATTGCATTGTAAAAATTTAATGAATTAAAATTTAAAAACTCATACTCAATTCAGTTATTGGAATACTTTTCAATACGTTTGAAACAACTTAGGTACACGAATCTAAATATAGATAAGTATTTCTGGTGAAAATATAGCATCCAAATTAAGAAGTAAGCATAAAATACACACCAGATTTCAAAGACTTAGTATAAAAACATTTACGTAAAACATGTCATTGAAAATTTTATGATTACAGGTTAAAATGATAAAATTTCAGATATGTTGGGTTACATTAAATATGTTCTTAAAATTCATGTGCTTGTCTTTTACTTTTCAAATGTGACTACTAGGAAACTGCAGCTCACATTCTATTTCTACTGGACAGCATTCCTTTCGATCCATGGTTCTCAAATGTAAAATTAGTGCCTGGCTCCCACTCCCAGATATTCTGGTAAAATTGGTCTGGGGTTGAACTGAGCATTGGGATTTTTAAACTCTTCCTGGTGATTCCATTGAGCTTCCAAAGTTTGAGAACCACCACCCTGGATTAATAACAGATTCATTAATTCTGACTAATAAATAATGGCCTCATAAAGTCTTTATATCTTTTGGGAACTCCCATCATTCTTCAACTAAAATATAGAGCTGGGAAAGTAGTACCATTTCTTAAGATCAAAAGGCTGGAAGTTTGGGTGATATTATTCTCCTTCAACTTCAGGCAGAGTTAAATATACCCAACCAGATGAAAATCAATGTTCTTTAATATCTTCAGAAACTGGCCACCAGTTATTTCAGCAGTTCATTTCTATATCTAATGTAGTGGATCTTAGACTTCTGTGCATTTAGAATAATCTCCTTGATAGTTTGTTCAAAAGCAGATTGCTGGGCCTTAGTGAGTCACAGGAGTTCTGTGGTAGGGTGACCAAGTGTCCTGATTTGCCTGGGACTTTTCTGGGAATTGCTCGGTCCTGGGCAAAGAGGGGCAGTGGATCACCCTAACCCAGGGAAGTGCATTACTAACAAGCAGTCCAGGTGTTACTTCTGAGCACAGTTTGAGAACTACTTCTAGAAACACAGGCTCTCAAATACTTTTTCAGTGATACTCTTTCTGGATTAACCAACTGTCCTAGGAACACAACCAACGAAGTTATACAAATAACCAGTTCAGCAAACAACTGATTGTGGAAATTGTTCTAATATAATTAAGCATGTCATCAAATTGCTTTAAAGTGTATGAAAGAACTATAAAGAGATCACCCTGATAGCCTTGATGAGAACAATTCCATTGTCAGAAATTTAGCAGATTGAGACCAGGGAGGCAAAGTAAGTATGTGGCTTGAAGTCATGTCAACACTGAGTTTGAATCACAGCTTCTGCCATTTGCTAGCTGTGTAACTTTCAGGAAGTTCCTCAACCTCTCTGGATCTCAGTGTTTTCATCTATAAAAGATGAATAATTTATACTTACACTGAAGGCTAAGGATGAGAATGAGAAATAATGCACTACATCAGATGAATCCCAGCTGAGGGACATTCTACAACATACCTGACCAGCACTCTTCAAAGCTGTCAAGGTCATCAAAAAGAGGGAAAGTCTGAGAAATTGTCACAGCCAAGAAGAGCCCAAAGAGACATGATAATCAAATGTAATGTGGAATCCTAGATGAGATCCTGAACCAGAAAATGTATATTAGATAAAAACTAAGGAAATCTGAATAAATCTTGGGTGTTGGTTAATATTATTGTATCAAAATTGGTTTATTTCTTGTGACAAATGTACCATACTAATATAAGGTGTCAATAAAAGAACAAAATGGGGGTAGGGTGAATGGAAACTCTCTGTATATCTCTGTGACTTTTCTATAAATCTAAAACTATTCTGAATTTAAAAGCTTACTACCCCCAAAAAAGTGTCTAGCATAGTAGTGTCCAGGCCAGAAGTACACAGTTAACAATTGTTGTTACTAATTTTGTGAATTGTACATTAGAAATGATGCTAACAAGAAGAACATCATCTTGATTCAACATCTTTAGGAGGAACTATGAGCTTGAAACACTTGGACATCAGAGTTGAGAGAAGAGGACAAAAGGCAAGATGAATGGGCATGAAGACCCTCAACCATGTTACTTCTGATTGGCTTTCTTTCTGGCATTATTCAAATTCTGTACTTATTTTATTCATTCATCTGTTCTCTGCTTTGAGCCCAACGTCTCCTATCTCTGCCCCAGAATATAAGCTCCTTGGAGGCAGAGACTTTGTCTTTGTCACTTCTTTATCCACCATACCCAACACAGCACCTAACATAGCATGGAAATTTTATCTGAATTTACTACACTGAATGAAACGATTCCATTGGACATCAAAGGGCAGAGGCAAACACTCTGGACTGGATCCAGAGTCCTTTTTATACATGTTTTCTTCTCCTAGCTTCCTCGTAGCTCCCCACCTTTCAAAAAAAGAAAAGCAAACAAATACCAACCCCACTCTACTGACCAAGTAATTTACTTTAGGGAAAGAAAAGACTTCAACATTTGGGTCCAGATTTGCTCTCTTACGTTCTAGCTTACATTTGCAAATATGGGTGACATGGCTGAAACAGAAATGTCTTGGTAATTACTTGTGCTATATCACACCTCGTGTTTTCTAGTCAATTTAAGCCTCACAAAAATTTTGTTACATAAGCAGGGCAGATGCTTTTACCTCCACTATAACAAGAGATATAAAATATAAAGCTTTATATAAAAGAGATATAAAATTTTTATATGAAAAGATTATTTTTATAAAAAGATGTTTTTTAAAAGAAGGAAGGAATTTAAGGTGGCATCATCGTTTACCCAGCTAATTCACAGGGGATTATATTATTCTTCCGGGGCTGCCATAAAAAAAATCCCACAGACAGTGATTTAAAAAACAGACTTGAATTCTCTCACAGTTCTGGAGGCTGAAAGTCCAAGATCAAGGTGCAAGTGGTTTTGGTTTCTGGTGAGCCCTCTTTCCTCAGATCACTGTGCTCTCCATGGTCCTTTGGGTATGGAGAGAGCGAGTTACAAGCCCTGGTGTCTATTCCTCTTATAAGGACACCAGTCCTCACCAGTCCTATCAGATTAGGGCCCCACTCTTAATGACCTGATTTGACCTTAATTACCTCTTTAAAGGCCCTATCTCCAATACAGTCACATTAAGGGTGAGGCCTTTCAACATATGAATTTGGGGGAACACAATCCAGCCTATCACCAGAATGTTCTCTGACAACAGGCAGAAGGGTTACCAGGATGAGCAAGGAGGAGCTAACACTTATGGAACAGGGAGGAACTAACCATTAAACCAGGGGTCAGAAAACTATGGCCTTTGGGCCAAAGTTGAGGGCCACCTTCAGGTTGTAAATAAACTTTCATTGGAGCACAGCCACATCCATTCATTTACACATTGTCTGTGGCTGCTTTCATGTAGAGTTCAGTAGTTGCCATGGAGTCTATGGCCTACAAAGCCCAAAATATTTACTCTCTGGCCCTTCACAGAATAAATGTTCTGACTCCTGAGTTAGATCAATATATGAGTGTTCATTTTCTCCATGACATAATGCCATAAAGTCAGTGTTCCTGTCACTTCACCAATGAAGCAGTGGAGGCTCTGAGAGATGACGTGATATCCACATCACACAGCTGACAGTCAGAGAGCCCAGAGTTGGAGCTCTACGACTCCAAAGGGTGCCCTTTCCAGGGCACCTCATCTCTGGGCCCAGGGCTTTTCTCCTAGGCTCGGAATGGTGTGTGGATATGGCTGCCAGCCTGTGGCCTAGGTAAGTCATCCCATCTGCACAATGGCTTCCTACAATCCTCTCAGCCTCGAAGATCAAGAACAATTGTCATTCAGACCAGAATGTCCCATGGTTTCCATTCACACCTTATCAGCAGTTGACTATAGCTATTTTTGGCCCTCGGTTTCTTGAAATTTTATTTTGTTTTGGTTTATGTTTTATGTTGCGGCATGTGTTTTATATGACTAAGATTGACTTAGAAAGCAGATCATTTGCATTAGGGAGCCTTGCAAATAATATGTAGACCTTAAGAGGTTTCTAGGGATAATTTTGGGACTTTTAGCCCCAAATGCAATTGTTGGTACTTTTCATTATTAAACAGAATGTTTCCTTTTCATTTCAGCATTCAATATTGAACTCCTGGTGCTTTCCTTATTGTAGGAATAAAAGAAGCAAGTGAATACAACTCAGGTTCCTCTTTATGGACATTTGTCAATAGAAAACAGTTCCAAGATCCTCTTTGAATTAGTAGAGGCATTTCCCAAATTATTTACACAAGAATCCAGAGCTTTTTCATTAGGCCTATGTTAGAATCTAAGGAAGCAAAACAGCAATTGGGATTAATTTTACTATTGGCTAATGGATTACTTCCTGTTTCCAGCTTGTTGATCTTCCTGTCCATACAGACAAATGATTTGCCTGGAGATTCATGCTGCTTTTGTCTGTTCAGCATCATTTCCTCTGAGGAACATCCTCTCCCCCATTTCAGGTGGTCCCAGGTGGGCTGTCAATCACAACACACCAGACCTAGCCAATCATATTGCCTCACCTCCCCAGACACAGTAATTGATTCAGGGGAAAGAATGTGACCCAGTCAGAGCAAATTCCCCCAAATGTTAAAGAAGTTAGGAGAGAGGCCTTCAAACTAAGTGGCATCAGGCCAAGAGATAGAGGCAGAATGACTGGATCCAGCCCTTCCTGAGGCTTTACCCACCCCAGACTTCCTAAGAGTGTGATCCCAAAATTTCTTTTTCTGCTTAAGTTAACTCAAGCTGGACTTCTCACTCAAAATCCAAAATGTGCTCACTAATATAACATGCTTCCAGGTTTTCTGAGTGTCCCTCAGAAACATGTGTCAGCAACTTCCAGAGGACATAGGGCACTGAGCATTGGGATCCATGGGTCCTTATCTTAGCTGCAATCTTAGAGCCCTTAGGTCATCCCTATGCCAAGTTGGAGGGCTTTTGAAATGGAGAGCCTGTTACACAGGGGATGCAACATGATTTCATGGATATATTTATGTCTTATGCACAAAAGTGCATTCTAGACTTGCTTTTTAAGTTCCATATCTCTTTGTCCCCTTTGGCCCTTCCTGGAGTGGAAGCAGGACAAATTCTTGTGCTGATGACACTTTTTTTTTTGAGATGGAGTCTCGCTCTGTCACCCAGGCTGGAGTACAGAGGTGCTATCTCAGCTCACTGCAACCTCCACCTCCTGGGTTCAAGCGAGTCTCCTACCTCAGCCTCCCGAGTAGCTGGGATTACAGGTGCATGCCACCACGCCTGGCTAATTTTTTTTTTTTTTTTTTTAGTAGAGATGGGATTTCACCATTTTGCCCAGGCTGATCTTGAACTCCTGACCTCAGGTGATCTGCCCACCTCAGCCTCCCAAAGTGCTGGGATTGCGGGCATGAGCCACCACACCCGGCTGCTGATGACACTTTATTGGCAATCTTGGGAAGGGAAAAAAGACCAAGTAGAAGTAGCAACGGGACCCCTAACATTGATATTGCCTGATGACTGGGCTGGCCAAAGTCTGGTGCCAGGACCCCTATCCTACCAGTGGTTCCAGACACCACCGAGGGAATCTGGAAGGAGAAATAAAGCCCACAACACGCCACCAAGTGGCTGCAATATTACTCTTGCAGTGAAGATACTTTTTTTTTCCTCCTTTGTTTCCATAGGGTACTTTTCTAAACCTGTCCAAAGTCCCTCTCACTAGATTCCTTAACTGTCACTTAAAGTGTTATCTATGACTCAGAATTTCCTAACATAAATTCTATAACCTCCCTCCTTTCCTCAGGAAAGTTACCAACTGAGGCCTACTCACACCAAAACTCTGATCCTAGTGGCTGTGAGATGTCTGAATGCTGTTTAAACTGTGCACTTACATGTGTTTGCAGGTAGTGATAAATAAGAACTCTTCTTTGTTGTCGTGCTTATTCACAGTTTAACTTGGCTTCCTCTGCTTCAGACAGAAGGGAACTGAAGTAAATTCTTAAGACACACAAGGAAAGAAAGTTCTTTGCGCTGAAGGCGGTTCGCCAAGGTGCTAATTCCATCTTTGGTAGGTTTCTCCCAGGACTGTGTTCCTCATCCAGGAATTTCCCTGAGCTTGATGGGTCACACGTCCAAATTCCAGCTTTGAATAAATAAACCAACTAAAGTGCTCAGTTGCCTCAGGGATTAGCAGAGCAGTTCACGAACTTCCATCGCCCCCCAGTGGCAATTAGTTGGATCTTTTTGTTAGGGATTTTCTTATGCTTAAAATTTAGGTTATCGTTCTCCCCTCCAAAGTTGTTTTAAGTTTTTGTTTGTTTGTTTGTTTAATTCTCACACTGAAGATTATAAAGTCTTTGTGTGGAGGTATGTTGGTAATGTCAAATTAATGGCTTCTGGGTCACCAGGTCATAGACGGATAAGATGTAGTATCTGCTTTCATGGTTCTAAGTAAAAGACTGATTTTCAACCTGGTCTCTATTCTGAGGCTCCATCCTGAGAGAAGGTGAAAATAAGCAGCACTAAATCACTAAATCCAGAAAGGACTCTCAGTGGGTGGCATCAAGGTAACCTAGAGAGCCAGTTAGCCTTGGTTGCATATAGATGAGAACTCAGCCACCCACAGTGATAGTATCTACTCTGAAAACAAGATATAGGCTATGTGAGATTCCAAAAATAAAAAGCAGAAACTGTGTTGAGGGAGAAAGCTTATATACATATGAAGTAGCCAAGAAACACTTTTCTAGCATAATAAATTCATAAATTCATGCAACATACAGTCAATGATTTTTGATAGCTAGCATAAAGTACTTCACCTTGTTTTATAGAAAAAGAAGAAGTGGAATTTAGGAAAGTTTAGACTGAAGAGGCTTATCTTCAACTCAAAAAAGGGAAGGTTCTTGCCTCCCTGCCCACAGTGGAGTTAGTACTTAAGCTTATTTTTCAGATCATAGTAAATTCCTTTGGTTCACCACCTGCCATGCTCCACCCCCACACCCCTTTTAAATTTAAAACCAGGTTTGTAGTCCTTTAAATAATACTGACCCAGTTCTAAATTCCTACACACCAAACAGTCCTGCCAATGCTAAATCCTGAGTAGAAGTGTTTGTCCTTCAGCTTCCTTTACTCAGAATTTGTCTCCTTTCCAGCCAGAACATTCTCCTTCCCTGGCCACCCCTCTCCCCTTGGCTTTGGAAGGCAAACTTTACCTAATCTGTTTTGTTTAAGAATCCTAAATCTTAGTGGTTTAAGGGCCTCAGTATTAGTACACACAAGCACACATATATAAATTTAAGAACAAAGAATGTTTTATTATCAGCTCATTGTATTTTGTATAATATTTGTTTAATAAATTCACCCTTAAAGTATAAGCCTCTGTCAGTTAGGCCTGGCCTCCCCATCTCCTGGACCCCAAGGTCTTATTCACTTGAATCTCCCAGTCCATGGTCCATGGAATATCAAGTTTCCCTGAGTTATATGTTACTCCTCAGGGACTTAGGCTCCTATGGTCACTTCTGCCTCTGGACTCCTCTCTCTGCTTGTGCTGGCTCAGTTTACATTGACCTAGAGGGGAAACTCTGCCCCTTTATCATCTTCTATGAAAACCCATTCACTAAATTACTTGCTGATTTTGTAAAACACTCATAACAAAATAGAGATATATGGATACTTCTTAAACATGACAAAAAACTTTATGCCAATCTAAAAGTTCGCAAAATGCTTAATGGATAGACACTAGACACTTTTCCACAAAAATTAGGAATGTCTACTGCCACTTTTATTTAACGTTTTGCTGGAAAGTCTTAGCCTATGCAGGAGAAAGAAATTAGAGGCATGAGGCCAGGCGCAGGGGCTCACGCCTGTAATCCCAGCACTTTGAGAGGCCGAGGTGGGCGGATCGCCTGAGGTCAGGAGTTTGAGACCAGCCTGGCCAACATGGTGAAACCCCATCTCTACTGAAAAAAAAAAAAAAAATACAAAAATTAGCCGGGCATGGTGGCAGGTGCCTGTAATCCTACCTACTTGGGAGGCTGAGGTAGGAGGATCACTTGAACTTGGGAGGTGGAGGTTGCAGCGAGCCGAGATCATGCCATTGCACTCCAGCCTGGGCAACAAGAGCGAGACTTCGTCTCAAAAAAAAAAAAAAAAAAACAAAAGAAATTAGAGGCATTAAAGTTGGACGGGAGGAAGTAAAATCATTATTAGTTGAGATTATATGAAATAATCCCTGGAAAATCCAAAATAAACACACAAACATTAAGACTAAAGACAAGAGAATCCAAAACATAGGAGAGTATAAAATGGATGTAGTCATTGGAGCTTGTCTTTAGTCCATTTTGTGTTACTACAACAAAATACCTGAGGCTGGGTAGTTTATAAAGAAAAGAGGTTTGTTTGGCTTAGAGTTCTATAGGCTGTTCAAGAAGCATGGAACCGGCATCTTCTCAGCTTCTGGTGAGGGCTTTCATGTTGAGTCAGCAGAGAAAGTCAAAGGCAAACCAGGCACATGTGAAGAGAGAGTAAACATGAGGGGGATCCTCACTTTGTAACAATCCTGCTCTTGCCGGAACCAATCCATTCCCGAGAATTAATCCAGTCTTGTGAGAGTGAGAACCCACTACCATTAGAAAGTCACCAAGTCATTCATGAAGGATTTACCCCATGACCCAGACATCTTCCATTAGGCCCCAGCTCCCAGCACTGCCACACTGCAGATCAAATTTCAAAATTAGCTTTGATGGGGACAAACAAGTCATATTCATACCATAGCACAGCTATACCTTATTCCTTTCACCAGGATAAGTTTCAAATATATAAATGGTTTAAAGGAAAAAGTGTAATTTTTTTAATTGAAGAAACTTGGGAGAATTTAGGACTTAAAATATTTTTAATTATGCCACAACATCCAGAAATCATAGAAGATTATAAAATTAAGATCCATAAAAACTACTCAAAGCAAAACTTAGCAGAAGCAAAAACAAAAAAAGATAATTTTAGAAAATATTCCAACCTCATAGTGTAGAAGAAAGGTTAATTTCCTTATAAAGAATGTCTACAAATCAATTTTTAAAAAAAGCAATACACTGTGTTGATGAAGGTGTGGAAAAACAGGCACTCTCATCCACTCCTGAGGGAAGCTACAAGGGGTACAACCACCTATCTCGGGTCATTTAGAAGTGACTATCAAAGTTTTAAAAGCACATTCCCTTTGACCCAGTCATTTTAATTCTAGGTATTACAAAGATATGCTCACACAGTGTGAGAAATGATGTAAGCACAATATTACTCATTGTAGTATTGTCGTAATAGGAAAGTATTGGATATAACATCAATTTAGTTGATTAGTAAGGGACCAGTTACATAAACTGTATTAATCTATATGATGGAATAGTGTACATGTCCTAAATAAAAACAAAATGGAACACTGTATGTACTGATATGAAAATTTACATTTTAATTCTTGAATCTGTTAAATAAAAAGAAAGATGGATATGGAAAACCTCCAAGATATTTTAGGTGAAGAACAACAGTTAAATCCCTATATAAAGTATGCTACTACTTGTGTTTTAAAAATGGGGTCCCTCAAAGCACATTTCTTGGAAAACTGCATTTCATGTGGTGGTGGTAGAGGATGGTTTGTCAACTTGTCTTTTGCGGGTTTAATCTTTCAATCCCACTTTACAATGAGTCCAAACCACTCAAAGAGCCTTCCCTTCCTTCCTTTAAAGCTACTCATGCCTTGCCTTATTGATTTTCCTTCCATTACTCCTATTTTCTCCAAGTCATTAATTCACAATGTTTAGAATAAAAAAATAAGACTGCCAAGGAGGAAGAAATTTAGGTTGGCTAGTGATGCATTCTCTTCCTAATAGGAAAGCCAAACTAAAGTCGCAAAGTTCTTTGGTAAATTTGGAATGAGAGCAAAGAAAACCAAAGCCTTGAAGGATTTTACCATCCATTCTTATGTCTTAACATCCAACCAAACCTGATAATTTACATTTCTTTATCTGCAACCAGCTCTTTCCTGAGTTCTAATTCTGTGTTCTGAACCGCTTCTGGGATTTCACTGCCTAGATAACCATTATCATCTCAAGTGCAATGTGTCTAACCTGAACTCATCTTGCCCCTAACCCTAAATATTTCTCAAAATCAGCAGCCATTTTTTTACTCCTGTCTTCTTATTTACTTCACCTTAGCTTTCTCTTTATGCAGTAAGGTGGTAATTTCAAACAACTGTAATCTACCATGCTCCTCCTTTTTAAAAGAATAATATGTCAGAAGGTCTTTGGTTACAGTTTATGCTTTAAAAATTGGAGGGCAAATCCAATACCCACTGGAAATTTCATTAACATAACCCCGTGGTTTCCCCATTTCTCTCTACCATTGGTAACCAAATCCACTACTAATTATTTCCATAGGGAAGAAAACATGAAATTCCTCACTCCTCTAGGCAAGACTATACTGATATCTCTCCTGCCTGTGTGGGTGGTGATTCACATGGCTCTCCAGAGCTCCTCCCCAAAGCAATGTTCACTTCACCCATTCTTACCAGTGCTATTCCCATCTTTTTTGGCACATCATGTTAAATCTAGTGACTCATAAAGGCCCACTTGTGGCAACAACTGGATCAGCAACTTAATCATAATAACTTCAATAATAATAACAGTTTTCACCACTCGAAAATAGCGAGTCCCCGCCCCCATTTCTGCTTCTGAATGATTGTGTGTGTTGGTTTGGGGTAGGTAGAAAGAAGGGGCAATGAGTTAAATAGTCCCAGTGTAGTTACATAATGCACACTACATGCCAGTATGTTTGCATGTGTGTATATATACATATATTGAGCAAGCTGAGAAAGTAGAAGCCCATGCTCTAGCTGCCAGGTATCAAGCAGAGGAAGTTTCTGGCCTTTGGTTTTCCAAGAATAGGGTCCCTCCACTTTAATATTATTGACATTTGGGGCCAGATAATTCTTTGTTACTAGAGTTGGCCTTTGCCTTGTAGGATGCTTAGCAGAATGCCAGACTTCTATCCACTTGATTTCAGTAGCAACCACTACCCTCAGTGTGACAATCAAAAATGTCTCCAGATATTGTCAAATACCCCCAGGATAGGGACAGCAAAATCAGCTTTAGTTGAGAAGCACCGCCATAGAGGGAATCAGGGCCCTGTCTCCTATCAAATCTCATACCTGCTGAATTTCCCAGCATGAGAAGAGGCTGGGCAACCTCCCTGTTGGCATTCACCAAAGAATAGCCTTAAGTTTTCTGAATTGACCTAATTGCAGGCCCATTAGTGCCCACTCAGACCACCTTGGCAGGTATCAAGGAAAGTCCAGTCTTAAATAAGTACAGCTATAAATTAAAGAAACTTTCTCAAAAAGCAATGCCCTGCATGCATCTGGAGACATGAAACAAAGGTTCCATAAGAAACTGGGAGTGTACATCTGGAGACATGAAACAAGGGTTCCTATAAGAAACCGGGAGTGATTCCTCATATAAGGTAGTCATCCACAATCAGTGAATTAATTAATTCAATTTTTCTTTTGAGACAGATTTTCACTCTGTCACCCAAGCTGGAGTGCAATGGCATGGTCTCGGCTCACTGAAACCTCTGCCTCCCGAGTTCAAGAGATGTTCCCGCCTCAGCCTCCCAAGTAGCTGGGGCTACAGGTGTGTGCCACCACACCCAGCTAATTGTTGTATTTTTAGTAGAGATGGGGTTTCACTATGTTGGCCAGGCTGGTCTTGAACTCCTGACCTCGTGATCTGTCCGCCTTGGCCTCCCAAAGTGCTGGGATTATAGGCATGAGCCACTGCGCCTGGCCAATTAATTCAATTTTTAGAGGTCTATGTGAAGAAACCCTCGACTCTCATCAAAACACAAAAAAGCTTGGGACTTACCAACTAATAATAATATATCCTCTAAAGTTATTACAATGGTTGTGAGAATATTAAACAGAATGATAACCTCTGGCCATCTCTAATTTTATTGGCAATAAATCCCTTTAAGGAAAAGTAGTGTTTATTTCCAAGAGCAAGAGGTAACCCTGGCCTTTGATGTAGACACGGTCCCTCTGAGTACACATGTGATGAATGCTGGCAGACTCCATGGAACACAGACCTATTGGTGGGGGGTCTACTGGCTATGTCTTAGGAACTTACCTTCATTCATTTAGGCCTTAGCAAAGATCACAGTCTATGAAGTTCATGGGCAGTGCTGGCACAGAACCAAGTGAAGGTCTCCAGGCATAACTAGAAAGTGGTGAAGAGCAAAGTTGAGAAAAACAAGCTATCTCTATTGTCAGATCAAATAATTCTTCTTTTTAAAAACCCTTCCATGGCTTCACATTTCAATTAAAAGAAAATGTCACTTCCTCCTCATGGCCTATGGCATGATCCAGCCCCAACATCACCTCCTACTATTCTGCCCCCAACTCATTCTGTGTGGGCCACACTGGTCTTTCCCTGTTCTTTCTGATCTCAGAACATTTTACCATGGCATTCTCATTGTCTGGACCACTCTTTGCATTGATCTTCACATGGCTGGGTCCTTCTCAACATTCAGGTCTCAGCTAAAACGTCACCCTTCTCAGAGAGGTCTTTGCTGACAACCATATCTGAGAAGGTATCCTGAGCTCTCAATCTGTATCGTGCACACTGATCATCTGGGGATCATGTTACAAGACAGACTTTGACTCAGTGGTTCTGGGGAGGGACTTGAAATTCTGCATTTCTAACAAGCTCCCGAGGAATACAAATTTTCTGCTCCACAGATCATCTACCCACAGGGGTGGGTAGACCCCCATGCCTCAATCTTTGTCACACTACCTGTGTCATTTAATTGGTGGCTTTTATCAGGATCTTAAATTATTTATTTATCTGTTTGTGTTGGATTGTTTGTTGTCCAATCTATTCATTTACTAGAATGTAAATTCCCTGAGAGCAAGGAGTCTGTCTAGCACTTTTAAATTCTCAGCACTTCCCACAGTACCTGACACATCATAGGTGCTCCATAAATATTGCTGAATGAGTGAAACATCACTCATTCAAGATTCATTGACTCTGTGATCCCTTCCAGTGTCTGCTTCTGACTGCTTCAGTGAGCACTCAATTATACAACAGAAACTACACTGTAATGATAGGGCAGTGCTACCCAAGTGCCAGTCCAGAAACTGCTAGTTATTGGCCAACACTGAATTAAGAATCTTGTACTATAATATAAATCTGCTATGCCACTAAGCACAATTTTATCTGAGATGAGACATTTTTCATAGTAAGACTTTCTGGATGAGGCAAGCAATGCTTTGCCTTGCCTTGTGGTGAAAGCTCCTCATCTCATATTAGAAGGGTAACAGTGTGTGAACTGGTCCCCACTGGCAAGACACATTTTGAGTTGTGCTGATATAGCGGATATAAAGCCAAATAAGATCTATTTTTTAACTTCAGAAAATCCATACATAGGTAAGAGAATTACACATTCAAATACATAACTGCAAATCTTTTGTCAAGTGCTATAATACGGAATTAAGTGGAAGAACTCAGGAATTGTAGAAAAAAACAAATAATTGGTCTTTTGTGCTCCCCCTTAGTCACACCTTTCCTGACACCTGCTCTCATTATAACCACAAACCCTCCCACCATACCCCTTCCTCCTGATCACATACCACTCATCTGGGCATGTTCTTCCCCTTGGGCCCTGAAACACTGAAGTTACAGGACCAGGCTTGGGTCTTCTGAGAAATTGTGAAAGGGAACTGAGAATTGTGGTAGAGAACAGAAAATGATAGGAGAGATAGGGAATTGTGGGAGAAGGGAGAATTGCGGGAGAGAATAAAGTATCATGAGAGAACAGAGAATTGTGAGAGACAATGTGGAATTGGGAGACAGACTAGGCAGCTGTGAAAGAGAACAGAATATTGTGTAATAAGGGAGAAGTGCAAGAGTGGAGAATTGTGAGACAGAGCAAAGAATTGTAGGAGATACGAGGAATTATGGGAAAGACAAGGAATTATGGGAAAGAACAGAGACTTGTAGGTGAGACAGGGAATTGTGGGAGATAATAAAGAAAGGGGGAAGACATCAGGAATTGTAGGAAAAAACAGAGAATTGTGGGAGTGACACAAAATTGTGGACACACGGGGAATTGTGGGAGAGAAGGGAGAATTATGAAAGAGAAGAGATTATTGTGGGAGAGATGGGAAATTGTGTAAGAGAATAGAGTATTGTGAGAGAACAGAATGATGAGGGAGACTAAGGAGTTAGGGGAGAGACTACAGAATTGCAAATGAGGATGGAGAATTTTAAGAGAATGGAGGACTGTGAGTGAAAGTGAAGAATTATCAGAGAGAAGAAAGAATTAGGAGAGAGATGTGGAATTATGAGAAAGACAGGAAATTGTAGCATATGACACAGAATTGTGGGAGAGAGCAGAATTGTGGGAGAGACATAGATTTGTGGAGAGGACAGCACAAAGAATTGTGGGAGAGACACAGGATTGTGGGAGAGAACAAAAAATTGTGGAAGAGACACAAAATTGTGGGAGAAAAGGGACACTTGTGGGATAGAAAATTGTGAACGAGAATATTGTGAGAAAACAGAATTATGAGAGAGAATGGGAGTTAGGGGAGAGACTGGGGAATTGTGAACAATCATGGAGTATTTTGAGGGAATGGAGAATTGTAAGAGTGGAGAATTCTGCGAAAGAACAAAGAATTGTGGGGGAGATGGGGAATTATAGGAAAGATAGGAAATTGTAGCATAGAATACAGAATTATGGTTGAGATAAGGAATTGTGGGAGAGAACAGAGAATTGTGAGAGGAAACCAAAAATTGTGGGGAGAAACATGGAATTATGGGAGACACAGGGAATTGTGGGAGAACAGAGAACTCAGGGAGAGACAGGAAATTGGGGGAGAGAACAGAGAGTTCTGGGAGATACAGGGAACCATGGGAGAGAATACAGTGTTGTGGGAGAGACGGAATAATTATGAGAATGAAGGGAGAATTGTGGGAGAAAGGAAATCATGAAAAAGAATATTGTGAAAGAACAGAATTATGAGAGATAATGGGGAATTATGGGAGAGACTGGGGAATAAGAACAGAGTATTGTGAATGAACAGAACATTGTGGAAATGAATAATTTTGAGGAATTGTGACAGACAGAGTCATAGGGAATGATGGAAAAGACAGAGAACTGTGGGAGGAATGGAACTGTGGGAAACAGAATTTTGAGAGATACAAGAATTTGTAGGAAAGAATAAAGGCTTGCTGGGAAACCCAGCAAATTTTGGGAAAAACAACAGAATTACGGGCAAGACAGGGAATTGTGGGACAGAAAAGTGAATTGTGGGAGACACAAGGAATCATGGGAGAAACAAGAGAATTGTGAGCAAGACAAGGAATTGTGGGACAGAAAAATGAATTGTGGGAAGGAATAGAATTTTGGGAGTGACATGGGATTGTGGGAGAAATAAGGAATTGTGGGAGAGACAGAAGATTGTGGAAAGAACTGAGAATTGTGGGAGACAGAACTGTGGGTAACAAAACAGAATTGCGGGAGTGAAAAGGAATTGTGGGAGGGACAAAAGAATTGTGGGTAAAGAGAGAAGTTGAGCTGTGATAGTTGAAATGGAATCCTTGGGCTATCCTGTAGGCAGTTCTGATGCTGGGATGGCCCTTCTGAGTTGTCCCCTTTGGGGCTAGGGGCCTGGACTTATGTGCCCTTGCAGAGACCCTCATAGGATGCAGATCGTCCCCAAGGAGGGGAAGTGATTTTGTGTGAGGCAATTCTCTTAGGCAGAGGACAATTCCTGGAGACTCAGCTGAAAGCTGTGAGCCCCCAACACTTTCTGCACCAGGGGACATCTGGACGTATTTCACAGAGCCACTATAGTTATATAGAAAGATATATGTTTCTTTATTAACACTTTAAGTAACAAGATCAAATTACCTTAATTTCAAAGTAGTGGATGGATGATATTTTGAGACAGGCACAACAACCATATGTGACATAATTTATCTGTAATGTGTATTAGTGCCACATACAGCTAATAGTACTAGGATTTATTGCCTACATCCCTGATGGAAGAAAATGCTAAATTTCTGTTGGAGGTAAATGAAAATACAGACATTCAAAATCACATACCCAGTTAAGAAGAATTTAGCAGCCAGAACACTGTCTTGTTCACTTTTGGATCTCCACCACCGAAGTTATGGGCACCTACTAACGTTTCTTGAATCATTGCTACAATTAAAACCGATAAGATTTAAAAAAAAAACAAATTTAAAAACTCCTCCAAAGCACTCCTTCTGCCGCATAAAGCATACATAGTAGAGCTCTTCACTCTAGGGAAGCCTCTGGAGCAGACAACCTTCCCTGCCACCGCCACATTTTGAAAAAGGCTCCTGGCCTGGAGGGGCGGGCCCAGAAAGCGGCCCCCGCAGCAGTTACAGGCCGGGGCGAGGAGGGGACGGAACCCGCTCTCCGTGATTGACGGAAAATATTACTCTTCAGCCCGCCTCCCGCGTGCCCGGAAGTCCCGCCTTCTAAAAAGGAAGTAGGGGTGCGTGAGAACGCCGGCGGTGACCGCAGCCACAGCGGTGACCGAGTGAGAGGAAGGCGGCGGCGGCGGCGGCGGCGGCGTGAAGTCACTGCTGCTCTGGGTTCGGGTTGGCGACTGAAGGCGGTACCGGCCTCCCGGAACAGCCCGGGGGAGGGCTTAGGTGCAGAAGGGCAGGCTGGCCGCGGCCGGTTTGGTCTGGGGACCACGGGCTGGAGCAGGTGGGCAAGCGCCGGGACGGTGTGGGGAAGACACTTGGCAGCTTCTCGACCTCTGGTGTCCCTTCGTTTCTTCGAATTCCTATTCATGCGCCGCACCCTTCTCGGACCCCCAGCCCCTCGCTAAGGCTCTGGGGATGGGGGTCAAGTCTAGGCTCAATGGACCTCCCCTCCTCCACCCGGGTCACCACTCCTCGGAAATCCTCGCCCCACTCCCGCCTCAGGCCTGTACCTCCTGGCTGTGACGTGGTTTCTCAGCGACTGCCTCACCTCAGTCCCAAAATCCTCACTGCCTTAGATACATACGTGCCCCCAGAGGTTGGCCTGGGTTTCACAGTATTTCCCTAAGGGGGCAATATATTAAAGCTGTCCTTCGAAGTTAGTACCCTGCCTGGTAGATGCCCATGGGATGACAAAGAGGAGGAACAAGGGTTGACCAGATTAGGACTAACGAGAGAATAGTCTGAGTCCAGAGACATTAATCTGTCTCTTTGTTTTGGCAGGTGGAAATTTAAAATTGTTTACAGTCAACACTGTTTCCAGCCATGGGTTTGTCTCCATCTGCTCCTGCTGTTGCAGTTCAGGCCTCAAATGCTTCAGCGTCCCCACCTTCAGGATGCCCGATGCATGAAGGGAAAATGAAAGGTAATCGGCCCTTTGCCTAGAAAATAAAAACAAAAGATAATTCACGGCTGGGTGCGGTGGTTCACGCCTGTGACAGCACTTTGGGAGGCCGAGGTGGGTGGATTGCTTGAGCTCAGGACTTCGAGACCAGCCTGGGCAACATGGCAAAAACCTCCCTCTACAAAAAAATACAAACATTAGCCAGACGTGCTGGTGGGTGCCCGTAGTACCAGCGACTTTGGAGGTTGAGGTGGGTAGGATCGCCTGGGAGGCCAAGGTTGCAGTGAGCCAAGATTGTGCCACTGCACTCCAGCCTGGGTGACAGAGTGAGACTGTGTCTTAAAAAAAGTCTGGAAAGCCTCTAAAGGAAGAGGCAGTGTAGTATGCTGCTGAGGCTGGTAGGCATGGGAGTCAGGCACCCTGGGTCTGGTCGTTATTTTGCGTCTTATTGAGGTTTGTGACTCTAAACAAGTTAACTCTGTTAGCCTCAGTCTGTCATCTGTAAGATGAAGATATAATAATGTTTCACAGGCCTGTCATGATGATTGAGGTAGTACATGAGAACGTAGTGAGTACTCTAAACCAGCCCCAACTTCCCAAAGTTTACTTGTGCCTACATCAGTGGTTCTTAACTGGAGGGGGGCAATCCCCCCTTCCCACAGGGGACATTTGCCAATATCTGGAGGCATTTTTGGTTGTCACAACTGAGAGGAAAGTGAATAGAGGGCAGGAGTGCTCCTAAACATCCTACAATGTACAGAACAGCCCCCCAACAAAGAATCAGCTGGCCCCAAATATCAAGAGGGCCAAGGTTGAGAAACCTTAGTCTAGATCTAGCTGTCTTAATAAATAACTTTTGCTCGTATAGCCATTTCAGTATTTTCGTATATAAAAGTAAGCCATCACTTAACGGGCTTGCTGTCCATTCTTTAGATAAGAAAATGAAAATGGAAAAGCTGTCTTTCATTTTTAATTCATTCATGTCTACTTTAGATTTTTTATATTAAAGTGTGGCTTGAATCAGTAAGTCGTGAAGGGCAGAAGCAACATGGTGTGCTTACTGAGTACTAATGTTTGCGCTGTTATTCATTTCTTCAGTCAGCCAGCCTATTCTGAGAGGTCACTGCCCATTCTGTACCAAGCATTGCTGGATTTTGTTTGTTTCTGCACGAGAGAATAACATCATACAAAATGGAGCTTTGCCTGATAGAGCTTACATTCTCATCTTCATAAGCTATGTGGTCTTACGACTTCATAAGCTAAGTTTTCTCCCTATTTTATAGTCAAGGAAACTAAGACTTGGAGTAACTGATGCTCCAAGTCACATAGTAAGTGGCAAAGCCAGCAAAAGTTCTGTGACCTTGGACAAGGACAGGCAGTGTTCTTCTGGGGTTTCTTTGTACAGGAAGAATTGAGACAGATCAGCCAAAGCAGGTGTGCTCCTGTTCTGAGTGTCCTCAGGGAGATTCTAGAACCCTTACTTTGGTTTTATTTCATTTGCTGTATATCTTGGAGAGCTGCCAGACTTACTACATTAATAAAGAATGTGGGTGTCTATAGGAGATCGAAGGGGCTACTGGTTATATGACGTGAAAAGTTGAAATGTTATTTTCTTTGTAACACCCAGCTGGGATCTATGACTTGGAAAGGATTGGTGCTTTCAGTGGTAGAGAGGAAAGGCATAGCAAGTCTTCCTTCACCCCTAAAGTGGGCAGTGGCACAGGGCACCAGGAAATGAGGGCTTGGGAGGAGAAGTGCAGGGAAGGAAGTGAAAGCAAACTCAGCTTTTTCATGTGTATTGCTGTAGTTGCTGCTGCTGCTGCCTGAGGCCAAGATTCCATTACATGAGCAGCTGTCTTCTGTGTCTCAGCTCTCCAAGTGCCTGCTCATTCTCTGAACCAGTTTCCCAGTCCCTCACTAATTGGGATCAGCATCCTGGGTCTTTGGGCATAGCCCTTGCTATTGCTCATCTCATTAGGCTCAGACCTTCCCTCGTAATGGGCATCTTGATCCTGTATGGGTTGTGGAATATTTTCTTTATTGTCTGTCTTTTCCTGTTAAACTCTTGCCATTGACTGATGGGAATAGGCCATAGGCCACGTGGTTTTCCTGTGCCTTGTTTCAGTCTTGAGACAAAGCAGAGTGGCATTCAGATTTTTTTGCAGTAGCCTCTGTGATGTCTCCTCTGTTCATTTTCTCCTCCCCTTCCTTGTACCTGAGATAATGCATCAGTAATGAAAGCCTGGATTGCAACTGTGTCCTGATTGGATCTGGGCTTCTCTGGAACTAGTGAATGGAAAGTCAAGGAGACCCTGTGAAATGTGGCTGGTCCCCTCTTAGGTTCCTCTAACAGCTCCCCAGCTGCTCATCCAGCCAGGTTACTCAAACCATGGCACAGATAACACATGCTCTTGCAACTGCCAAGGTTTTTTGGCTTATTTTTGCTGGGGGTGTGACACAATTAGAGAATGTATACTCATTTTTCTTTCAAAGGAAATGTAAATTTTAGAACCTTCTCATCTTTAGGATTTTGGAATGTTAGCTAGTTCAGTTCTTGATAGATTTAAACAGAAGAAACCTGGCTTTTCCTATGGTGGTAATCATTGGTCAGAAATTCAGCTCTTTAGTGCTCCAATTGAGAGAGTTAGATGTCCTGCCTTCATGGTGACACCATTTTTATACTTGATTATTTCAGGCTGTCCAGTGAATACAGAGCCATCTGGCCCAACCTGTGAGAAGAAAACATACTCTGTGCCTGCCCACCAGGAACGCGCCTATGAGTACGTGGAGTGTCCCATTAGGGGCACTGCGGCTGAGAATAAGGAGAACCTAGATCCTTCAAATCTGGTAATCCACACTCATCTTTTCTTTCTGGAGCTTTTTATGCAGGGTTGCTTATACAGACTCCCAAGACAAGTTGCAAATGGCTAGGATGAATTCTTCTGTCCTTTGAAAACAGAGAAGTTAGATATTCTATCTACAGTGAAAATCTAGAATGTGTTAGTAAGTGTAGTTTCAGGGAGTGCCTGGGAAAAAAACCAGAGTGATTATGAGGAGCCAGCATAGTTGTACTGGGAATAAGCCATACCAAATGAATATTTTCTTCTGGGACAGTTACTAGGTGGTAGATGGGAAATTCTGTAAGAACCATAGCTAGAGTTAGTTAAGGTATCTTTGGTCTGGGGAAACTTTGTAGACACATTACATGATTGGGGAACTTCTTCAGGTACAATAGGGTGCCAGCCTGCCCGAGTCACTAGGGTGGTTCACTGTCGTGTGACTGCCAGCAAATTTAATGCCATTGAGAAGTGAGGGCAAGGTTGATGTGACATCACTACATTTTGTGATAGACAACATCAGAAATTGTGGTCTAAAGTTTGGAATCGTGTTTTAACGGGAGGCTCAGGCATATACTTCAGAGGGCCACAGGATTATCAAGAATAGAAATTTTAGTGAACCAGACAGCCTGTAAAGAAACTAGAAATATTTAGCCTGGAAAAGAAAGGGCGTGGGGGATACAATAGCAGCGTCCACCTCAGGAATCAACAAACTATGGCCCACTGCCTGTTTTTGAAAATGAAGTTTTGGACAATGCACCAAGATTATCTTGCACATAGGCCTTCAAATATTTACACCAGAGGTCATTGGCAAACTGCTTCTATAAAGGGCCAGGTAGTAAATATGTTTGGTTCTGTGGGCCGTAGGGTCTCTGTCACACTACCCAGTTCTGCTGCTGCTGCTTTCTCTGTAGCATGAAAGCAGCGACAGGCAGCATTATCCGAAGCCCCTGGCAGACCACTGGCCTAGATGATCTCTAATAGGTGAGTGGTTCAGAACATGGGCCTTTTGGAACCTTACAGACCTAGACACTTACCCCATGGGATCATGATATGTAGTGAGAATGTGAATAACAGCTAACTTTTCTTGTGGTCACTTTTTAAAAATTTTTTATTCAAGGCTAGCCAACTGAAGCAGTGGGAGAGGAGAAGGAACAAAGAAATCTGTAACTGGTTGTGATCAATTAGTCGTAAACACTACTGTACTCAGACCAGCCTCTTTTGGTCACTTTTCTAGCGTTTAAGCTAAGCACCCTACATTCTCCCCTTTAATCCTCATAACAACTCTGTGCAGCCAGTATTCTTAGTGTCCCCATTTCAGAGCTAAAGATACTGAGAGTGAAGGAGTCATTCATCCCACATCACCAGCTAGGAAATGGCAGAGCCAAAACTGAATCCTTATCCACCTCAGACCCATGTTCTTAAACACACTGTGGTGATAATGCAGGTAGAATACTCTGCAGTGCCTACTACACATAGCCCTTCCTGCTGTCGGTATTCTGAGGGCCTTGTTGTGATGGAGACTTTTAATTAATGTTTACTAGGAAATCCTTTATACTTCTAACACAGAAAGTTCAAGGCCAGTCATTCCCAACCTTGGGTGATTTTGCCCCTCAGGCAAATATCCTGCTGAACATCCTGCAGTGCTTAGACCACCATAACTAAAAATTGTCCAGCTCCAAATGTCAATAGTGCCACGGATGAGAGACCCTGGCTAAGGCTAAGTGCTAGCATAACAGTATTGGTGACCCACATGTCTGGGAGAAGGGATTCTTCCCACCTTCTGACCTCGCAGCGTTGAGATGCAAAGACTCATCTGTAATATATTTTGCCTAAGGGATGAAGCATAAGCAGAAACCTAAAAAATCTGAGAATATTTTTTTAAAAAAGCATTGCTGTACATGTGTGCTATGAGAGTTTTCCCCAGAGAATGAATAGTCATTTTTGAAAAGCTTGTCGTAAAGTTTTTAGAAATGCCTGAAGATCGTGGCGTTAGTTTCTACTTCTTATTCCTTGGTGACATTACTTCTAAATTTGTTCAAAGGAGAAAGAGGCCAAAAATTTAACCACAGTGTTTACCATATTTGAGAACTTAATCAGTGAAGAAACACAACCTCAGTAATGTGACTCTTCAAAACAGTCAAATTATGTGAGAAGTCTGAAATTTTGATGTCACTGATTTAATAAGTAATCTGTGCTTTTTGTGTGATGTATTGCTTTCCAGGAAGTAGTTAATTATATTGCCTTTTACTTTATATCCTATAAAAGCAAATCTGTTCATTTTATTTAGATGCCACCACCAAATCAAACACCAGCTCCAGATCAGCCATTTGCATTGTCTACTGTCAGAGAAGAGTCATCCATTCCGAGAGCAGATTCAGAGAAAAAGTGGGTTTACCCTTCTGAGCAGATGTTCTGGAATGCAATGTTAAAGAAAGGGTGAGTGAACATATTATTTAAGATAAAAATTTCTTGTCAGAATATCCAAGAGTTATATGCTAAAGAGATTTTTTACCTTCAAAACAATATAGTACATTTTTATGTATTAATCAGTTTATAATCACCTGATTTTTCACACCTGTCAGAATGTAAGTGCGAGACCAGTGTATTAAATCAGGGTTCTCAAGAGAAACAGAACCAATAGGATATGTGTAGGGGGGCAGGAGACAAGGAAGGCAGGAAGATATTTATTGTAGGGAATTGACTTACACAATTATATAAAGCTGTGGAGTCCCAAGATCTGTAGTCAGCAAGCTGGAGACCGAGGAGAGCCGATGGCACACTTCTGGTCTGAAAGCCAGCGGTCTCAAGATGCAAGAAGAACTGATGTTTCAGTTTAAGTCCAAAGGCAGGAAAAGTCCAATGTCCCAGCTCAAGCAGTCATGCAGAAGGCCTTCCCTCTTACTCATGGAAGGGTCAGCCTTTTTGTCATTCAGGTCTGCAGCTGATCAGATGTGACCCACCCACACGGAGTGGGGAGGGCAGTCTGCTTCACTTAGCCTACTGATTAGAATGTTACTCACATTCAAAAAACACCCTCACAGACACACCCAGCATAATGTTTGACCAAATGTCTGGGCATCCTGTGGCATAGTCAGGTTGACACATAAAATTAACCATCACAGCTAGTAATAGGTTTTTTAAAAAACTGAAAACACTGTTAGATAAAATGTTTAGAAAAAGTTAGGGGATCATTGATCAGTGGTACTATCTGAACAATTGTCACCTTAAAAATAGATGATTCTGTAAGTCTGGTTTACTGTGACTCAGTAAAATGAGACTAAGGTGAACCTTTTATATTTGTTTTCAATGCTTCTATAGTAGCTTTGGATTTATAGTGCTGCTCCATGATCATGGGTAAATCTTGAAAATGAGCCTTAGATCTGTTAAATTCAGAGAAAATGAGCATTCTTAGTTCTTTCTCAAAGGGGAATGTTGAATAAATCATCTTATGAAAATATGTGGATTAACTTTATGGCATTATCAGGAACAGTTGTCAAATTTTACCAAATATTCTTTCCTAGGTGGAAGTGGAAGGATGAGGATATCAGTCAGAAGGATATGTATAATATCATTAGAATTCACAATCAGAATAACGAGCAGGCTTGGAAGGAGATTTTGAAGTGGGAAGCCCTTCATGCTGCGTAAGTATGTTTGAGATCTTAAATGTTTCAAGCATCTTTGTTATTTCATATCAGCTTTCTAGAGTTTTAACATTCAAATCATTTGTTCTAATAAAACATTTTATGTAGCAGGCATGGCTCAGTGACAATTGTTGCATGACAGGCCACCCTTCTTAGTTGAAAAATAGCAACCATTTTATTAGGCTTGTGGATTCAGTGGGTCTGGGTAGCCAAGGACAGGGCAAGGATGGCTTGTCTCTGGTCCTTGATGTCTGGGGCCTCAGCTGCAAAGACTTAGTGGTCAGGATGGCTTCCGAGCCGTGGGCTAGAGTCTTCTGACGGCCTGCTGGTTTACTCCTCTGGCGAGTGGTCATGGCCTCTGAATATGGCTGTTTTCGGCTTCGTCATATGGTGGCTAGGTTCCAATAGCTAGAGTTCCAAAAAGCATCTCTATCTCCATTTTCTGACCCAGCCTGGGAAGTCCCAAAGTGTCAGAAGCCTGCCCAGATTCAAGGGGAGGGGACAGAGACCCTGCCTCTCAGCAGAAGGAGCATTACAGCCCTTCGAAAGCAGAGCATGTGGGAAGGGAGATGCTAAAATGCCATCTGCCCCAAGGGAGGTGGGAAAGACATTTTTGTTCCCTCAATAGCATTTATTGAATCCCCATTAGGACTAAACACAAAGAGATGTCTTAACTCAGAGCTCTTTTTCTCAAGGAGAATAGGTAAATGCAGCTGTGTGTGTTAAAGGAGACAGGACTTCAGTCTGTTGAGAGTAGTGGTTCTCACACTGGAGCGTGCATCAGGATCATGGGGAAGGTTTGTTAAAACCCAGCATGCTGGGTCCCACCCGCAGGATGTCTGACTGAGTCTGTTTCGGGTGGTGCCTAGACTGGGTGTATCTAGAACACTGCATATGCTGCTGGTTTGAGCCAGATTATGTCATAAACAGTGGTTTTAAATTCATTGCACAATGCGATTAATTAATTTCTTGGCTAAAGTCCACTTAATGATTTTTTTAAGGTGTTTTGTTTGTTTTTAATATTTGCACTCTGAAGTTCATTGGTTGCACTCCCTGGCTGTCACAGGCTGGGCCTCAGGCCTGGGGTGGGTGCATGTGAGAGGGGAACAACTGCAACCGTGTTGCCCTCAGTAATCTCTGGACTGAGAGGAGCCACAAGTGTTTGCAGTGACCTACTTTGAAAGTGTGTTCTAATTAAGACCACCTGCTAATTACTTGTGTGATTATGGAGCAAAGCGAAGAGAGAAAAGGGAATTTCAGTTTGTCAGTTTCAATTCCTTCTCCAGTTATTTTCTGGACGGTCAAAATTAAGTAGACCGTTTAAAAACTCATGCTATGATCTCCAGAAGAAAGTTTTGCCTAGATTGAGTTTACCTTTTTGCCTGTGATCCTCTTGAGAAGAGATGTTAAGGAGAGGAGTAGTTCCTAAAAGGAGAAGAAAAGTAACTCATAAGTCCTCAAATAGAAGTCCTTTATACTTTGGAAATTTTTCTCCCTCCCACTTACTTAGACACCTATCTTGTTATCCATGGGAGCAGCTAACAATATAGGTGGCCTGCTGACTTGGCCACCACTCCCTCTGTCTCGGTAACAGCTGTCTGTCTAGCCTGTAGGTGGGCTGTGAACTCCACGAGGACAGTGCTCAGAGGGTCTTGTATAGCAGGTCAGTGCCCTGCTATACCCTGGTGCCTACAGAGGGCTGGCACCTAGAGAGTCCTCAGCAGGGGTCTGCGGGTAGAGGGAGTGCATTTGCCAGCTAGGACTCTGCCACTCCTCATCTTATGTGTAGTTATTAAGGAGCTGGTCCAACATTAATTACAATCCATTTCTAGGGATTAATCCATCATTTTCTTTTCTTCATAAAGGCTGTTCATTGGTTTGAAATGAAAGAAGAGTATAGGATTTTCTTGTTTGTCTGAAAAACCCCAGCTGCTCTGTGCCAAAAAGAAGCATGATGCACAATACTTGAGGCTGTTTTTTTTTTTAATTTGCCTTTCCTCCTCCACCAAATGGAAAGGCCCTGTTTCCTGACTCCTCAAAGTGCAGTGTAGATATCCAGAAGGAAGGGGAGGCAATGGAATGCACCAGTCCAGAAGGAAAGAGGAACATTTTTAACAAATAGGCACTTGTTGTTTGAATTATTTTAGAACTTACCTTTCTCTGTAAATGTTATATTATGTGAAATGTATACAGGAAAAAAATGGATATTACTAAAAAATTAGAACATCATCTTTGTCAAAGAAAAGAAAATATTTTAACAGACTTTTCTTATTTGGGGAATTCTAGAGAGTGTCCTTGTGGTCCATCATTGATCCGGTTTGGAGGGAAAGCAAAAGAGTATTCACCAAGGGCACGAATTCGTTCCTGGATGGGGTGAGTGTCAGCGCAGAAGTGTTGTTTCACCATCCTCAGGTCAGGGTCAACTTTCTCTTCACACCAAAACCAGTCTAAGAATTGCAGTGCCATCTTGCAAAACTTAATGCATATTCAACTGTAGATGTCTTTCTCTCCCTGAGGTTTGCCCATTAATGGGCAGATTTATTAGGGTGTAGTAGATTGCTTCCTATATATCATAGGGTTGAATGGAGTTATTGTCAATGTTCTTGGATCTGCCCTCTTACTCTTCCCGTGATCTGTGTCTTTGGGTTTATGCACTTAGCCATCCTCCCTTTCTTTTCTAGCATACTTGAGATTTTTTGCTCACACCTGCATCTCTGCAGTATCTCAGCTGACCTCCCTGGCTTAGGTCTCTTCCCCATTGGCCTTATTCCTTTGTAGACAGATGAGCTGTCATCTGATACGGACTTATCACAGTTCTTCAGTGCCATCTTCCCTTAGTGCTGTTCACTGTGTAATTCTTCAAGTCTGACTTCCCCAGTTAGGTGTTTGGGAGCAGGTGTTTGCATGTGCTTCTTGAGTTTTCTCATGGCTTAAACCGGGACTGAATGTATTGCAAGCATTTTAACACTCAGTGGCATGTTTTTATTCCAGGTATGAGTTGCCTTTTGATAGGCACGATTGGATCATAAACCGTTGCGGGACAGAAGTTAGATATGTGATTGATTATTATGATGGTGGTGAAGTCAACAAGGACTACCAGTTCACCATCCTGGACGTCCGTCCTGCCTTAGATTCACTTTCGGCAGTATGGGACAGAATGAAAGTCGCTTGGTGGCGTTGGACCTCGTAAAGCACTGTTTCAGATGGAAAAATATAAACTATTTTTTTCTGAGCGATACATTAAACTATTTTCCCCAGATTGAATTGCACTCATGATGTAATGGGAACTTCAAGTGGGTAATCACACTTTTTCCTTCACTTAACGAAGGATACTATGCACTGTTCACTTTTGACTTGTGTTGTACCTTGCAGTTTATAGCAGATCATTTTGTTTTCTTCCTACTTAGCTTAAGTGGGAAGCAGTCTCTCAGTTTTTCCTTTACCTGCAGTATTGTCTGTATATTTCATCTCGAAAAGCCTGAACAACCTCTGAAAAAGAGCTTTTAAAAAGTGATGAAAGTTGCTTTTTTTTCTTACTATTTTCTCAGGAATACTCCAGAGATGTAAAGCCTGAGAGTCCATGGTGATGCTCAAGAGCTTTCATCTGGCCAAATATTTTAACTAAAGCTGTTCATTATAAATAAGAGGTGATTATACCTTTTTTAAAAAAAGTTACCATTATTTCTAAAGCCCCTATGGTATGATTGTGACCTTTAACAAAATGCAAAGGTATACACTGGAAAGGTACTCAGCAAAATTCTCTCCAAATTCTGATTTATATGAATTTCTTGGACTGGATAGAGTACTTTCAACTATACCTTCCTTTGGAACATACCTTTTAAAAAATGTTCCCTTTAAATCCTGTTATTCTAATATGTAACTCTGCTCCCAACAAACAGGTCTCCTCATTGTCCTTGGCATTTGACAAGTTATCCCAACTTCGAATCTCATTTCTTCCTTTGCTGGCAGCCTCCACCCTTCCCCACATCAGTCGGCCTAATCCAAACCTTGAAAGCCTGGCTTAAGTCCCAGTATCAGTGATGGTCCCCCTCTAAAACATGATTTTATATTTGGCTGAGTGTTAAAATTCACAAGATGAGCATTTTTTTCCCAGATGGAGAACGCTTCAACTCAGTCTAGATTTTTTTTGTTTGTTTTAAGGAAGCTCTAAGTTTGCCATTGAAACTTTTTGTACCAGTAATCCATAAACTGGTTGTTCTATTTATAGCAGCATGTTACAAATGACTGCTTTTTTTTTTTAACTGTCTATACTATTAAATCCTTTAATTTATCCTGAATGCTGTAGTGTTAAATTAGTGGATGAAATTGGCAGTCTGTGGGTGATTAATTTGGTATGGATTTGTCAGTTTTGTGTGGAGTTTAAGAAATAGAACAGCCTTAAACTCTACATTTCAAAATACTTGTATATTTTAAAATAAAGCTGATTAGTTCACAGGTTTTGAAAATTTTTTGGAATAATTTTACACTTAACGATTGTTTCTTCAGACGTATTATCTTTATAAAACCAATGCTTTATGATAGAATGATTTATAACCCAGCACACATATGTTTATTGCAGCACTGTTCACAATAGCAAAGACTTGGAACCAACCCAAATGCCCATCAATGATAGACTAGATAAAGAAAATGTGGCACATATATACTACAGAATACTATGCAGCCACAAAAAAGGATGAGTTCATGTCCTTTGCAGGGACATGGATGAAGCTGGAAACTATAATTCTCAGCAAACTATCACAAGAACAGAAAACCAAACACCGCATGTTCTCAAGAGTGGGGGTTGAACAATGAGAATACATGGACACAGGGAAGGGAACATCACTGGGGCCCGTCTCGGGGCCGGGGGGGGGTGGGGGGGGTTGGGGGGGGTGGGGAGGAGGCTAGTGGAGGGATAGCATTAGGAGAAATACCTAATATAGATGACGGGTTGATGGCTGCAGCAAACCAGCATGGCATGTGTATACCTATGTAACAAAAGTGCACGTTCTGCATATGTACCCCAGAACTTAAAGTATAATAATTTTTTTTTAAAAAAAACAATGCTATAGTCTCCCTACTCCAAGCAGCCACTTTTTCATCTACTAATCTTTTTTTTTTTTTTGAAATGGGAGTCACGCTCTGTCACCCAGACTGAAGTTCAGTGGCACAATCTCAGCTCACTGCAACCTCCACCTCCCGAGTTCAAGCGATTCTCCTGCCTCAGCCTCCCGAGTAGCTGGGATTACAGGTGCATGCCACCACGCCTGGCTAATTTTTGTATTTTTAGTAGAGACGGGGCTTCACCATGTTGGTCAGGCTGGTCTTGAACGCCTGACCTCATGATCCACCCGCCTTGACCTCCCAAAGTGCTGGGATTACAGGCGTGAGCCACCGCACCCAGCCCTAATCACATATTTTTAAACTGTAGAGGAAAATAATTACTGTTGGCATTTTTTGGGGGGGTCTTAAGTGCTATCGAATGAGTGTGGGATAAGACATTCTTATGAAAGACAAAACACTAACTGGAAACAAAAAATATGCCAAAGGCAGGATTCACCTGTTTTATAGGACTGTGGTAAACAAGCTTTAAACTCAAGCAAACTTGATGACAAGATCAAGTTTTATACATCGTTTTACTACTTCCAGAAAAAACCATGGCTTCCTGGATTGTCAGAGCTGCTTTGTGTCTAGATTATGCTTGATTGGGTCCAGGGGTCAATACTGATAGGAGTTTTCGTGTACAGCTTGAAACTCATTTAGGATATTCTCTGGAGTTTTAAACTAAGTCTTGTGTCTGTGGAAATAGCACTATTCAGAATCAGAACAAATTACTGAACATCAGGCTAAGTATTGGCAGACAAGCTGGGGCTACAAATGGATTGCATATTAACATTTAGTATTCCTGTCAGTCACTGGCTAACAAAATGTTTATGTCCCCTTTGTGCATCGTATAAGGAATACAAAATTGCAAAAGGTATAACCCTGATATGGTTTGGCTGTGGCCCCACCCAAATCTCACCTTGAATTTTAATAATCCCCACGTGTCAAGGGCAGGGCAAGGTGGAGATAATTAAATCATGGGGGCAGTTTCCCCTATACTGTTCTCCTGGTAGTGAATAAGTCTCAGGAGATCTGATGGTTCTTTAAATGGGAGTTCCCCGCACAACTTCTTTTGCCTGCTGCCACGTAAGACATCCCTTTGCTCTTCCTTCGCCTTTCACCATGATTGTGAGGCCTCCCCAGCCATGTGGAACTGTGAGTCCATTAAGCTTCTTTCCTTTATAAATTACCCAGTCTTGGGCATGTCCTTATTAGCAGCATGGGAACAGACTAATACCCCTACTTGCAGGGAACTCAACAATCTTATGGACAGTCTATAAATGAAATGGTGGTAAATGCTAGAACTCCAATTTAAGGAACACATTGTGGTAACACACAGTGTGAGAATTCACGTAAGTATTTTTGAATATTTAGAGATAGTTACCAATTTCTTTACTGAGTCATCATTATGGTTTATCTTCTCCCAGAGATTGCTTCTTAGGGAAAATGAAGCAATGCACATTTCCTGTCTCACCTTTGCAGTGACTGTCAGAATTGTATGACCCGTCATTTGTGTCACCATAGGCTTGAGGCTGTGTGTGTGATGATTACAAATGTGTGTCCTGGAGGCAGAGTCCTTGCCCTGCCCTTTAGTCGCTGTGTGATCTTAATGTCTCTGGGCCTCAGCTTTCTCGGCTATGAAATGAGAGTAATAGAACCAACTTATCAGAGTTGTTTTGCAGGTACTTTGAGGTGATGCCTAAAAGCGCTGGGAACAGAGTCTGTGGGTGGAAATGTTCAGCAAATATTAGCTATCACCATTGATCAACAACAGCAAGGAGAGAAATCAAAGTGCTGAGATATAATCTACTTCTCTCATCCTCTGGCCTTATTCCCCGCCCCACTCCGCCACCAGGAGAATCAGTTTAGAGGGGTAACAGCAGGCTCTAATCCCCATTTTGATCAATTTTAAGGATTACCAGGTGTTTGGGTGCTTGCTCTAAGAAAGCTCATGTTATTTAAAATCATCAAATGGAAAAAGAACAGGTTACAGCCTTTGATCTTTCAAAAAATATCAGGGTAACAAATTAGGTACTTGATATGCAAGTCCCACTTGACAAAAAGAAATATTATATTAAGACAGATACCCAAGCTGGAGTGCACTGGCATGATCTCGGCTCAATGCAACCTCTACCTCCTGGGTTCAAGTGATTCTTGTGCCTCAGCCTCCTGAGAAGCTGGGATTACAGGTGCCTACCACCACACTCAGCGAATTTTTTTGTATTTTTAGTAGAGATGGGGTTTCACCATGTTGGTCAGGCTGGTCTTGAACTTCTGACCTCAAGTGATCCACCCACCTCGGCCTCCCAAAGTGCTGCGATTCTTGTGCTTCTTAATCTAAAATATAGCTCACTGTAATGTCCTTTGGGTCACAAGGTTATCCCCCTCTGTGAAAATATATTACATATCCGGATTCAAAACATATTACAAGGTTGTTTACTGCAAAGAAAAAGATCAAAAATTATTTCAAAAGCCATGTATATTCCTTGTAACTTAAGGTAACATTTAAAAAATTATATAATTTGGGGGGTATATAGTATATCAAAATGAAGCATATGAATTATGCCTTGCGCCACTCATGACAAATAATATCACGTTTTCATTTATAAGTGGGAGCTAAATGATAAGAACACAGAGGGGAACAGCACACACTGGGGCCTATTGGAGGGTGGAGGGTGGGAGGAGGGAGTGGCTTAGGAAAAACAGCTAATGGGTACTAGGCTTCATACCTGGGTGACAAAATAATCTGTACAACAAACCCCCATGACACAAGTTTACCTATGTAACAAGTGTGCACATGTGCCTCTGAACTTTAAAAAGAAAAACATTTACTGCTGCAGTAGAGATTGTCACTGTACCTTCAGTAAAATTTCATGCCATTGGTGTAAGTGGTAAAGTGTCTATTTCATGCTTGTGCACTCTCTAGTTTGGAAGAAAAAGCTGACAACACTTTCTGCAAATGATTCAACCGGAGGTTTATACATCACATTGCAAGTATTCTAATGTTTTTGTGGAATCATACCAGATGCAGGAGCAAACATAGTTCCTAAGACTGGTTTAGGGAATGAGGCATGTACATATGGGTGCTATCTTGTATTTATAATTAGCTTTTCATTGATGCTTTTACACACCAAAGGTCATATGTGATAGGGGCACAGAAATAATACATCTTGAGTGTTGTAACAGAGGAATTGTGAGACAAGTCTTCACAATCATAGACGAGTGAAGTCCTAAAGAACAATGAAAAGTTACTATTTTGAAAGTTACTATTTTGGAGCTCTGTGCAGAATCATCATTTAAACACTTTGCTATTCCTTCTACATTTGGGATAACAATGTGACTAATTCCCGTGCCCCTTCAATGGTTTGCTATAGAATATTATCAGGATGCTTTTGGCTTCTAGTAAGTGAATCCCTGCTTGAACTCACAGCCAGAAGTGCAGAGGTTGGGTGTACACTTGGTTGATCCTGCTTCTCTGGACTCCCTTTCCTTCCATGTTCAATTTTAACTTCATCCATGTAGGGCTGGTTCCTTTCATCAGCGTCAATGCTTCCTAGTTGCTTTGAGATCCTTGTTTATGGTCAGTAGATATGAGGTGGGGTGGGACCCGGCCATCTACCACAACCATGGGAAATAAGGTTTCTCTTCAGTCTAATTGGGCCAATTCAGCACTGGGCCTGTGTCCTACCACCCCTCCCATTTTATGTTCCTGTGCGTGCTTCATGCTTAGATTAGCTCAGACAAATCATCAGGAGGACATGTAGTGACCACAAGAGGATTCCTTCACTGCTGATTTAAAATCCCATTCTTAGACATCATTTCATTAAGGTCTTTTTCCTTCATCTGAACCTTTTTAAAAATTTTTTTCTGAGACAGAGCCTCACTGTAGTGCCCAGTCTGGAGTGCAGTGGTGCGATCTTGACTCACTGCAGCCTCTACCTCCCAGGTTCAAGTGATCTTCCCATCTCAGCCTACTTAGTAGCTGGGACCACAGGCACATGCCACCACGCCCAGCTAATTTTTGTATTTTTTGTAGAGACAGCATTTCACCATGTTGCCCAGGCTGGTCTTGAACTCCTGAACTCAAGTGATCTGCCTGCCTCAGCTTCCCAAAGTGCTGAGATTATAGGCTTAGGCCACCAAGCCCAGCCTGAGCCCTTTTCTTATGCCAGGGTTTTAAATCTGGAGGTGGTAGCTAACGTAATGGCATAAAACAAGATTTGAGAGCTTTGTTTCTGCACTGATTCCCTGTGTTAAGCTGGGAGATTTGGGACAAGCCACCTTAGGCCTGTAAGTCTCAATTTCCTGAAATTATCTTAAAGGCTCCTTTCATACCAAAATGTTTGTGGCCTCATATTACAATGGGCTGAATTATGTCATCTTTCAGGTTGAGAATCTTTAAGTTAAGGGAAAACAATGTGGTTTGAAACCCTATTTCAAACTAGTTTTTATATAAACTACATCAGTAGACACACTCTTAAAAGACCTACACTTAAGCGAATTCCAAGTTAACCAGTGCTTTCCTTTCCCTCTATAAAATGTGCTGGCTTGGAAACAATTCAAACATTCACCAATTAGTAAATGGATAAATACATGTTGGTATATCCATGCAATGGAATATTATTCACCCATAAAAATAAATGAAGTACTGATAAATGCTACAATATGGATGAACCCTAAAAACATTGTGCTCAAAGAGGCCAGAAACAAAAGGCCACTTTCGTATGATTCCATTTATTTGAAACCCTCAGAATAGGCAAATTTATAGGGGCAGAAAGCAGATTCGTGGTTGTCAGGGCTGGTGGAGGAGGAATGGGGAGTGACTGCTAATGGACGTGGGAGTTTCTTTTGGGGGTGATTAAAAAATGCTCTAAAATTGATGGTTGCACAACTCTGTGACTATACTAGAAACCATTGAACTGTATACTTTAAATGAGTGAATTGTGTGGTTTGTAATTATAGCTGTTTTTAAAAATGAAAAAGAAATAGCCGGGCGCGGTGGCTCATGCCTGTAATCCCAGCACTTTGGGAGGCTGAGACGGGCGGATCACGAGGTCAGGAGATCGAGACCATCCTGGCTAACACGGTGAAACCCCGTCTCTACTAAAAATACAAAAATTAGCCAGGCATGTTGGCGTGCGCCTGTAGTCCCAGCTACACGGGAGGCTGAGGCAGGAGAATGGTGTGAACCCGGGAGGCGGAGCTTGCAGTGAGTCGAGATCGCGCCACTGCACTCCAGCCTGGGCGACAGAGCGAAACTCCGTCTCAAAAAAAAAAAAAAAAAAAAAAAGAAATAAAAACGTGCTGGTTGATCCCTACAGCCAGGAGGTCCCCATCCTCCTAGTTGAGCAGCCGGCTTAGCATGAGCCAGTAACGTAATTATTTTAATTAACCAAAACAACAGACAATGCAATGTAAATGCATAAGCCAAGTATATAAAGACTAATGAATGATAAGGAAGGCTTTGAAGGAGAATCCCAAAAAATGTTGCCATGAAACTGGAAGGGGTTTAGAAAATATCATAAAAATCAGAATAATTTTTCACTCACTGCTTTGTAGTCGTTTCTTAAATTTGCTGTTAAAAAAAAAAAAAGCCCTGGAACTGGAAGAATAGATGATGCACAGTGGATGTGGTTCATCCACTGTGCATTAGTAAGAAGGATGAAGTGGCACTGCTGACCCACCGCACCCAGAGATGCAAAAGGCCTTGGCTCCTTGTTGAAAGATTAGTAAATGATGTACATTTATGCTTTCAGGTAAAATGTAACATGTGATCATTTTATGATTTCTAGTTTCAGCTGGATTTTTTTAAAAGTATGATTTGACATTGTTCAGGCCAAGCATTGCCTTAGAACAGCATTTTGGATCTTGCTGCCTTTCCCCTTCCACCTCTCTCCCTTTTGTGGTTTCCCCAGCAAGATGCTTTTCAAGCTTTTGTGTACTATGTATCAGAATCCCCTAGAGGGCTTGTTAAAACGCAGATGGCTGGGCCCCCACCCAGAATTCCTGATCCTGTATGCCTGGGGCGGCTGAGAATTCTTGTTTCTAACGAGCTCCCAGGAGATGCTGATGCTGCTGGGCCAGGGGGCCCAATTTGAGCTTCACTTTCCTCTGGCATCTTTTGAATCCTTTGAGCTTCCATCCACCCCCATCTTTGTGATGCATTTACAGTTGCCTCATAGTCACATAGCCGTGGGTCGAAGTTCCCATGCAGAAGATGCAAAAGCAAATCTTAAATGTAAATGCCACTTCCCCAATTTTGCTTATTTTCCATTTCTTCTTTAAGTCCTCCTGCTCCCCTCACTTCTGAATGTTGCCTGATTACACCTTTGTTTTGCTTTAATAATGAAAAGCTTTCCTCTGAAAGTTCATTTCTTCATATGACTTCTGTAGGTGATGATAGTGGGGGCAGGAAGATAATGGGGTGAAGACAACAGCCTCCCAGACTGGGTAACAGAAGGTCCCTCTTAGTGTACGCTGCTTCTATGAGAATTGTTGTCTCAAAAGGAAAACGCTTTCTTGGTAGCACTCACTGGAGAAGGAAAGGTGCTCTGGGTGATTCCTGCTACTTGACCTTTGCTCAACACATTAGTTTGCTGTGGCTGCCATAACAAAGGGCCATAAATGTAGTGGCATAAGCAACAGAAATTTATTCTCTCACAGTTCTTGAGGACAGAAGTCCAAGATCAAGGTGTCAGCAGGGACATGCTCCCTCTGAAGGCTCTAGGGAAGGATCTGTTCCAGGCCTTTCTCCCAGCTTCTGGGATTTCTTTCACATCGGGCAGCATAACTCCAGTCTTCATATGGTGTTTTCTGCATGCACGTGTGTGTGTGTGTGTGTCTGTGTCTGTGTGTGTCTGTGTCTGTGCCCCAACATCCCCTTGATTTTTAGGACACCAGCCATATTGGATTAGGGCCCACCCTAATGACCTCATCTTAACTTGATCATCTGCAAAGACTCAATTTCCAAATAAGATCACATTCACAAGTACTGGGGGCTAGGACTTCCACATTTTTGAGGGGAACACAATTCAACACTTAACACTCACATTTTCAGAATGACTGTGAAGAAATTCATCCAGGGTCAGGCCAGCTCATTTATCTGGTACCTGTCACTGCTGAATTGCTCCACTTGTGCTCACTTGCACACTTTGCTGGGCCATGACATTGCAAACCAGTGTGGTTTGGCCCCTGTATTGGCAAAAGGGTGAACCCAGAAGGCTTCACCCTTTTGCGAAGCTCAATGTGCTCCTGGCCCTTCCACAGACTGCATGAGCAGCTCATGCATGCCTCTGATGGAAGTCTCTTGGTGAGAGAAGAGGGGGAGGGCAAGATAATTGTCTGATCCCCTGCAAAGCATCAGGAATGAAAAAGAGCCAAGTGGCTCATCTGTCCCAATGTTCCTTTCATGATTGACTTTCCCCAGCAGATCCTGGGCCCAGACCCTTGGTGTCTGACCAAGTAAAGGGATATGACTAGAAGAAGACACTGAACACTGACCCTCTATGTTTCTTTCCTGCAGAAAAAAGCCTGTTTCTAATCCCTTCTCTAATTCATTTACCTTCTAAGGAAATGAAGTCATCTCCTTTGTGCAGAAACAAGAAACAGCTTTGGCCTTCCCCTACTGGACATTTGAGGGTTCTGTTCTCCTTTTCATTCATTGCCCAACATTACATTTGATCTTGGAACTAAGCAAATGGCTTAGTCTGTTGGGGCTGCTATAACAAAACACCATAAACTGGGAGGCTCATAAGCAACAGAAATGTGTTTCTCACATTTCTGGAGCCTGGAAGTCCAAGGTCAAAGCACTGACAGATTTGGTGCCTGGTGAGGGCTTCCCGCTTCATAGACGGTGCCTTCTCACTGAGTCCTCACATGGCAGAAGGGGCGAAGGAGCTGGAGCCTCTTTTGAAGAGCATTAATCCCATTCATGAGGGCTCTACTCTCATGACCTCATCACCTCCCAGAGTTCCCACGTCCTAATACCATCACCTTCCGGGTTAAGTTTCAATATATGGATTTTGAGGGGACACCAACATTCAGACTCTAGCAGTAAGAGAAGCACACACTAAAAGATAATGCCAGAGAAACAGTGACTCAGACATAAGAATACAAAAAAATATGATGGCAGAAATAGAAACACAGGAAGAAAAGTATGGAAGGAAATAAGTGGAACAGGTTTTGCATATCATAAACATTGCTCATACTCCCTGGGATGGAGCAAGGTACAGTTTTACCTTATTTTACATTTTGGAATTATGTTCCGATGGAAAAGAGCTCTGTGGAGGAGTTAGGAACTTCGTAAAATGGCCTCAGGCAAAAGGCCCTTTAACCTCCTTGGGCCTCAGGTGGCTCACCTGTACTATGAGGGGCTTCCTGTTCTGAAACTGGGTCCTTCTCTTTATCTAGCAAAGAACGTGACCAGATCTGCCTACATCATTTGCAAGTTCCAGTGGAAAATGAAAATGTGGGGCTGCTTGTTCAAAAGTATGAAAATTCCAAGATGGCACTGACAGAGTATTCAAATAGGTGCTGGGCTCTTCCAAGCATGGGGTCCTCTGTGACTGCAAAGGAAACCAACCCTAATTGTGACCACACCATCCCTGATTTCTGCCAAGTTCTTTCTAAGGTGTTTGCTCCACTTCCAGAGACTGTCTTTCCTGTTTGGGGTTTAACTTCAAAATCCAAGCAGCATTTTGTGCTATGGTCATTTCTCTGACTTTTCACCCTGGGACAGACAGAATGATGGATGGATGGATGGTTGGTTGGTTGGATGGATGGATTGATTGATTGATTGATTTATCTATTGATAAATTTATGCAACGATTTATGGTTTGCCTACCAGACACCAGACACTGGCACATTTGCTGGATTTGTGGGACTTGACAGCATCTGCTGCCCTTCTTGCAGTACAGTTTACAAGAGTGACCATTTTATTAGCTGAGATATCTTTGAAGGCAGATTTGGACTTGTCTTATCTGTCTTTCTAATGGGCTTGGAAGCCAGTAGGCCACTGGTAAATATTGACTAGATAAGTTATTGGATGAATCCATCAACCAACCAATTGACCTAATAAAGCCATTGCATGGCTATTATAGCTGTATGAGCCAAAGGAAAATCTAAAGATAATGCTAAACTAATTAAGTGCAAGGTGTCAAATTAATAAATACGCAAATTGAATATTCTTAAGTATAATTCAACCAGGAGAGTTCAATGACTAAATCACACCCATTTTTCCCTGTGGTTTTGCTATCCAAAACTTTTCAAAAATAAAACCCTCTTTAGACCTTTTTAAATTTCAGCTTTAATTTCCCTTACTTCAGTAGGAAATGGGCAGGGAACCCAGAGCCCTTCAATGCTCCCCTGAAGCTGTGGATCATCCCGGAGGCAGGAGCCCTCCCCAGGGGATGGTCCAGCTAAGCCCTCTTCTTTATGAGAGATACCCAGGGGCTCCAATAAATAACCACAGAGCTTTGTTCATAGACTCTGCATTATACAAACAGCAGGTGGCACAGTTGGATGGCCTGTGACCAAATCCTGGTTCTGCACCTTCTAGATGTATGGCTTTGGGCAACTCATTTAATGTCACTTTGAGCCAATTGTGCCCTCTGGAAAATGAGGGGGTTAAATGAGTGAAAGTGCACAAAACACTGAGACTAGAGCAGAAGTTGTTAATAAATGTTAGTTACTACTACTGCATTTCACCACAAGCTTCCCAATTTTTGTTTCTAAAATGGTCTCACATAGGACACCAATTACACTGCCATTTGTCGAATATTTGTTATGTGGCTAGCACTGCTCTACGTATTGTTTCATATAATCCTCAGAAGAATCCTGGCAGTTTGGTGTTTTTATGCTCCAACTATTCTGATAAAATGGAGAGTCTGCAGATTAAAGCAACTTTCTTGAGGTCACCCAGCTGATAAATGGGAAAGACAGCAATCAAACCTTGTTCTCTTGGATGCTGAGGCCCATATCTTGAAACATCCTTGTCTTTTTGATCACTAAGTATCTATTGCATGCTTACCAGGGAGCATAGAACTATACATTTACTTATGTCATTTACCATTCAAATTTTCATCTTAAGAATGGAAAGCCACCCACTTCCTCTGTCCCATACAGTACAGAGCTGAGGTGGTACATCTCTGCAGAGGAGGGCTGGTTGAGAGACCATGTCTCTGTGCTTGCCATCAGCGTCTCCTCAGACTGTCTCCTTCTTTCTTCAAAAATCTATTTTTATTTGGAAAATATATCACTATCTCTGCATTTGCCACGTGGATCATTGGATGAATCTACCAATATTGGATTAATACAAGTTGACAGACATGTATTTTTCCTCTACTCCATGGTAAGCTGCTTGGTCATATTTACACGCATACATTCAGCAAAATTTTATCAAATGCCAACTGTGTGTCAGGTACCCCAGTTCTGAGGGTGCAGAAAAGAAATACATGGTCCCCACCCTCAGGGACAGAGAGGAAACAACGTCCATATAAAAGAATAAGACAGTAACTGTAATGCACAGCAATGCTTGCTCACACTGCCACATGGCAAAGGGCCAGAATAAGCTGTGTAGAATCATGTTTGTAGGAAGGGAAGGTTTGAGCTGATTTTGCCGGGAAAATAGCTTCCAATTGTGTAGGAAAAGCAGGGAAGAGCATTCGATACCCTTGGAACAAAAATGCAAAAGTGTGCTCTGCACATGGGAATGAGGTTTTCTGTACATGGCCAGAGTATGGGGTGCCATGCTTGGGAGAGATAAGAGGCAGAGGTAGATGAGACCAGATCGCGGAGTATGTTGATGTTATGGTGGGGTATGGACTTTGTCCTGTATATCTGGGAGCAGGAGGGCATCAATGGTTTTTCAGCAGTGATGGGCCTCTGACATAATGTGCGCTTCAGAACTATAAACTGTGGCAGTATGGAGGAGGGGTGGGAGGCCAGAGATGGAAGGGCCCACTCTGAGTGGGGTGGACAAACAGTAAACATGTGCACAGTAGGGCAACAAGAGGGGGATCGCAGGCCAGGCTGCTGGTGGGGAGCAGGAAGCGGTGCTCTGCATAAAGATAGGAGTGGTGGCTGGTGAGAACATGGCTTACTGGTCCTTCAGGATGGTTGAGGCATCCAGGGGACATTCAGCGAGAATGTCAAACAGATCACTGGGGAATGGGTGGGGTATTAAGGTTGGAGATTAGGGTTGCCAGATTTAGCAAATAGGTGCTAGGTTCAACTTGAATGTCAGATAAACAACGAATCCCTTTTTAATGTATGTCCCATGCAATATGTGTGATAAAGAATAATTTTTTTAGCATAATTATGTCTCAGGTATTGAATGGGAACACTGTTACTAATACAAGATCAGTTGTTTATCTGACATTCAAATTGAACTGGGTGTCCTGTATCTTATTTGGCTACCCTACTTGAGAGATGCCAAGGTCAAGTGTCCTGGATCCCCCATGCCACCTTTCCCCACCCTGCCGAGTCATAGAATGGCCTGTGTCCCAGATATGGGACTTTTTTGTTTTTTCCTAAACTCGGAACATTCCTGGGGAAACTGGGATGAGTTGGTCACCCTAAGCTGAAAAGATATTGGTTGAATTGAACTTAGAGATGCTTCTAGTCCTTTGGCGACCTCTTGGGGGCCTCCAGTTGGAGCTGACACTGGATGTACCTTGGTGAATTGAGGGTCACACCAGGTCGGGGTGGGTACCCCAGAAACCATGGTCTGCCGTTTGCCATCTCCATGACACCATCTGTCACCTTGACTGTGCCGAAGAAGAATTCCAACCTTTGTCCAAATTTTCCCTTGGTTTGTTTTTTTTTTTTTTTCTCTTGAAGAACATTTGCTACTGATTTAGTTCTGTTTTAAAATTCTCAGTTGAGATGTCCTGTTTTAACCTCTGTGTAACTCTTCTTCAGTCATTTCCTTTCTTCTCAGTTCAGTATAATCTACCTCCCCCAGTTTGCTTATCAGACCAACATACCCCACAGGCCTGGACTTTGTTCTGACGTCCCTTTATATTTAATCCCAATGCTGTTTCTCTGCCAAGCAGATGTGTATTAAAATGTGCATAAGAAAAGAAGCAAGCTGGGTTTATTTAGAAATTTCCTCAATTTGCACAAATTCCATTGGTATAAGAGGGTTTTTTTTTCTATAAAAACCCACAACAAACATATGGTAATAGCTACTTAGATGGATCAAGACAAATTCGTATTTGGCCATTTCTGCCATCCCCATTCTGGCCCCTTTGCCAGAGACACAAAAACAATGGCTCATATTGTTTCAATGTCAATGTCAGAGTATTCATAGATGGAGAAACATATGTGACACACTGAAGCTTTTTTCATGCTTGTTGAAGCTGTCTGTTCATGGGGAATGAGTGACTTGAACAGCCTTTTAAAGGCATTTTGGCCAGCTTGAAAGAGTTTTTTATTTTTTTCTTGTCAGGTATTATATCATTTATAAGGTATTAGAAAGGATAATTTCCCTCAGGTCTTTGGGTTTCATGTACGATTTTTTTTAAACTGCTTATTTTCAATATGATAAAGGCATTTAAGAAACAAGGCCCGGCACGGTGGCTCACACCTGTAATCCCAACACTTTGGGAGGCCGAGGCGGGTGGATCACCTCAGGTCAGGAGTTCGAGACCAGCCCAGCCAACATGGGGAAACCCTATCTCTACTAAAATACAAAAATTAGCCGGGCATGGTGTTGTGCGCCTGTAATCCCAGCTACTCAGGAGGCTGAGGCAGGAGAATCGCTTAAGCCCAGGAGGCAGAAGTTGCAGTGAGCACAGATCATAGCACTACACTCCAGCCTGGGTGAGAGAGCAAGACTCCATCTCAAAAGAGAAAAAGAAACAAGCTGTAACTCACTAAGCTAAAGACATGGCCCCTAAGCTTAAATGTACAAAGAGAGGGAGAGTGAATATTGAGATATATGTAAAAGATATTGTGAGTCCTGTTTTCTGGACTGCTTATTTTAGATCTATTAACAGATGGACATACTTTTCGTGACCTTTTCTGACACAGGCATCAACTTCAGGGCCATTTGATCTGGATGTTTTTTTAAAAATAGGACTACTCTAGCAAGAACATGGTAGAAAGAGAGTCGCATTTATCAGGCCATCCAATCTAGGAAGGAGGGAAAGAACTGATCAGATCATGGTCAAATTCAAAGCCAGGGAAGTAGCATCAGCAGGAGTAGGATGAGAGTAGGTGGCACAGAAAAGCCACCTGCGATCCACAACCAAGCAGCATTTCCTCTGGATCTTGTTGACAACTTTTGGCTGAGTGTGGGCAGTCAGGAAGAACCAGAGGTCTGCAGGCAAATCCTCCCTGAGTCCCAGCCAGTGGTGGAAGTGCTGGACCGGATGGCAGAGCCTGAAGCTATCTCAAACCATTCCCAAATAAGAAATACCACATGCCACTTCTAGCTTTTATTATTTCGGCCCTGAAGCAAATTAGGCATCTAAGGCCCACAGAGCAGGTGTAGCTTAACAGGAATTGCGTTGGGCAACAGCTGCCCAACACAGTTCAGGAAACTCAGGAAACCTGAGTTTCAGTCCTGTAGAAAACCACCTCTTCAACAGTCGAGGAAATCAGCCTTTACTTGCAACAAATTATTATACATTTCTAAATGCTTTGGTGTCACTGAGTTGATGTCCCAAAGCCATCTGATATTTTTAAACCAGCTTTTTTGCTATATATGTATATGCATAGAATTGCCATGATTTATTACACTTGGATCTGTGGATAGTGAAGAATATGTCTGAAATGTGATGCAAATTCATTCAAGAGATTTAAAGCCAGGAAACAAAGCCTTTGCTTAACTTTTTATTCATCATGGCACAAGATAGAACCTTAAGAAACACCACTGGGAATTTCATCACCAACATGAAAATTAAGAGTAGCATGTTTTATAAAAAAAAAAAAAATCTTTTTTTATAATACACTTTCCCTTCAGAAGTGAAAAAAAATTGCATAAAATACTGAAGCGTATCGCCATCTGCTGGTCAAAAATAGTTATGCACTTGAAAAACTTCAAACTACTAAAGTACGGTAGAACATTTTACAATACACATAAAATTACGAAAGAAAACATTTCCTCAGCCTTTGGCACAATGTAAGTACAAAGCTGTAGGCCTTTTACCAAATGTGATTTAGTTTTTAAGGAATTGCATGTAATTTGGCAAATACTGATTATGGGGCAAAGGGAAAAAACATGTTCTATAATTTGAATATTCTGTGTAGATTCTTAAACACTTTATAGTTGGATTCCAGTTTGTAGTTTTGAAAAATACATAAAAATTATACATTATAAATATATATTATATATGGCCTATATAAAACTGAATTTGATGTAACGTGGGACGGACAACTTCTTAATTTCTTTGTGAGGCACTGCCTTTTTCTTGTTTGGTTAACTGAATCCTTTCTAAACAAGTTCTAAAAATATATTTCGTAATCTATCAGATTTAGCATTTTCCTGAAAACGTATTCAATATCTAAAAGCATTCAGTGATTTTTCTTTTTGTATCTGACTCCTATGTAAAAATATGGCTTCTCATATTCTGCTTCCTCTTGTTAGTGTTTGGTATCGAAGGAAGGGTTATCCCCAGTTATAAAGCTATGGCAAAAGCACAGAAACCCGCTTGTGCACATTCTAGAACATTCTATAGAATCTCATTGTTTAGTATATCTCATTGCTTAATATAAGTGAAGTGATTTTTTTTTTAAAAGTTCCTTTTGTTTTCTCTTTGTGAATATATCATATATGATTATACATAATCTGTTACAGAATACACAATAGTCAAAACCGAAGACACATAAATACGGTTAGGCTATACCAAGCAAGAGTTGTATCTTATATTATAGAGCCAAGAGGGACGTTTTTAGATTGGACATTGCCATCTGGTTTGGGTTCTGTTTGTTTTTCCTAAGGCTGGCTACGCAATGGAACCTTATTCTCAATGGCGGGGGCGTGAGTGCTCTACCTCTGTAGGTGAACTGGATTTCTCTTGTGTCACTTTTGAGAAGTGTGAAAGAAGAACACTAAGTGTGCCAGTGGCCACCACCCACGGTCCCCCCTGGGCTGGAGGGCGGGGGGCTCGGGGCAGGGGGGGCTCGGCTGGGTGCGGGCTCAGACCAGCGTCTCGGGCAGGGCATCGGGGTTGTCGGTCGACAGGAGCTCCCAGATCTGCCAGCGCTCTCTCTGCCAGTCGAGCCAGCCAGCGTCCCCCAGGCGCGGACTGTCCTGCTCGCCCGCTGGCAGGGAGTTGGCGCTGCTCAGTTTTTTCTGCGTGACCTGCTGCTCTCGCTCGGCTGCTTGGCCTCCCTGGTCCGTGGGTGTCTCCACGCCTTCCGGGGGCCCCTGGATCCAGGCTGCCGCTGCCGCGGGCTTCCCTGGGCCCGGGTATGGAGGCGGGGGCCGCTTGTCATCCCTCCCACTCCCATGGGGTCTTTGGCACTGAGGTGTGGCCCGGCTCTGCAGCCCGGCCACATCCAGCTCACTCTCGCTGAGGTCGTGGGCGCCGCTCAGGGTCAAGTACTGCTCCGACCTGGCCGTGGGCCGCTCGGCTTTCCCTGCCACCTGGACGTGGGGCGTGCTGCAGGCGCGCGACACCGCAGGGTGGGCCCTGCCCTCCGTCGCGGGGGCTGCGGCCTGAGTCCTCCGAGCCCCCTGCGTGTCGCTGTCCAGCTCTGCGGGGCTCCCCTGCCACCGAGGCCAATTTGGGGACAGGTTCCCTTGAGAAAGGGAGCAGGGCCCCGCTCTTAGGGAGCTGCTTTCAAAAATGTCTCCAGAGGAACCTGGAAGCCAGAGAGAAAGCCCAAGAAATGGAATCAGTTTGTAGAATCCTTGCTGGGGATTCAAATCCTGTTATTTCCTTCCCACTTCTACGACGTCCCCCCGGACTTCTAAAACTGAAACAGCACAGTATGCTCTTAGCTGCTGCTACCTGAAGAAAACAACCTTCCCAGCAAAACAAAAAAAGACAAATGCTTTTTGATTATCGGCTCAATTCATATGCCTAGACTCTGACAGGTTAGCTGAGACGTCAGACTATATTAATAATTGGCTTTGCCACCAATTTGTGTTTCAGGAAAGGGCCCCTCTACATGGCTGGGAAAACTTTTCAGAATCCAGAAGGTGAAAGAAGCATTCCCTTCTTGTTCAATGCAATCTGTAATCCAGGAGAGATACAAATTATAATGTTTTCATGTTTCTATTGCATCAATGAAGTTACTTGAATCTCAAGTACCCCATTCCATGCCAGAAGGCAGGCCAGCCACTATGCATATTCTCCTACCATCAATGCAGGAAAGGCTGACTTGGTGATCACCCAATCGTTCCCCTTTACTTCCTACATGGCAGTTTCCAGCCTCTCTGGCAGTTAGGAGGGCCACAGAAATGAGGTCTGGGCAACAAATGTGGACAGATGTGATGTAAGCCATTTCTAGGCCTGAACTAAAAAAAAAAATAAAAAAAAAAATTAAACCACCCTGGCTAACACAGTGAAACCCCGTCTCCACTAAAAATACAAAAAATTAGCCAGGTGTGGTGGTGGGTGCCTGTAGTCCCAGCTACTTGGGAGGCTAAGGCAGGAAAATGGCATGAACCCGGGAGGCGGAGCTTGCAGTGAGCCGAGATCGCGCCACTGCACTCCAGCCTGGGTGACAGAGTGAGACTCCGTCACAAAAAAAAAAAAAAAAATTAAAAAAAAAAAACTAAACGAATGCCTTCCTACTGATCTTTGCTTTCCCCCTTCCCTTAACTACCAGCCCAGCATGAAGACTCTCTAGGCTCTGAAACTCTTGGAAGACTCCCGGGGCTCTGAGGATGGTGGAGCCACTGGATATGTGGAGCCTAGGCTGGGCCCCTTAGTGACTATGTGGAAGACAGCATTCCCTCCCCTCACACACTCCCGCCCCTCCTCACCCCTCACAGTCCACACTGTACTGGGACAGTGAGGGAGAAATCCAGTTGTAATAGGTTAAGCCACTGCCCCATTTCGGAGTTGTTACAGCAGTTAGCTTTCCCTAAAGGATACAACTTTCTTTAGGAAACTGAAGGGAAAGAAATAACAGTGCATTTTGCAAGGCAAAGGAGGAGTCCTTGGGGCATGTGTACCCAGACTACCATTTTCCTATGAATCTGCTCTGCCCTCCACTTCTTAAAAAGCAGACAAGGAACAAGAACAAGGCCATGTTGGGGACAGGGGAGTGGGGGATGTGAGTATTTACAAAGAAACAAATGATAGCTGAAACAGGTGACAGCTGAAACTGGAAAAGGAAAATGGAGTAAGGCTCTTCACAGGATACAGTGAGATATAGTTAGAAAAGGAATCAGCACTAGAGGGCATTACATTTAAAAATGCACTGTGCTTTTAAAATGTAATATGGGAGATATTACAAAACAATGAGAAAGGGAATATAAATATAAATATAAAACAACCAAACAAATAATTTACACATTTTATACCATATATAACATGTATTCCAGATGGATTAAAAAAATTAAGGTTGAAACAATGAAATGACATTAAAAAGAAACGCATACAGATGACTGACTATCCAACGCTGAACTGAAGATTAATTTTATGAAAGAATTCACAGAGAAGAGACAGTGATAAAATTAATTATGTAAAAAAAGAAAATGCAAGTAAGTAAACAATATGGAAAAAGAGTTAACATCTTTATTATATAAAGAGTTCATAAGAATTTAAAAAACACTGGCATACATAAATAGGAAATGATATAAGTAACAATTCAATGGGGGGAAGTTCAGCAAATTAATAGAAACACTGAAAAATACTGGTAGGAAAGAAATGCAAATCAAATTAACAAATGCAATTTTGTTTTTTAAGTTAGCAAAAGTGAAAACCCACTAACTTGCAATACTGATGAGATTTGCACACAGCAGTGTAAAATCTCCTGCCATCCACAGTTTACAGAATGTAAGGTAGTGGGTCCCATACAGCACAGGAGGTGACTGTACCTCCAGATTCTTGGAAAGCCTTGTTATATTTGACGCACTTCCCTGTTTGGGATTTATAACCTTTGACTTGCTTTCCAAAATTTTGTGAATCTATTAATAATTTGAAAAATTAATTACATAAAAGAGGCTCCTGAAAGTGTAACTTATTACAACAATAACAAAAAATTTCAAATGACTTAGTATTGGTTTGTAAGCTATGATTATGCACTCTGTGGAATACCCCTGGCCCTTAAAAAGGATAATGGAGAGTAACTGGAAAATGGAAGTTAGAAAATAATACAAAGTTGCACAGACAGAGTGACTGTAACTATGAAAACCTTTGCAAAGGAAATGGAAAAAAATATAGTCAAAGATTGGCATATTTGGGTGGAAAGCCTAAGGATAGTTTCATCCCCTCCCATTTTCAGCATTTCCCAAGTAATGTTTGACAAGCATGTAATATAATGATAGTAAAGAAAACTTTAGAAAATAATTTTAAAAGTAAATGCAATAAAGTTTAAAATTAATACTTCACCTGTCATTCCTGGGTCTTTGGATCCGCTTTTTAATGTTGAATGCCAAGTTCCCCAGATATCGAAAGGCTCCTCTGACAGATCTAGGGAAAAAGTGTATAAAAAGGTATATAACACAAAAGGAAAATTAAAAATCAATGAACATTTTAATAACATCTCTTCTGTGCAAAGTATTGTATTCAAGATCCTGTTGTATACAAAACAGAATACAATTCAGATCCACCTTTCAGCGTGTTCATTCTACTTGGGATTTACAAAAAGGCCCTTTCTATATCATGCTCGTGGTAGACAGAATAAGGGCCCCCCCAAAGATATCTGTGTCATAATCCCACAAATCTACAAAGATGTTATTTTCGAAAAGGGCTTTGCAGGTGTGATTAAATTATGGTTCTTGAGATGGGGAGATTTTCCTGGATTATCTGGATGGGGCCAATATAATTACAAGGGTCCTTATAAGAGAGGGGTAGGAGAGAAGATGTTGCTAGACTGTTGGCTTAAAAGATGGAGGAAGGGGCCTCGAGCCAAGGAATGCAGCAGCTTCTAGAAGCTAGAAAAGGCAAGAAAACGATTGTGCCCTAGGACGTCCAGAAGGGAAAGAGGCCCTGTGGACCCATTTTAGACTTCTCACCTCCAGAACCATAAAATAATAAGTTTGCATGTTATAGGAAATGAATAGAAGGGTGATGGGTGACAACAGCTTTATAGGTGCTAAACACATTAACACAGAACTAGAGGAACAATAGAGTTTCTGTACTATCCTCAGGAATACTTTGCTATTGGTATCACTGGATTTCTTCATGCATGCATTCACTCATAAATCCCCTTAGCTTATCCATCAATATTTATGGAGTAAGGCACTACATTAGGCTTTTTCACCATCTCATTTAATCCTCACTACAATCCCATGATGGGATTATAATTACGATTTATAGCAGCAGACGTCTACTGGGTGCCTCCACGTGTTCAGCAGTTCACATGCGTTATCTCACTTCATCCCTAGGAGGTTCCCAGCAGATCATTTTACAGACGATGCAACTAGCGTAAGGAGCAGGTAAGAAATGCACACAAGATTACACAGCAAGTATTATCGAGTGCGTATTACATTTGAAGTGCTGCGTTGAGGGCTTTACATGGATTAGTTCATTAAACTCAATGAATTAAATACTGTTATCATTCTGAGTTTTCACAGCAGGAGGAAATGGGACTCTGGGAAGCTCAATCGCTCACTGGAGATCCTGCAGGTTGAAAGTGGCAGAGCAGGTTTGTGACTCCCAGTATAGTGCTCTCTTGTCATTGGATACTAACACTATTTGGTTCTGGAAGGTTGTCTTCATACATATAGTAGGTTCAGCTTGTTTTCTTTAGAAATGTAACAGCAGTAATTGGGTGGCACCTCAGACTAGCAAATATGCAACCCAAATCCAGTATACATAAAGTTCCTAGGATGCTGGAGGGAAAAAGAATCAGCTGGGAATAGGAGTGGCTCCTCTGGGCATGCGTTTATTTCCCAGATATCTGAGACTTGGAGTGTGGCCTGCAGGGACCCTCCCAGCCAACGACTGGGCTCGCCATACCTTCCTCTTCCTAGAGTAGGCGTTCAGCAGGTACTCGGTAAATGCAGGTTGAATTACAGAAACATCAAATAAGGGAGAGACGAAGAGAAGGTCCGAAGAGCCCCACACCATGCCACATGCAACAAGAGGAGGGTCGCTTGTTTTGGCCAGCGCCTGCTGGCCAGGCTCCAGTTACCTTTCCCAAGCCTTGGTCCAGGAGAACTTTCCCTTGACTTTGACGACGACAAGTGGCCCACCAGCATAAACTGCCCTGGCACTCTGTAAAGCTTCTCCGAGCCCCCCGGGGCCGCGTCCTCTTGCATAGCCAGCAGGGAGCGCTCAGACAGCACTGGGGAGTTGTTGTCATAAGGGGAGATGTCTCCGCTGGAGGCCTTGTTGGAGTCTGTAGATGAATGCCTCCCTCCCACGGAAAAGGAAACTTCCGACTGCAGCATGTCAGGGCTTCTGGCACAATGAGACAATTACAGGTGCGTGAGTTTGTTAACAAGTAGTGACCAGATTTAAACAATATGGCTATTACACAAATGACTGGAGGAGTATGCGTGGACACGGGCTGAAACAAAAAGACCATTTTGAGCAATGTTCCAAGACATGTACATCCATGACGTGAAAGGGTTTCAACGATATGACCAGCAGAGGGCAGTAAAACCCAACAGATATAACAGGAAAAGGCAATGATGGAGAAGGCACGGTGAGAATGAAACCGACAAGGAGCCCTGCATTTGCCAATGGGCATCGCTAAGTGCCTCAGGGACTCATTCCTGCTTCCATTTTTAAGTGAAAGTCTGATGCTCACTATCTATTAGGTAAGGATACACTAGTAGATAACTCTTTCACTTTCCTCAATATCCTGCATTAAAAATAATTCAGATAAAACTATGGTTGACACTTTGCTTGAAGTTCATTATGGCTTTCTGGACAACTTTTCCATCCCACCAAAATACTTACTGTACTTAGTGTAAATAAATCCATCCTTCATGTGATAAAGATGTTGATGCCACCGGTGGGAATAAGTGTTTCATGTATAAAGTAGTGACAAAAACAATAAATATATGACCCTCACTAGACTCCATTTTATTCAAATACATCTAAAATGATTCTACAAGGCACTAGTGCTTTTACAAACTGATATGATGTACTAATTAGTATACCATTATCATAGTTCTGTGTTCATGAGTTGTCACAGAAACAGAAATAACAGTGAAAATGTATGTGGAACAGAAAAATGAGAACTTGAGCAACGTGAAAAGAGCATGGGAAGTCTTACCTGGAAACATCTTTCTTTTCTACCCTCCTCAAAACTGGCCCTGACAACATCTTGAAGGGAAACAATCACAGATTGATTAAAAGTTCCAGAACCTACATCTTTTCCCCCTTACTTCACTTCTCTTTACTAGTCTTTGCTCTCTTTTGGCTTAATTTTTCAAAACAAATCCTTTTTATTTCTTAAAGAAGGTAAACACATGCCTGAACAACACTTTCCTAACCAAATGGTTTTGTGCATGCAAACTGGAGGAAGTGCATTCACAGGGATCTAGCTTCCTCTGAGGTTTCCAGCAGGGGTTAATATCGCCGGGAAAAACATCCCAGCTTCTGTGATACTGCCACAGCCGTAACTGAGGCAAACACGGGCCTGAACCCTTTTGCTGAGGACATTTCCTACCAACATGGAATAAAGAAGCCCCTTCCTTGCCTCCTCTTTGAACTCTCATCACGTAATCTTATGGGAAGGAGCCAGAGGACTGCTATGAGGATGATTTTCCAGGTCTGCAAGATCTCATTGAGTGGTTGTGAAGTGCATCCCAGGGTGGCTGCATCTGTCTCACCTGGGAACTTGTTGGCAATGCCAATTCTACAGCTCCATTCTGGACCTACTGACAGGACTGGCTACACCATTTGTGGAGCCCAGTGCAAAATGAACATGTGATGCCCCGTGTTTAAAAAGCGTTAAGCATTTCAAGATGGCCACTGCAAATCAGTAAACCAAATGTGGGCTTCTTCTGAGTGTGGAGTCACAGCCCTGAAAGTCAGCTCTGCCTATTAAAAGGGAAACTCAGGGTGGGGCCAGCAAATTTTTTAAAGAATCCCTCCAGGTGATTCTGATGCACGGGGATGTTTGGGAACCTCTAATAACCAAACCTTATTTTCCTCTCTCAATCTGTAGATGTGACAGTGGGCTAAAGGTCTGCTAAGAGCCAAATCAGGAGGGAAACCAAAGATGGTAGCCAAAACTGCAGCATTGGCTGCCCTGGGAGTGAATGTGGTGGTCCTGACCTTGGGGTGACTGAGGCCACAGTTAGGAGAAGGAGGAAGGGTGTCCCCATCCCAGCCGATTCCTGGACCTCCTCTGTCTGCCTTAAGCAGGATCCAGACAACTGAATGTAGTGTAGTCCCATTGTGGATCAGAACATTTTGAAGTGAAAGGGGGGTAGGAAGTACCAGTGTAGTGTTCTCTGCTCTTCTGGTTCAGTCTCCTAAGTCAAGCCGGCAAAGTGACCACAGCTGGGCCCTCCATCAGGGAGGAAACAGTGGGGGTGGCTGAAGCGAATCCCTGGAGGTAGAGGTAGATGAGGTGTCTCATAGTAGACACAGGCTCTGAACCTCCTTGGGATGGCTGGGGTCACAGCCAGGGACATAGACAGAGGGGGCATCCAATGAGAGACGATGTCTTCTTTTCACAGTTTCCCCACCCCCCAGTGTATCCCAGCCATGGGAGGAGATACAGTGTGAGTACACATGGCAAGCAGTTTGGGAAATATACTTATGTGAAATATCCCCTTGGCCTGTGAGGAGAGTAAAAGTTAATATTTATACAGAGTTAATTATGTGGCAGGCACTGTACTAAGCTACTGTTAACAACTCTCCTTTTTCCTGACCTGAGTCTGGGATTGAGTGAAAGAAACAAGGAGCTGACTGAATGCTGAATACCATGCTCTCTAGCAGCAGAGGCAGTTAGGGTTGGGATTCTTCTAGAATTTATTTGGTAGATAGTGTTCAACATTATTACAAATCAGTAGTAAAATGCTCTTTCTTACTTAGAGTTAATAGCCTTTTAAAATGTTTAAAATATTTCCCTATCATTTTATTGTCTTAGCAGAGGTCAGGAAGTGGCAGCCAAATTTGCCTAAGAACCTATGTCCAAGAATTATCTTCTCACATGAAAGCACACCGATTAAAAAAAAAAGCTGTTTTATTCACTCCTCAGAACTCTCATAACAACATAGGCAGTTCATAGATTTTTTAAAAAAATAGTGTCATTCTATTGTTTTATATCTGTCAGAAGCAAATCCAGGATCAACATATATACACATACTCACATATACATACATACCCAACACACACGCACATACATATACATATTCAGACATAAACACATACATATACATGCATCAACATATGAACACATACATATACATGCATCAACATATGCACACATATACATATTCATAAACACATATACACACACACAAATATGACATAGACATGTACACATATACACAGACACATATTACATATACACATAAATGCAACTATATACACATGCATATACACATACACCCACTTAGGTGATACAATTGGAAGTAAAGACACAGAACAGAGAGAGAGTAGGATTGCTGAATGGAGGCTGGAGTCCGGAGAAATTTCCAGAGACTTGGAAGCAGAATTGTGAGGGCCTTTCAGAGCATGTCTCTCCTGTAATGGGGGCTGGGCATCCAGTCATTGTGGATACCTTCATTACACACCTGTGCTTCCTGTGTCTGTCCATTTTCCATTTTCCACTTCTAAATCTTTCTATTCTATCCCAGTTTCTGAAACATTTCTAAGTTTATGGAAGCTATTGTAAAAGCAGCTTGTCAAATTTATAAATCAGGTAAAATCTATAAAGTTCTGTAAGATTTTCCATATAAAAATCACAAATCAAAAAACAAATTCTTATAATCCAGAAATTCTGCAAGAAGACAGGGTGTGAATAAATCCGGGTGTAGTGTAGTGGAAATGTGGATGGTAAAAGTTTATAGGAAAGGAAATTTCTCTGACCCTGAAACCTAGAGATAAAAGTGAGAAAAGAAAGAAAAACTACCTTTCAGGCTACAACTGTCAGAGAAGTGGTTGTCTGCCAGGACCAGGGTGCCTGATGGTGGCTAAAACCCATCATTGTGAGTCAGCTCTGGGAGCTTCTTGAGTGGGCATTACCTTCCTACAAACCAGTTCCAATTGGCAGCACTCTAATTTCTGAACACTGGTGGAGAAATGGGCCCAGGAGGGGAGGTTTTAGTGATTTTCCACAGGACACTCAGTGTCAAATCTAGAAAACCATACCATCTTTTGGATATGTCCGAAAAATGAGATAAGCAACCACAATGTTTTCTCTCAGATTTGACTCTAGGATAATCCAACCCTAAGAAGATAGTTTTGAGTTCAGGGTCCCAAATAAAGGCATTAAAATACTCATGTATCTATTTACATGAAATTTTTACTCTGATCAGTGATTCACTAGATGAGGAATAGTCTAAAAGCACATAGTGACATCTCTTTGTATGTCTTGGAGTTTGATGGATTGAGGTTCAGAATGTTGGGTGAATGAGTTGCCAGTTGACATAAGTTGGCATCCAAAAGTGCCTGGTGGCTTCTCTTTCCAGTCTCAGAGCATCATGGATTGAGGTTGGGTGGACAGGTCACCAGTCTACATGGGTTTGCCTCCATGCATGGAGGGTTTCCCCGTTAGACCCCCAAACCCCAGGACCATCTACATACAGCATGCATGGCCAATCTCAGCTAACCAGACAAGCAAGGGATGGGCATGGAGAGCGAGTCACATTCTCACCCTTAGCTGGTCCCTCCAGGTCAGGGCGTAAACATGCTGGCAGGGTACTGTGGGCAGGCCTGCACTGCAGCCGGAAGCACAGAACTTGTTCTGGGGACAAATGGAAAACTCCGGTTCAATCACCGGATGGGGCCCGCCCAGCACCTTGCTGAGCTACCCCAGCAAGAAGAACTGTGGAGGTTTCAAATGTGTGTTGGCTTCATCCTTGGCTTAATCATATGACTGATAAGTTCCAGTCTGTTGGAACTGAAAGCATTGTATCATCCATCTTGGATTATATCAATGGTACTGGGAAAGGAATCCACTGCTGGAGCAGCTTTGGAATCATGAAGAATGTGCACATTAATCACCATCAGTTCTACAAAGCCTCCCTTTGACAGATTGCTAGGGATAAAGGTACCCCACTTCAAAGAGGAACTGACATGGCTCTAAACTCTCCACTGGATGATGAAGCTAACACCCTGGGCATAAGCCTTTGGTGAAATTTTTCCCCTCATTTTTAGTCCTTATTAATTCCCTCCTAATGTCTCTGGCAAATGGAGCACTTATGACAGGTGAAGATCAGACAGTGTTGTTTTCATTATTTACAGAGGGCCTGATAAAAACATCTTCAAATTAACATTCTGCAAATTTATAAAGAAGCTGTGAATCATAGTGAAGGTGTGAGGAAGGAAGGGGTAATGTGATACATTCTCCCTCCATCTTGAATGCCTTTCCATAGAAGGCATATATGCACACATTTTAGAATTTTTCATTATGGAATTCTCTATTCCACATAAGCTTTTTCTAAAACTATCTGGCTGGAAAGACTTTCTTGAATGGAGTATGTGTGTTGGGGGAGGGGGGCAGGGGCAGTTAATGCTTCATAATTTCCAGGGTATTGAGGCCAACAGCTACCGCCACTCAATAGGACTCTTTGCTGTTACATTGTACTGGTAAAGTTAGATTTCTTGTCTGAAAATTTCCTGAAACCCTTTCTGATATGAAAAATCCTAGTAAAAGAAAAACAGAAATTATAATCTGTCACATAACACTCCATGTTTGTGAAAAAAGATATTTTTAATGATGAGCTTTGAAAGATTAAAAGAAATGATCTATGTGATATTTGGTAAGTTAAATGTGATACCTTTAAATTAGAAGAAAGCCTAATGCTCCCCCAGAATGAAGAAGGCAGATTTGTCATTCAATAAGATGAACATCTAGCTAAACAATACAATTATTTTTCAGTACTGAAATTTTATTTTTTTTCAGACTAGTACAGATCTTCAACCATGCTCTTGATACACTAGTCACCAGTTTTGCTAATTTTTAAAATTAATTTTAGTTTAATTTTTTTTCCAGTAAAAACTTTGTGAAGGCTACTAATAGAATTAACCACAATGAAATTTAAATATATATACCTGAGTTTAGTTCATCCATATCTGCCTTCTCTCCAAATGCAGTTAAATTTGTTCTATTTTGATCTTGTTTCCAGAGTATAGAAGGGAAGATACTTTACTTAGCCTTATTTAATTAATATTCTATTTCTGGGGAGCCCCTGAGGTTTGATAGAATAAGAGCAAATCTTTATATGTTTCCTCAAGCCTATATTTAAAAATTACAAGACCTGTTGCTGAAACTAGTTACTGTGTCACAGATGATCTGAGCTCTGCTGAGCTCTCCTGAGCTCTGGATTTATGGGGGATTTTCACATTAATCATGCTTAGTTCTGCAAAGCATCCCTTATGCGGAACTTAGGGGCCCGAGATGCCTCAGGCAAAAGAAAACTGTGTACCTCTATATACATGGTTTTGTGTATATTTTTTTTTCCCAGAACATCAAAGCAGTTGAAAAAATTGAAAAATTGAAAAGAAGATACATTCGAACCTATAATATTTATATTAAATTTAAATGTTTTATGTATGCCCAAACAGAATTTCCTTATTATTTTATTTCAGGTTAATTTAGTTAGAACTTATTTAAGATTGTCACTTGGTCAAGAGAAACTGTCAAACATAGCAATTCTCTCAGTTGGAACCAAGATAAACAAAGTAGATTTTGAAAATCTTGCTTTGGGAGCTGAGGCAGGAAGATCGCTTGAGCCCAGGCGGTTGAGGCTGCAATGAACCATGGTCGTGCCACTGCACTCCAGCCTGGGTGACAGAGCGAGACCCTGTCTCAAAAAATAAATATGACTTATGAGTTGCTTCCATTTAAGGCAGCAGCACATATTTTACCTTTTGTTTCAGGTTCTATGACTAAGCATGGCTAGTCTTTTTAAAATTTTGATATTTTCTTTATCAAACATTTTTGGCATTAGCTTGGATTTTTAAAAAATATTACATTGCAATATAATCAATTTTGCTGACTGAGTTTTCTGGCATTCCCTTAAATTCTGTGTCTAGGCAAGCGTCTCACTTGCCTCTCACTAAGTCCCAGTCCTACTGTGATTCCTTTGTTTTGTTGCAAATATTCACATTCAACATATCCTGTCCTGTTTGATTAACCTCCCATTCTCATTCCCTATTTCCTCACATCCTTAAATCAAAGGGTAGGGGAACTATTTTAAGTACCTTTGAAGAAAAGAGCATATATAATGCTAGTAAACATACCTGACAAGTATATATTTTTAAAAATCAAAGTCTTGCTTTCTTTTTTTTTTTTTTTCCCCCTAGAGACAAGGTCTCACTCTGTTGCCCAGGTTGGAGTGCAGTGGCCTAATCTTGGCTCACTGCAGCCACAAAACCCCGGGCTCAGGTGATCCTCCTGCCTCATCCTCCCGAGTAGCTGGGAGTACAGGCATGAGCCACCATGCCCAGATAACTTTTAAATTTTTCTTTAGTAGAGATGGGGTCTTGCTGTGGTGACCAGGCTGGTCACAGACTCCTGGTCTTGCATTCTTAGTCATAAAAATCTCTTCTAATCCCCCTCTGGCATCCCGTTTTGGTTGAAGCCAAATACTTAAGCAGACAAGCACGAGAAAAAACAAGGAATTATCCTTTAACTCCTCCAATACCGATGTTGCATAAAGAAGTGAAAAACCCAAATCAAAACAAAATATTAAGTTCCCAAATATCACTAAATGTTTGCTCTTTCAAAACAGAAATTATAATATTTTCTTGTTCTTGGTTTTACACTCTTTTGAAACTTGTTTCTTTTCCCCTCCAAATAAAATCTTGTGCAGTTTCCACTTGGCCTCACAGGAATGTAAAGCTTTGTTTAGGTATGTGAACTGGTGGCAGAGAACAGAAGCTTCAGGAAAAAAAAATCAAAGGGTTAGAAGCAAATATAGTGTTTGCTTTTAGACACAATGCTATAACTTAAAGTGAACGGGTTCTCTCTTGTGTCATATTGCCTGGAAGGTTGCTATCTCATGAAAACCAAAGTAGAATCTAGTGATGGCCACGCCTTTGGTAAGTAGTTGTAAATGAGCAAATTGGTGATGTTTATGATATACCAGACTATACACTAAGAGCATAATTCTGTATTTAAGTTGGTGCTACTTTTTATCTCTAGTTTACAGATGAGGAAACTAGAGAGAGAGATCTATCTATGTATTAACAGATATTAACTCTTAACTAATAGACCGCATATATAATAGCAATAGAAATGGAATTGAAACGTAGGCAATCTGGCTCTGGATCTGAAATGGTAACCAGTCTATTAAACTACACAAGCATGTGTTATTGACAGATAACTGACTACACAAACATGTGTTACTGATGGATAATTGACTTGCCAATGCAGCCAGCACCATCTGGCAGTTTAGGGTACTGTAATTTACTATAATTTAGCCTTACAGTAATCTATTGTCACTGCTTCTTGACTTAAGCACCACCCCTCAGCCTGCCATTTAAGGGCTTCTACCTTCACTGCTGGCCAGCCTCTTTATTGTGACCCCAGCTAGCCAACATATTTACTGTTATGTCCAGGTCCTGGTGCAAGCTCCCCAAATATCCAGGCTTGTTTATATCCTCCACAGTCTTCAAAGTTCACTGCAAATCCTTCCTCTTCTCAGAAGCTATCTCTGAGACTTCAAATCACACCTCTTTTCCTTCTCCAAACTCCAAGTGGATTCATGGTCTGGAGCATTGATTCCCTTCCTTTGTCAACACAAGGATGCCTTTTTAATGTCAAAAATCACCCAGCTCAAACTCCCACATGATAGTAAATTTGTGATATCCAACGTGGTAGATCTAAGCTAGAGGTTCTTAACCCTGGTTGCTCATTAAAATCATGCAAGAGACTTTAAACAAAAATCCGAATGTCCAGATTGCAGCCTATGAAAATGAACCAGAATCTCTGAGGGGTGGCCCAGGCATAGTTGTTCTTCAGGCTCCCAGGTGATTCCAAGGGGCTGGTGAGTCTGACAGCCAGTGGGCCAGCACCTATTGTTTGGCATTCTACCCTTGGAGGCCTCCTCCAACAAGTCTGAAAGCTCCTAAAAGCAAGAATATACTTTGATATTTTAAGCTTTTTAAACTCAAAGTGTGGATCATGGACCAGTAGTATCAGGATCACTTGGGAGCTTGTTAGAAATTCAGATTCATAGACTACCTCCCCGAGTCCTACTGATTCAGAAAGAGCATTTTAACAAGATCTGGTGATACCCATGCATAGTAAAGTTTGAGAAGCATGAGTGAGTGAGTTTAAAACACAAAAAGACCACCTACTTTGGGAGGCTGAGGCGGATGGATCACAAGGTCAGGAGTTCGAGACCAGTCTGGCCAACATAGTGAAACCCCGTCTCTACTAAAAATACATAAATTAGCCAGGTGTGGTGGCATGCACCTGTAATCTCAGCTACTTGGGAGGCTGAGGCAGGAGAATCGTTTGAACCCGGGAGGTGGGGATTGCAGTGAGCCGAGATTGTGCCACTGTACTCCAGCCTGGGTGACAGAGCGAGACTCGATCTCAAAAAAAAAAAAAAAAAAAAAAAAAGGCAACTACAGCTAGAGGGGTAGCACTCTGGAGCTCAAGCCTCAAAAGACCACTAAAAGTAAACACTCATTTATTAACATATGCATTTTTACTTCATGACATCATTCTCTGCCTTCTGGGCTGTTCCTTGGCCTGTACCTAGAGGAACACAAACAAAAACCAAACACTTTCTTCTCCTAAGTAAGTCTTCCCCCAGTGTTTTCTGTTCACTGATAATGCTAGTCTCTGACATACACAGAGCTCCTATGGGCTCATTCTTCTTTTTATTTTATTATTATTATACTTTAAGTTTTAGGGTACATGTGCACAATGTGCAGGTTTGTTACATATGCATGCATGTGCCATGTTGGTGTGCTGCACCCATTAACTCGTCATTTAGCATTAGGTATATCTCCTAATGCTATTCCTCCCCCCTCCCCCCATCCCACAACAGACCCCGGAGTGTGATGTTCCCCTTCCTGTGTCCATGTGTTCTCATTGTTCAATTCCCACCTATGAGTGAGAACATGCGGTGTTTGGTGTTTCTGTCCTTGCGATAGTTTGCTGAGAATGATGGTTTCCAGCTTCATCCATGTCCCTACAAAGGACATGAACTCTTCATTTTTTATGGCTGCATAGTATTCCATGATGTATATGTGCCACATTTTCTTAATCCAGTCTATCGTTGTTGGACATTTGGGTTGGTTCCAAGTCTTTGCTATTTTCTTGGAAGCCCTGACACTCACCTAAGATCTTGGTCTAGGGTCTGCTCACCTACACTTTAAAATTCTACTTCTTACTCTTACGGATAGGGAACAGAAGGGGCTGGACAATTGTACAGCTTGGAATGGGCTTAATATGTGTGCTTCTTCCTTTTCCTAATAGAAGAGAAAGAAAGGTTCGCTTTTTACCACAGCATTTATATGCAAAGAGTGTATTTGAAAACCATGTAAAAAAACTTCTATCAACTGTTCTTTAAAGTATAGTATTTATCTATCTCATAATGCCACACAAAAGCAGAAATTTGGCCAGGCAAAAATCAGTGGTTTTCCTCAAAAGTGTGTGTTTTGTAGCTTTCCCACACAGTACCAACCATATGTTATAAGTGCAGTTTAAATGAGGGGCTCATAAATGGAAATGCCAGCATGTCTCTTTTCTGTACAAGGGAGGGAAATAAATGAGTTTATCAAAATTATGGTGGTGCATGATCTGCTGAAAAGAAAAGCCATTTGTTAATATAAATTAGGACTTATACCTTGATGAGGGTTAGAAATCTAGGAAAAATTTAAATGTAAGCCTAATTCTCTGATATGAAAAGCAAGACCATAAAATACTAGCTCATCTATACAATTTGAATATAATTTTATTCACTCATGGCTCTTGGGGCTTGAATCCAGGCCTTACTTTCAACAGAATTTGGTCCTATTTGAATCAGAATTTGGCCTGATAATGAATGGCCCAGACACAGATTTTTTAAAGTAGATCTGAAAGGATAATCCAATTAAAAGGTCTTCCCTGCTAAGCTGGAAATGGAGTGAAGCTGAATTTAGCTGTGCTATCAACGTAATGACCTGGGAAAGAAGGAGGTTGAACAACATGGAATTCCTTTTCACCAAATTTTTCTAAATAATATAACTTTTTAAGTATCTGCAATAATCATGAGTGAAAATTAATTTATCAAGTTCAACACCAATATACAGGAATAACTTAACATGTGTTACTGTTTATAAGACACCATCGATTAAGACATGCCATTATTTTATTTATTTGTTTATTTATTTATTATTATGAGACAGAGTCTCACTCTGTCACCCAGGCTGGAGTGCAGTGGTGCAGTCTCGGCTCACTGCAACTTCCACCTCCCCAGTTCAAGCGATTCTCCCATCTCAGCCTCACGAGTAGCTGGGATTACAGGCACCTGTCACTACGCCTGGCTAATTTTTGTATTTTTAGTAGAGAGGGGGTTTAGCCATGTTGGCCAGGTTGGTCTCGAACTCCTGACCTCAGGTGATCTGCCCGCCTCGGCATCCCAAAGTGCTGGGGTTACAGGTACGGGATTACGTTAGGAGCTTATCATTGGTTATAAGATTAGTCTCAATTTCAGAGATCATAGGTCATGGGAGAAACGTATCTTAGAATTGCTGAAATTTAGTAGGTTAAAAGTATAACAAAAGTGATAATTTTGTAAGAGCATAGCAACAACTTTTCCTGTCACAAATTTATTGTTTGGTGTCCTGGTGATGATACTACTCCTGGTTAATGATGCTATATTATGCCCTTAACTGGTTATGCCAAATGCTCAGCATCCCCACACCCTCTGCCTCTGCAGCAAAGATTGGAAGTAACCATAAAATCTGACTAATGCAAAAACTCTGTGCTCCTCTTTTGGGAGCAAAAATGGCAGCAAGCCATAGCCTGCAGCATGGCTTGCATTTTACTAATTGCAAACATGAGTGCATGTAGAAACCCATGTGCATTTTTATCAAAATAATACTAGCTATAAAAAGTGGGAGAGCCAAGAAGGTGCACACCTCTAATTTCAAATGGGCACCTAGGCCTCAGCTAAGGTCTGTCTTGTGGTTTGATAATGGGTTAATCCCACTGGTAAAGCTGCACAAGCAAGATGCATCCAGGCGCAGCCTTAAGGGCCCCTATGCACGCTTATCAGAATTCTAGAAGTAGAATCATTGACGTGTATTATAGTCCCTTGCCAGTAATTTGTGCTTTTTCCCTGTAAATGAAGTCAAAAGGACCCTGAGAGGCTAGAGAAAGCTGAAAATAAAACAGAAAAATCTTGTAATGTGGTTTCTAATTTGGTAAGTGGATTGATGGGACCCGAAGCATTTTCTGGTTAGATGGACTGATCAGAATTGCCAAAGAGTTGCCAAAATTCCACTTCAGGTCACCCTGCATGTACTTATGTAAACCTTTCCAATTTCTCAGAAATGGAAATAGAAATCTCCAATGCGGCTTTAGAAGATGGAACACTGGAATACTCACGATGATTGGGAAGCCTTTCTTCTGAGTAAATAGTCCACGACATCAGGATCGGTCTCTAACAGGCTGATCAGCACTTCGTTCTGGAGATCTGGGGGAACCTGAAGGAGCCAAATGTTGAGGCATAAATAAAACCATTCCAGAAACAGGCAACATATGGTCACTGACAATTTTACTGTAGCACAAAACAGAGCCCTAAAAGCTGCAAGACAGCAGAATGATTTGCTGGTTAAAACCAAACCTACGCCAACCCATGCAGCTGCTTTAATTCTTAGGACCAACTGGATGATTACCAATAGTCATATTCAATCCAAAATGTCACCCCTCATATGCCTGGAGATACAACTGAACCACTTGGATGCCTTTATTGCTCAGGTTAGATTTTCTTGGTTTTGAATAAGGAAAATATCATGGTTCAGAGAAATAGTGTCCATAATTTATTGCCCAATGGGGGCACTTTCTAGAGTTCACATTTATAATTATGCCAAGGCAGCAGGCAGAAATGATGACTGTATTGGGCAGTTCTGGAATATATGATCAGTTTATTAAGAAGGCAGGCCCTTGAGCCAGACTGCTTGGGTTTGAATCTTAGCCACGCCAGTCACTAGCTGTGGGACCCTTGACAACGTACATCGACAAGGATCTTCCTAGATCTCAGTTTGCTCACGTGTAAAATGGGGATAACAACAGTACTCACCACGAAGCATTGCTATGGTGATTAAATGACTTATTATATGTTGAGACTTTAAAACAGTACTTGGTCAATGGTAAATACTCAAAAAATTGCTGGCTACTACATTTGCATATGTCACTTTATTATTCGGTGCCTGCCTTTACTCCTTTCTTGCACCTGGTCCATCAGTGATGAAAAGTTTCTCACTTTGTAATTTGTTAGGCATCCAGTAGAGTTCTATAGATGAGCATCATATATTTCTCTAAGCCTAATCCATCCACAGTACATTAGAAGATGGCCTCACAACCCTAAGTCATCTGTGTGGAAATGTTCTATAAGAGATGATTGAACCCAGCTCTGACTTGTGGTTTCTTATTCCATAGAAGCTGATAGCTCAACCAAAGGAAACTCAAAACTATTGAGAGAAAATAAAATTTCAGTCTGATTCTCTCACACATGAGCTCAGAGAGAAGACTTTTTAAAACTGCAGGGTTAAGTCTTCTGAAAATAAGTGGTTGGTGGAAGAATTTGCTTCTTGCCTCTTGCAGAACTCTACAGTTCTTGAGCTCTGAGAATCTGGAAACAATTTTATTAATAAAAACAGGGATGAGAAAGCAAGGAAATGTGTTCTGTCTCTTACAAATCTGTTCCTCCTACTTTATCGTGAACCTTCATTAATGACATTGCCAACTTCTAATCACGCAAGCTCAAGATCTCAGAATTGTACTAAAGCTTCTCTGCATCCTCTCTCCATTCAGAGCCAGGAGGCCTACTAGACTTCATCTCTGTTACTTCTTTTCTCCCTTTTCCATTCCAACTGCAGAGACTCAAGTTCAAGCCCTCATTAGCCTTTTGTAGTGGTCATCTGTTCATCATTAAAAGTCTCCATTTCCCTCCTCTTATAATAGTTATACCCCACGTTCCCTCTGGTAAACCAACTGCTACCCAAGCCTTAGCTCAAGGGTGAAGTGTGTATCGTAGTCAAAGTCTATTGAGCATTCCATTCCCAGATCATCATAGTTGCCTGAGCAATGGGCATGTGACTCCATCAGAGGCAATGAAAACCCTGGAGGTTTTCCCTGAGACTTCTAAGAGAGGATACAGGGCCTGTATCCATATGAGGCCTGATGATTGCGCTGACAATTGAGCAAACAATACCAAGAAATAGAGATAAAAGGGATGTCTTGATATCATCTGAGTCCCGGGACAAGCTATGTCTGAAGCCATATTTGCTTGTGGATTGTTCAGCTATGTGAGCCTTCAAATTACTTAAGCTAGTTTGAGTTTTGCATTGCAAAGAAAAATACGTACTTGATGAACCTTTGATACAACAGCTTTCAAATTTGTCTGCTATTTCCTTAACATGTGCAGCACATTTCTTCTCTATGTGGTTGTCAGAATGCCATGGTCAAGACACTCATTTACTGGAAACTCTTTTTATTCCCATGGCTGAAGCCATCCACTTGCATACTGTCCTCAATCTGTCTTTCCCATCTTCTCCCCTAGCAGTCATTCCACACAAGCTCTACTTCAGCACCACTGTGCTTCTCCCTCAGGTCTTCTCTTCCCTCCCTTCCTTTCATTCATTGCATAAATGTTGAGTGAATGCTTCCTGAGTGCCAGGTATTGGATGCTGGGAATTCAGTTACAAACCAAACAGACAATAATCCTTGTCTTCATGAAGCTGGTAACAAATATGGAAAGACGGGCATTAAACAAACATACAAGAAAAACATAGAGAAACACAAGGCAAAGAAGGGCAATGAGAAATGCTTGGGAAGACGCAGTTTTCAATAGGATTGTCAGTCCCAGAGAAGCTGACATTTTAGCAGAAAACTCAAACTGATGAAGGAGTTGGAGAAAATCATTCCAGGTAGAAGGAAGGAAAAGAAAGCCAATGATAAAGGTCTTGAGTCAAGAGTGATGAGGAGGTCTGTGAGGCTGGAAGAGAGTAGGAAAGGAGGCGGGTGGTAGGAAGGGGTCATAGGGCCAGGACCAGGTGTCATGGAGTCTTATGGGTCATAATAAGGACTTCTGCACTTACTTGCAGTGGGTGGGGATCCACTGGAGATTTTGAACAGATGACTAACATGAAGCAGCATCACTCTGGCTGCTGAGTTGAGAGTAGAATGCATGGAGCCAGAGATAAAGCAAGGAGAGCAGAGAGGGCCTGCTGATCTACCCAGATAAGATGATGGGTCCTGAACCAGGGCAGTGAGGTGATGAGAAATATTTCCACAGTGGACATAGTGAGGATAGAGGTAATAGCATTAATTTATTGGATGGAGAGAGAGAGAAGAGAGGGAGAGGGAGAAGAAAGGATGACCTCAATGCTTGGGGCCTAGGCAACTAGAAAGATGGAGTTGCTGTTGACTGGTTTGGAGAAGCTGCAGGAGGAGAAGGTTGGGGGTCAAGTTTTGGAGTGTGGTTTTGATATGATAATGTTTAGAGGTTTGCAAGACATCCAAATGAAGGAGGTATCTTGTAGATAGTTGGCAATAAGGATTCAGAGTTCATAGGAGAGGTCTGGGTTGAACATAGACATTTAAGAGGCACATATAGATGGTATTTAAAACCCTGTGACCAGCTGCAGTGGCCTGGGTATGAAAATGGGGAGAAGGGAAAGGGCAGGATATTTAGGTCAAGGGTGAGATTATTCTCTTACTGTATAAATTAAACAGAAAGACATCATTTTTACTGTATTTTTTCCAAAGATCATCACCCAACAGCCATGTGCTATTATAACAGTTTTTAAAAACGTAACACCTAAAGGGTGAAAATGAGAGGAAAGAGAACTCATATTTTTTTAATGAACAGCAGAGCAAAAAATAATATAGGACAAAAATGTATGTCCCGATCTCTTTTTTAGAAGAAAATTCCATAAACAAATTAGGAAAAGTACTTGCATTTTCATCCAGTTAGTTTAATTTAAAACTTGCTAGGCTTTGACATGTAATAAAAAATTTCGTGGCTGGGTGCGGTGGCTCACGCCTGTAATCCTAGCACTTTGGGAGGCCGAGGTGGGCAGATCACGAGGTCAGGAGATCGAGACCATCCTGGCTAACATGGTGAAACCCCGTCTCTACTAAAAATACAAAAAAAAAAAAAATTAGTCGGGCGTGGTGGTGAGCCCCTGTAGTCCCAGCTACTTGGGAGGCTGAGGCAGAAGAATGGCGTGAATCCGGGAGACGGAGCTTGCAGTGAGCCGAGATCATGCCACTGCACTCCAGCCTGGGTGACAGAGCGAGACTCTGTCTCAAAAAAAAAAAAAAAATTTCGCTCCAAGCACTAATCCATTCTTGGATTTAATTAAAGAATAAACAGTTAGAGTGCAAGCCCTTCAGAGTGGTGCAAGCATGACAATATTAATTCTTTGAGAGTATGTAGTATGTCTAAGATAAATTATCAACTTGGATGCATTATTAGAATAGGTTTCAGAAGTATCATTACTTAAAAAATAACTTTCCATAAATTTTTGTCAAGCTAGTCTGCAATTCAGAGGTTTTCCTCATTCAACTAGGCGAGCAATCATAATTACTGAGGTCTATTTTATGTAGCATATGTGACTCTTACTTGGTAACAAATGCAAATAGGAAGGGTCACAGTTATAAATCTATCTACAGTTTCCTTTTAAAAGGCCCATGGTACCATTTTGGCTTGGAGACACTATTTACAAATGCATAAAAAAGACATAGTTTAAAATTGTAGATCCATGTATTACAGGAAGGCAAATAATATTTTCCTATGTATTATGCAAAACTAACTACAGTTGTATATAATTCATTAGTTTATTTATAATCCATTTTGTTACAGAGTGATTTAAGGCAGCTTCAAAATGTATGTGATTAAACCACATTCTAAAAAATAAAGGAATGATTCAGAAAATTGGAGTCAGTGGGAAAATGAGGTAAAAAATTTGAAATGATGCCTGAAACTGATTTTTTAATGTTCATACAACAGCACCCAGTACTGTTTTCCTATAATTCTTCTAATCTTTGGCTATAACTGCACATTTCGTTTCCTAACATTTAATAAAAATTTCAAACTACTGGCTCAGTTATATTGGATGAACACTTATTTCTCTATTAATTTAGGTACTTAATGGAGAAATAAAAGTCAAGTAAATAAACTGATAGGAAACAGCAGCTTGAAATAAGTAAGAAAGAAATATCTAGGTAGACCACTGACTTAAGCATACCTTTTCAGGAATTAGGATGCTGTAAAAAAAAATCTGACTGAGGCAACAGCCCCTGAAATCCAGTTTTGGCTCTGCTGTTTATAATTAATATAAACTTGGACACATCAATCACCTTCTTTAGGATTCTGTTCCCACATCTGAAAACATATGCATATTCATTTTACTTAATGGGGGGTGTTACGGGAATCAAAAGCGCTAAAAAAAAATGAAAATAGATTACCAATTGCAAAGAGATCTAGTAATAAAATGTTTTATTAGAAATAGATGAAATAAGTAAGTTAAACACTTGAAAAAATAAAAGCAGATAACATGGAGATGGACAATATTTATTCTGCAGTTATTAGTTTTTATTAACAGTCATCCATTCGCTTTCAGAGAAGAAGCACTCTCTTCTCTTTTGCTTAACACTTCTTTTGGGTAACTCAGTTATGGGATTTTCTCTTGCTATGCCTCTGCTTCTAATCCCCCTCTGAATTTCTGGAGTTACAGCCTATGACCTCTTGGCCCTTCAACTGCAATGGTCTTGAAGTCAGACTCTGTGTAGCCTCACCCTTCCAGTTCCTTTGGCTAGACCTTGAATCTTCCCACCATTCAAGTCATTAGAAGGTAAATTTCCTGAAGGCAGGGATTATCTGATTTGTTTACCCAGAACTGAAACAGGCTCAGAAATTTGTAGTTTTCTTTCAGCTAGCCTCCCTCAAAGCTAGGGCAAGATCACGTATGCACATGCTGGTACCTGAAGTGGGGCATGTAGGAGCTTCTGGAAAAGGTTATCTTCCCTATTGAAAATGGGTACATGAAAAGAAACATCATCTCTTCATTAATTGATGCAATGATGGCTGGAAGAGATGCTGTTATCAACTGTAGCCATTTTGCAGCTGAAGATGGCAGAGCAGAGAGAGAGAGAGCAAAGTGCTACCCAGCTACTGAAACTGTGCCCCCCCCCCCATATTTACTGTGTCACATAATAAATGCTGATGTCGAAAGCCATTTGCAGTTGATTATTGTTCTCCTTGCCAGTCAAATGTTTCCTAAATGATGTCTCATTTTCCTCCTCTAACTTTGCCTTCCTACTCTTTCCTCTCTGGAAGGTCTTACCTGCACTTCTATGACCCTCACCCCGTCATTCACTTACACACTCTCTTGCTCAATTTTATGCTCTTTCAGAATACAAGCTAGGGTGGTGATTTCTACCCAGTGGATGTGCAGTGAATGTTGCTGAAATGGCTAAAAATAATAATAATCTAAAATCACCCAGGATTATGGACTGCATGTGTTACGTTGCCCTTGTCTAGATGTTTCTCTCTACTTATCAGTGGTACCTATGTCATGCTGCAGCACAGTCTTCTTGCTGTTCATTTCTAGAGTGGGAAAATACATTTTCTTTCCCAACTGATTATCATCAGATTTTTTCTAAGTTCTTAAGCTATTTTTCTTATCAATACAAAAACTTCAAAACTTTTTGAAAAAGATAGCTCAATAATTAAACAACGTTTTCATTTTCTGCTTCTGGGATTTTTGTATATAGCAAAATGGGAACTAAGGAGAAGGGTAGTGAAAGACATATTACATTTTTTAAAAAATCAAGCAATTCTGCATGTTAAAAAGAAGAAACGAAACCCAGCCCAAAGTGATTCTTCATTTACAATTCATTGTTTCACATCAAAATCTCTACTGGGCTTTAGTCAACCTTGTAACAATTCTAGATATTTTCTAAGGGTACCATTTATGGTCTTGTTTATCTGGAGACTCAACTCCTTAGATTTTAATGAGTTCCTTCAAAGCATAATGCTGTTCCAAAAATCAAAAGAACTTTGGCCCCTCCTGCTTCAGAGAAAAAAATGTAAACACTGCACATATGAAAGAATAAAACTGTCACAATTAAAATCTACCCGATCAAATTAAAAATGAAACCTTGAATTATTGCCTGGGGTATAACTGCTATGAGGTAGTTTATTCCATAAACCACTGAGAGAGAAAAGTGGTATGAGTTGAGTTTTCTCCATTTACTAAGTCACCACAATAAACCATTAAGGGCTTTTTGAAGAGCTATTCCCAGGACCCAGCCCTACTGCACTTGTCACTGGATGTTCCACACCAATCCACCACTTTGCACTTGACCAAGAAGGATGCTTTAGCATTTAAAACCCAGCAAAAGTAAATAGCACTGGAAATCATGATGGCATTTTGTAGTTAACAAACACACTAAAAGAAATCACTTTGGCTGTTTATGGGAGCAAAAGCTCAAACAAGGACAGGCCCAGCTTAGAACCTTTGGCGTGGCTCTGTTGTGACAGGTGGTTTAATAATTTAAGGGGTCTGGGTGCACGGGAGGGTCAAGATGCATTAAATTCGGCAAATATTTCTCAAGTGCTTGATACATGTCAGGCAGCATGTTTTGGCAATTCAGGTACATTAGTGAACAAATACAGTGGAAGGGTCCAGGGCTCATGGAACGATGTTGGAGGATAACTCAAGCAAAGATGAAAGAAATCAGCAGTCTTTGCTCCATGGCAACAGGTTAAAGGGAGTGGGAAAGGTTCAGGCATAATTTGCTTCTGCTTCCTTCCACCTTTGTGGGACACAAACAGTACACATGTTCTGTCTTTACAGACAGGGCCAAGTGAGCAGACTATAGCAGAACATTTGCTGGCTCTGGAAGCCATCTGCTGGCCTGAACATCAGGGGTGCTATGATTAGTCCAGCAGTATTACTGCTGTTAAAGGTCTTCATTCCTCATTTCCAGATTGGCTAAAACATATTTTCTTGTTCTTTCCCCACAAATGGACTCCATATCTGAGATACCACATCAAAATGCCTCTTCTTTTGTGTAAGGAGGCATCATGCTGTAGAAATAATTCATTTAGTCACTGCATCACTTGGGCAAACAAACTTGGCTTACTCCTCATGAAATGGTAGTGAGATTTAAACAAGCCAATAATGTACGTAATGAGTAGCCCAACCCTGGCACGTAGACAGTGGTATTTGTGATATATAGAAAAGGAAATGGAAATCATATATAATTATGTGGATATACTGGGAGGGGTGGTTTCTTGCTTGATGACCTGGATGAATGCTTGACTCTTTGACTTGGTGTGCAAAGTGGCTTTAAGAAAATGCGATTTTCATCAGGGAATGAAGAGAACACAAAGCAAAGCTTGGCTTCTGACTCGGAATCCTCATCACAGCCTCTGACCCTTGCTCCCAGTAGTGCTCATTTGAAATTTCCCACGTGCACTAAGCTGGTCCCCAGTTCAGGCTGACAACTCAGTGGGGTGGGAACACACTGGCTTTCCCACGTCTCCACTGCACTCCGGACTTTTCATCAGCTTACAAGGGTGGTGTCTTCTCTTTCTTGCCCCTCTCCTAAGAAGAAGTCCTAGTAAGAATCGTTTAATATCAGCCCTTAGAAGAAGCTGACAGTTTTCTCCATTCTGCTCTGAAGTTCTTACTAATCCCAAGAGCAATGATGAGTTTTCTCTGGAATTCCCAATATTAGTTACAGAAGTAACAACTTTCAGAACAATTCATGTATCAATGACTTAGTCAGTGAGAACTTTCTGGTTAGGATAATACCAATGACTTTGTGTAGATATTAATGATTCTTATCCTTGATTTCCAGTGCTCCCACAGAGTATCATTTTATGTTAGCCAGTTTTTCAACAGGTGTTGATATCAGAAGTGGAGGGTCATGATTTAAAGGTAAGGGAATATAAGCAGTATGGACACTGGACAAAATCGAAACAAAAATACATTTTTTTTCTAGTAATACAGAATTGCAATATTTATTCAACAAATAATTACTGAGCACCCATCTTTTGCCATATACTTTCTAGGTGGTATGAATGTCAGTGAACAGAACAAACAAAAATCTCTGCCTTTATAAGGTTTGTATTCTGTTAGGTTTCAATAAGCATAAAAATAAGTAAATTATATAGTGGGTTAAAAGGTAATAAATGCTATGGAATAAAAAGAGCAGAGTAAGGGCCTAGGAGTATATATGTGTGGGATCAGGTCACAGCATTATACACAGTGGGCAGAGTGGGCTTGATTTCCAAGAAAACACCCAAACACGCTTTGATAGAGCAGGCACCTTATCCCTTTAATGTAATAATAGCAGAAATCTTCCTTTAATGCCTAATATATGTTAATTCTGTTCTAGGTGCCTTAAAATGTCATTTCTAATTCTTATAACAGTCCTGTAAATTAGGTCACATTGTTTCATCTTTTGGCTAGGGAAGTTAACTGTGGGGCCCAAGATTACATAGCAAATAAGTGGCTGAGCAGGGATTTGAATTTTGGTAGCTCATTCCAATGCACATGGTCTTTCTACCATACCAGTGTTTCCCAAGATATGGTTTCCAAAGGTGTGGTTAGGAAACTACCAGAACTCTGTGGAGGTCTTCACTAGAAAGTGCAGATTATTTCTGGGCCCCATCCCAGTGCTACTCAATCTGATTCTCGGGAGTGCATCCTAGGAATCTGAATGTCTAAGTTTCCTTGCAACTCTGCTGCACACTCAAGTTTGAGAACCACCATTATAATCTACTGCCTTCGTATTTTGATATCTGTGGTCATGATATCTGCTATTATGATCTATTTCCAGCTCAAGGATTTCCAAACCAGTACCTGAAAAGCAAACAACCAATGCAAAAGACTGTCCTAGCCAGACTCTTAAATTGTGTGTCAACCTCTGCATCTAGGTTCCTCTTCTGTATTACAGGACGAAGCCAGGTTCTTTTCCGCCCTTTCCCATTAACTCAGAGAGTGGCCACTTGGGAGAGGCAGTCTCAGCATCAGGAAATGAAGGATGTTAGAACACCCAGAACAAATTTTGGGTCCCTGCCAGGCCTCTGTGAGCTTCTACATCCCTTCCACCAGTTATTTTATGGAATCACTGCCTCCAGGTCTGTTCTGCCTTCCAGGACAAGCTCACAGCTACCTTTCCTAACAAGTCTTCCTTTCTAATGCTAATAGAAGTGACACCTCCCTTTCCGAGCTCTTAAACCCAAGGACTGTGAAACTGCACAATTACTAACTACTTTTAACCATCAGGCCCTGACTAGCTTCATCCTTCTTTGTTTGGAATTATAATAATTCTGAAAGCTTCTTTAAAAAGCCAAACAAAACAAAACAACATAGCGACATACAAGATTACATTTTTGTCCACCCATGCAGATCAGCTTTGCTGACAAACCACCAGCCTTGGTATAGCCGACTAGTTTCTCAACTGCCAAATATGCCAAGATAATCTAAAATGTGATGAGATTAATTTTCTCCTGTGCTTTATAAAAAGGAAGGAAGGGAAGTCAGTGCTAGGGCATAGCACCATGCAGATTTTACAACTAGAAGGGGTCTTGGCTATCATTCATTCAAATCTAGTATTTGATAACTAAAGAAATAGAAGAAGATGAGGTCATGTAGCCAATATATAACAGGGACAGGACGATAGTAAATTTTCTGGTTCCAGAGTCAGTTTCTTTTCATAGACCAAGACTTGAGATATTTGTCTCCCTCTTCCTCCCACTCCACTGTTATTTTTCTGAATATATGATTACCAGAATCCTTCTAAAGAGGTCAAGAATGATTACATTAATGGTTAACTTACTCCAAGAAAGGTATCCTTAATTTCTCCATGCCCAAATCTTTTCATACGTATAAGGAGTAAGGCTTGGTAATATGGAAATCATATGTCACAGAACAACCATTGAGTCATTCATTAATTCAACCAATATTTATTGTGTTCCTACCATGTCCCAGGCACAGGGGTAATGCAGTAAAGAAAGTACTATAGATAGAAATGGACCAAAAAAATCATCCTGTCATGTAGTTTACATTTCTAGGGAGTGGCGAACATAAACGAGAAATTTGTAAGACCCAATGTTAACAGTGGTGAGTGCTAAGGGGAAAAAGCAGGGAAAGGAAATAGGGAGTGATGATGTGTGTGTGTGTGTGATGGAGGGTGGAGGTGCATTTTAGACAAGGTGGCCAGGAAAGGCCTCTATGAGAAGTAAAGACTATAACTGGAGACCAAAAATATGAGAGAATGCCGACATCAATCCCTACAGAGAATGGCAAACAAAGATCAGATTTGGGAAAAGCTGGAAAAGGTAGAATACTGATGTTTTTATACTGTTCTTAGTAATTCAGGTGGCAGGAAATGGAAAGAAGAGGGATGGCACAATTAAAATGGCAGCAGCTATATTTTCAAAGAAGCCAGGAAAACTTTTGTTGGTATCTGAGTTGAAAAGAAATGCTCGATGATATGTGGTTTCATATAAAGGAGAACTTTGCTTAGATAATAGAATTAAGTTTGATGAGAAGTATTATTTTGTTAAAAAAATCCAGAGAACATGAAGTAATGCCAAGACTACTTGGCAAGATGATATGTGACTTAAACTTGATGAAAATGTTGAAAAGTTCAGACATTTGATTCATCCAAATATGTAGTTAATTATGAGGATTTAGGCTGATGTGTAAATTTTATATAGAGTCAATTATTAATTCAACATTTTTTGAGAGCTTAGCATGTGCAACCCAGGGACAGTGCTTCAGAGACACAAACAGGAACAAGATGCCATTCTACCTCAGTGAACTTTTCATTTGCTCTTCCTCCTGGGGATCCAACCAGGATACATTTTCAAGCCTCGCTTGAAGTTAAGTGTGGCTTGTGCATAAGTTCTGGCCAATGAGATTTGAGTGGACAAGATGGATGACCTTTCTGGGGTTGCCCGTAAAACTCTAAAAAATGTCAGAGCCTCAAAATACAAGGAGCTGGGATTCCTAAATCACCACCTGGAAGGCTGTCCACTTAACACCTGATTAAACTTTATGTCAGAGTGATATTTATGTTTGTGTTAAAGTACTGACTTTTGAGGCAGCACGTGTTACCCAACTAATATAATTACTAATTAACAGTTGCATAAACTGCTACAGTTTGCACAATACTTTCACGTATCAAATGATTCTGGTCACCACCCTGAGAATTACATCATCATTTTGTTTTTCCCATTTCTAAAGCTAGAATTGATGCATAATGAGTATTGAATTACTTGGTCACAATCACATAGGTAAGACACAGAGGGCAAATACTCTAAACTGCTGGGTCTCAAATTTACAAAAAGTAATTAGTATAAGACAAGCATGGACATAAATCTAATGCAAAGCACTTGATAAGTGTAGACAAACTACTAAAGAAATTTAAAAGAGGTAACTAGAATTCTCGGTTGAAGGAAGGAGCCACAAAAGGCTCTAGTGGAATAGGCAGGCTTTATAGCGTTTGCAAATTGACAAGAGAAATGGGAGAAAAAACATGAAGAAGGTTCCTGTAAATTTTGACATGCAATATTAGTGGTGAACAGAAATAGAAGAGAGTTGGCATTTGTTTTAATGTTTCAAGGGAAGTTGTAGCAAGCAATGCAGTTTGATGAAGGAAAACAGGAACTGGTAATTCAATACAAATCAAAAAAATATTTATTGAGTGCCTGCCAGATGGAGGGCTTTCCAAAAGTGTACAGAGGATATGGAGAGGAGATAACAATGGTGCAGTCCTTGTTTTAAATGCATTTATACTCTACTAGGGGAAATGGTCATAAATTACTATACACAATGTTGGGCAAGATAAACATCAGTAAGAACAGTAATGGAGTTCAGGGGACAGAGAAGTGGCATGGGAAGGACAAAGGAAGGAGAGGTGAAGCTTCATGTAGGAGGTAAAATGTCAAGATTGACCTTGGAGGAGGTGAAACCACTGAGGATGCTTATGAATACATGAATTCATGAGGGACACAATTCCATAAAGAAGGGTTTTATTAATGTCTTGAGCAAGGACACTGCTTTATAATTAAGTGACTCCAAAATGTGACCATGGTTTAGAGGACAACAAAATGAAAATTATAATTTGGCATGTTTGTTTAAACATGGAGTCACAAACTCAAAATGACATCATAGTTGTGCAAATTTCTACTCCTGCTGAAACTGCCTGACTTCCAATGAATTCAGTGAGCAGCACTGCACCCCAGAGGGTGGTCTACTAGAATTTCATCCTGCCTCCAGAGGAAACCAATAGGCAGTTTGCTGTGATGTCCTGCCACAGAAGGGCCACCTACCATGAACAGGGCTTCATAATTTTCAATCATCTTTTGCACAACAGCGATGATGGCCGTGCTCTCCTCAGCCCGGGCTGAACTCTGAACTGAGAATTCTTTGTCTGATGACTTCTGCTTGTGCAGCAGGTTGGGTCCAAATATGGTGGCTAAGTTTAGAGATGTCATTTTATTCCCAGTGACCTATAAGAGAACAGAACACAAGGACTGTTGTTATGTTTGCCTTTCAAGATACTGGGTGATTCAACAATCAATGAAACCTTTTACTCTCCTTTTTTTTTTTTAATCCTGCAAGGATGCCATCCTCTCTGTCAGAATCCATGGAGGGCATCATTATTTTCCTTTTGCTTTAATATCTTGGATTGAAGCTCACAGTTCAGTGATCATCTCAATAGCATATTGAATAAAAATTTGCAACTCTAAGTTGTTTATTGTAAAATGGGTACTACATAAAATTTCTATCCTGTTTGCACTTAAGAAATATTGACACCCATCCATCCATCTATCCATTTCTCCATCCATCCCTTCATTCATCAACCCATAATCTCACCACTGATCCATCCACTCAGCACCTATCATAGGCTGGGCATTTTTCATATATTGTAATTATTTTAAAATTTTTCCAATGATTACAACATAGTCCTTATTTTAAAGGTCTCTCATTCTAGGGAGGAAATAAACCTATCACTTACAGGTAATGAGTACAAAGTATAAAGCTCTCAACTCCAAAGGCCCCAGGGTCACTACCACAGAGGCGGAAGCATTTGCACAAACTCTCAAAAGAAGAATAGAGTTTGCTAGGCTGAAAAGCAAAGGATCTGGGCTAGGGGGTAATTTTACAATGGAGAAAGCACCACACATGCAAAGACAGAAACATCTAAAATACGTCATGGAGCCCCAGGAAGCTCAGTGTGGTAGGGAGTTCTGCAGGAAAGGCAGGCAAGGGCCAGGTGAGATGATCTTCATGTGTCAGACCAAGGAATTCAAACTGTGATCTAAGGGCAAGAGGATTCTGAACAGAGCAGAATGGAAATGGAATCTGCATTTCAGGAAGAGCAATCTATGGAACAGGGGATGGGGGATGCAAGGAAGTAGGACTACCTGGGACATACCACAACAGTCTAGGCCACAGCAGCTAGCATCTGAACTAGGAAGGAAGAAGTAGGGATGAAGAGCAGCTTCCAAAGTTACGGAGGGGGTGAAGAGGATAATGCAGAGGGTAAGGATCTTGTGTTTTAACAAATGAAAAAATGGAAGGACAGTTAAGTGAGGAACATGAAGGGCTGAAAAGGGGTTCCTGGAGACTCCAGCACCCTTAAGGAGCAGCTGATGAAGGAGGCCAATAATGGGTGAGAAGTTACCATAAAAGAAACCTGTGTCCAAGAAGAAATGACAGGGGAGTTTCAAGTGAGTTATCAACTGTGGCAGAGGGTCATCGAGATGTGACCCTTCCCTCCAGAATGGACTCTCTGATGGTTCTGATGTCCCAGCTAAGAGTCATGTCAGTGGTGTGGCAGGAATGAGCCACAGTTGCAGAAGTGGAAACAGTGAATGTAGACACTTTCTTCAAAAGATATCACAGAGAAGGAGGAAGAAGAAATGTAGGAGGAGCTAAAGGGGAGTACGGGGTGAAGGAAGGGAACTATTTTTTGCTTGAAGCATAAAAAATTATTCACATTCAATATATTAATAATTAGAAAGCACAGGTAAGCCAAAAGAAAAAAAAATGCCCATAATTTCACCACTGCCAAGAATCAGCCATTCCTATGCCTTCCTGTGCACATATATACATGTACACCTGATATTTTCTTCTTTAAAACTGGGATCACATCCATATATTATTTTGTAACTTGCTTACTATCTCTTAACAACATGCTACAATAATCTTTCCACTACAAAAAAAAAAAAAATCCTGTCTTCAGGCTTCATTGGCCCCTAGAATCCCACTGCACGAATAAACCATGATGTTTTTTAACCACAGTCAACTAATAGGCATTGATGTCGTCTTGAATTTTCTGTTATTATAAGCAATGGTACAAAAAATATCCTTGAAAAGATATTTTGTGAGCTCGGGTGAGCACTTTTTAGGAGTAAATTCCTACAAGTTGAATTGTTGTAATAAGGAATATGAACGTTTTCAAAGGTTTGGGAATTTTTTCTACTTGTCTTTCTTTCAGGTGAACGGGAGAGTCTGAGTAAGTTTCTCTAGGCTAGGGTTTCTCTACCTCGACACTAGTGACATGTAATACCAGATCATTCTTTGCTGTGGGGGCTGTCCTGTGCATTACAGGATGTGGAACAGCACCCCTGGCCTCAGCCCACTAGATGCCAGGAGCACCCCTGCCCTCAACCCACAGTTGTGACAACCAGAATTATCTCTAGACATGGTCGCAGGTCCCCTGTGGGGTAAAATTGCTCCTGGTTGAGAACCACTGGTCTATGTGAATTTTTATTTCTCTTGTCAATATCAGTTGAGAGTCAGGATAAGTATGGGAACTGCGTCTGCTTGGTGGGGATCTTTTGCCTGGGAAGATCTACATAGATTTTGAGAAACACCTGGGTGCCCAGCATAGAATTCAGGAGTCCCAATGAACAGCTGAAACAAAGCCCTCTGAACCCCACTCTCATCCTGTGGCGTCATGAGCTGGTGGCTGCCCTGCCCTGCAATCCCAGCTTGGTACACGAGTTGTATTATTTTTAGAAGGCAAGGCTGTTTTCAGGTGAATGATTGGCCTCCAAGGGATATCATTTCATGTGATAAACACTGACAATTTCAAAGAAAGTGCCCTTTATGTAGGATCGTCCAATCATTTTTCTTTGTTTTATTTCATTGGTAAGTTTTTTATTTCATTGACAAGTTTTCATTTAATTTTTCTTTTCCTGGAAATTCATGGTTAAGGTGAAAATCAAATACGTGTCATTTTCAAATTCCTCCCTTTAGAACTCAGAGGTATTTGGAGTGTTTCCCCTTACCCCTGTAAAGTCATATTAGGGTTTTCTCATTTTTTAAAAAAAACATTAACAAATGGAAGATTTTGTTTTCTTTTAAAAGAATGTTTCATACGAGAACAATCTAGAGCTCTGTTTCCGCTCTTTCCTTCTCCTGTTGCTATTCTGGGAATGGAATACAACCCATCTGTAAAACTGCACACAGATTCCAGCTGCAGACCAAGCTGCTGGGGTTTGTTAACACTTTTGGGGTTTCTTTTGTTTTATTGTTTTTTAACAGGGAAAGAAGAGTTGCTCCCAGGCAACATCCACCTTTTCTCCATGTGTTTCAGCATATATTTATATATATACTATACGGCTGTGTCTAGGTAATACAACGTACACTCGAGCCAGGCCATTACTTCATTTTTTAATTAGCTAGCAATTCAAGAAAACTTTTATCTTCACTAAATGAACATCCTAGATCATTTCTAAGCTTCATATGAATAGCTCATATCTGTTAAAAGTCTAATATGTACAGGTACCAGGCTAGGGGCTTTCCACTGGCCATTTCAATTCTTTCTCACTATAAGCTTAAGAAACAGCTGCTGCTGTTGTCCCTATTTTATAGACGAGGGAAGTGATGTCCAAAGCTCAGAGCCAGGAGATGGTATAGAAAGAAGCGAAGCTGGTGGCCCCACTCTAGGCAGCCCTACTCTCTTCATCCCATTGCTACATCTCTTCCTGTTTCCTCTTGCTGGGCAGACCCAGCCATGGCATGGGGAAACGGGAAAACGAGCTTTAAAACAGGGCTGAATGAGGGTGAGGGGAGACACAGGTCTTGCTAAGTTCCAAAGCCAACCACCATTTCCTAGAGGCATGTACCTCCTCAGAGATTAGTAATCATGGCCCTACACTGGTGATTTGTAACTTCTTTTTTTGCCTCATAGACCCTTTGAGAACTCAATGCCAGCTACGGACTCTCACCAAACAAGTGCATATTCACACCACATTTTCCAGGCAGTGCCAGGGGGTTCTTGAACTCTGAAAAACCACTGCTCAGGAGGTTTCAATTTTGTTCCTGCTATATTCTTTCTTGAAGAAATGCAATGTTTCTTACACTTGGGAATTTCTCTTTTCCCTAAGGAGCAAAGCAAATAGCAAACTAAACAAAATAGAAGAAAACAAAACAAACACAAGATAGCAAAACACCACAATTCAATAAAATACTGCTATTTTTTCCCAAAAAAGCACTGATTGGTCAACAATTTTTCTCATGCCCTTCTTTTAGACATCTTTAAGGTCTCACCAGTGAATGATGCATTGAATTTTAAGCACATATCAAAGAGAAAATATTATGTTCATTTTGTAGATGAGGAAGCTAAGACCACCCCCCATCCCAACTCTGTTTTCCTTCCTCTTCCTCTCTTTCATAAAGACAAGTTATGCAGCAAGGTGCTGGCAGAACCTGTGTGAGCTTTCAAGCTTCTTGACAATCTGCTTCAGGTTTCATCTATGTTGCAATCCCCCCAAACAACACCCTAACAAATAGATAATACATACTAAAAAAATAGGGAAGAGAAGAAGTTGAAAAATATTGGTTTTTGACCATATTTTACAATTTGGTATTTAGTTTTACTCCAGTCTGCCCATTCCATATTCTCTACCTGCTCATGCCAAATCAACTAAAAAATAATAAATAACTCCTCTCTTGATCCTCTCCCTCTACCCTTGACTTCTAACAGAAGGGGTTTGGCTAACTCCCATCCCAATGCTGTGCTTATGTGGTCCATGTACTCAATCCCTACACACCCTTTGATGTGCATCTTAAATTCAACCTCCTCCATGAAGCCATTCCTAACTTTTCTGGCCCATGCTCATCACTTCTCCGAATGTCTGCAATGACTCTGCAGTGCATTCCCTAATTCTATATTTGCCTTGTGTCCTCACCTCCTCCACCTCTTAGATGCCATTGTATCCTGAGGCCAGTCATTAGAAAATTTCTGAGCAATAGTCGTTGGTTTACAGGAACCTAGGGTAGATGCTCAGGACATGCATGATTCAAATCCCAAGGCCATTCTTTCTTTCTTTCCTTCCTTCCTTCCTTCCTTCCTTCCTTCCTTCCTTCCTTCCTTCCTTCCTTCCTTTCTTTCTTTCTTTCTTTTTCTTTCTTTCTTTCTTTCTTTCTCTTTCTTTTCTTTCTTTCTTTCTTTCTTTCTTTCTTTCTTTCTTTCTTTCTTTCTTTCTTTCTTTCTTTCATTCATTTATTTATTTTTGAGATGGAGTCTCGCTCTGTCACCCAGGCTGGAGTGCAGTGGCGTGATCTCGGAGCACTGCAAGCTCCGCCTCCCAGGTTCACACCATTCTCCTGCCTCAGCCTCCTGAGTAGCTGGGACTACAGGCACCCACCACCACGCCCGGCTAATTTTTTTTGTATTTTTTTAGTAGAGACAGGGTTTCACCATGTTAGCCAGGATGGTCTCGATCTCCTGACCTCGTGATCCGCCCACCTCGGCCTCCCAAAGTGCTGGGATTACAGGCGTGAGCCACCGCGCCTGGCCCGCCAAGGCCATTCTTACATGGAAATGTTTATAATAGGAATTGCTGTTGTCCATATTACTATTGATACAAAAGCCTCCTAACTCACTCTCCCTTTGTCTCTAGCCAATCTACAACGTGGATCATATCACCCATTAGTTGAATCCTTCCAAGGATTCACAGCTTAAAAGAATCAACCACCTGCCCTGCACAGAGGCATTCAGCAATTTATGAACATGGCCCAATTTCCCATTGTCTCCCTCAGTACTTCACTGCTCCGTAGCCTTTACTACAGTTCACAATGGCTGTGAGAGCTGCCTGCTCTCCTGTCACTGCTAACGATTTCACGGAAGCAATGCTTTCCTTATATTTCTCCTGCTGCTTTAATCTTTGGCTATTAGTCTTTCATTTTGATGCAATGTTCAGGTCAAGAGTGTCTAGAAACCCTCGTAAACCCTGGCTTCCTTTTACAACTTCACTGTCACCAGGATAATTCCATATTCCTTACAGTAAACTAGGTCTCTCAACCACTCTTCAAGGCTGGTTGAAGAATTTTCATTCCTCAAGTTCAGATGAGGAGACCCAGGTATAGGAAGGTTAATAGATTTTTCTAACAACACATGGTCAGTGAATTAAAGAGCTATCAAGCGCTCTCAACCAGGGGTGATTTTGAACCCTTCTCCTCAGGGGAGACCTGGAAATGTTTGGAGATATTTTTGGTTGTCACAACTTGGTGGGAGAGGAGATGTACTGCTACTGGCATCTAGTGGGAAGAGGCCGGGGATGCTGCTAAACATCCTACAATGCACAGGACGGCCCCATGACAAAGAATTCCTAGCTCCAAATATCAATTGTGCAGAGGCTGAGAAACCATGACCTAGACCCCAGTACATTTTTTTTTTCTTCTAATTCCTATTCTGTACGTCTTTTCTCTTAGACTGGCTCAGGTTCTATGCACAGCTTGGACTTTGCTAGTAAGGGGACCAACCCAACCCATTAACCAGTATAACGACATTGTCCTTCTTCAAGATCTTTTTCTATCATCCACTGGGATACTGTCCTAATAACTCTGCAAATCTCCAGTGACTATGGGGTCCATGGCACCTCCCCTAGAGTTGTGAAATGCACTAATATGCCACTCGTACAACCTTAAGTGGAAGCTCTCTGTGGGTTGCTAGGTAAGTTACTTAGCTCCCCTGGCCCTAAGTTTTCACTTCTGAAACATGGAGACAGTGATATCTCTTTTGCCTGTTAAGAGGATTTGCATATATATATATATATATATATATATATATATTTGCATATATTTATATATTTATATGTATTTGCATGCATATATATATATATATATATATATATATATATATATATATATATATATATCTCCCCTAGCACAAAGCCAGCTCATGGAAGGAGAGACATAAATGGTAGCTAATATTCCAGCATGCTGTTTCATTTACACCTGTCCAAGAATATTTTCTTCTTTTTGGCATAGGCAATGGAGACTTGTTCAGCAATTGAATGGAAAGAATGTCTGAAAATGATTCTAAAAGGGCAACAATGAGTTCGATTGGAACTTTTGCTTTCCTCAATGCCTTCCTAATTACCTGAGACCCAATTTTCTCCTTCTCACACAGTACTTAAGAAATGTCAGAGAAGTAACTGGAGTACCTTTAAACACAGAGCTCTGCTTTCCCCCAGCAATTAGGCAGATCATGCTACAGCTTCTGTTATAACTGTAGTTGATAGAGGTTGGCATCCAAATGAGTAATAAAACTACTTAACAATTATGAGAATTATAGTATGCCCATCAAAGAGCTGTGTATGCTGAAATAAGGTGTCAGTGCCACATTATGAAACCTGAAGCCATCTGGGGCTTCACTAATTATAACTGCTATAGAGATAAATGGCTAAGTCAGGAGAGTTCCATTCTCACACCCGTAAGGAGGAGGACGAGAAGAAATGCAGAATTGCCTTTCTGGATTAGAGTGAAAAAAATTATACATAACCACGTTCTTTGGGAAAGAAATTTGACAAACACAGAACTGAAGCTGCAGTGCAGCTGAGCTTTGTTTAACAAGAATTTACAAAAAAGTTTCTGTGGTTAAGTAAGTTTGGAATGCCTCTGGCCCCTTCTTATTGATTTACAGTGCATGTTAGCTTATTAAGGAGTCTAAAACCTCCTGAGGAATCCGAGGTCAGGGAGAGGTATAACTGCATGGTATCAAAGAGGGAAGGGGGTGTCTCTTGTTAAGGTGAAGATTAAATACGTTGCCCATAAGTAAGCAACTTAAAATTCAAGCCAGCATCTCATTTGTCCAAGGGTGAAACAAAAAAAAAAATCTTGAAATATATGAGTGTAACCAAAGAGAACCAGAACCCAAGATCTTAGATTTGGTGGGCGGGGGGGGGGCACACTGGGGCCTGAGTGGGGATCAGATCCAACAAGAACATTTCTAAAGAGTCTGTGGGACTATGTACAACCTGCTTTGAGCAGTTGATACCATGTGACATCAAGACACAATGGCAATGGTCAGCAGATCAGACCCAGTTTCCTCCACACCTGGTTTGGAAGCAGGACTGACCCTCCCTTGCATCGAGCAAGTCCCTGTTTTGGGGGGAGAGTTTAAGAAAGGAAAGGATCCCTTGAAAGGGAGACACTAGACTTCTTGCTCATAGTGCAGATGGGAGCTCCAGGGATAAACTGGAAGAATAAAGAGGTGACATCATATTTGGGCTCCAAGTTATAGAAGCAGGTAAAATCAATTATAAGGATAACAATCTCCTCCCACCCCCATCATTCCACTTTTACATGGTTGCAAGCACTTCTGTAGTTCACTGTTTTTCTTCTTTACAAACGGAAGTTCAGAGTCTTGAGTAAAGCCTCACCATGGAAAATGACAGCCTCATTTGGAAGCATACTTGAAACATATAAGGAGGCTCATGGCCCATGCACTTTTAGGAACTGTGCCTCCAGAGAAGGCCCTGCATTAGTCTCTTCCTACAGAGACAGCTAGGTTGGAGAAGGGGAGACATCATTACCTCCAGGCAAAATGGCCATTTTGGTGGTATGCCCTTTTAAAATAGGGGAGAGGAAGAGTCACGGCATCTATGGCAGCAAAGGCATCTTACCTCTTGCCCATCTTTGCTGATGTTGTCATCGGCATGCCTGGCCACGATGGAGAGGAACTGTAGCAGGCGGTGGAGGGTGTCGCAGTTGCAGGGAGGTAGAAGGTATATGAGGAGCTGCAAGGTGCCCAGCTGTTCCTCCGGCTCCAACACTAAGCAAGGCAAAAAGAGGTACTCAAATAAAAGGGGAGCCCATACTATTCAGGCACAGAGGAAAGGCCTCCTCTCAATTGTCTTAAGAAAGGGATTATCAAGGCAATTCCCATTTCATGCCTTCACTCATTTGCCCATTGCTTTAGCAATTTACCAGCAAGATTCTATGAAAGATATAAAGCCAAATTAGACCTCGAGAAGTGTAATACCTAGAAAAATAACTGTAATCCAGGTAAAAAAAAAAAAAAGGTAACTCAATTTCCCTTACTTTCTTCTCCCCCCTTCCCTGGCATTACTCATCACCTAGTTTAAGGATTTCAGTCTTCCATTTTTGGTAAATATTTATTAACAATGGCTGAAAATTGGTGAACATTCTGAAATTTGAGTTTATAATGGATTTAAGGCTCTTTTCTGTTGAGCAATTCACAAGGGACAGATATTTTGTTGGCAATAACCAAGATACAGCAAAGCCAATGTCTTCTCTCTCCGTTGTGATCCTATTTGAATGGCAGCATTGGAGGAAGAAATGTATGGAGGTTGACCCAGGTTTGGCCTATCTCTCCTCTACCTCCTCCTTTTTTTCTTCTTCATGGGATCTGTAGCTACAGCCCAGAAGCAGCTATGTTGAAAGCCCTGGCACTGGGCTATGGCATCTTGCTTCTCCTGGAATGTTGCTGCCCTCCTTTCTCACTCTGGGTTCTCGTGGTTCCCTCCTTCTTCGTACCAGAAACACAAACTCATTTTTAGGCACAGACTCAATGTGAACTCTTGTTGGTACTCTAAGCACTAACTCATAGTACTTTTTACTGTTCTTGGGTTATTTGAAAGCATCTCAAATTCTTCTTGGCTATTTCCATTTGTTTTATTGTAACTTTCTTCTTGCTAATTATTCCCAGGGTAAATCTGAGAAATTCCCTCAAATAGCTCACTCTTTAGAGATTGATAAATAAGGACAAAAAGTTATCAGGAAACATATGCATAAAGTTATGATGAATGAGTTGGACATCTTAGTATTCCAGGGCCACTTTCCCACATATGGCTGTATTACGCACAGAGAGTGTTGATGAAAGCTGTGTACAGCTCCCTGGTGAGAAGGGGGTCTGGCATGTCCCTCAGGAACTCTTTCAGCAAGGCTGCCACATCATGAACACTGTGCTCCTCCTCCAGAGAGACATCAATCCCACGGTCAAATTCCTCACGTAACTGGAAGAACAATGGTTCGAGTGGCAGTCACATAACACCATACCTCAATGAGCAGTGCCCAGCAGGAGAAGTGCTGTGACACGTAGCATCTGGAATTAAGACTGCACAGACCCCAAGAAGGGGAAGCAAACAACATCCTCACCTTGATCTGCCGAGTTGACACAGTCCAGCTATGAATATGTGTGTGTGTGTGTGTATACATATATATGTATATATATGAGTATACACATGTATATATGTATACATATATACAATATATGTATTGTATATATATGTATTGTATATGTATATACATATATATGTATATGTATACATATATATATATATATATAAGCATTATTAAATAAAACTATCTGTGGATTTATTGTTAATGATGTATGCAGAAGGGCTTGGTAATGACAACCAGGTTAGGAGGAACACCTAAGAGGTAGAAGACAATTTAGGTCAGCTATAAATGTGGGAGGGAGGAATTAATCTATTACACAGCATTTCTGTGTGTCACCAATCCTGCCATGTTTGGATGTTGATATTTTACTGAGTCACTCTATAAGAAAGCAAAGAGATTTTTTTTTTCTGCAAAAATGAAATTAAGAGCCCTGATAACACATTTATGACTAAGACTTAAAAGATGACAATAACTAAATAAAAGCTGTCTTAGATTTGTCAAAGTAGTCTTATTAACAATTACCAGAAGGATTCCCTGCCTTAATCATTATACTAGGTCTATTATCACTTGCAGCAGCAAGAAAACACAGTAGCAAGGGAGTAATAACTCCACACCCTACTTTTATCTCTAGCAGCTCAACTTTTCGTATGCATTGTTCTCTGCTGTAGAAATAATTATGTAACTTCATAAACCTACACTATGCAAAAAACTTCTCTAAGAGTTCATTTGTTTTCAATCTTTCATCCATCCATTCATTCAACAAAGATTACTACGCATTTCCTGTGTCAGACCCTGTTACAGGCTCACAAAATACACTAGTGAGTAAAGAGGCAAAGTCCCTCTAGAGAAACAATGTGATAAGCAGGTAATCCCACAAATAATTCACTCTTAACATTGTGGCTAGTGATCTAAGGAAAAAGTGCAGGGTGCTAAGGGGTTATATAACAAAGTAAAATGATGAGTGAGTTAGGGCATATTTCATACTTGAAATCTACTTCTAAGTAAACACTAATTATATTTTTATTGGGTAATCCTTAAATACAACTCCATGCAAAGGTTTCCCCTTTAATGGATCCCGATATAACTGATGAGTAATTTCTGGCACTCGCTACCTGTCCACCTGATGAGAATGAATACCCATCACTGTCCTGAACTACTCATTGATTCCAGACAGCACGCCATCAGCGTGTGTCAGGCAGCCAAAACAAAGAAGACTTCCACTGGCACTCCTCCAACTTGTGATCATTCAAACACACCATGCTTCTTTTCTGAGTATACGTACATGCAGAAAGAATGGAACATGCAAAGAGTTTGGCCTATGAAGTTAATGGTGACTGGTTAAACTGTGTGATCTTGAATTATGTTTCTTAATCTCTATAAGCCTTGACAGAAGTGGGTCAAAGGGGCTACACTCACAGCCGGTTGGCAGATTCAGTGAGATAATATTTGTAAAAATATTCTGCAATTCTGCACAGAAATGTTACTGTACTATCTTTCTTCCTGCAAGTTCTGTTGTGAAACATTAAATGTTGATCCATTTAATGTTTCTTGTGTAACTATTAAGAATAAAAACCAACCAACCAATCAGAAAACATATTTCTGTTGAAAGCCTTTTTTGTCTTGACAAAAAAGATAAATGAGGTATTTATTTCAATTACTTTCAATAATATGAACAAATATCATTTCTTCAGCTTCTTCCAACTAAAATTTATTTTCATTTGAATTCATTTTTGAGTTGCTGAGTTCCTTATCTCCTTCCATTGAAAACAACAGGAAGAAAATAATGCTTTAATTTTCCTTCACCAACAAATGAACTCTTTTCTCAAAGGATGGTTTGCCTTTTATGAAGCCATCATGAACACAAATACCTGCCTCATCACAGGAACCTATTGTTGAAGGTCTAATATCAAACTTCAGTTGCAGGAATGTTGCACAGGGCTGAAGGAAACAAAGGAGCACAGTCTCTATGTGAAAAGCAAACTGGGGGTCAATGGTTCTATGGAAACTTCATAAGAATTATTTATTTTTGATAAAGTAAAGCTATAAACATAGCATCTTATGTGAAGGGAATGTTAATGGCATTTTTCATATCACATTTTAGTAAAAGCGGGTGCTACATACAACTTTATATCATTTATTGATCAGTCACTCTGAATTTCCTGCTTTTGCAATTTTCAATAAGATGTTTATAAATTAGTTTTGTTTGGCTGCACGTGGCACAGATACATCCAGACATTTTGCTTTCAAGTGTTTGATCCTAACTGTAACAACATTTCTGAGTTGTTGCCTTTTACCTCCTGGAATTCAATTATATTATAATAGCTTGGAGGGTAAAAAAAAAAAAAAAGATAATCAAAATGGAATTTGCATAAACTTGAACTTTGCAAAAGGTAATTCAATTGAAAGTCATGTGAAACAAAATATAATCTTTACTTTTCACTTACTTGTCTCACTCTCTTTTTTGAGCTTCCAACTCGGAATATCCCCACTGTCTGGAGGCCTGCAAATAAGCAAACAAAATGAACAGTCTTGTTTCATGGCTTGAGACCCTGGAGGAAATCAAAATACAGAGCAGAATGCCAGCACAGTGCCGTAACATGTAGAGCAATAGTAACTTGACAGCATACAGTAATGCTTCTTTCATCTCACACTATTTCTATTATCCAGATACTTAAAGGTCAGCCCTTTAAGCACCAGAATTTTACGTTAAATGTTTCTGATCAAATATTTTTCTTGTGATATTTTATATTTCTAATCTTCTCCTTATCAGAGAAAATGAGCTTTTGTCCATTATCCAGAATTATTACCTAAACACACATTTTATAGGGATTCTAACTCTTTATTAATTTCTAAAAGATATTTCTTGTTCGTCTGATCATAATTAAAGTGTGCTTCTTAAAGAAAATCTAGAAAATGCGGAAAAATGTAAAAATAATATACTTTTAGAAATACCTGATGCAGAAATAATCACTCTTCATTTTCTTTTCTTTTCTTTCTTTCTTTTTTTTCCTTTTTTCTTTTTTTTTTTTTTTTTTGAGATAGATTCTCACTTTGTTGTCCAGGCTGGAGTACAGTGACGTGATTACGGCTCACTGCAGTCTTGACCTTCTGGGCTGCAGTGATTCTCCCACCTTAGCGTCCAGGGTAGCTGGTACTGCCAGCACATGCCTCCATGCCTGACTAATTTTTGTATTTTCTGGAGAGACAGGGTTTTGCCATGTTCCCAGGCTCAAGCGATCCACCTGCCTCAACCTCCAAAATTGCTGAGATTACAGGTGTGAGCCACTGTGCCTAGCTAATCTTTCATTTTTTAAAATCCAGCCTTTTCTACATGAATGTAGGTATTTTTACATAGTTGAGATCACACTGCATATATATAATATCTATTGACAGAGAGAATGTTACTGCCTTCCCTCACTATCGTGTCGCATGAATTTTCACTCATGCTAGTAACAATTCCTTATAAATGTCACTTAAAAGGGACAAAAGACTACAAATTGGGTGTAGTGTATACTGCTCGGGTGATGGGTGCACCAAAATCTCACAAACCACCACTAAAGAACTTACTCATGTAACCAAATACCACCTGTTCCCCCAAAATCTATGGAGATATAAAAAAGATGCAAAATATTCTATTGTATGAATGGGCCATAATTTACTCCATATTCCCCTCTGAATGGTGCACAGGTCCCCAAAATATACATGCTTATTTTTCTACTATAAATGACCCTATTGTGAACAATTCTGTGCACACGTTTTTGTTCACATTTCTGATTGCTTTTCCTAGGATCATGTCCTAGATGTGAAAATATAGTGTCAGTGCTGAGGTTGAGAAACTCATTTCTAAAAAATTAGGTCTCTTAAAAACACAAGTAATTTCACTATCACATATTAGAAATTTCAACAATAGTTCCTTAATAGCATTAAATTTCCAGTCAACATCCACATAAAGGTCACACACTGTCATATGGTCGATGTGCCTTTTAGTCTCTTAATCTGTGTTTCCTCCCTCTGTCTCCTTTTTCCTTATAATTGTTTTGGTGAAGAAATCTCAGTGATTTCCTACTGTAGATCTTCATATTGTTTGGATTTGGACACTCCATAGTGTCATTTGTATGTTCTTCTCCCTCTTTTATTTTCTGTAAAGAGATAGCTAGAGCCAGACATTACTCTGATTGCGGTGTGATTTTATAGGGCAAGAATACTTCACAAAAAGTATTGTGTACTTCCTTTGGGAGCATGAAACGTCTGAATGGCTCTCCTTTTTCTATGCCAGTCATTGATCATTGCCATTGATGAGCATCATGTATATTAATTCTTTCATTGGTGGCTCATTTTCTCTTCATTTGAGACAATCAGTTATGAGAGTGATGGGATATTGGAGCTGCTAACCGCCATTTGAAGCCACATGAAGAGAACTGTCTGAGAATAAAGCCAGCAAACAGAGGACACTCATGACATCGTTTGAATCCTGGATCCAGCCGTGCCTAAATCTAGATCACGCTCCCAGTATATAAAGATTGTTGTTGTTATTTGGGGGAGGTCACTTTGCTTAATCTAGTTTTTTCTGAGTTCCTTTCTCTTGCCACTGAAAAATTTATGACTAGTACAATATATAATTAAATCAGAAAGAATTGTATTTTTTTAAATATAGAATTGGGGTCTTGCTATATTGCCCTGGCTGGTCTCAAACTCCCAGGCTCAAGGGATCTTCTTGCCTTGGCCTCCCAAAGTGTTGGGATGACAGGCGTGAGCCACGGTGCCCAGCCTTAAATCTTTATAACATTATTTCTTTACATCCAGAAACAAAGTAAACATCTCAATTTGTTTTAGTTGTGTTTTCTATCTCTTGGTAGAAAGAGAATAGTCCCACCTGTGTAGAAAATGTCCTTATGTGATATCTTGCTTCTGTAGAAATTTTAATTATTCAGAAACCATGTGAAAATAAAAAAATAAATGCAGCCAAAATTAAAATTACTGTGACCTACTATTGAAGTTTTCTATTTCGTACATAGAAGATTCATTCAGTTCACTCAGAGTCTATTTCTCTCTATATAATAATATATGCCAGGTACTATTCTAAGTACTGTATGCACATTAATTAATTGAATCATTGCACAACTTTTGAGGTGGGTACTTACGTTCATTTTGCAGATGAAGAAATATAATCCTGTATTTTATTCTAAATAGTGTGATTATCCGGTTTTCAAGCTTCCAAAGTGATAGAAGCAATAAATTAGGCAATTTCATTATTGTGCAAACACCATAGAGTGTACATACACCACCCTAGATGGTATAGCCTACTATACACCTAGGCCATATGGTAGAGCCTAGTGCTCCTACATTACAAACCTGTACAGCATGCGACTGTGCTGAATACTGTAGGTAACTGTAACAAAATCTTAAGTATTTGTGTATCTAAATATAGTAAAGGTACAGTAAAAATACAGTATTATAACCTTATGCAATCACCATTGCCTATGCAGTCAGTCAATGAGGGGAATGTCATTATGTGGTGCATGACTGTGTGTGTGTGTGTGTGTGTGTGTGTGTGTGTGTGTATGTGTGTGTATAGAGAAAGAGATGTATATTCAAGATACATAGGTGATACACAGGCAAGTGAAAGATAAGGTGAAAAAAATTAAAAGAACCTACACTTAAAATTTTGTATAAACAAATAAGATTTTGCTACATTAGTTTTATTAGGTCATCCATATGTTATCCTATGATTTCCATTGTAATGAATTAAGAAATTTAAATATATCCTTAATGATTTTAAAATAAAGTTCCATTTTTATTAGAAGGAAATAGATGAGAATGTTAACAGTAGTTATATCTATATGGTAGCCTCAGAATTTTCTTTGCTTTCACGTTTACTTTTTTATTACAATGAGCATATTATTTTTACAGTTAAAAAAAGTAATTAAGCTTTTCCCATGTATATAAAACACGTGCTAACAAACACTATAGCATACAAACTTAGTTTATGAAAATGGCAGTTAATAAGCCAGAAGTCTAAATTTCAGAAACATTTTTGAAGAACTGTATATCATTCTTAAGTCAACTTAGTAACTAGAATTGAGTTGCAAAGGGTGGCTTGGAGAAATTTTAAGTGGACAGCTTCCACAAAAATGCAAATAGCAATATGTAAACCTGTTGTCAAAAATGATGTATTTTCTATTCACTTAAGCAATGATTCCCCAATTTTTTTTTTAAGTTGGACTCTTACTTTTTAAAGGAAACTTTGTGAGTAACCTCCTAGGCTACTTTTATGTATAAACAATAAAAGTGGCTCTGGTCTGTTTGAAAGAGGTCCTGGTGACAAACCCAGCCCAACAGATCTGATCATTCCCTAAACTGCTTGGCCTCCAAGGTAACTTCTGAGGACTACTGGGAGCTAAGCAGTCTGAATATCATCAAGTTGATTCACCCTCTTCTCCAATCTTGTTTAGCCCCACAATCTCTTAAGCAAACACTCACATCTGTACACTTTCACACAGTAAATTTCAGTTCAGAGCTTGATCATTTGATCAAGCAGAATTGACATTGGGTACTTCAGTGAATGATGCTTGAATAAATGAAAGTCCTTAGTACTTTAGACAGACAAGTCTACTTACCATGTTTTTCTAGGTGCTGACAGCAGCTGTCCACCAGCCTAGGGACCTGTCTGTAAATAGGATTCAGACTGAGTTTCTTATCTCTGGCTTTTTCCTTTTTACTTTGAGCCTCAGCAGGCAAGGAAAGTTGTAAAGCTTCTAGTAGTCGAGACTGATTGTCATCAAGATCGGTGATAGAATCCACTGACATGGCACCCTGCAAGTGACACAGAGCCGTGAACATAAAGTACAGATAGCCAAAAAACCCAGCTGCCCCCAGATGCTAACCAATACATACTTTTGCTCATGACTCTTTATCACACTTGAAATACTACTGCTTGATTTCTTTAATTGTTCTGTTTGTAAATTAAAAGAAAAAAGATGCCTTTTGAAAAAGTTAGAAAACCTCTACAAGATTTCCTCAAGCTAATGGCAGTTACAATTTCAACAATAGACAACATTTTCCAAATGGAAGAACAAGCGATGGGAAACATATAATTAAAGTATTTTGGCCCAACCACTTCATTTCTTGAAACAAGAAAAAAATTACATACTCAATCAATGAGGTAGTCAGAGAAGTCTTGTAAATAAAAAACTCAACTATGGCTCTAGGAAGTATATTTTTAAAATAGAATGATTCCACAAAACAGCCTTAGCTTAGTTTTCCCGAGAAACAACACAAAGTGCTTTATTAGAGAAGTGGTCCTGGGAAACACCTGTAGGGGAGGGGGGAAATGAGACAAGGAAGGAAAGGCAGCTGATGAAGGGAGCATTATCAAGCCTATTATCATTGTGGGCAACTGGAGCTCAATCTTTCTGGGGAGCTCTAGGAGACAGCTGTAGATCATGCACCTTAGAGCTATCCCTATCAAGTGAGAGAGCTGGGGTATTTATACACCAGGCCTCAGGAATCACTGCTTAAGGGTAGCCTCTGGTGGGGGCAGAGAGATAATATTATCTCCTAAGTACTTACAGCCTGCCATTTGGATAGGCTGGGTGCCTCTGGCATCAGAGAAAGCCCTCAGCAAATAAATAAGGTGTTGGCAGATGGAAGATGAGCTGGCATGCTAGGAATGGTAAAGGGTCAGGGAAAGGGAGCAGGGCACCAGTCGCATTTGCCGCACCCATACTTGATGAAGCACTGAGAAAGCAGTTGGCTAGCCAGGCCTGGACAGACGAGAGGGCATTTGGGAAAACCATTGCCTGAGTCCTACATTCCCAGAAAGCTAAAATTTAGAGTTTTAGTGTTATTGTTGTACGACAATACACAGTCTGAGACACAATGACAGAATTAGAAGAACAATTCCATCATGCAACTTCAGGAATTCCATAATTTTGTAATTTCTTCATTTTTAAACATAGTCAATACTGCAAAAACAGCAATGGATCAGGTCCCCCTCTACCTTGGACAAGCCCTAAATGTTAGGGGCTGATTGAAAAATGTTGGTTTTAAGTGGGAAGTGTCTGGGGTTTTAACTAGGGCAGTCTTCAACAGCTGGAGGTGGCAAAAATTTCAGGTCTCCACGTGACAGAGGAAAAAGGGAGAGAGGGTCAGGCGTGGCGGCTCACGCCTGTGATCCCAGCACTTTGGATCACTTGAATTCGAAGGTTCAAGACCAGTCTGGGCAACACAATGAGACCACATCTCTACTAAAAATAATAATAATAACAGCTAGGCGTGGTGGTGCGCATCTGTAGTCCCAGCTACCGGGGAGGTTGAGGCAGGAGGATCACTTGAGCCCGGGAGATTGAAGCTGCAGTGAGCAGTGATCATGCCACTGCACTCCAGCCTGGGCAACAGAGCAAGACCCTGAGTCAAAAAATAAAAGATAAAAATAAAATGCAGATTTGTTTTACAAAAGGGAGAGAAGATCTTCCAGTGACCTGGAAGCTTTAGAGATGCTTATCAACTGACTCAGCCAATCACCAACCAGTTTGCATGAACAATTCAAATAATAGCACAGTACCTAGAACATAGTACTTAACAATTGGTACCATATAGTTAGAGTATTTGAAAGAGGATATATAGAGGATTCTATGGTTCTGTTTGAGAAAAAGAAATGCTCCATTGATAAAGAAAAAGCTCATTGTTTATGAAGACCCACCGCCAATTCATTTGGCCAGGCATGTTCTCAGACTGGTGATGAAGAAAGTATTAATAGCTAAAACACCAGGCCCTGCCCTCGAGCCTCACAGTCTAGTGGGCAAGTATGGCAAGACTGACAGATTACAAGAGACCAGAATTAATGGTGATATTGCCGAATGTTTAGGAGAGCATGGAGCAAAGATGTGACAAAGGAGGGACACCCAACAGCTTCAAGAGGAGTCAGGACAAGGTCTGAGGCTATGCAAGGTGCCACGTGCCCAGTGCACATTCTTCATTAATGGCATTGTTGACAGATACCTGAACACCAACTACATATCCAGTTTTCACATGAACAAAAACGCAAAGAATAACTGTACATCTTCAGTTTTCCTAGCACTGGTGTCAGAGCAAATACTGGCCACCTCACCCTCCTCCTAGCCCGAGGAGCCGGTTCCGGGGTGTTTGGGGACGTTGACTCATTCGGTGTTTCTGAGGTTGAGCTGAGAGATGAGTTACTGCTTGAGAGTTCTTTGTTTTGTCTTTTATTTCCAAATGGGAGGAGGGAAGCCACAAAGTCAGATGCATCTTTCTGCTCGTCCCTCTGCAAGTCCTGCTTGAGTTTATAGGCCCTGTCATTCGCAATGACTTGGGATAAGGGCATTCCAAATGCCTGTGGGATGAATTCTGGAATCAAAAAACAGACATTCACTTTCAGAGACTGACTGGTCCAGTGAACACTCTCATTTATGTTTCAGACCTAAGTAAGAACAGACATATTCAAAGGAATGTTTTCTGAAGAATTGACTCATCAATCAAAAAGGTGACATTTGTGTTAATCAGAATGGCCCAAGTTTCCATTTCAATAAAGAAAACTAGTATTTATAAACACACATCTTAGACATTTAGGTCTCTAGTTTTTCTCCATGTTTCAAGTCTATCCATTCATTCAACAGGCATTTATTGAATGCCTACTACATGCCACAACAAGCTAGGCAATGGGAGGCGCAAAGCTTATAAAAGGTACAGTCCTTTCTCCTGAGGTGTTCAGAGTGTGGGTTGGGGTGAAGGAGTGGATAATCAGAAATGCAAATCATGATAACAGAGTGAGTATCAGGTGTTAGAGAGATGCATGAAACTAAGGCTGAAATTTAGTTAACTGAATACACTTTGAGGTTCCCAGTAAGAGTTAGCATGTGAAATGATAACCTGACAGGCAGAGGAGCAGCTTGGGAACTGGTTGGGAAGAAGTCCACTCTGTTTTCGTTGTGTTCCTCATCCCTACATTCTATTTCCAGCCAGCTATGTTGGGGCTGTCACTCTCGTGATCTACACTCAAGCCATTCTACTGGCCACATGCAGAGTGGACTCAGCCACTAAATATCTGGTGGGAGGCCCAGGAAACAATTTGTTAAATCCTTTAGTAAGGAGAATTTGGGGAAAGGGGCATAGTGCAGAAATCAATGGCTTTATTTGGAGACATACATAGAGTTCCTTTCTGAATTTCTGTCGTAAATCTGTTTGTATACATGTACCTTGGATCCTTAGGGCCAGGAGTTTTATTGGCAATATTTTAGATTCATGCTGAAAGGCACTAAATAATGTAATCAAATGTATTATTCTTTTTAGACTCCAAATTAGGTCTCCTAGCAGCAGTAAGTTGGAATCTAACCTCTCCATTGTTTTTATAAGCCCTATGAATGAAACTAAAATGATCAAGGGAAAATAATTCTAAGGTTGGTTGTTCTTTGAAAGAAAAAGCTAACATTAAATCAGGTAGAAAGAGACTTTAAAAGGTTTTCCTCCTTGATCCATGGCAATATTTCAAACATCACTGGGCTAATGACCAAGTCTACATTAAAAGCAGAAATGCTACTTGAAAAGCCTGCACCTCTGGTTCTATCAAAGCATGCAATTTGTTTTGAAGTAAAAAAGTCAAAACTTTAGTATTTCGGGATTTTCAGAGGATGCTTGCCATTCTTTAGCAACAAGCTAGGTGATATATGGTAATAAAAAATAATTAGGTACTTCTCCTTTGAGTGATCAATTTAGACAGTGTAGTGAGGTGTAATTCTCACTATTGATAATAGGCTGTGTCTACTACTAGCAAAATTAGAAACCAAAGGGGATAGTACCAGACCTCCTGTTATGTACCCTGAGGAGATATATATATATATATATATACATATATCTATATAGATATATCTCTATATATACACATACATACACACACACACATACATATAATCTTGTCTGTAGAAATGATCAAATATTACTTTTAAAAGGTTGGAAGAGTCTGGAAACATGTGGATGGTAAGGCTGACAGCTACATGAAATAACAGAAACAGAGGGGATAATAAGAGTGAAAAGAACATTGATAAATGTAGCAAGTGACATGTCTGCTCAGGTGGGCATATGCATGGCAGGGATTTACTATAAGATAGGGACTACTGAGCCCTTTCCCAGTCATTTTTTTCCATCTAAGGAAAACCAACCAGACTCGTTTAGAGACTTCTTATACCTCTGGGGCAGATCTTCCCCACCAGCAAATAATTCTGCCTCCTGTTTCAGGAGAAGAGCAACCAGCAGGTGCAAAGGCTCCAACTCTTCACACCTGCTGTACCTGTGCCCTCCACCACCCTCCTTTGCATGAGATGTAGGTGTGACTTGGCATCCTGCCAGCCTTTCTGCCTCTCCCTGGTTCCCATGCTTTCCCACCTGCCATTCAACTATGGATAACTTTAAACCATGGATAATGGTGTACTGCACTCAAGAGCTCAAAAAAATTATCCTAATACTCTTAGGTATAAATAGCGTTCAGCAATTTTCTGTAAAGGGCCAGATAGTAAATATTTTAGGCTTTGTGGATACGGCTGGGGCTTAGAATGGCTAGGATGCAAAATGATAAGGTGCTCGCATTCAGCGTGGGGCAAGTGCAGAGTCAGCATGCAGACTTGGCATTTCTTTCAATTCTGTAGCCTAGGGGCTCAATTTGTCTCACTCCAGCCTCCGCACTGTTGGCAGGTTGCAGTCTTTGTAGCAGCTACTCGACCTGCCAGTTTAGCAGGAAAGCAGCCACAGACAGTAAGTAAATGAATAGGCATGGCTGTGTTCTAGTAAAGCTTTATTTACAAAGACGGCTGGTGGGCCACCCCTGCTATAAATTACATCTTCTTGTGCCTGTATCTTCAACCTCTTTTTTTCTACTAGATATTTTGTACTAAATTTATTCAAGCAGCTATTTCTTAAAAAAATAAACAACCTTCGACCCACTCTTTTCTTTTCTCCATGGTTTACCCCCTCTCCTTTTGCCACAGTTAAAATTGTCTAAAGTGTTCCCTTTACTTTCTAGCTTATAACTTTCTCACCTACCACTCTTTCCTCACTTCATCCCGTCTAGCTGGTACCTCCATTAGATTCTAAAGCAGCTCCCTCTAAATCATTGCTGTCTTCAGGGTCATTAAATTCAGTGTTTTTGACAGCTCTGTTTCATTTGCCCTTCTGTCAGCCTTTAACCCTGATCGCCATTTCCTGAAATGCTCCCTGTCCTTTGCATCCTGGATATACTAACTGGGTTTTTCTCTACCTCTCTGGCTACATTCTTGCCCCTTTTTCTGGCTTATCATCTTCTACCTGGGTTTTCAATGTGGAAGGTCCTCAGAGCTCAATCTTAACCATCCTCATCACTCTGGTCTCTCTCTGTAAGTGACAGCACGATGCCCGTAACTTAAACTTCCATCCATAGATATTTCACACCTCATTGCTACCTCTAGCTCAGACCCCTTCCTTGAGCACCAACCACTTCTTCCACCTTCATATCTGGATGTCCCAAAGGCATTTCTTATTCTTCATCTTCCCTTATCAGGTCTTACTCAGATTTCCAAAAGTTTGCCTGTTCTTCATGTGGGAGAACCAGAAATCTGAGAGTCATCCTTGATACTTCATTCCTTCTTACATCTCATTTTCACTCCGTCATCAAATCTTTATCATGTCACTTTCACATTATCTCTTTTTTCCATTTACTTCTCTCCACTTCCACGATCACTCCCACCCTAGCCTAAGGTACCATTATCTTTCTCCTGAACTTCCAAATCAGAAGTCATGCTGTGGCCCAGTACTGTGTGAGCTGGCCCCTTCCTAACCTTCTCAGAAACCACACACTCCCTGGTTCTTTCTTCTCTTCTTATCCTAGAAGTACTAGCACTCAATGACAACATTCAATATATGTTCTTTGAGAATTTCTACATAGTGATAACTGATAACTTGATTATTCTGCTATTTAATGTGGAGCAAAATTAAAAGTTGTATGAGCTATTTGTATATAGTGTTACTTCACAGCTCACATACAGTTACATACCTAGACAGTGAGGAAAAGAAAACATGATACAATATGCTTTCACCAAAAAGAACAGTGCCAGAATTGAACTCTTTCCAGATTGTATGTAGATACATATATGGCATAATCTGAAAATGTCCTGGCAGGGGTTGTGGGGGGTACAATCTCCCAGAGTTACATCATAGTAAAACCTATTCCCCATGTGCTCAGTTTAGGAAGCACATTAATAAAACAAAGTAGCTATTTTTAAAATTACTTAATTTTAAAATTACTTTTGACACAGAAATTTTCTGAAGTTCTGAAAGTTTTAAAAACACTTTTGGTTGCCAAGAAATATAACTAAGAGAAATTAAGGACTTGGAATTATTCTGTATGAAAATATGTTTTCTGATCAGTGTCAATCTTGAATTAGTTCCCATATGTAAATCAAAAGTCACATGGGCACTGCCTAAGTGGCATGAGGAACATAGGAGTGTCACAAGATCTGCTGTATATCAAGGCAATTAAATAACATACAGGATATGATTCATTCTGATGAAATCAATTAATATGGTAGCATATCAACCATTTATGAATCACTATTGGGAGAGCAATTCGATTCTAAAAGGCTGCTTCTATTTATTTTTAGATGACCTAACTCAAGAGATCATTTAGAGTTTCCTGTTTTCCTTCTTTTACTCTTGGATTCAAATGATCGTTTTTCACATGTGCAGCTGTTACAAATCCAAATGCTAATACGCAACTGGAAGGAAATAATGTGAATAGATTACATCTGTGCCAGACCGGCACCCCGTCCTCCTCACACCCTGGTTCCCAGGATATCCATGTAATGACTCTCAGTGTTGACATGGACAGGGCTTTATGTTCTGAAAAGATGCCATGTAATTAACCTTCACTTAAGCCTAGGTTAGTTTGTTTTTAAACATTAAAGCTACTTAAAATTTTTTTGTTTTGTTTTGCCATGAAGCCTGATATTTCTCCCCTTAGTTGGGTGGGTGATATGTCTTTTCTTTGGAACCACCAGGATCTGCCTTCCTTTTCCCACTTAGCTACCTTCGAGGCACTATAGAACATTTCAGAGTTTTCACTGAGCCTATGTAAATATGATTTAGTTTAAAAAATCTATAATGGCCCAGTATGTATTGTTCGATTACTTCCCTAGCCCTTCCTTCCATGTTAATTCAAATTCTTGCTTCCTGCTGCTTTGTATATATAATACATGCAAGCAAACATACATCTCCTTCTGTTGAGGGAACATCTCATCATTCTGTTGAGGGAACCTCCTGCAAAAATGCTCATTCTGCTTAGTCTAGCCAAATGGACACTTTCTGAAAAATCACCTAAAGTCCACATTAGATGTATTTGAATCCCAATATCAATATCATCATCCTAGAATAAACCAAGTTTAAAAGAGAATACATTACTAATACCAACCTGAGTGATCCCTTTAATATGCTCTATACATATGGAAAATTGCTCTAATCTGGAGACATAAAAGTGCTCTACTGCAGGAATAGAATGAGCAAAAACTCTAGTTTAAAAGAGCAATGCTGGCTATTAATATTTAGGTCATTACAAAAATAAGGGCACAAACATATCAACAATTAAATATAACACAATTTATCAGACTATAATAGCTAGCTGGACAACCCTTAGCCCTCATTATTCCAGCAGCAGATTCTGCTGTGACAGAATGTGGCCTGGTGAGTATCCTAGTTAATATGGATCAAAATTCTTATCTAGAAGTTGCACTTTAGACGCTCTTAAAAACACCCATGCCTGAGGTATCCCTGAAGAACACGAACTCAGACTCCCTGGGGTGTGGGTCTTGGACTTCTTAAAGGTTCCACAAGTGATTCTATTGTGTAGTCAGGGGTGCGGATCACTGACACTTTCACCTTCTTTTTTCCAATTTGAGATAAACATTTGAAATGTCTGAAGATATTTGGGTTGAGGGTGGTGTCACTGGCATCTAATGAGTAGAGGCCAGGGATGCTGCTAAACATCTCACAATACACAGGACAGCCCCTACCCCAGATAATTATCCAGTCTAAAATGACAACAGTAGCAAGGTTGAGTAACCTCACTCCAAAGGAAGTAAAACAATGGTTTTCCATTCTTTAGAATTCTTCACCTTTTTTTAGTCTAAAGAACCAAATGTCATGACTGTTCAAGATATAGGTGTAGAGACTGAGATCAATGGTATGGAATAGCTCTTGTCCAATACTGATCCCAATGCATGTTTTAATACCCTTGGTTTCATCGCCTTCCATTACTTTTAAAGCAGAAATTCTATCATTATATAAAAGGACTCCAAGATGAGATGTGTATGGCTGTTCTCATTCAAGACTCGTTGACTGTGTCACATAAAGTGAAAATAAATGCATACAACCATACCATTCAGCAACCACTTCATAACAGACTATAAAAATAAGCAGCAAAAAGTGCGGTGGCTCATGCTTGTAATCCCAGCACTTTGGGAGGCTGAGGCGGGAGGAGCACGAGGTCAAGAGTTCAAGACCAGCCTGGCCAACATGGTGAAAGCCCGTCTCTACTAAGAATACAAAAATTAGCTGAGCATGGTGGTGCGTGCCTGTAATCCCAGCTACTTGGGAGGCTGAGGCAAGAGAATTGCTTGAACCTGGGAGGCAGAGGTTGCAGTGAGCCGAGATTGCACCACTGCACTCCAGCCTGGGCGACAGGGCAAGACCCTGTCTTGAAAAAAAAAAAAGGCACAAAAAATTGGACTGCGTCAATGGGGCTCAGGTGTCCATTATGTGAGCTTGAATATCAGTTTTAAATGACCATAAATACCTCAGAGAGTGGCTAAAGTTTTAGTTTCCTAAATATATGCACAAGGGGACACAAAACAGTAAGATGAGAGTAAACAATTCCCAAAACATATGAAGCAAAAGATGAGTATACTGTGATCTAACATAAAAATGCTGAGAATTCACTTACAAGTGGGAGCTAAACATGTTCATATGGACACAAAGAAGGGAACAAGACACACTGGAGCCTACTTGAGGGTGGAGGGTGGGAGGAAAGTGAGAATTGAAAAACCACTTATTGGGTACTATGGTGCTTACCTGGGTGATGAAATAATCTGTACAACAAACTCTTGCAACACACAATTTACCTATATAAGAAACATGCACATGTACCCTTGAACCTAAAACAAGAGTTAAAAAAAAATACTAGGCCGGGCGCGATGGATCATGCCTGTAATCCCAGCACTTTGGGAGGCTGAGGCGGGTGGAACACAAGGTCAGGAGATTGAGACCATCCTGGCTAACGTGGTGAAACCCTGTCTCTACTAAAAATACAAAAAAAAAAAAAAAAAAAAAAAAAAAAGCCGGTTGTGGTGGTGGGCGCCTGTAGTCCCAGCTACTCGGGAGGCTGAGGCAGGAGAATGGCATGAACCTGGAAGGTGGACGTTGCAGTGAGCCAAGATCGTGCCACTGCACTCCAGCCTGGGTGACAGAGCGAGACTCTGTCTCAAAAAACAAAACAAAACAAAACAAAACAAAACAAAACAAAACAAAAAAACTAATAGCCACTGACTATTCCCTAAAGTTCCTGGATCTTTAAAAAGGAAAATACTTGTTAACTCAAGTGAATATCTAATCTGGGAATTCTTAATTTAGGGGGTGGTAGGGTGGGCATTGGGTGAGTTTCAGGCCTTTGATAGAGCATCATCATTGTCAATGATTCTTAAAGGGCTCTGTGACCCCCAAAATATTAAGGGCATTTGCTTTAACCTATCTTGGCTGAGGCAATGTAACAAAGTAAAATGTAAGCATTCAGGTTAGTTGCAAATAAATATTTTTCAACTGGGTGAAAAAAAAAATGCTGAGAATGGCCTATCTTCAGTAACCCATGAGGATGAGACTGTTTCTTTCCAGTAGTGGTGGTAGGTGAATTCAAACTCTCATTAAACTAACCCTGCCTGTCTGGATTTGCCAGACAGCTGGTTAGCATTAGAGATGCTCTCCATAGCTTCTCAACCCAGGTCCTCTTTATGTATAGCTGATTGGTCAAAATAATAATTGGAACCACAAACTTGGCCGAGGTCACACTCTCCTCAAACCAGCTGAATTCATCAGTTCAGTACAGGGCTGCTCAAACACAGAAGAGTAGACCAAAACAGCCCTTAATGACATTCCACTGTAGAAATCCAGTTTTCATAACAGAGTTGAACCACGTATATCTATGCAATTCAATAACCCCACCAAATTTAACCATTATGCTCCATGGAAGATGCATTTACATTGGGTACTTTACCCTTTACCTTTGTCTTTGTTTTTCTCCTTTCCTAGTGAATCCAGTTTCTTTCTTAAAGATTTCTTTCTCTTTTGTCCATCTGTAAATATTAAAAGGAGAAGTTATAAAGATAAACATATAAGTGATATTTTACAGTATCGATAATTACATTTGAGCAAAAGCATGGCTTTTCTCTTACTTCACTTATAATTTGACATTTTAAGCAGAGTAACAGCTCTGAGAATACATGAAAATCCTGACTTGGATACCACATATTACCAGAATTTTGGTGTATATTCTTGAATTTCCTTTCAGTCATGGAATGATAGGAAACTTACCTCATTTGGAAGTAATTTAGCTTTGACATTTAGATAGGTTTAATTTTACTATTATCTAAGTCTCTTCCTCTTCTCTGTGGTTACATAACTTAATGTTCATCTTGAACCTAATCTCCATGAGAAGAGAATCAACAGCATGTATAGCTTTGACATTTACGAGCTAGGAGAGTATAACTGGATAAGAAAATGGATTTGGAGGTCCATAGAACTTAGGTCTAACTATTGCTGCACAATTTACTATGTGACTTTGGACAAGTCTTTGTGTCCTCATTTATAAAATGGGAATATCACAAGGTTGTTGTGAGAATTAAATGAAACAACACATATAAAGCTCTTCATAGGGAGTCTAACACAGTTCAGGCTACTTTCTTTGTGGGGAGTTCCATGGTATAGCTATACTGCAATTTAGTTAACCATTCCTCCATTGATGAACATTTTGGTTGTTTCTTACTGTTTACTATAATAAGTCAGAAATACATTCTTTTACAGTCTAGTATTTGCAACAAATGTACTTAATGTGTCTGCTTAACTCACCAAATAATAAAGATACCACTTATATCAGTGGGCAGCTGCAATCAAATTCTTGGGCTGTCATCATAAAATATTGGCATTCATCATTGCCAGAATGCGTTTTGAGGTTATGCAGCTGTCAACTTAGCATGTGGGAGGTGCAAATTCAGAATCCACACTGTGATCAAATAGGGGACATGCAGACCATGCCACAAGGAAACATATGGTGAAAAAAATGATTAAGAATTGTTTGTACAGGACACACTAAAAATGTAAAGAAAGAGATTCAGCCCAATACATTTAAAAGCAAGACTATAATATCAGGATAAAACAGAGTAAGCATTATGAAACAGAAATGAGCATTCCTGGTATCCTCACAGAGTTACAGATGTCCCCCACTCCTCATTTTTGGAAGGAAAAAGAACATCACAATATAATCAACAGGCACATTCAATCCTTCCTTCTTTTCAAAGATTTCAAAAATGACTCTCCTGCCACCAAAAGAAAATAGTTCATAAGAATCTTCACTCTTGTAGTCACGCAATTTGTATTGGGGAAATTATGTAAATCAGTTTTAATGTAATGTAATTGATGGCAACAGCCGTCAATCTCTCCCATTATGTATGTGTTCATAGATATGAACAACATCTAAAAGATGATCTACTAGGGCCTGTCATGACTTATTACACAGACCATAAACATGCTAACTGTACAAGATTCTAATCTGTTCTCCAATTAGGCCTTACAGGTCTTTTACTCTGTAACACTTTGTTCATAGCTAGTTCATATCTCAAATGTATTTGGCAGTAACAAAAATTCTTTCATTTCAATAGTTGACCCAGCAGAATAACTAAACCATCTATTAAAGCTTAAAAGATTTGATTTTTCATAACCAATGGGCAGATCCTAAAATTCAAACAAGTTGCCAAAAGTCAGAATACATACCAGATAGAGGACATTATTTTTAAAAGATAAAATGATTCTTAAATACTTAAAACTTATGTATTCTATGTAGATGTGTATAAATACAAATGTTCTGTCTAAGTAATAATCGTAAGTCCAACTCCAACATATCTAATAGCCAAGTTAAGCCAAGTTAAGACGTAGACTATTGCTAGTACCTGAGAAACTACCTGTATGCTTCCCTCCTCCTAGCCCCAGATAATTACTAGTCTGACTTTTGCAATGATCAATTATCAGATTTTATTCATAGTTTTACCATCTGTTCATGCATTTGTAAAGAATATGATTTTGTTTTTCCTGTTTTGGGATGCATACAGATGGAATCACATTATGGATACTGTTTCTTGCCTTGTTTATTTTGTTCACCAACACTTCATGAGATTCATCCTGTTGAAGCAGGTAGCTGTAGATCATTCCTTTTGATTGCTATATAGTAGGGGTTTTTGGTATGAATATACCACAGTTCATTTCCTCATTGAACTGTTGATGGTATTTGAGTTGTTTCTAGCTTGGGGTTATTAGGAACAATGTTTTTGAAAGATTTTGCTCATGTCTTCTTATGAGCGTGTATGTACACAAGTCTCCCTGAGACGGTGGTTCTTAAAATGTAGTTCTGGGACCAGCAGCATCAGTATCGCCTGGGAACCTGCTAGAGGTACAAACTCTCTATGGTCCCACTCCAGATATGCTAAATCTGGAACTCTGGGGTGTCACCCAGCAATGTGTGTTTGAACACACCCTTCAGGGGATTATGGTGCACATTAAAGTCTGGTTCACATTAAAGTCTGGAACCACCACTCCAGGGTGTATATGTAAAAGTTGCATTGCTGGATCTGTGTATATGCAATCTCAGACTTTATTTGGTAAAATCAAGCTTTTCAAAATAGTTTTGCTCATTTGTATTCCCACAAATATGAGAGTTTACATAATCTCACAAGGATAATATATACTTTAAACTCCAAAACTCCAGACAACATCTTGAAGTCTCCTTACAGGCAAAGTATGATCTTTGAGAATGCTGGCCTATTAAAAAACACTTAATTACTTACAACAAAATTTTTTCACTTAATTAGATAGCGGTGAATGTTACGAATAGGTAACTATACAAAATGATGGATGACGTGCAATAATGTGAAATGAAGCATTGCTTTAGCACACCATTTTCTCTTTTAAAATCCTCAGCAAAATGACCAGAGATGCACAATGCAACTGCTTATTCCTCTTCTCCTTTGTGATTAATCTGTGGTTTGTCTTGGAGTCCCCCATTTTTGAAGAATAAAATGTCTCATCTTTTGTTCTCATAAAGCATAGAAAACTTGCTCAAGAGGCTTATGTGCTTGCAACCATACAGAACAGTTTATGTTCCACCAGCTCCTTGGATGGCAATAAGTGTGGTTAAATGCCATTCTGTCTTTTAAAGAAATGCAAGCTCCACAACTACCAATACTGCACAGAAGTGTTTTCATGGTGCATATGGTGATGAGTGCATGCTTGCTAACTGCTCCCAGTGTGTGCACTGTCTTACAGACAACAGTGACCTGCAGGAACAACTGGGGTAACATGTCCTGATAGAATACATCTTGGAATAAGCACATAGGGATTGGCCTCCCTTTGCCCTCTTTTGTGGAAGTCCTCACTAATGTGTCAAGAGGAAACCATGTCCTACATGAGAGACCTCACAGACACCTGTGACACAATAGCAGATGGCAAGGCAGCAAGCTTTCCACATCCTAGTGACCCCAAAGCAAAGGACCCAACTGTGTGGGAGGTGGTTAATCTGGGCATCCTCTTGGGAAAGACCAATACCAAACAGTGTCTTCAGGACGGTCGAAAACAAGAAAACATGAGATTGCTCCCTGAGACATGATTTTTATGGATTCATTTGCTGTTAGGGATGGTATTCCATTTTAAGGCTTCTTTCTCTAGTTAGACTAGCTCTCTGAGGGTGAAACCAGGCCTCCTAGGCATTTGTCTCCTTCCAAGTGAATAGCCCAGCATGGGGCATGCCCTGAGGACTTGTCAGCACTGTCCAAAGCCAGGAAGTCAGATGGAACTCTTGGGTTGGGTCTGAGCAATGAAGTGCATACCTCCTAATTTTAAAGTGATCAGATTCAGAGAATGAGGCTTATAAAACAGTATTTTCCATATTACAATTAATTCTAGAGATAATAATAGAAATATTGTCCAAGGAAAGATTTGTTTAGGTGACAGAAGGAAGAGTAAGGGTTACCTTTGAGGAATAAATATTACCTGAAAGAGGGTATGAGGGACTCTTCCGGGGTGCTGAGCATGTTCTACATCTTGATCTGGTTGGTAGTAACATGCCATTCACATATTAAAAACCTATCGAGCTGTATTTGTGCACATTCATATTTATGTACATTACTATATATGTTATTCCTCAATGAAAGTAATAACAAAAGACCTCATCATTTTTGCAGAAACGCACTAATATGAGAGTTAGTTACATTCACTGAATGGGGCTGAAAACTCAGCAACAAAGTCCTTCAGAAGAAAGTTCTGAAGTGTTTAACTTTTCTAAATATCTGAATGCCAATGATCTCATCTGACCACCACAACTTCCCTGTGATACAGCACACAGTAGTAATAAATAGTGTTTATTGAGTAAGTACTATAAGCTAAGTGCTTAGTATCCAAAATCCTATTACATCCTCACAGCAATTCTATGAAGCCAATATTATTATTCTTTCCATTTTACAGATAAGGAGACTGAGATTAGGACAGAGTAAGTAACTTGTACATGGGCAGGAGCTGTGAGATGATAAATTCAGAACTTGCTCACAGGACTATCCAATGTCAAAGCAGGTCCTCTGTATTACTCCATTCTTATTCTGCCATAAGAACATACCCGGACTCGGTGATTTATAAAAGAAAGAAGTTCAATTGACTCACAGTTCCACATGGCTGGGGAGGCCTCAGGAAACTTACAATCATGGCAGAAGGGGAAGCAAACACTACCTTCTTCACATGGCATCAGCGAGGAGAAGTGCAGAGTGAAGTGGGGGAAAAGCCCCTTATAAGACCAACAGATCTTGTGAGAACTCACTATCACGAGAATACCAGCTTGGAGGTAACTGCCCCCATAATTCAATTAATTCCCACTGGGTCCCTCCCACCACACATGGGGATTATGGGAACTACAATACAAGATGAGAGTGGGTGGGGAATATAACCCAACCATATCAGGTGGTTTCAACTTGCATGCTTATTTTTATGACCCTCCACTACTGTACCACTGTGTGCAAACTGAGCATCTGGATCTGTGTGTGTGTGTGTGTGTGTGTGTGTGTGTGTGTGTGTGTGTGTGTGTGTGTGTGTAGCCTGGTCCACAGGAAATACTCAGCAAGTATTGGCTGGTATTCTTAGCTATTATGGGTAAAGTTGCTTGGAGGTCAGTTAGCAGAGAAGTTGACTGAGTTTCTGGTCACCTGGCAGGAGTTGGCAGTCTTTCCGGAGTTGTAGCAGCATTTAACACCTGAGAATTTCTGTTCACTTGAAACTTCTTCATTTGAAGGAGCTTTAGCACACAAATCAGAGACCTTCTGCCTAAGCATGTCCAGCCATCTTTAAAAAGGCTTCAGAGGTGGCTCATTGAAGGCTCTCAAAATCTATAACCGGTGATGAGGTACTGTTCCCATAACCCTAAATCTATCCATAGGACCCTGGTGTGATAAATTAGATTCCTGGATGCATTTCCTCTCATCTACAGTCCCTGTCAGAGGATGGATAGTTACCTTTACAACACTAAAGAATACAGGTGTTTAAACAAATATGATATTTGAAAGCTTATAAGAATTGGGTGGGCATGGTGGTTCACACCTGTAATCCCAGCACTTTGGGAGGCCCAGGCGGGCAGGTTATTTGAGGTCAGGAGTTCGAGACTAGCCTGGCCAACCTGGTGAAATCCCATCTCTATGAAAAATACAAAAATTTGCTGGGTGTGATTGTGGGCGCCTTTAATCCCAGCTACTCAGGAGACTGAGGCAGGAGAATCACAGGAAGCAGAGGTTGCAGTGAGCCAAGATTGTTCCACTGCACTCCAGCCTGGGTGACAGAGCAAGACTCCGTCTCAAAAAAAAAAAAAAAAAAAAAAAAAAAAAAGAACTGACTGAGTAAATGTGTGAACATATTATAATATGTAAACTTTCTCAATATAGAGTAAAAGTGGGAGGTCAGACTCTGGAAACAGACAGCCTTGTTCCAAATCTACTCCCTGACCCAAACCAAGATCAACCCTGCTATCTCACTGTGCCTCCATTACCCTCTCTGTGAAATGGAGGATAATAACTGTACCTACCTAGTAGGCTTGTGATGAAGATTTAATGAATTCATTCATAAAGCACTTGGAACAGGTCTTGTCATGTGGCTAGCAATCAATATATTTTTACTCAATAAATAGAATGCAAAACTTTGGGCTCCTGTTGATTTCCTCGCTCTGGATACTTCCCCCGGGATATACCAAATTGCTCTTCTAGGTGTAAACATTTCCAGAAACATTTCTGATAACTTTTCTAAATTAGGAATTTCCACATCAATGGCTTTCAGAGGTCATCCACATAACCCTGGCTTTACACAAGGATATTGCAAGGATTTCACAGGGTTGAATTGTTTGAAAGAAATCAATTTCCAGAGTGCCATTTTTCTAACAAACTCAAACTGCTCTTTTCAGGGGAACTCTTACTGTGATTCAGTCACGCCACAATAATCAATGCCGGCACAGAGGAAATCCAGTTCATCACATTCTCCAGCCACTTCCAATTCACCAATCTGGGATTGCTTGAAGCTTAGATGGAGGCTGTTGTCCTCTGTAATAACATTAATAGCACCTCTTCACTCTCAAGGAGAGCCTGTTAAATTTTATGCTTAGGAGATTTTAGCAAGAACTCCCTAAGATCATACCCAGTTTTGTAAATGTTTACAGATGTTTTTCTGGGGCGACATCTAAAACTTTCACAAGGTTCTCAAGAGAGTCTACTGGCCCAACAAGATTGAAGACCACTATTTTAAACAAACAGTGGACCCTTCTCCACACCAAGGCCAAACTCCTTCATTCTCTCATTTAGACCCTCACTCCTACATACTCAAACTTTGGTGTTTCCACTCAAGTCCTTCAGCCTACATCTACGCTCAAGTCTGAATCTTCATCTGTAAAATATCTTCCCTTTAGCAACCACCCTACCTTCCTTCTGTTCTTCCTGGCTCTACTTCCTCAAACTCTAAGTACTTTTCTACCAATTATGGTCTGTTTTTTGCTCCTTGCCCTCCAGCAAGACCCTGATGATGCTCAGTGTCTAATGCAGTGTACACATTCTAACTCTGATATAAACTCTGTGTGTGTGTGCATGACTTGATATCATTTGGATAGCAATTTATGGCAGAAGCATCCTCTGGTCTGACTCTGAATCTTTTTACAATTGAGAACTGAAACTATTACTTGAAGCTCTTCCTTCCTTTGGACTTGATGATATCATTCACTTTTTCTTTTCCTATCTCAGGGTCTTCTTTCTCAACCTGTTCTGTGGCTTCTCTTCTCCACGCAGCAATTCACTTTATAAATAATCTTGAAAGAATGAATGGATGGGGATTGGTTTTGGTGAGACACTATTCCAAGCTTGGCTCTGCCTCTGACTGGCTGCCTGACTTTGAGCACCTCCCTGGGCCTGTCTGCATTCAGTCTCCTTGCCAATATCATGGGGAGACTGAGACGATAACATAATGACTGTCCAGCACAGAGTAGATGCTCAATAAATTAGTTGATCTTTCTCCCTGCAGGCAAATATTGTTCTCTTAATGACACCCAGTGTTTTGATGACCATTGTGATGTTGCAAACTCTTAAACACATATCTGTTTGAGGTCTCTTTACAACTGGAGACTTATTTTTCCCTTTGCTTACCAGGCATCTACATCTGAACCTCCCATGGGCACCCCAAAGGTCACAAGTATGGGTAGCCCTGTACCTGTCCTCTGAGACTTCCTTTTGCAGTCTCTCCAGCTACCTACTTAGTCTTCTGAACCAGCCACCTCAAAGTCGTTCTGTAAACCTTCCATTTGGTGGTTAAACCCTTCTCACATTTAATTGGTAAAAAACTCCTTTTGATTTGACCTTCCTCTTTGCTCTCACATCTCCATCTCCATGGACACTGCTACAGTCCAGACCTCCACTGTTTCCATGTGAGAGTGAACATTGATCTATAATGGTCTCCCAGCCTCTAGTCTCATCCTGTTTCATCTGGTAGTCCCCATTGCTGCAGAAAGTAGCAGTTGCCAATATCATGGGGAGATTGGTATAATACGTTGAATGTCCAGCACAGAGTAGATGCTCAAGAAGTTAGTTGATCTTTCTCCCTGCAGGCGAATATTTTTTCTCTTATTGACACCCAGTGTTTTGATGACCACCGTGATGTGGCAAACCTCCTAGGAGGTGTTGCATCACCTTCCTAGAAAGTACCTCTTTACTTCTTTCCCATATGTAAAATCTTTCAGTTACTCTCCATTATCTAGAGCAAGGTTGCTCACCCTAGCACTGTCAACATTTGGGGCAGAGTCTTTGCCGTGGGGACTGTCCTGTACAGTGTAGGATGCTTAGTGGATCCCTGGTCTCCACCTACCAGATGCCAGTAGCCTGCCCCCTTCTCCAGTTGTAACAGCAAAATATAGACCTTGCCAAATATCCCAGGGAGGGGGCACAAAGTTGCCCCCAGTTGAGAACAACTGACCTGCAAAAATAAAACCTATATTCTCTCTTGGCTTATGATATACCTCAATATATTGTACCCAAATATCTTCAACTTAATCTCCTGAAACTATAACTCACACAGACCCTGAAATCTCTTATAGTTCTACAAAAAGTTTATTCTTTCCAAGTATACCCCACCTTTTATGACTCCCAGACTAAAGTGCCCCATTTTTCTACTTTTTGTCCCAATTTTCTACTGGAGTACCTTTTTGTTCTTATCCTTCCAAACTAATCTCAGATAATTTCTCCTGTTGTAAAGTCTTCCCTATCTATACTATAAATAATTTGTCCTTCTTCCTTATGGATCCTACATCACTTGCCATCTATTATAGGACTTGTCACTGTAATTTCTTCCTTTCACAAATGTATTTTACCCTGACCACTACTACCATCTACTTATAACTTTTTGAGTTTAGAAAAGAGATTCTATATATTTAGCATGTAGTACAATGCCCAACACATACTAGGAGTATTGACAGCTATTAGATAGACGAATAAGGGAATGACTAATGACTGAATGAGTGAATGAATGACGTCACATGCTTCTCTCCCCGGCATGGAAATGTGTTGCATGTTCTGCATGCAGAGTGAGTTGCTGGCTTCATGTCAAGGGGGAATCGTCCTTTAAGAAAAGGATCTGAGCTGCTGTTCTCCATGTTACCTGAAATCCCACCTCTTCCTGAAACTTGCTCTATTGAGACTTGAGTTTCAACTTGATGCTAGAGACAGTTGTTTAAATTTATTTTTTATTCATTGATGATTGCAACTGTAATGTCCCAGTCATAAAAATAACCTTATATTCAATAAATCCCACTCAGAAATATTCTGCATGGGGCTCTGCTTAGCATATTGATGTGAAATTTATACCCAAGTCTATTTTGGAAAACATCAAATTAAACTTGTAAGTATAAAGGAAATAAGAGTGCCCTTGACCTCCCAAGATTTAGATGATCAGCAGTTTTTAAATTACATTTCTTAAAAGCAAACTTTGATTTTTAAAGCACTGGGCACGAGGCTGTAATCAAAGGCACTGATGATATTTAGATGATTTAGAAGAGCACAAGCTGATCTGCCAACATTCAGCTTGCAGGATACATTTATCTTCCGTTAGTAGTATGAAACACCTTTGTTTTTATATTGATTATATTACTTTAGAAAATTATAGGTTTTGCCTTGTTATATTACTTACAGTCAAAATAAATGATTATGGATAATTATAATTACAAGAAGCAGCTCATTAAAAGGGGCTGGTTTTATTGAGGCTCTGCTTTATTTCTACTGGAATAATTTTAGGCACACAGCAGCATATCAAATAGGATGCATCAGAGGATGATTTTAGGAACTTAGTTCAAAAGCCCTCTCAGGATTTTGCATACATTTTAAATAATATTCAGCTAAACACGTAATCACATGTTTCTCATGTATTTCCAAAAATCCCATATGGTTAGAAATGCCTGCCAGGTTTCTCTGTTTTGATAAACAGAATGACATTTAATTAAACAGTCCTGAAAAATACCTTCTTTCTTGACTTTATACTCAGGAGAGTTAATAAAGTCCCCATTTCAGATGATGAAATAATACATTTCCTGCCCCTATTCTGGTTTTCTGCCTCAAATGTCTTCCTGGAGAGACTCCACATATGCCAGCCTTCTCAAGAGTATTAAACCAAGGGTAGATGGTAGCTAGTGTTCTTTGATCTCACTGTACTCGTTGTTATTCATTTTTTTCTTCTTCTTTTTTTTTTTAGATATGGGGGTCTCACTATGTTGGCCAGGTTGGTCTTGAACTCCTGGCCTCAAGCAATCCTCCCACCTCAGCCTCCAAAGTGTTAGGATTACAGGTGTGAGTCATCACACCTGGCCTGGTTGGTATTGATTTTTAAAAAGTGATTTGTTATTTGTTGTCCATGAAACTTGGTGTGCTCTAAATTGTTTGTTTGTTTCACTACATGACATTCCATATACTTACCATCAATTCCAATTAATAGGAATTCCAATAGAATGGCTGAAACAAATTGAGTAGAACAATTACTAACCCCTTTAGACATTATTATGTTAGGTTCTACACTGGCTCTATCTATGGGTCACTGCATCTGTTCTACACTGGCTCTATCTATGGGTCATTGCATCTGGCTATTTAGATGGCAAGGAAATGTAATTGAACTAAAAATCCTAGTCATTGAGCAACGGGCTGTTTTTGTTTTGCTTTTTACCTGCCAGCTGGCTCCTCATCTTTGAGGTTTGCTCTGACAGCTCTGAAGCTTGGGTAATATACAACAATATAGACAAAGTAAGGAAATAATTAGGTTGTATGATATTAATATATTCCCAACCTGAAAACCACAGTTTTAAAATATTCCTATTGTCTCCCCGTCCTCTGCTCATTTGACAGTTACCAGGAGCTTTGGGCAGAGAGGGAGAGAAGTGCATATGTTGTCACCTGCCGCTCTGCTGCCTCCATAGCCCATGTTAGGAATTAGCATGGTGTAGATTAAGTACAACTACACAATAGTCATCAATTCCCAATGTTATCGATACATTAGAAAGGGGCTTTGATTTCCAATTAAGTACTGAATAATTGAAAGAAACATGTGTTGTTGCAGGTTGTTGAGAAACACCTCTACCTCCATTTACCCTTTCATTAAGAAACAGGGATAAAAAATATTGCGATATCAGGATATCTAGAATTTGGAAGATGTGGAATCATCCTGCTGAGTCCAAGGGCAATCCAGAAAATCAGCTGTGATTCAGACTGTGGTGTGCCCCGTGGAGGCCATGGGTCATCCAGGAGCCTTGTATACCTGGAGGATGAGGAGCCACCAGGGGGGAATTCATTCTAACGTAAAAAAATGTCATCCTGGCATAGTGACTTCGACCCAGTTCAAAAGCCCGGGTTGTTGAAGAGGAGCCAAATTCTAGGCATGGTGTGTTTACAGTGAGTGCTGTGTTTCCCAGATTTTCCCATCCATCCGTAAGGATCTGCACATTTTAGGAAGAGAGAGAGAGAATTCAGAATAAGAGCTGAATAAGAGTGCAGTAGTAGGTTAGCTCAGCAGATCTGTGTTGTCCAAACCCTGCACTTTCCAAAGAACATCTGCTCTTTGACAGCCTTCCAGGAGATAACCTCTAAGCCCTTGGAATATCCTGCCTGATAATAATGTCTTTGTTTACCTGGAGCTTTGAGTTATGCTAGATAGTTAATGCTAACAATGTGATTTATAGTGGAAGCTTTGGGCCACCTGTATCAGTCTTGACCTCTGGAGGGGCTGGCAACTGAGTTCAGTCATGCAGACAGTCTGCCATGACTACACGCCCCAAAACCATACTGGATGCCAGGGTTGGGGGAGCTCCCTGGGCAGCAATGCTCTGTGCATGTTTCCTCACCTCACTGCTGGGAGAATTAAACATCATTTGGTTCCATTTCCCAGCTGCTGAAAAACTGTAATTCTTTTGGGGAGAAATTAATAATGTAGCTTAAAAGGAAGAATGTTGATTGTGTAAATTCTGTAGAATTTTTTTAAAATGTTGAGGGAAGAAGGGAAGACCAACTATGTAGAAAAGGGAGCCTTTATTATGAACACACAACTCTTTATAATACCCATGTAGAATAAAAGTAAAGAAAAAATAATTCAGATAATCACTACGTAAGATTATGTTTACTCTTACATGTTACACTTACATATTTTATTTTATTTGAGACAGAGTCTCACTCTGTTGCCCAGGCTGGAGTGCAGCGGCGTAATCGAGGCTCACTGCAACCTCTGCCTCCTGGGTTCAAGTGATTCTTGTGCCTCAGCCACCCGAGTATCTGGGATTACAGATGTGTGCCACCATGCCTGGCTAATTTTTTCTGCGTTTTTGGGAGAGATGGGGTTTCGCCATGTTGGCCAGGCTGGTCTCAAACTCCTGGCCTCAAATGATCTGCCTGTCTCAGCCTCCCAAATGGCTGGGATTACAGGTGTGAGCCACTGTGCCCAGCCACTTACATGAAACATCTGACTGCACTGCTGAATTCAAAATATATGAATATGTTATACAGAAAAGTGTTTTGAAAGTCCAGTGAAAATTAATAACCAAATAGAATGTTCTACTTAGTCATTTTTGACTTATCTTTATAATAATTTTGTTTTATAATGTGAAAAAATAGATCTATTGCTCATCTTGTCAAAAATATTTATGTACAGAACTGTATTTTAAAACAAGCAAGTACAAAAGAAAAATTAAGTGTATGAATATTTTATTACCTCTCAAAATAGCCTTACTTGAAAAGACCATCACTCCATGGCCAATGGATCTACTTGATCCTGAAATAATTGTGAGTGGGGTGTATCTGTTACTATCAGCAGGCCAACCTCACAGCAACAAGAAGAAAGGCCTTTGACAACCTGAGGGTCACCACTGGGATTTCTATGGCCAACTTAAATGGAAAGAATGAGCAGGAAACCAGTTGACTTTTTTTGAAGAAAAAATGACAAAAATCTCTCAGTACCTCTTAGTCATCATTTCTTGGAAACAACTATACATCATACAGTTGCAGGCAGGGAAATAAATTGAATATGTACTTTGTAAGAGAGCTTGGCAATTAGCAAGTGGCAATGACCATCCCTCAAAGTTATAAAGGAAGGGCAGTCCAATAGTATAGTTTTGTATTTGGGGCAGTATTTTCATAGAGGCATTTGAGCAACATGCATTAAGCAGAGGCAGGCCGATAAACGGGTGGCTCTGTTCTCTGCAAAGTCATCACCACTTTTGTGACACTCCTGAAGCATACCTCTTCACTGCCTGCCAGTTTACTGGAGTCCTTGCATCACTGTAGTACATCCATCAGTACAGCCTGTTATTCCTGCTGAATAAAGGTAGTACAGAATAACAGTACAGCCTATTATTACTGATGAAAGTTGTCAGTATTGAGGTCCAAAGAGGAGTCTGACTTTTTTTTCTAAGTTAAAAATAGTAGCATGGTACATAAATTAAAGCAATTCTTTTGCATGTGAATTTCTGCTATAACAGTCCCTCAAAAACAAGAACTTGAAAAGAATGATAATTCAGCCTCATTGTAGCTGAAAGGATTTGAATGGTATTTCTTGACATTTTGTTGGCTTAGAATGCCACAGAATGCAACGGACACAGGGACATTTATTTTGTTACAGCATCTTTCACAAGTGAAATTCCCCAGTTAGACTATAAATAAAAACAGCTGTGCAATTTCAGACACGTTCCACAAACCGAAGATGGGTCAAATTTAAAAATGAAGCAGTTATTGCGGAGTTTATGTTCCTCCAGCTTTTAAATATCATTACAAACAATGTAATAATGCATTTTAGACTAGGAGTGGTTTCTCAAAAGTGAAACCAGGAGATTCCAACATTAATCTAGAAAATTGATTTTGGTTTGTATCTTTTGCTACTATTATTATGAAAAACAAAACAAAACATATAGAGAAAAATTATATTTCTATCAATAGAACTATTAAGTTACACATTTGATTAAAGGTATTTTAAAGTAGACTCACAAATGGAATGAGATTGAGAGTGTTGATATCTACTGAAAAGCCGAGTTTGAAAATGTTAAAAGTCTATTATTTGAATGGAAGTCATTTATTATTCAGAGCTCTCTGAGATGCTGTAAATATTTTATAAATGATACAACCAGCCTCATCTTATGAGAGTTCTGCAATGCTCTTTAAAAAATCTCGATGAATTAAGTGTCATTCATTCAAATACAAAACAGAAATAGAGATAAATTACGAGAACTGCTGTTTTTTTTTTTTTTTTTTGAGATGGAGTTTCCTCTGTCGCCCAGGCTGGAGTGCACTGGCGCGATCTCGGCTCACTGCAAGCTCCGCCTCCTGGGTTCACGCCATTCTCCTGCCTCAGCCTCCCGAGTAGCTGTGACTACAGGCGCCCGCCACACTAATTAGCCCGCCTGGCTAATTTTTTGTATTTTTAGTAGAGACGGGGTTTCACCGTATTAGCCAGGATGTTCTCAATCTCCTGACCTCGTGATCCGCCCTCCTTGGCCTCCCAAAGTGCTGGGATTACAGGCGTGGGCCACTGCGCCTGGCCTATGAGAACAGTTTTGTTGTTGTTGTTGTTTTGAGACAGAATCTCTCTCTGTCGCCCAGGCTGGAGTGCAGTGGCGCAATCTCAGCTCACTGCAACCTCTGCCTCCTGGGTTCAAGCTATTCTTCTGCCTCAGCCTCACGAGTAGCTGGAACTACAGGCACCCGCCACCACACCTGGCTAATTTTTGTATTTTTAGTAGATAGCAGGTTTCACCATATTGGCCAGGCTGATCTCGAACTCCTGACCCGTGATCCACCCACCTTGGCCTCCCAAAGTGCTGGGATTACAGGTGTGCGCCACCTCGCCCAGCTGGGAACAGTTTTTAAAAATTGTATATGGTAGAGGAAGGAAAACACCTTTAACTTAGTAAAGGAGTCTTATAAATGTAAGAAATAGCTCCCTAATAAAGATAAGAAGATAGTCCATGACCTCATGGCACTTTCAAGATCAAATTAATCAACCCAGTGCCCCTGCCAACCTCAATTTAGCAGAAACTCCAGGTAGTTAATTACCTTGCCCAAAATTGCAGATGCAGTTGGCATCTGACACAGAATGTGTCTCCTAATTTGTTCTAAACCTCATCCGTTTTACTATATTATTAGAATATTAGACTATATATGTATTATATATTAATCTACCCAAAAATGTTATAGTTGGATTCCTGAAGGTGCCTTTTGGGAGTAATGTTCTTTGGTTTCTTTCTAGACATATTTTCTTTAACTAATCAGCCCTTTCCTCTGAGTAGTCCCAGGTCATATGGCACTGGTAAGTAAGGCTAATAATTTTCTATGTTTCTAATTGGGGAGAAGTTTCAGGAACTCTGCAGCCTATACAGAGAAAGGAGTTCCTTCTCAATTGCCCCCAAAACTGCAGCTCCTGATGCAATCACTGTAACTCCTAGAGCACTGCTTTCAGAGATTTTGTGAGGCAGTTGACGGTGATGTTATTCAGAAGTCCTTTTCTTCTCTCCTATTGACAGTGAAGATCATAAAATTAGATCTCCGTCTCCCTGTGTGTTTCACACATCACTAGAGCCCCTGCAGATATCACACTGACCCAGTCTAATTGAGTTCCATGTGTGTCTGCATGAACGTTTCCCAGCTAGGAGAGAACTGACTGATAATGAACTAAATTCGTGACTCACCTAGACAAGATTTCAAAGGTTAGGTCATGCTAATAAAGTGTCCCTGCATTATGATTGTCTATAGATTTCTATGCACAAAGATAAAATTAAATTCAGCCACAAAATTACATACTTTGAGAAAATATATATATATAAAATAAAGATTAAATAAAAAAATATATATAGGACCTGTAGATGCCGACACCACGAGGCTCCTCTGAGGGCCTGAGTCCCGGGTTCTTGCAAGAGCAGCCAGCCCGCCTGCCCGTGCTCCTCGCTGATTGGTCGGCTCAGTGTGCATGCAGGTAGTGGGGCCGTGTGGGGCCACGCCCCCTGCAGGCATGCCCATGGTAGCTGAGGACCTAGGGGGCAAGGGTGGCTCTCTGAGGCCTCTGTTCCCACAATATTCCAGCTCCTCATCCTGGCAAAGGAAGCAAGGAGCCGGGAATGGGGAGTGCTCGGAATCCTGTCCTGAGGAATGAAGGCCAAGTGGATGGGCCCTAGGACCTCACCCCCGGGCTCGTTCCAGCCACCCTTGCCCCTTTGGGTGCAATGGCCATCACCCCGTGGGTGGGGCCCAGGCTCCCTCCCATGCCCTGTGTGCTTCCAACACGCCCAGCTGCATCCTTTTTATCAATGGATTGTGCTTTTATGTTTTATCTAAGAAAATTGTTGACTCCCTGCTATAGACTAAATGTTTCTCCCCAGCATATGTCACTCTATTCAATCCACCAATCCCACCACTGGGTATCTACCCAAAGGAAAATAAATCATTACATCAAGAAGACACCAGAACTCATATGTTTATCACAGCACCACTCACAATAGCAAAGATATGGAATCAACACTCAGGTGCCCAACAACGGATAACTGGATAAAGAAAATGTGGTTTATATGTAAAATGGAATAGTATTCAGCTATGAAAAAGAATGAAATCATGTCTTTTGCAGCACCACGAATGGAACTATAGACCATTATTTTAAGTGAAACAAGTAAAACACAGACAAATATTGCATGTTCTCACTTATAAGGGAACGGAGCAATGTGTACACAGGAACATAGAGAGTGGAAAGATAGACACTGGAAACTCAGAAGGGTGGGAGAGTGTTGAGAAATTACTTAAAGGATACAATGTACATTATTCAGGTGATGGGAACACTAAAAGCCCAGACTTCACCACTACACAATAGATCCATGTACCAAAATTGCCCTCGTAGCCCTTAAACTTATATAAATAAATACATGAATAAATGTTTGATTTTGCTGGGTCAAAATTAAAGGGTTTTTGAAAGCTTTTGGTTAAAATCATTCCTGGTGATAAAAATGAAACCGACAAACATTTCTATAATACTTGACAACAGAATTATAAAGAGAAATGATGCATGAATACATCTTAATTCTTGCCTTAGGAATATTCTCTAACTGAAGTACCCAAAGGCTTAAATATGCCCATTTTATGCCATTATACCTCTGCAATTTATCTATGAATATAAAAGGAAATACAAAGGAATATAAAAGGATATAAAATATCTATGAATATAAAAAGTATGCCATTATACCTCTGCAATGTAATCTATGAATATAAAAGGAAAACCTTTGCTTAAGCACACACACACACACACACACACACACGTGTGTGTGTGCACATACATATATATATTTTTACCCTCCAAAGGCAACTTCAATTTTGTTAGATAAAACATAAAAGCACAATCCATTGATAAAAAGAATGCAGTTGGGCATGTTGGAAGCACACAGGGCATGGGAGGGAGCCTGGGCTCCACCCTCAGGGTGATGGCCATTGCATCCAAAGGGGTAGGGGTGGCTGGAACGAGCCTGGGGGCAAGGTCCTAGGCCCCGTTCACTTGGCCTCCATTCCTTAGGGCAGGGTCCCCTGGCACTCCCCACTCCTGGGTCCTTGCTTCCTTTGCCAGGATGAGGAGCTGGAATATCGTGGGGACAGAGACCTCAGAAAGCCACCCTCTCCCTGAGTCCACAGCTACCATGGGTGGTCCCTGAGGGGGAGGGCATGCCTGCAGGGGGCGTGGCCCCAGCGGCCCACCACCCACATGTGCACTGAGTCGACCAATCAGCGAGGAGTGCGGGCAGGCAGGCTGGCTGCTCTCAAGAGAACCGAGGACCCAGGCCCTCAGAGGAGCCTTGTGGTGCCAGCGTCTGCAGGTCCACTGAGGGAGCAATGTGGGGGGTCCCTCAGGTGTTGTGCCCATGGTGGGGAGGCGGGGAAAGCCGGCATGAGGCCCTTTGGGGATGACCGTGTGAAGCACCGGGCTGCCCCAGGCTGACCTGTGAGGAAATGGCCCCAGTGTCGTTGTCTGGGGCCTGAATCAGGGCAAGGCCCTGAGGGCAGGCCGGGGTGGGCCAGGGCTGAGAGCTGGAGCTGCCCAGGTGGTTCCCAGGGCCCAGGAGCAGCCCCAGGGGCCTGTGCATATGTGCAGGGGTTGGGGAGTCGGTGTGGGTCCCTCCTGCCTGGCTGCCCAGCAGGACAGGACACTTGGGGTCACCGGAGGTCCCCTGGGCATCCAGGCGGGCGAGTAGCAGTGCCCACCCTTGATTGTCCGAAACAGGTGCACACCGGGTGACTCCCACTGAGATAGCTGGGGAGATCCTCTGTCATCCCACAGCTCTTCCGGCCACACGGGGTCGCTGGGGGACCCAGGAGCAGGGCCGAGCTCTGTCTCAATGGCTCCGCGAGGATCCCCCAGAGGCCGCGGAGTTCAGGTGTGCGCGGCAGCTGCGAGCTCTGCGGCCAGCCCCAGGGACAGGCTGTACAGGCCAGGACAGGAGGGGATGCTGACATATTCTCCGCGATCCCTCCTGCTCCCACAGGAGACTCGGGGCGGGCCAGCCCCACGCTTCTTGAACCCACCATCCCGATAGCTCTCCTTTCACACACCCTGTTTCCTTACTGTATCTTTGCACTCACAAGGTTCAGGAGTCACCTCTAACATCCGAGGACAACCAGCCATGGAGCCCGTGGGCAGGAAGCTCATGGAGAAGCCTGCGAAGGCCTCACCCAGTGGAGGCTCAGGTTACGGCCAACCAGGAAATGGAGCATGGAGTTAAAAACAGTCCAGGGGAGCCGGAAGAAGGTGCACGCCCAAGGGGACGGTTTGTCTGCTCTCTGCGCGGGGGGCACACAGGCAGCAGACAGTCAGCCCGAGGCCCCCAGCCCCTATGTTGCTTTGGAGTTCACCTTGCACGTGCTAAGATGCCCAAGCTTTTCAAAGCAGGCTCAAGAGCCTTAGGTTTCCCATGGGAGGTTCTCCCTCATACCAGGGTTACAGATACTCTTAGAGCAGCTCTTCTCGATGGATGCGGTCCTGACGTCCAAGGGATCTGACACGTAGTGCCTTGTTTACTGGGACTTAAACCGCAAAGAGCTTGCAAAAATGCCTCTGTAAAATGGTCAGGGTCCCAGTGATTCCATGTATAGCGCTGCTTTAAAGCTTTAATGGGCAGAGAGCCAAAAGGGTCCACAAATAGTACATTTCTCCACAAAAAAATGTCCACAACAGCGTCTTCCTCTTAAAAAAAAAAAAAAGGTGTGTCTTTTTTATTTTAATGCAGGAAAGACTCCAGCAATTGATAAGCAGCGGAAAAGAGACCATTTTGCTGAAATCGATGCGGAAGACAAGGGGTAAAGTGTTTAAGTCAGTTTTGCCTGTCAGATAACGTCTTCTAAGAAAAATCAGCTTTGGAGCCAAGCATGGTGGCTCACGCCTGTAATCCTAGCATTCTGGGAGGCCGAGGTGGGTAAATCACTTGAGGTCAGGAGTTTGAGACCAGCCTGGCGAAAATGGTGAAACCCTGTCTCACCAAAAATACAAATATTAGCCAGGCGTGGTGGCATGTGCCTGTAATCCCAACTATTCAGGAGGCTGAGGCATGAGAATTGCTTGAATCTGGGAGGCAGAGAAGTCAGCTTTGGATCATATAATCACTGTTCTATGCAGAACATTTCACCATTTCACATAAGACATTTCTTCTTCTTAAACAAACATGGCATTTTGTGTAGCATTATGTTAAAATTTTGATGTAACTTTTTTCTTTTTTTATTATACTTTAAGTTATATGGGATACATGTGCAGAACGTGCAGGTTTGTTACATAGGTATACATGTGTCATGGTGGTTTGCTGCACCCATCAACCCATCATCTACATTAGGTATTTCTCCTAATGCTATCCCTCCCCTAGCCCTCCACCCCCGACAGGCCCCAGTGTGTTATGTTCCCCTCCCTGTGTCCATGTGCTCTCGTTGTTCAACTCCCACTTATGAGTGAGAACATGCAGTGTTTGGTTTTCTCTTCCTGTGTTAGTTTGCTGAGAATGATGGTTTCCAGCTTCATCCATGTCCCTGCAAAGGACATGAACTCAACCTTTTTAATGGCTGCATAGTATTCCATGATGTATATATGCCACATTTTCTTTATCCAGTCTATCATTGATGGGCATTTGGGTTGGTTGCAAGTCTTTGCTATTGTGAATAGTGCTGCAATAAACATATGTGTGCATGTGTCTTTATAGTAAAATGATTTATAATCCTTTGGGTATATATCCAGTAATGGGATTGCTGGGTCAAACGGTATTCTGATTCTGGATCCTTGAGGAATCACCACACTGTCTTCCACAATGGTTGAACTAATTTACACTTCCACCAACAGTGTAAAAGCATTCCTATTTCTCCACATCCTCTCCAGCATCTGTTGTTTCCTGACTTTTTAATGATCAGTATTCTAACTGGCATGAAATGGTATCTCATTGTGGTTTTGATTTGCATTTCTCTAATGACCAGCAATGACAAGCTTTTTTTCATATGTTTGTTGGCTGCATAAATTTCTTCTTTTCAGAAGTGTCTGTTCATAACCTTCACTCACTTTTTGATGGGGTTGTCATTTTTCATGTAAATTTGTTTCAGTTCCTTGTAGATTCTGGATATTAGCCTTTTGTTAGATGGATAGATTGCAAAAATTTTCTCCCATTCTGTAGGTTACCTGTTCACTCTGATGATAGTTTATTTTGCTGTGCAGAAGCTCTTTAGTTTAATTAGATCCCAGTGGTCAATTATGGCTTTTGTTGCCATTGCTTTTGGTGTTTTAGTCATGAAGTCTTTGCCCATGCCTATGTCCTGAATGGTATTGCCTAGGTTTTCTTCTAGGGTTTTTAAGGTTTTAGGTCTTACGTTTAAGTCTTTAGGTCATCTTGAGTTAATTTTTGTACAAGGTGTAAGGAAGGCATCCAGTTTCAGTTTTCTGCATATGGCTAGCCAGTTTCCCCAACACCATTTATTAAATGGGGAATCTTTTCCCCGTTGCTTGTTTTTATCAGGTTTGTCAAAGATCAGATGGTTGTACATGTGTGGCATTGTTCTGAGGCCTCTGTTCTGTTCTATTGGTCTATATATCTGTTTTGGTACTAGTACCATGCTGTTTTGGTTACTGTAGCCTTGTAATATAGTTTGAAGTCAGGTAGCGTGATGCCTCCAGCTTTTTTCTTTTTGCTTAGGATTATCTTGGCTATACAGGCTCTTTTATGGTTCCATATGAAATTCAAAGTAGTTTTTTCTAATTCCGTGAAGAAAGTCAATGGTAGCTTGATGGGGATAGCATTGAATCTGTAAATTACTTTGGGCAGTATGGCCATTTTCACAATATTGATTCTTCGTAACCATGAGCATGGAATGTTTTTCCATTTGTGTCCTCTCTTATTTCCTTCACATTAATGTTAATCAGGGATATTGGCCTGAAATTTTCTTTTTTTCTTGTGTCTCTGCCAGGTTTTGGTATCAGGATGATGCTGTACTCATAAAATGAGTTAGGGAGGAGTCTCTTTTTTTCTGTTGTTCGGAATAGTTTCAGAAGGAATGGTACCAGCTCCTCTTTGTACCTCTGGTAGAATTCAGATGTGAATCCGCCTGATCCTGGGATTTTTTTGGTTGGTAGGCTATTAATTACTGCCTCAAATTCAGAACTTGTTATTGGTCTATTCAGGGATTAGACTTCTTCCTAGTTTAGTCTTGGGAGGGTGTATGTGTCCAGGAATTTATCCATTTCTTCTAGATTTTCTAATTTATTTGTGTGGAGGTGTTTATAGTATTCTCTGATAGCAGTTTGTATTTCTGTGGCATCAGTAGTGATATCCCCTTGATCATTTTTTATTGTGTCTATTTGATTCTTGTCTCTTTTCTTGTTTAATAGTCTGGCTAGCAGTCTATTTTGTTTTTTTTTTTATTATACTTTAAGTTTTAGGGTACATGTGCACATTGTGCAGGTTAGTTACATATGTATACATGTGCCATGCTGGTGCGCTGCACCCACTAACTCGTCGTCTAGCATTAGGTATATCTCCCATTGCTATCCCTCCCCCCTCCCCCCACCCCACAACAGTCCCCAGAGTGTGATATTCCCCTTCCTGTGTCCATGTGATCTCATTGTTCAATTCCCACCTATGAGTGAGAATATGCGGTGTTTGGTTTTTTGTTCTTGTGATAGTTTACTGAGAATGATGATTTCCAATTTCATCCATGTCCCTACAAAGGACATGAACTCATCATTTTTTATGGCTGCATAGTATTCCATGGTGTATATGTACCACATTTTCTTAATCCAGTCTATCATTGTTGGACATTTGGGTTGGTTCCAAGTCTTTGCTATTGTGAATAATGCCACAATAAACATACGTGTGCATGTGTCTTTATAACAGCATGATTTATAGTCCTTTGGGTATATACCCAGTAATGGGATGGCTGGGTCAAATGGTACTTCTAGTTCTAGATCCCTGAGGAATCGCCACACTGACTTCCACAATGGTTGAACTAGTTTACAGTCCCACCAACAGTGTAAAAGTGTTCCTATTTCTCCACATCCTCTCCAGCACCTGTTGTTTCCTGACTTTTGAATGATTGCCATTCTAACTGGTGTGAGATGGTATCTCATTGTGGTTTTGATTTGCATTTCTCTGATGGCCAGTGATGGTGAGCATTTTTTCATGTGTTTTTTGGCTGCATAAATGTCTTCTTTTGAGAAGTGTCTGTTCATGTCCTTCGCCCACTTTTTGATGGGGTTGTTTGTTTTTTTCTTGTAAATTTGTTTGAGTTCATTGTAGATTCCGGATATTAGCCCTTTGTCAGATGAGTAGGTTGCGAAAATTTTCTCCCATGTTGTAGGTTGCCTGTTCACTCTGATGGTAGTTTCTTTTGCTGTGCAGAAGCTCTTTAGTTTAATTAGATCCCATTTGTCAATTTTGGCTTTTGTTGCCATTGCTTTTGGTGTTTTAGACATGAAGTCCTTGCCCATGCCTATGTCCTGAATGGTACTGCCTAGGTTTTCTTCTAGGGTTTTTATGGTTTTAGGTCTAACGTTTAAGTCTTTAATCCATCTTGAATTGATTTTTGTATAAGGTGTAAGGAAGGGATCCAGTTTCAGCTTTCTACATATGGCTAGCCAGTTTTCCCAGCACCATTTATTAAATAGGGAAGCCTTTCCCCATTGCTTGTTTTTCTCAGGTTTGTCAAAGATCAGATAGTTGTAGATATGCGGCCTTATTTCTGAGGGCTCTGTTCTGTTCCATTGGTCTATATCTCTGTTTTGGTACCAGTACCATGCTGTTTTACACCACAAAGATACTCCTCGAGAAGAGCAACTCCAAGACACATAATTGTCAGATTCACCAAAGTTGAAATGAAGGAAAAAATGTTAAAGGCAGCCAGAAAGAAAGGTCGGGTTACCCTCAAAGGGAAGCCCATCAGACTAACAGCGGATCTCTCGGCAGAAACCCTACAAGCCAGAAGAGAGTGGGGGCCAATATTCAACATTCTTAAAGAAAAGAATTTTCAACCCAGAATTGCATATCCAGCCAAACTAAGCTTCATAAGTGAAGGAGAAATAAAATACTTTACAGCCAAGCAAATGCTGAGAGATTTTGTCACCACCAGGCCTGCCTTACAAGAGCTCCTGAAGGAAGCACTAAACATGGAAAGGAACAACCGGTACCAGCCGCTGCAAAATCATGCCAAAATGTAAAGACCATCGAGACTAGGAAGAAACTGCATCGACTAACAAGCAAAATAACCAGCTAACATCATAATGACAGGATCAAATTCACACATAACAATATTAACTTTAAATGTAAATGGACTAAATGCTCCAATTAAAAGACACAGACTGGCAAATTGGATAAAGAGTCAAGACCCATCAGTGTGCTGTATTCAGGAAACCCATCTCATGTGCAGAGACACACATAGGCTCAAAATAAAAGGATGGAGGAAGATCTACCAAGCCAATGGAAAACAAAAAAAGGCAGGTGTTGCAATCCTAGTCTCTGATAAAACAGACTTTAAACCAACAAAGATCAAAAGAGACAAAGAAGGACATTACATAATGGTAAAGGGATCAATTCAACAAGAAGAGCTAACTATCCTAAATATATATTTTGTTAATCTTTTCAAAAAACCAACTCCTGGATTCATTGCTTTTTGAAGAGTTTTTCATGTCTCCTTCTCCTTCAGTTCTGCTCTGATCTTAGTTATTTCTTGTCTTCTGCTAGTTTTTGCATTTGTTTGCCTTTGGTTCTGCAGTTCTTTTAATTGTGAGGTTAGGGTATTGATTTTAGATCTTTCCTGCTTTCTCCTGTGTGCATTTAGTGCTATAAATTTCCCTGATGTAACTTTTTTTTTACAGGGTTGATATCCAGAAGCTAGAAGATATTGCAGGTATGTTTTAGGAGCTATTTGTAGTTTATGAAAATTGTTTTCAATCATACAACTGTTACAATAGGCTGTACGAATTAGTGGACAAGACTGTCTTAAATGCCTTCTTCTCATATATAGCATTTAACATAGTCTGTTTGATAAATCTGTATTACTTCCTTTTTTATTGTTGATGTGGAATGTGAGAATGCTTCTAATAATGGGCAAGTGAGAGGGATGGCTTTTCTTTCATACACGTGGAAATTTAATGTTTGGGGGATATTAGAGGACACTGGAGGAGAAACAGCTCTATTCGTTCCTTTTAGTGTACACACATTAAGTCACATATCAGTTTTTTTAGCTTTTATTTTAGGTTTGGGGTTACATGTGCAGGTTTGTTATATAGATAAATTGCGTGTCACAGTGGTTTGGTATACAGATACTTTTGTTATTTTGTTATTTTGTATTTTGTTACCTAGGTTATAGCATAGTACCTGATGGGTGGTTTTCGATCCTCACCCTCCCCTCCTACCCTCCACCCTTAAGTAGGCCCAGTTGTCTGTTGTTCCCCTCTTCCTGTCCATATGTACTCAGAATTTTTAATATGAGTTTTTCATGTTCCTAATTTAGCTATTCTATTGTCACAGCTTTCTGATTTTGTTTTCTTTAAAGTATGAGAAAAAATTGAATTCTCTAAAATGATTATTTTCTATTATTATTCCAGTAATAAACTGTGTAGTAGAAAAGTAAAGACAACTTTTCTACCCAGTGAGAAACATGTAATTAATTGGATCCAAAAACTCATAAACTTTATATTGCCATGTGAAATATTAGTTGTACTGACTGTTATAGGACCATTTATTCAAAAAAGTTTGAGAAAATTTCTGTAGAGACGATGGAGACAACACTCTTATTTTTAAAAAGCTTACTTTAGTTTTCAGTTCTTCTATAGCAATAATTCATATAAGCAGTATATTTGGAAAGCTTTGCTCTGCTTGGTGGTGACAAAGTGCTGGTTTTGTGAGCTGCCTAATACATCGACCACTATAGATGGATACTGTATGTAAAAAATATTTGTATTATGGTGCAGATCTTTTATGACTGCAGAAAACTATTCTTAGCAATTGATGGTGGATCTCTGATGTGAAACTATGTTTAGGAAAGCATTCCTTGCAGTAATACAGTTTTCAGAAACAGCATTGTGGATAAAAATGTCATATAAAAAGCTCCCAGAAAATATTTCAAACGTGTTTTTAAGTGTATTTCTTTATCTACTTAAACCTAAATTTTTATACCCATGGACATTGCTTCTTTTATTAAAATACAGTTAATAGCATCAATCACTAGATTGCTTAAAAATACTTTATTGTGTATTATGTTATGTCTACCCTTTTGATGGTCTTACTTTTATGTGCTTTACTTAATGAGTTGTGACAGTATTTCATGGAAACATGTCGTTTGAACTGTTGGACATTTTATGATGTAGAAATTAAAGTCTGTGTTTGTTACCCTTTCTGCACATTTAAAAAATAGAAACTATTTTAATTATTTGCTTTTTTTCATCATCTGTCAATTAAGTGATTTGCTGTTATACCAATTGGAATTGGAAAACTATTATTAATACCTGAAAGGTTTTACAGAAAAGGATTAAATCTTACTTTTTTGAAACGATCTTTCCATTTTGCATTTTAAATATCCTTCTGATATTGCTGAACCATCATGTCCCATATTGATTTCAATATCTGCAAATAAACTACTTTTCAACATTAATTTTTAATGCATTTTCATTTACTGTCTAGCTGACATTAAAAAGGGTCTTGCTGCAAAGAGAAAAAGGATTGAAAGCGTTGCAAAAGCTTGCAACGAAACAAACAACAAAATTAAACGTATTTTGAGAACAATACAACTAAAAATGCATGATTGTTGGCTTTTTTGAATAAGGATATTTCTATCATTTCTTTGTATTCATTGGTGCAAATAATTTCAAAAACTATCTTGTACATATTGGTGTCTGTAGTGAACAATATGTTTACTTGATTGTTCCTTAAGCAGGTAAGTTTCTTTGTTTTATAACCTAAGTTTAACAGAATTGAGGTATATTATCTAGAAAGCCAATGAAGATGACCTCTTTTTGCCTTCCAGATAAAAATAGTCTTCCTGTAAAATTAATTTTTATCCATTTCTAGAAATATGGCAGCTGCATATAAGATAAATGTCTTCAACGTTTAGTCTGTAGATCCTTAACAATATTAAGTTATGTAGAAAGGGACAACCTTATGTCGTAAATAGGTTATCTATTTTAGTTAAATTGTTTTCACTATTCCTTTTAGAAAATCATTGTTGTACCAAAGTGGAGAGAGAGTTAAGTGAAGTATTTCTTTTGGGAAATCTTACGGGATGAATGGCTATGATATTCTTGAACCTACTTATGAGAACCCACATGTTATTTAGTTTGAGGAAATGAAAAGTAAACTGCTGTTAGAGAAAATTATTGTTTCTGGGAAATTTATAGTGCAGTAAACTCTCCTTTGTTTTCAGCACATAAAGAATGTAAGATAGCTGCTCTAGTAGTCAGTTAGGAAGGGATCCTTTCAGAATGACAGTAACTCATTTCACCTTTTCCCAAAAAGAAGATTTCAGCTGCCATTACTCCCTTGCTACTTTATAGTATAAATTATGTGAAGTCAGTTTTGGTTTGAATAGGATTAATTTTTCATCTCTCTATGACATATGACCGTGTTACTTATTATGTGTTACAGGCAGAAATGTAGTTATGGACGTTCTCTGAAGTTGCTGACTGTCCTTGAATCACAGGTGAGCAGAAAGATGAAGAAGAAAGAAGAAGGAGCTGAATGCCCTTGAAGAATACATCACAGGTGAGCAGAAAGATGAAGAAGAAAGAAGAAGGAGCCGAATACCCTTGAAGAATACATCACAGGTGAGCAGAAAGATGAAGAAGAGAGAAGAAGGAGAAGAACTAATTGTTGGTATCAGGCTTAGCTTTACAATTAACCTATTGTATCAATGTCTCAGGTAGTAATGGTTCATGCAGAAATCCAGCAAAGAAGGAAGAGAGCATGAACCCAGAGAGCGGGGCCCATTAGTGGACTCATGGACTAGGGGAATATAATTGCCATGCAGCATTAGGGGTCCAACTGAGGTCAGTGTCATAGGGATTAAGAAGTTAAAGTCAGCCCAGATGGCATATTTGTGCAAGAGTAACTTTAGGGTTGGAATTTCCTGGGTTGGGGTGTAGCTGAGCACATTGATAGAGGGAGAGTTGGGCAGGGCATATATGTTGGTGGAGGGGGGGCGGTTATGATGACTGGCTGTGGAATTTCAGCTGGGACTGAGTTACCGGAGCACATGGGGGTGGGCATTGGGCAGTGAAAAGTGCTCCATCCATTGGGTGTTGGGTCCCTACAGATTCCTGAGCTGTAGTACTGAAGTGAGTGACCTACAGTGACAGGGAGGTAGTGGCTGTGTATGTTGGGAAGATGGAGAAATAGCTGAGTGGAGTGGTCAGGGGCTGGGACTCTGCAGCCACATTGCTTGGGATCCAACTCCAGTTTGACCATTGCTAGCTTGGAAATATGGGCAAATTATTTATCTCTGTGCCTCAGTTGCCTTATCTATGAAAGGAGACATGGTAAGAGTACCTACCTCAGAGTTGTTTGAAGGATTAAAGGGTTCTTATGTAATGGGTTTATTTAAAATTTTCAGGATGCGATCTCACCCATGGTTGCTCTTTATCGTTGCTATCATTGCTATTATTATTATTACGGGAGATGTTGCAGCCATTGGGAATGACAAAATCTAGGGGATGACTGTGTGAGTGAGTGCCACATAGAGGAGAGGAGAACACTGTTGTTGGAGATTAGGTCAAGGTGCAGAAAGGCAATCATTGTTGGAAGGTTCATCTATGTGCATACTGAAATGACCAAGTGTTTAAAATCTTAGTAAAAAAGAATGTTTCTTAGGTAAGAAAGATCTGTATTAGAAATTAACTATCTGTGGTCAACAAATTGTAGGAAGGGTCATCAAATACTCTTCATTTGAAACCAAGAATTAGGACATACATGTTGAATATATATAAGAAAGAATATTCTTTACTCCATGACTGATGAGAAAGATTATGTTGTTTTAGCATATGAGTGGTGAACACAACTGTTTAAAATTGGTCATAAATGTTGTCTAATAGTGTTCAGAAGTATTGATTTAAAGAGTATCCATTTAAAGCTAATGCAGAATTATGTTTTGTAAGTATTAAAATTTATCCGATTTTAATCACTTTTTAGTTTTGTGCTTCTAGAGAATATTTCAAGAGCAACAAAAGAGACGGCAACAAGATGGGAAAGGAACTGAAAGAGATTGAGCCGCCACATGAGCAATTCACAAAGGTCTGTTCTATTTGGTAACACAATACGTTCTTATAAAATACAACTCATGAACAAAAATAGAAGACAGTCTGCTTGTTTCTGAATGTATGGAAAGACCTTTTTTTTTGATCAGTTTGACTTTATTAATATTTGTTCCACAGAGCTTTACAGGTATCCTTTAACTGACTTCTAGGATTTATAGTTTTTACTTTTTTCACCAAACAACAAATTCATTTTTATAAAATTCAGTTGGCCCCGAGAGTTTCTTTTTTTTTTTAATTATCCTTTAAGTTCTAGGGTATATATGCACAAAGTGCAGGTTTGTTACATTGTATACATGTGCCATGTTAGTGTGCTGCACCCGTTAACTCGTCATTTACATTAGGTATATCTCCCAATGCTATCCCTCCCCCGACCCCACAACAGTCCCCAGAGTGTGATGTTCCCCTTCCTGTGTCCATGTGATCTCATTGTTCAATTCCCACCTATGAGTGAGAACATGCGGTGTTTGGTTTTCGTCCTTGCGATAGTTTGCTGAGAATGATGGTTTCCAGCTTCATCCATGTCCCTACAAAGGACATGAACTCATCCTTTTTTTTGGCTGCATGGTATTCCATGGTGTATATATGCCACATTTTCTTAATCCAGTCTATCATTGGTGGACATTTGGGTTGGTTCCAAGTGGACAGACCTTTTGGTTATACATTATAAATTACTTACCATTTTCACTTTGTATTGTTCCAGATTTAACATAATTGGTAAGTGTATTTTTAGGATTCATGAATAGTTTTGTGGGAGTTATTTAAAACAGGAAAAGGTAAATTGGAAATTTTACCTGGAAATATAAATCTTGTGTATAAAATTGATACTTTATGAATACATTAATGAAGATTTCATATTCAGTTTTTAGGAGATCAGCGACAGATCTTTAGTGGAATGCAGGAAGTCCATAAATCCTTACTGGATGTCTTTTTTACTTGTCTTGTTTAAACAGTTTTAGTTAAATAGGAAGTAGGCAAGTGTTGACTACTGAGTATCTCTTTTATTTCCTGCTGGAATGTAGGAGTGTTTTATGGCATATTCCCTTTCAAAACTATTAGTGACTAGTAATGGTTTTACATGAAAATTTGTAATCATAAGAGATGGTTCAGATGTATAACAGAATGTGAAAGCCAGCAGATTATTAACACTTTGTGAATTGTGAATTATCTGCTGTCATATAGCATATTAGCTAATCGTTATTGGACAATGACCTCTTCTTCATGTAGATGTATATTATTTAGGAAACAATGTAATTTTCTTTTGGGAGGTATTCTTTTTAATAACCTTGTGAAAAGACATGCTCATATGTCACTCCTCTACACTAACTGAGATGTGTTAAATAAACTAGGAAAAGCGTTTGAAAATAAAATTTTCAAGCAACTTAAGGATGATCTGTACACAAACAGTTATTTACATAGAAGTCACGAGAAGAGAACATGTTGCTATAATGTTCCTCAGAAACTATTTATTAATTGGTATGAACATTAAACTAGAAAAGTTATCCTGTCAATGTTAATGCTACATGTTACCCCTTAGGGTAGAAACTTTGGTATCATCTTGGACTCCTCTGAGTCCATTATCCTTCCCATGCAGTTATTGCGAGGCACGTTTACCGCTGTAATGGTCCTTTAATTTCTTTCTTTAAATCCCTACTGAGGCTGCCCTAGTTCAAGACCTCATTCTTCCTTGCTTGTATTATTAAGCTCTTTTCTGAGTTATCTCTTCTCTTCTGAGCCATCCTTCACTGATGGGCAATACTATCTTCCTAACACTCTCCCCTTTCTAAAATGCTTCCTAGCCCTTCCCTCTTCCCAGCCTGTCAGTGGTGCCCATGTCTCAGTTCTTAGATATTCAGAGACTCTCCCCTTTACATGACCCCCTCTTAGGCTTGTTTTGCCACCCTCTGTCTTTCCTCCCAACTCTCCAGATTGACAGCCTTCCCTGAAGGAACTCACCGTTACTCCCATGCTTTGCTCATGCCCTTCCCTCCAAATGCTTTTAAAATCTTTCTTTTTCTTTTTTCTTTTTTTTTTTTTGACTGATTGAAATCTTGTGCCAACTAAGTCGACATCAGTCTCCATTTTTGGCTACATGTCCGAGTGAGTTGCTCTTCCATAGCAGTAACACAAGTTTTGTATTACTTTTTTTTTTATTCGTGCATTTGCTCATGTCACAGGAATACGGAAGAGATTGTGTACTCATTTTTTACGTCTTCCTCAGTATTAACATACAACATTTTAGGGACTATGAACTGCTGAACTATTTGTTGAGGGACTAGTATATGTTTCATACGTAGTTATGTTTTCCCCAACTTGATTAGGTCATATCACAGACCATTTTATCCCTTCAATGAAAACCACGTTATGTGGACTATTAGTGATAACAAATGGTCACTACCTGGTGAAAAAATATGGTATTCCATGATATAAGACTGACAGTCTTTTTCTGTCTTTGGTCCATCTTGTCTGTAACATGTTCATCAAGCCATTTTATTCAAGCAAACTACATGACTGTTGGACCTGCTATAATAATATTTCACTGAAATCTGGAATTAAAAAATTTAAGTATTTGGAGCTCCATGTATTGATTACAGTTTTTAAATTTGAAATAAATAACCAGCATCCTTTGAATATTAAAAGCTGTTTCCTTTGACATCTAATTTACCCTGTTTAAAACCTGAGATGTAAAGTGATGGTTTGTCAGTGAACTAGACTTTTTGTTTTAGAGTATTGAGGACTTGGAAGAGTATAATGAAAGCCCTCTTTTTGGTGAAGAAAGTGGTGAAGAAAGTCAACTTAAAAAATACATCACCGTGTTCCAAAATAAAATTGTGTCGGAGACCATAAGTACTGCATATTTAATCTTAAAAACTCAGGATTGATGTAAGCACTGGAATATTTTATTTGTAGAAATGTATATTGCAATTACTTAAATTTCTTTTTTTGAGACAACTGCAGTAAGAGTTGGCACTTATTCAGATGTCTCTTTAACCACTGTTATTCTGATGGCTGATGAAAAAACTTGAACCTATGTTATATGATACAAGCATAACTTGAGCTACACTAAACCACATGACAGTATTTAGTTAATTCTCGTATAAATTAGTGTATCTCCTCTATCATTAGTTTGTTTGTTAAATGCCAGACCTCGTTACTGTGATCTGTTGAATGAACCCTAGACAGTTCTGTGAGAAAGCAGCAATTGCACAGTTATATACATGGTCAGTTAAATTTTAACATTAAAGATAATTTAGTTTTAGGTTTGGCCTCTGTGGATCTGTATCCGTTCCAAAACTGTAGAAAGCACAGGCATGGAACAGTACATTTTTCTCTAATAAAAGAAGACAAAACTTATTTTATCTGTGCATTCTTTGTATTTATTCATTAGGTTAAAGAGACAATTCCAATGAAAGTATGACTTCAAAAAATAGATATACTCTATGGCCTTTCAAAATTATTAAACTTACCTTAACATCTGTGTTCTTGAAAAAAATTAAACTACTATAAATGATTGAGACAACTGAGCAGGATATATAAATGTCAGTGCTGAGCCATTGGCTTGTGGGTATGTCATTTCCAAAGACATCAAAATGCCATTTAGTTTGTTTTGGTCCACCATTCAATGATACCACCCCTCAGCATTGATTCAAAGTATTTTATTAACATTTATGTATGCTTAACAATTACTTCACATCTATGGCAAGGTAAATTATGTAGGGTGCTTTGTTTTTTAAGTTTAGTATTTGTGGAGTATGTGGAAGTTAGTTTAAGTATGCATGCATCTAAAATCTTGTATGATGAACTCTCTTACCTTTCCTTTTTAATGTGCAGTTTTTGCACATAACATACAAAATGTTCATTTGGAAACACTTTAGTAAATATGAAATTCAGAATATATTTGGAATAAGTCAGTTAAATGTATTCTTTTGCTGAGTTTCTGAAATTCCATTCATGAATTGTTCAGAACACAATACCCTCATTGGGAGGAGAGGAGAGACTTACTCTCATTTTCCCTTGTTCTTTTCATTTTAATTGGCCCCTATATACCACTCTTATCTTTTCAAGGTTTTCCAAGTTAAAGAAAAAAAAAGTTCATTCAGATTCTGTTTTTCTGCCTACAGTCACTTATACAGGAATAAGTGAATCCTTATGGGGAGCATTTAATTCTTAAAGCTTGCATTTTCATAAAGGATTTTCCTTTTACCCAAAGCATGTGTTGATGTGTAAGTCTAAGTACTACTTCAAGTTTCTAAGAAGATCCTTATTTGAGATCTCTTTCAGTAGTTACAGAGGCAAAATAAGCACTGCAGAGGTCCATGTGAGAGTTCTATTATACATACTGGGCTATCTGACTATTCTACAGTGGAAGGATGAGAAAGACACCACAAGGTATTTAGTGATGGAACAGTTGATTTATTTTTATTTTTATTCTTTTTGAGAAGGAGTCTTTCTCACTCTGTCACCAGGCTGGAGTGCAGTGGCATGATCTTGGCTCACTGCAACCTCTGTCTCCCGAGTTCAAGCGATTCTCCTCCCTCAGCCTCCCGAGTAGCTGGGACTACAGGCACACGCCACCACACCCAGCTAATTTTTGTATTTTTAGTAGAGACGGGGTTTCAGCATGTTGGCCAGGATGGTCTCAATCTCTTGACCTCGTGATCTGCCTGCCTTGGCGTCCCAAAGTGCTGGGATTACAGGCATGAGCCACCGCGCCCGGCCAAAAGTTGATATTTATGTCACCCCTTAGTACCTCAAATGAGTAACTGTGTACTTGAAGTCACTCTGGCAGATATTCTGAAGGGAAGAAAGTTTTTGACCTTAAAAGTTATTAGGAGTGTGTGTGTGTGTGTGTGTGTGTGTGTGTATAAATGTGTGTATATACGTATATATGTGTGTGTGTGTATGTATATATGCATATACATGTATGTATATAGATAATATGCATATATATATGCATATACGTATATGTGAATATATGCACACACACACACATATATATGACTTTGTTTTTTAGAATTGTTTTTAGTTCACAACAAATTGATCTGAAGGTCTAGAGATTTCTCATTTACCCCCTGTTCTGCCACCATAGCATTCCCCACTATCCATGTACCCCACCAGAGTGGTGCCTTTGTTGCACTCCATGAAATTACATTGACACATCATTATCACCCCAAGTCCATAGATTACTTCAGGGTTCACTCTTGGTTACTTTTTGTGTGTGTGTGACTATTTTCCTCACATCTCTTGTGCTATAGCCCCTGTTTTATTTTTTCATTAAGATAACGTTTAATTTATATATTTGTGACCATGAAATTTTAGGTTAGGATATCAGAAACAAGTCGCACTAAAACAAACGTAAAGATACACTTTTCTCAAGAAAATGGTAAGACAGGTAACTTTAATTTACATACATATGCTTGAAAAATTGCAGTTAGTGCTTTTAAATTCTAGACTGAAGCACGTATTTTCTTTTATTCCATAATAAACACCCGCTTTGAAGAATGGCTGATATCAAGAGCATCATGTCTCCTAATATTGTCTCACTCAGCAGCTGAATGTTAAAATGCAAAGTAAAAGCACTAAATATATCCTTAGAGCAGTGATGTACTGAACAAAATTCAGAGGTCATATGCAAAGACAGTGCCCAAGAAATTTTGCCCACAGACCAGTGGCAAGTCCTTTATTTCAGCAACTGAAACTGAAGAGAAACAGTCTTTTGCCTCCCTGCCTCTTGGAGAGGGTTTCTCCTGATAGCAGAGGGAAAGGACCATCTCATTTCCCTGATGTTAAAATTTCATCTTGGAGTCCTAGGCTTATATCTTTGTGAAGATATCTAAATTAAGGTGATCCAGTCAAATCACAAAATACTTGACTCACTCCTTAGGAGGAGCTTAAGTCTGCCCTGATTTCTGTGCATACACCTGATTTATTGCACTCAGAGTACAAAAGCTCTGAGATGTCAAATTGAGCCAGGCCGCACATTGCATTCTTATCCAGGTGAATCAGGGCTCTCTCAGTGCTGCTCACCCAAAGCACATTGAAATAATTTTTCTTATTTATTTGTAAAACAGTGATGATGGTATCTGTGTCAGAGGGTTACTGTGTCACAGGAAACAATGATGGTGAGAAGGTTAGACATATGGTACATGTTGAATAAATGTTAGCTATTAGTTACCAATATCTTCATGATTTTTATTGATATATAATAGTTGTAAATATGTATGGAGTAAATGTGATATTTTGATTCATGAATATGTAAAGATCAAATCAGAGTAGTTGGGATATTCATCACCTCAAACTTTTATCAATTTTTTGTGTTGAGAACATCGCAAATGTCTTCTAGGTATTTTGAAATACATGATAACTACAGTTATTCGAGTGTGCTATTGAACCCTAGAACTTATTTCTTCTCTCTAACTGTATGTTTGTATCCATTGTCCAGCATTTCTTTATCCCCGTCAACCCTGCTACTGTTTCCACCCTCTGGTAACCACCGTTCTACTCACTACCTCCCTGAGATCAGTGTTGTCCAGGAATGAAAAGCAAGTAAATGGTAAAGACAGGCCGGGTGTGGTGGCTTACACCTGTAATCCCAGCACTTTGGGAGGCTGAGGCCGGCAGATCACCTGAGGCCAAGAGTTCGAGACCAGCCTGGCCAACATGGTGAAACCTCATCTCTACTAAAAATACACACAAAAAAAAAAAATTAGCTGGGCTTGGTGGCGTGTGCCTGTAGTCCCAGTGACTCAGGGAGGCTGAGGCAGGAGAATCGCTTGAACCCAGGAGGTAGAGGTTACAGTGAGCCAAGATCATGCCACTGCACTCCAGCCTGGGCGACAGAGGGAGACTCCATCTCAAAAAGGAACAAAAAAATAAAAAATAAAAAAGATGAACTAGTTGATAGTTAATAATCATGACTGGTCTATTTGTCTGCTACACTTTCTTTCCTCTATGTGTGGCAAGTGCCTACTTACTCTTTTAAGACTTGTGTCAAAGACCACCTAGTTCTTCACCTTTTCTGGACCCTGTTAGTTCTCAAACAAAATTGTGCCCCCTTTCCTCTCTTTTAGTGGTTCTGTACCTCTCAAACCCTGTATTGTGGCTGTTATTTACTGAACTGTTACCCTAGAGTGTAAAAACTTTATCATAGTCCTAATTTTATTTTTGGAAACTGGTATGTTCCCAGCCATACAGGAGGTGCACAATACACACGTACTAAATAAAGTAATGGTCATTTGAAAGAGTAAATGGTGAATACACAGCAATTCTCCAATCTTTGTGTTTATGCAAACACAAGAATTAACTTTATTGGCCTAATTCAAACGTTATCTTGAAATTTATTCAAAGTTCCCATTTTCCATGAATTAACCAGACATTTTTTGTTACTAGATTTTCACTAATTAACCAGTTAAATCTCTTTTGTCTTATATCATTTTAAAAGAGCATGTGGAACAAATTCAAACAACTTAGGTAGTTCACGTCTGTTTAGCTCACTATTTTAAGGAGTGAAGTTCACCCCGCCATTTGCCTACTTGCCTCAGTACTCACACAACAATTGCACTGATGTCCTGCTAATGCGCATTAAATCAGATATCCATACCTGGCTTTGAAGTGTGCCCTATTCAACAAACAGCTCACTTGGTTGTTATCTTCCATCTAGTATAAAGATAAAATATGTGCCAGAGAAAGATGTCTTATAGAGATTTTCGTGATGTACTAGTTACCCATAAACAATTAATTACTGGGGCAGACATTCCTACCTTTTAGAAGGAGAAGGCTTGTTCATAGGAGTTGAGAGTGAAGAAAATTAATTCTTGTTGAACTGATAAATGTCCCTTCTAGATAGTTTACATTGCCATTAAAGCATAACGTTGCCATTTTTTCTTTATCTCTCAGCTACTTATTTCTTGCATGAGCTATTCTGGCTTTTAAAATCATATTTTTTGGTCATTTGCCAAGTGCTTGGCTGTTGGGTACACATGGAATAAATTATCCAGTAAAAACCATCTCAGATCTTTCCAGCTATTTTTGATCAGGTACACCTGTAAATCTTAAAAAGCCTATAAAGAAATACCTAACTAGTACATTGGATACAAGACACACAAATCTCACATAGGACAATGGTAACTGAAGTTCTGAATGTTGACTCAACTTAGGAAATTGCAGTCCTTAGGGGGAAAATATCCTTAAACAAAGGCTTAAAATTCTACTAGGTGGTCACCACCGTTTATACACATATGTATTTCCCTCTTTTTATTTGGGAAACTGATGGTCGTATTTCCTTTTCAGGGTGGAAGAAGGAATTCTCCATTAAGAGAAGGGAAGGAAAATATAGGAAAAATAACCACTCTTTGAAAGCATCTATTGTCCAAATCATGAGGAAGAGCTTGTAGTTCTGAGTTTCACAAACGTGATTTAGTTGTTTTTCTGTAGGATCCTGCGTGGGGTCACCTGTTTCACGATAGCTGTGTCCTCAGACCCAGTGTAGGAGAAGGGTAAAAAATGTGTTACTTCACTAGTTCATACCTCTCTGAGCCTCTCTTGAAACTGCTGCAGGGAAAATTTCTCCATCTTTGTTCTGTCACTTGCATATTTGGAGCCTTTCCTACTGCCCTTGTTATGCTGCTTTGCTTTGTTTTACAGCATGCATTTTTTCCATTGCCAATGTTTGTTTGTATTTCCAGGGTCTAGCACATGACTGTGCTCAAATATCAAGTGAATGAATGAATGTATGAATGAATGAACATGACTTTCAGATGTCCTTTATGGCTTTTCTCATTGAAGTATATGCTTGTTCTTTACCTCTTCAAAAGAGGTGCAACTCATTGAGAATAGGGTTGCCAAATGTTGCAAAAACTAAGCATAGTCTTACAAAACTAAACATAGCTGAGCCATACAATCTAACAGTTGCACTCCTTGGTAACTACCCAAATGAACTGAAAACTTACGTCCACACAAAAACTTGTATGCCAGTGTTTAACCAGCTTTATCTATCATTGCAAAAATTTGGAAGCAACTAATATATCCTTCAATGGGTGAGTGCATAAATAAATTATGGTACATTCATACAATGGAATACTATTCAGAAATTATAAGAAATGATCTAGCAAGCCACAAAATGATCAAGAGGAACTTGAAATACATATTGCTAAGTGAAAGAAGCCAATCTGAAGAGGCTGCAGCCTGTATGATTCCTGCTATATAGATGACATCTGGGGTCTGGAGGACTGTGGCCCTCTTCTCACAGCTCCTCTAGACAGTGCCCCAGTGGGGACTCTCTGTGGGGACTTCAACCCCACATTTCCCTTCCACACTGCCCTAGCAGAGGTTTCCATGAGGGCTATGCCCCTGCAGCAGACTTCTGCCTGGACATCCAGGTGTTTCCATACATTCTCTAAAATCTAGGTGGAGGTTCCCAAACTGCAATTCTTGACTTCTGTGTACCCACGGGACCAACACCACATGTAAGCTGCCAAGGCTTGGGGCTTGCACCAAGCAACAGCCTGAGCTATACCTTGGCCCCTTGTAGCCACAGCTGGAGCTGAAGCAGCTGGAACTCAGGGCACCATGTCCTAAGGCTGCATAGAGCCGGGGGGCCCTGGGCCAGGCCCAGGAAACCATTTTTCCCTCCTAGGCCTTTGGGCCTGTGATGGGAGGGGCTGCCGTGCAGGTCTCTGACATGCCCTGGAGACATTTTCCCCATTGTCTTGGTGGTTAGCATTTGGCTCCTTGTTACTTATGCAAATTTCTGCAGCCAGCTTGAATTTCTCCCCAGAAAATGGGTTTTTCTTTTCTATTGCATCATCAGGCTGCAAATTTTCGAAACTCTTATGCTTTGCTTCCTCTTGAAGGTTTTGCTGCTTAGAAGTTTCTTCCACCAGATACCCTAAATCATCTTTCTCAAGTTCAAAGTCCCACAGATCTCTAGGGCAGGGGCAAAATGCTACCAGTCTGTTTGCTAAAGCACAGCAAGAGTCAACTTTATTTCAGTTCCCAACAAATTCCTCATCTCCATCTAAGACCACCTCAGCCTAACTTCACTGTCCATATCATTATCAGCATTTTGGTCAAAGCCATTCAACAAGTCTCTAGGAAGTTTCAAACTTTCAAACTTTCTAAGTTTCAAAGTTTCTGAGCCCTCTGTCTCTAGGAAGTTCCAAACTTTCCCAGATTTTCCTGTCTTCTTCTGAGCCCTCCAAATGGCTCCAACCTTTGCCTATTACTCAGTTCCAAAGTTGCTTCCGCATTTTCGGGTATCCTTATAGCAGCACCCAACTCTACTGGTATCAATTTATTGTATTAGTGCATTCTCACCCTGCTATAAGGACATAACTGAGACTGGGTAATTTATAAATGAAAGAGGTTTAATTGACTCAGTTTCGCAGGGCTGGGGAGGCCTCAGGAAACTTACAATCATTGTGGAAGGGGAAGCAAACATGTCATTCTTCACATGGCAGCAGCAAGGAGAATTGCAGAGCGAAGTGGGGGATGCCCCTTATAAAACCATCAGCTCGTGTGCGAACTCACTATTACGAGAACAGCATGGGGGTAACAGTCCCCATGATTCAATTACCTCCCACTGGGTCCCTCCCACCACACATGGGTATTATATTCCCATAACTACAATTCAAGATGAGATTTGGGTAAGGACACAGCCAAACCATATCATGCTCTAACCTCTACCTTACGCTGTAGTGGAGGAAATGTGGTGCCTATTTCAGGGATGTGACAGTAAGAGCCAGATACATGAACTGGCATGCCCAAGGTAACATAGAGTTAGAGAGGGAGGGGAATGAAAAACTAACAATTTCCAAGCTCTAAATATGCACTGGCACTGGAAGAAGTACTTTTTTTTAATGATATGAAATATTTATATCATATACCTAATACGTGTCAACACACGATCCATTGGGATAGCATTTTGATTTATTCATTTTACAATTGAGAGAACTGAAAATCAGAGAATTAACGCAAATTCTCTCAAAATCACAGAACTGGTAGGTGGCAGGGCTGACATTCAATGCCAAATTCAAGTTCTTTCCAATAAGCGCAGTTCTGTCTTGAGAGGTGTGGCTAAGAGCAGAACCCAGATGCCTATGAGGAGAAGCTGGAAGTCCTTCTTTAAGGTCACTTTGCCTTTGCAACATGAGAGATGGTTCAGGGCTCTCCTATCCAGGAGGTGTTTGTAAAACAGCGGACATCCATTTGTGCAATGCATTTAGACTCTGCCCTCCCAGAAGTCTGGATGATGGGCAAGAAGCGCTAAGGCTCATTTCTCATCCAGGCAATCATGGGGAATGAGTGTAAACAGCCTCAATTCACAGGTGCACCTGAATGTGGGATATGGCATCAATGTTTAAGCCCTTTTAAATTTCTTCACTTGCAGAGCTCAATAAAGATTACATTACTGGAAAGGAAAGGAAATCACCTGCACTGAAATATGACATGAGGGTGGAAAAGAATCTAAATGTCTGCTGGGGACAAAGACCTCCTCTGGTGCTGCTACACACACAGGCAAATTTCCAGCCTCATGGGTGCAAAATGGCCATATCCAGTCCCCTACTATTCAGGTGGTTTTTAGCCCACACAAAGTTTTATAAAAAGTTAAGTCCTAATGCAAAATCTTGGAAAGTTCACATACATATCTAGAGTTCCAGCCTCTTGAGGAAAGTGGAAGAGCTGGCAACACTGGGTCCCACATTCCTCACATGTGCCCCAAGGCAGCATAGGCACCCAACCCTGGGCCACTGTACCCACTTACATTACCTGGTATGCCTCAGAGTTTGTGAACCTACCCTAGCCTAAAAGGAAGGTCCTAGCTTATTCAAAGCTTTGAAAAAAATCCTGCTGAGAAAAGACTGAAGGAATGCTTTTTGGCACCATCTCCTGTTTCATTAGCCACAGCTGCCTTACTATGTATTTGGACCAATAAAATTGACTCTCGGAGAAAGCAAACCAATGAAATTCATAGGCAATGAGGAGAGCTCAATGAAAAAGTGAGGGGAAAATGATTTAAAAAGATACACTTGGGTGGCAGAGTAGGGAAGTGGCCCTTTAGAAACTGCATATAATCTGTGCCAGGATTTCTCAGCCTAGGCACTAGCGATATTTGGGGCCAGATAACTTTTCAGTGGAGAATAGTCCTGTGCTTCGTAGGATGTTTAGCAGCATTCCCTGGCCTTTATCTACTAGATGCCAGAGCACCCCACCACTGTTGTGACCACACACGATGTCTCTGGACATCACCAAATGTCCTCCAGGGACTAAACTTACTCCAGTTGAGAACCACTGGTCTATGTATAACTCAACTTAGAGAGCAGCTATGAACCCAAATCATGTAAATGTGAACAAAACATTCACATTTTCCCACTTGTCACAATGCTCAAGTTATACTTTATCTCAGTTTCTGTTTTAAACAGAACAATGTAAAAGTGTTTACAAATTATGAAGCCTTTATGTATCACACTGACTTTGGGACACAATAGCAATTTTCTTTAATTTACGAAGAAATGGGAGTCTGCATATAATTATCTTTCTACCAAATTTCTAGGACTACAGATGGGGGAATAAGCCAAGTTTCTTGAGGAAATAGCCTTGTATTTCTTTATATGAACTGTTTTTTTCTCCTTGGGTGGGGCAGGATCAGGTATGGAACACCCTCTGATAGTCAACAGTTGTATGAATGGATGTTTAGCATTTAGAGAAGACTCAGGAGACATTGTGGTTCTTTCCTTTTATTTAGAGGACTAAACATGGTGGATGAAGAGACTTACTGGCCAGCCCTCCATGGGCCAGAATGAAAATTCAGGAAGATATCATAGGAAGACAGTCTAGCCAGCAAATGGAACCAGTGGAATGAGCTGCCTCAAAACAAAGCATCATTCATTGTGGCTTCCATTTGGTTGTATTCTGTCTTGCACCCCTCCACTTTGTGAGAAACCAGGTCAGGAGCAGCCCTATGCAAAAAGCTAAGGGGTAAGTCTCCAGCTGAAAGCTATACTAGTGAGCCTGGGAACTGCTCCTCCAGCCCCAATCAAGCCCTAAGATGACTGCAGCCCCATCTTTGCTTGGCTGCAACTTCACAGGAGCCCCTGAACCAGAACACCCAAGCTAAGCTATTCACAGAAGCTGTTTTACAAGATAAATGTTTGTTATTTGAAAAATAAAAATAAAAAGATAAGAAAAGATGCCCAGTTAAATGCAATGTGGTATCCTGAATAGGATTCTGGAAGAGACAAATAACATTAGTGTGGAAACTGGTGAAATCTGAGTGAAGTCTATAGTTTTGTTGATAGCAATGCACCAATGTTGGTTTCTTAGCTGTGATAAATGTACCAAGGTAATACATTTATGGTATTAATGTTACCATAATAGCATTGAGGTTATGTTATTATGTTAACAGGGCAAACTGGGTAAGGGGCATAAGGGAACTCTATACTATCTTCATAACTCTCTGTAATTCTAAAATTATTCCAAAATTAAAAAAAAATAAGTCCTTTCTCCCAGGCACCAGATGTATTCAAGCAAAGGTTGGAAACTCACTTATCAAGCATGTGAGAAAATGGAGGCCTGTATTGCTCACTGAAGTGCTCCACAGAACTGAAAGCTCAGTTTAGTGACAAGAAGGGAGGTGACTCACAAGCCAGGCTGAAACTAGTGAAATAATCTCCTATTTGCATCTCCTTGATCTGAAAGAAAACATGTGCCTAAGCTGACATGAAACATCTATTATGTTTGCCATTCTGGTGGAGCCTGTTTGCTGGAAAGGGAGTGGACAGCTAACAAGATGGACCAGATTTGTTTTTATGGGGCTGGTGATTTTTTCATAGGTGGCTTATTAGGTTGTTGTAAGATTCTAAATCTTAGGTTCTCTAAATCCTTTTTCTGCTTAAGTTATCCAGACAGTATTTTTCATTTGCATTCATGAACACCGATTATTTGATTAGTACAGAAATCTATTTTTAAGCTCCAATGCCTATTCTGTAAACCAAAATATTGTTTTTAAAATAAAATATAACATCTCTTTACATATATATGTACATATAAATGTGAATTGAGTTATATGATCTGTGGATATCCTGTAAAAAGGTTTAGTAATACCATATTTTGTCCTTTATTAAAACTAAAATTCATTATTTCATCTCATTATTTCTCACTTTGAGGGCTTTTCTTTGTGGCTTTCAAGCCACAGACCTCCCAAAAAATAAGGCAAGAGAAAGACTGAACCAGATATTTTATTTCCAGTTTGGAACAGGAGGTTTGTTAAAGAAGTAACAATATTATTAATGACCCCTGGCACTTGGGAGCCATTCATTGTGCCTGTACTCCATGTTTGGTGCTTTCTAATGATTAATCCCAGCAACATAAGTTAAATTGGCCCAGTAAGTTTACATAGGAAAACAGGTGTTACCTGAGGACAAGTCAGGCTGGACAAAGGATCCACTTACTGCCATTGCCACCCCGAGTGGAATGAATTCAAAATTGCTCCTTCTACTTTGAGTTGCCTGCTTCATATTCAAAGTCTATCCCAAGAAATGGAATGGATAGCAGCTCTGATAGAAAAGAGGAATAGTAATCTAGGAAAGCGAAACCAGTGGGACCAGGAAAGGGAAAACAGTGGGACCAATGCAATGCTCTGGTTTAAGAGTTAACCTGGGATGAATCCCAGAGATTTAGGAAGGGAGCCAAAACAGGGATCTCTTCCCTATTCTTAAGCAAGTATTCTCTGCCCAGGGATGTTGTACCATAGAACATGATGACTATTCTTGGCTTGGGAATATTATTTACAATATAATAGTTATCTGTTTAAATGTCATCTTCCATACACTGATCTATCCATCCACCCATCCACCCTTTGATTGATCAATAGGTGAGATTCTGAGCTAGGTGCTATGAACCCAGATGAATGAATGCTATCTCTGCCTTTGAAAAATTCAAAATTCAGTGCTAGAGATAGACATGTGGAAACCTAATTAAAGCAAAATGAGGCCGGGCATGGTGGCTCGTATCTGTAATCCCAGCACTTTGGGACACCGAGGCAGGTGGATCCCTTGAGCTAAGAAGTTTGAGACCATCCTGGGCAACGTGCTGAAATCCTGTCTGTACTAAAAATACAAAAATTAGCTGGGCATGGTGGCACGTGCCTGTAGTCCCAGCTACTGGGTGGGGTGGGGTGGGGTGGGGGGCTGAGGCAGGGGGATCGCCTGAGCCTTGGGAGGTTGAGGCTGCAGTGAGCTATGATCGTGTCACTGCACTCCAGCCGGAGCGACAGAGTAGTGTCACTGCACTCCAGCCTGGGCGACAAAAAAAAAAAAAAAAGCAATATGAAGAAATGCTTCAGTGAGGAGAAGACATTTACTAGGTGCCAGGACAAAAGAGAGAAGACTGCTTCCAGTTCTGCTTGCAAAGGCTAATGTTTGAGTTCAACCTTAAGGGATGAAGTTATCCCTCTCTGGGGTCTTTGAATTTTGGTGGGGGTTTCCACCAGCTTAGTTTAGGACATCCTTCCTTTCTGATTACCCTATCCCTTTTAATGTTTGATTCCTTATAATCCAACCCTTTACCAACTAAGCATTCTATTGGTGAAAAAGATGAGAAAATTGCAAATTCAGGAGTGGATTGCTAGTTTCTTAAGTGGGAACCAGGGTTCAAGAGAGGGGAAAATAATAATTGTGGAAGAAAACAATCTATATGGAAAATAATGGAAAACGTATTCAAGCCCAAACTGGTCCCATCATTCAGGCAATGCTGGATACGTGTGTGTGTGTGTGTGTGTGTGTGTGTGTGTGTGTGTGTGTGCGCGTGTGTCATCTTCAAGAAATCTTTCATACCCTAGATTGTTGGTTATTTAACCAAACTCATGTTATCAAAGTTTTTGCTTATTAACTTATACTTAACAGTTCTTCCACTAACTTTAATTGAAATAGACAAAGGCAGATAGGAACAGGGTGATTGGTTCACTTTTGTTGGTATAAGTCCCAGTGAATTAAACACTTTCTTTTTCCTGCTAGCACTTTGTGGGCTAGGATTTCCAAAATCTCTTTCCAAAGTGTCTATGTTTCCCTGGAGAAGAAAATGTTTTATGGTATTCTTAAGCAATAGCGATGCCTCTCCTTAGGGCTGAGGCTCCCCAAAGTACTTGTGAAATGTACTAATCCCCACAGTTTACATGTTGAAGTGGTGGTGAAATTATCAAAGGTGTGGTCAGAAAATAAGAACATTCTGTGAGTCTCTCACTGCTGTAGAGAAAGTCGACTCTTGGAGGTCACCATGCCTTCAGTTAAACACTAAGAAGAAACCTATTCTGTTTTGTGTAAATTATTCTGGCAGGGTGATTAGTTCTAAAATTTTTCTATATCATCTTCAAGAGGAGAAAAAAAACTTCTGGATCCTCGAACCTCAAAGCAAGTGGTTTTCTATTACAGAAAAATCATTAAGATATTTGATTTGTTGAACACGTCTCCTTGTTCCGTCAAAACATGAGGTAGGGAAGCTGATCTCATGGTTTAGATGCCATAGCTTTAAAGGCTCAACTATGGTTTTTCCTTAACTAGGTGTTCTTTGTAATCACTGCTTGCTGTAAGAACTGCTAATGATCAAATTATGCCCTAGAAGGATCTTTTACTTGCTTTCATTTTTCCACAGTCAAGTTATATGATTTTTTTTAAAGAAGATTTTTTTTTCAAAGCTTTCAGCACATGTCTCAAAGGGGCAGCTCTGCTGCTGACTTTTCATGATCTAGGAGCTAGTATGTCCTTCCAGGCTCCTGAATTTGTATCTTTCATTGAACAGTCCTTAAATGGAGGACAATACTTTTAGTTTAGTCTAGGTAGGCACTGTATTTGTAGAGACAGGAGTTTCCAAATATCGGGGCAGGGAAAATGGCTTTTGCCAAGTCATTTTTTTAAGCTACATTTCATTCCTGGAGTGTAAATGAAAGGAAGTAGGCAGGAGAACAAAAATACAAAAATCATTTTTCCCTAATAAATATTCTAGGTGGTTAACTCAAGAAAATTAAAACCCAAATTTTGGGAGTCTTATCATTACTTGTTAAAGTCTTGGAAATGCCTAGAATTTCCTGCCAGTTGCTCCCATGAAAACAGCTCTCTCTGATTCAGTACCTGAAAAGATGATGCAATTAAATGAAACTATTATACTACCTATCCTTTTCTTATCCATTCCATGTTTTTGATTATCCTTTGAGCCATTCAAAACAATTCCATATGCTATGGAAACACTATATACATAAATGTGCTATGATTGAATTTTTAATGTATCTCATTTAATTTTTCAAATATTTATTGTGCTGTAGGTATGTATAAGGCACTGTGCTAGACGCTAAAGCAAATAAAATAAGAATGGTTTCCTCTCTATCACTTGTCTGCAATGGCAGAAGATGACAATGTTCTTCCGTATACCAGTAGTTTTTAATCTAAATCCATCTCTATCCTGCTCCCCTCCACCTACTCACTGCAATTCTTCCTTGCTCCATTTTGTCAGTTGCTCATCCTCCATGCAACTCATCCTGGGATGAGTTATCACCCCAAACTCGGGAAATGAACCCTTAGTTCAAGCCAATCCCAGTGATTTATTTCTACTTCCCAGTATTGATTTGGGCACTGGCAGGTGTTGCAATTCTAGGACATGAGAAGGGAATATTGCTAACTTCTCAGTCATCAAACAAGATAGTAATAGTGAAAGTAATAACTTGTAATGAAGATTGACTTATTAAAGTTACCCATTTAATGCATAACTCATGTGTCTATAGACTGCATGGTGGCATCAGTTGTTTAAACCAGTCATAAAAATATTGACTTTTATTTTTTGCTTAATGCCACCAAAGGAACTCATCTCACCTTGAAAAAATATTTGGTCACATATGCAGTCATGTGCCACATAACAATGCTTTGGTCAACAGGCCATATATAAGACAGTGGTCTGAAAAGATTATAATGGAGGTGCTTCATACAGCTATACTATTTTTTATCTTTTATGCAATATTTCTACTATGCCTTTTCTATGTTTAGATACATAGATACCTACCATTGCATTCCAATTACCTACAGTGTTCAGTACAGGAACATGCTGTATAGGTTTATAGCCTAGGAGCAGTAGGCTCTACCATATCGCCTAGGTGTGTAGTAGGCTATGCCATCTAGGTTTGTGTAAGTATACTCTATTAAGTTTTGCACACTGTCAAAATCATCTAATGATGCATTTCTCAGTATGAATCTGTCATTAAGCAATGCATGACTGTAATATAAGCACTAAAACATCTAAGAATAACAAAGGTCTGATCCTTAAAAAGCACACAATTACTACATCATGAAATTAAAATAATGAAGAAATTGAAATGAACAGGAATAGTATAGTTGAACAACTGCATAAAAAATAACAATGAATTACTATAATATTAATTTCAAATTAGGGGTTGGCAAGCTTTTTTTCTGTAAAGATCCAGAGAATAAATACTTTTGATCTTGTGGGCCATAAGGTCTCTGTCAAAACTACTCAACTCTGCCACTGTAGCACTAAAGCAGTCACAGGCAATACAGAAAGAAATGGACATGGCTGGGTTTTAATAAAAATATAAAAACAGGCAATGGACTGGCTATGGCCCATGAGCTTAGTTTGCCCACATCTATCTTAAGTGAAAACCTGTTAAACTACTCTTCCAGAGCTTTCCATATGTAAAGCTCTAGTAACACCCACTAGTTGAATTTTTAAGTAATCTTGAGGGCTTGATTCCAAATGACCTAAAAAGGCTGATTGGTTAAAAAATACACTCAGCATTAAATTTCAACGTATACGTATTTGCTTTTATTTTGCCCATGGGGAAACCAAGAAAAAAGGCAAAATGTTCATGTTTGAAGGATGGGATATTCTTCATAATTATCAAGTTTATTTTGGGCTATGATCCCAAAAGAGAATATAGTGCAGTCTTGAAATCTTTGAAAGGTGCCAGAATATTTCAGAAACTGCAGTGACAGAAGTTTTGGTCAAGATGCCAAAGTCTTGTGCAATAGTGGTTGCTGCTCCAACAAGACATACGAATATGTATAAATATGACCAGTTGAGACAAGACCTTGGATAGAAAACGATATTGTCTGAGAACATAAAGGAAGTAATTTGTGAATACCATGGTACAAAGCACATGGCTTAAAGAATCCCACACCTGCTTGGCACCAACATAGCATCATATAGTGGCAGCAGACACTTGAGAACTTTACATGGTAAAAACCCTGGGGTGCTAGGAAGAGCATCCAAGAAGAAAATTACAAAATAACCTGCAGGATAATGTCTTTGTCATTCTTGGCTTTTACCAGAGTGGGTGGATGAGGCAGCTTCTATCTAAAGGGTCACCAAAGTCAACTTGGACAGATCATCTCCACTGCTCTATCTTTTAATATAATTGATGCATCTGTGTTTTCTCTGTCTATTGACTAGGAACTACTCGATGATAGGAACTCCTTTTGACATAGTGTTGAATCCTCTATCGCAGCTAGACCTTAAAGCCCCACATATGTATCTCCTTCAGGTTGCATAACCCTTGGTATTATGAGGAAAGAGCTGTGAGGCCTTGTAGGAAGCCCTCTGGGTGTCACTCCCTCAGTTTGGCTCTAGAGAGAGAAGGCATAAGATACTCAGGTATGGCTCTAGCCTTAGGTTCATCACCATGGCCCTATGGAAAAAGAAGTTCCCGTCCACCTTATCAAGGCCCTGAGAGCCACAGCAAAGATCAACTAATTTTTCCATACTGATATTTTTGTTGCTTCCTTTGTGATTCCCTGTTCTCTATTCCATATACCTTCCAAGACTGTGTTATTGAATAGTGGTTTATAACCTATTAATAAATCAAGAAAATTCAGTGGATCATGAAAACATATTTTGAAAATGAAAGAGAATCAGATAGAAGAGGATAGGAGAGAATATTATAAAGAATATCCAAATGTATCTCTGATAAAGATAAGCTGTTTGGCTTCATGCATTTCCTGGGCTGAGATGTAAAATGTACTTCTCACTGCAGATAGGTTGTGGACAAAAAATCTGCAACCTGCTGTTCTAAGACAAGTAAACAAATAAAAGTCTGTGGTGCATTCTGAGAACAGGCTGCAAACTAAATGGATTTCTTCTTTTATATGAAATAGATAGTATCTCATATAAAATGGCTTTGATAGTAAGATCAGTAGACAATAGGGAGCCTTGGGATTTTTGTTTGCTTTTTGTTTTTCCAACAAAGGAGTAGCCACTGTGGTTGAAGTTTCACTCTGGTGATTTTACGTGTGGTAGATAGAATAGAGGAGAAGCCCTGAATTGAGGAAAGTAGGTAGGGGTTCTATGACTATAATTAAAATCAAGCATAATGATGCAGTGACATAGGGTTGAGGGGAGATACAGGACAAAGTGATATGGTGATGGCAAAAATGACAATGATGATGATGATGATGGTGATGGATAAGTTTTATGGAGAGTATATAAGATGTCAGGAAGTGATTTAAGCTCATTATGGTTATTATTTCATTTAAATCTCACATCAACCCTATGAGACCATCAATGAAAGCTGGAAACTGAGCATGAAGTGAAGGAGTAAGGAAGTGTTGAGGTTGTTTTAAAATCATTACTGGAGACACTGGGGACAGTGGGAGAAAGGTGATCGATGCTCTTTAGAGATATGGGGAAGAGTGAGAGAAAGAGCTTAATTTAAAAGCTTATTATTAAATAATATGCCTGCACGCATCCATTCACATCTCAAAGATTTGCTGAGGGCCACTTGTGTATTAGGCAGTACAGATGATGTTCCAGATCAAAGACCAATAAGACGTAGCCCTACTCCATGGGAAGTCACCATCCTTTGTGTGAAGATCACAGAAAAGGTGATTGTGGACACACAGAAGGTACAATCAGCTCCACAGTTCACAGAATAGAGACCTTTGTTGAGGGCCTCTGGGCACAGTGGTCTCATTATTCCGTGATCATCCCTATTTGGTGGTGTTTGCTTCCCATTGGCATTTCTACCTACAGTGGATTTTGTGGATTCTGCACCAGGTTTCAACCTTATTTTTACTTACACAAAAGGCTTTGGCAGACAGTTCTAGCACATCACCTCTTCAACTGGGCATTGCCAGAAAGAATAACAGAAATAGGACAGTTAAATTTTTCTGTCAAGGGTTGTTATATAAACACCCAATCTCAATTTCCTTGCCTACCAGGTTACTTTTATTTTCTAAATCAACATTTAAATCACAAACTGAAGACAGCTGCAGTGTTGGCCTAGCAAGAATGTAATTTTCCTTATTTCATTGAGTTGTGTACTTGGATTTGACATTGCCTAAGGGATAATGGCGAGGGATCATTTTATAAGGAAGCCATATAATTGAGCAATTTTGAGGCATTGGGGTACTCTTTTATGAGACTCTTCTCCATATTTTCTTAAACCATCAGCTATTCCTCATTCCATGATACTGTTTTCAAAATGCATAAACAAAGCCTTTCTCAATTGTGATATCAGAAATGAACTGATACAAGAAGAAAACAGCTCTAAAGAAAACACAAATATGCATTTCTGTCTTATAGAACCATTCAACTGTAAATATTGGTTTACAATATAATAAGGTTAAGCCATAATGCCTACACTAACGTGCTATAGTGATTGTGGCAGGAATAAGTTATTTTCTTTCATTTTACCTTAGATCAGGCATCAGCAAATTTTTCCTGTAAAGGGCCAGATAGTAAACTTCTGAGACAATGTCACAACTACTCAACTCTGACATTGAGTGAAAACAGGCATAGACGAATTGTAAATGAATGAGCATGGCTGTGTTTCAGTAAGACTTTATTTACAAAGACAGATGGTAAGCTTGGTTTGGCCATGGTTCAGTTGCTAACCCCTGATTTTGACCATTTGTATTAAAATGTTACCAAAATAATATTAATTGGACCTAACATACTACTTGATATACAAAAAGTGCTCTTTGGATGTGTTTTAAATAAGTGAAAAGTTTGTGTAGACCATTAGGTTTTGCTTAATTTCTTGACTATTTTTTACATTTGTTTCCTGGTTCTGTGACTAAGAGTTGGCCATTTACAAACTAGATAGTCTGATCCAAGAGCCTATGCCAAGAGTAGCCATTTGAATAATCAGATAGTCCATGCTTGCCTCCATGGAGTAATTTTGGGCTCACAGGGAAAATGATTGGTTCCTGATTTCAACCACTAAAAATGTCTCCAGATTCTCAAAAGCATTTTCAAAAGTCTCTTTTTGAACCATGTTAAGTTTAGAAGGGGTAACAAATTAAGCTCATCAGCTATTTTATCTTATTAGTTATTCAGTGTGTACATCTCCAGGCTAAATGGATATACAGGAGGGAGGAGCCACAAGATGCAAGAAGCCTGGGTCCCTGAATAACGGCCTGGAAGAGAGTTTGCCCTTCTCACCCCATTGCCAACCTGCATTAGATAGTGCTTCAGTAAGAAATATACTTTTGTAGTGGTGTTAAGGCACTGAGTGGTTAGCCTACCCCAACAAATACAAGTATGTATCTGTGAGATACAGTCTTAGAAGTAGAATGGTTGGGCCATTTAAAATTTAGAAAAATGCAAGAACCCAAAAGCAAATGCAATAAAAAGAAAGATAAATAGCTGGGACTTAATTAAACCAAAGAGCTTTTGCACACCAAAAGGAAAAGTCAGCAGAATAAACAGACAACCCACAGAGTGGGACAAAATCTTCACAATCTATACAATTGACAAAGTACGAATATACAGAATCTACAACAAACTCAAACACATTAGCAAGAAAAAAACAAACAATCCCATCAAAAAGTGGGCTAAGGACACGAATAGAAAATTCTCAAAAGCAGATATACAAATGGACAACAAACATATAAAAAATGCTCAACATCACTAATGATCAGGGAAATGCAAATCAAAATCACAATGTGATACCACCTTACTCCTGCAAGAATGGCCATAATCAAAAAATCAAAAAATAATAGATGTTGGTGTGGATGCGGTGAACAGGGAACACTTCTACACTGCTGGTGGGAATGTAAACTAGTACAGCTGCTATAGAAAACAGGGTGGAGAGTCCTTAAAGAACTAAAAGTAGAACTTCCATTTGACCCAGTAATCTCGCTACTGGGCATTTACTCAGAGGAAAAGAAGTCATTATACAGAAAAGATACTTGCACACACATGTTTACAGCCACACAATTCGCAACTGCAAAAATGTGGAACCAACCCAAATGCCCATCACTCAATGAGTGGATAAAGAAACTGTGGTATATATATAAGTATGATGGAATACTACTCAGCCATAAGAAGGAATGAATTAATGGCATTAACAGCGACCTGGATGGGATTGGAGACTATTATTCTAAGTGAAGTAACTCAGGAATGGAAAACTAGACATTGTATGTTCTCACTAATAGGTGGGAGCTAAGCTATGAGGATGCAAAGGCATAAGAATGACACAATAGACTTCAGGGACTCAGGGAGAAAGGGTGGGAAAGGGGTGAGGGATAAAAAACTATGAATTGTGTTCAGTGTATACTGCTTGGGTGATGGCTGCACCAAAATCTCACAGATCACCACTAAAGAACTTATTCGTGTAACCAAATACCACCTGTTCCTAAAAAACCATGGAAATAATAAATAAATAAATACAATTTAGACAAATGTTGCCAAATTGCCTTGCACCCTGTTGCAACAATTTACACCTCTACCAACAGTGTATGAGAGTGTTTGTTTCCCCACGAAGTGTATCATCCAACTTTTGGAGCCATGCCACTCTGAGAGAAAAAAAAAATCTCCTTGGTGTTTAGGTTGCATTTCTTTAATGAATGTGAGGGAGAGCATCTTTTCAAATCTATTTATACCACTTGTATTTTTCTGTGAGCCACCTGTAATTTGTCTATATTTTAGATTTTCTTTTTATATTAATTTGTAATAAAGTTTTATGCAATAGAGAAGTTAGCCTTTAGTTTGTCAAATGTGCTATAAAGTTTAGTTATTTGCTTATCTGTCAGAGATAATTCTATTTTTTTAAAATGTAGTGAAACTTGTTCCTCTCTTTGTTTATGTTTTCTGGGTAGGCCTTCCCTAGTGTAAAAAAATATATATCTACCTATGTTTTCTGCTGGTGCATCATTTATAGTTTCATTTTTTAATCTTTAAATCTTTCTTCCATATCAATTTATTATTTTCTTAATGATGATTGTCTCATTATCTCAAATACAATAATAACCCATCTTTTTCCCTTTACAAAAATACCGTATTTATCACGTAATAAATTTTCATATGTATTTTGGTTCATTTTTAATTCTTCAGTTTTGTGACACATTTTAATAAATGGACAGGGTTAATCTCCATTTTATCTCTTTATCAGATTTCCCCTGACTACCTTCACTTAATTATTTTCCCAGATGATGTTTAGATTAATTTAGTAAAATCATCAAAAAGAAAAATTCTGTTGGTACTTTATTTTGGAATCACATTCAGCTTATAGATAATTAATGACAAAATTTACAGCTTTATATTATTGAATTACTTCCTAATTTCCTTTCTTATCCAGTTGAGACTCTGTGTTGTGGGATTAGAATCATTCCTTTGGATACTGTATTAGCTTCCTAGTGCTGCTATAACTAATGACAAGAGACTTAGTGTCTTAAACAACTCAAATTTATCATCTTACAGTTCTGGAGGCCAGAAATCTGAAATGGGTCTCGCTGGGCTAAAATTGAGGTGTCAGCAGAGCTTTGTTCCTTTCTGGAGGCCCCTTGGGAAGAATTTGTCCCTTTGACTTTTCTAGCTTGTAGAGGCCATCTGCATTCCTTGGCTCATGGCCCCTTTCTCCATCTTTGAAGCCGGCAACATTGCATCTCTCTGACCATGCTTCCATAGTCACATATCTCCCTGATTACAGCTGGGAGAATTTCTGCACTTTAAAGTACCCATGTGATTAGTTTGAGCCCACCTAGACAATCCAGGATAATCTCCCTATCTCAAGGACCTTAACTCATCACGTTTGCAAAGTTCCTTTTGGCCTGTGAGGTATTATATTCACAAGTTCCAGGGATGTGGATGTGGCCATCATTGGGGGTCCATTATTTTGCCTACTACAGATATATTCTCAACTGCCATGTCCCTCTTCACCTTCATTGAATTGAACTAGAAAAGTCCTAACTCAAAAGAGGATATTTGGATTAACTAAGGCTGGGGAATTAAAAGTCCGATATGGTGTATTTAGCTTAACAGTGTTTAGATACCAGGATGTTTATTTTTCATTTAAAATTCCCAGCTACTAACCTCAAACGGACCTTTTGGCCTGTCCTGCAATCCTGTGACATTGCTGGCCCGTTAGCTGCCCTCTCTTCCACTCCTCTCCTCTTTCCTCAAACCTCCAGGACCTCTTCGCCATCCTCACGCCTAGTGGATTAAATTGCTTCCTATTTTGTTGGACGCTGAGACGCAATCTGGAGTAAAATCCCACGTGCCCTCCCACCATCTTCTAACTCACTTGCATCAGTGTCCATATAACTAATGCCCATCTATCATTATAGTGTAAAAGAAGGTCAAACCCTCCACTTGTGCTCTGGATCCCACCCTTGTGGTCTACTCTAGGAAATCACCCAGTAATTTCCCAACTCCCCCATCCTCAATTCTTTCCTCTCTATGGTAAATTCTGGCAGCTGATGATCATGTTATAATAGCATTCATTTGAACCCTGGAAGCACCAGACTCACAGGAGAGGGTTCTACAAATAGATAACCACAAATAAATCCCTATGATCATCCTAATGTGACAGAGAACAGAAATGTGAGCTTGACTATGTGTCCATTTTCATTGTATCATGATTTTCATTATATCCTATTAGGTTTGGCATCATTTCTTTAGGCTTTAGGTCCTGGCTACAGTATTTATTTTCCTGTGAAAATTATTCACACAGTGAATCTGACCCTGTTGAGAACCTCCATTTGAAGGTTTGCATGGGGATCAAGTGGCCACATTTAGACCAAAGCTACTGTCATAGAGCTTGCCACCAGCCACACATTCCAAGGATCTCAGTAAATATTTGATGTCTATATTCATATGCCCAATTCAGTAGCTTCAGAAACCCTCATGCGATGCCTGTTTCTTTCACCAGCCACACAATTCCCTCTCTCCTCTATAAATGAGAAAATTATTTGTAAATCATTAGTTCCTATTTTGACAGAAAATATGAAAATAACTGCTGTGGCCTGGGAATATCTTCAAACATTTCGATAGCACAAATCTTTCTCTGGATGTGCGGATAACCACACAGCCTCAGAAATAATTAATGGAGACAGAGCCTCTAGTAGACAAGTTTTATAAAATTGTTTTTGGTAAAGGTTATTTGTTTAGTGGACTCTTTAACAAGCAGGAACAAAGAAAAAAATCAACTGGATTTAAAAACAAAGCCACAGAGAGTATCTGTTCCCTGATATCTTATCTGATGTGCATTCAAACCAAGTTTCAAAAACTTTTCAAAGTCATCATTCTCTTCACTACAAATTAAGTTTGCTAACAATATTGCCATTTTTTTTTCCTTAGGAATGAAAAGAATGTCTGTGCTTATTAAAGGGAGACAAAACTCTTGGCCCGGGCCCCACATGGGCCACTTTGTGAGTTATGTTGGAGGGAGAACAGGCCTCATCTCCACCCTACAACCAAACCAATACCAGGTAAGGCAGGAGGGCGTTTCTCAAGGATAAGAGCGACACGGCCTGACAGTCACTAGTATTCATTTTTCACAATTGCCTAAGTGATTTTCTTCTTATTTGAGCTGAGGGTCTCTATGTGTGAGATTAGCATGAAAAAATAAAACAGGGTGGGGATTTCCTCTTGGAAACAACATGCTGTGGTTGTGGTAGTGAACAAACCGTGACAAGAAAGCCAAAGGTGCAAGGCATATGCCAGTGAAATATGCATGTCTTGTCAGCCCATTGGCCTTGTCTATCTCTCTCTTCTGAACTCTGTCATAACCTCCAATGGAGTCTCAGGTTCTGCTTCAAGAAAAAACGTGGCCCTAAGACTCACTATCCAAAGAAAAACTCTGGTCAGTGTTTTTGTGCTACTCTTTCTGGTCAAAGAACTGAGCCTCCTACCGCAGAGGCAAGTCGCCCAAGCTCACAGGTGTGAGGAGTGACAGGATGAGTTCACAAGTCCTAGTCTTTAGACCTCCAAGCCAGCATTCTTTCTGTTAGCCACAGCTGAGCCAAGAGAACTGCACCACTGGCACTGTGGGTGACAGAATGTGAATGTATGTGTGTACAGCAAGGTAGGTCAACTTCAGCACATGGGGCCTGATAATTTTTGTTGCAGGGGGCTGTCCTATTTATTATAGGGTGTTGGTCAGCATCCTCAGCCTTTACCCACTAGATGCTAGGAGCATCCATCCCCTAAGCTGCAAAAACCAAAAGTATATCCAGACATTGCCAGATGTCCCCAGGGCATGGGGAGCAAAATCAACCCTGCTTGAGAACCACCTATTTGTGTGTATATGTGTATACATATATATGCACATATGTTGTGTATATATATATGAACTATTTATGAATAAATATTCATGAAGCATCCCCTCGACCTCCTCCAAAAGAAAACAAAGTAGAAGAGAAGTTTTGCAGATACCAAAATCCTCCGTGGAAATGTTCTAGTTTCTAGAAGCTTCCTATCCCTCTTCTGCTTTCCTTTAAGTTTCAGGCACCCTGCCCAATGTTGCTTTTCATGGCAGATTTACTTTATGTGTATAACATCATAGTTTTTCATTCTGCCTCAAAGTAGCTGTCTGCTACATACTAATACAAATTAAAAAGTGCCTTTATAGGCCAGGTGCAGTGGCTCACGCCTGTAATCCCAGCACAGCACTTTGGGAGGCTGAGGCAGGCAGATCACAAGGTCAAGGGATTGAGGCTATCCTGGCCAACATGGTGAAACCTTGTCTCTACTATAAACACAAAAATTAGCTGGGCGTGGTGGTGTGCACCTATAATCCCAGCTACTTGGGAGGCTGAGGTAGGAGAATCACTTGAACCCAGGAGGTGGAGGTTGCAGTGAGCTGAGGTTGTGCCACTGCACTCCAGCCTGGCAACAGAGCGAGACTCCATCTCAAAAAAAAAAAAAAAGTGCCTTTATAGACAACAGTAAACATACAGAGACAAAGTTTTATGGATTCAAGGAATTCAAGTACATGTGTCTCATCTTTACTGGAATCAGGATCTGTTTAAAAAACAAACATCAGCCAATCAGGTGTGCACTGGCTCCAGTGCAACATACAACACACCAGCTGAAAAACTGGCTAAAAAGGAGTTAGGTTCGGTAAAATCCCTGATTCTGAGTTGGCATAGGGTCAAACGACAAGTTTAACAGAGTGTTAAGGCATTCTTTTCAAATGGGTTATTTTGAAACCAAACTGAGATAGACACAGCTTTTCTTCTGACCCTTTAAGATGACCTTCCTGAAAATTATTTTTAATTGGTTGTTCAGAATCCATATAGACTGTTGATATACACACAGCTTTCCTTTGTAATGCTCCAAGTTGACCTTCCCTTTAAATAAATGTATTACCTGACATGCAAATTGTCCCTCTTGAACATGTCCTTCAAATGGACACTAATGCCAGCCAACAACCAAGAAGCTGTAGTTTCCTTCCTGTGTGAATATTAGGTGTGAGAAGAGTTCACAGCTCACGGCTTTGGCAGAGCCAATATTTGACTTGCAGTGTTCCCCGGCAGAAAGGCAGAAGAGGCCTTACCTTTGGGAATGGTGATCTGACAGCTCAGGTCACAGTCCTGTTGCAACTGATAAAAAGCCACTTCCTGCAGCCGGGCCCTCTCCAGCTCTGAGAGACTCTGGATGGGGACTGACCTCAGCCGTACACTGCGGCCTGACATGCTGTTCCAGGTGAAATCACCCTGTAGGCCAAAAAAAAAAAAAAAAAAAAAATCAAGAGTTACAGAGTTCACTTACCTCTCACAAATCTCATCCTCTCTTAGTAATAAAGTCAAGCAAACCACCTTTGTGTTCCAAAATTGGGTCTCAATTCCCAAAGTCAAATCCTCTTTTAGTTCACTGTGGATTTTCTCAGTTAGTTGCAAATGTCAAAATCTCAAGTATCTGCTGGGTCACATGATCTTATCTCATTATGCATATAGGCCTGAGGAAACTATGTAGAAAGATACTGTGAGGGTCCTACTTCCTCCTTTTTATGGGAACACATGGGAACTTCTAACTTTTGTGAAACACTGTGCTGCTGCTAATTGCCATCACACACATCAGATATAGGGGGATGAGTGTGTATGGAGAGCCTACCATGTGCCAGCGGCTGCACCAAGGGCATTTTTTAAAATTGGCAAATAAAAATCGTACATATTCATGGGGCACATGGTGATATTTCTATACATATGGTTATTAGATATATATTTCTAATAATTAGTAACTAATCTCAAACACTTATTATTTCTTTGGTTGCTAACATTCAATATCCTCCTTCTAGCTATTTGAGATCATATATTACTGTTAACCATAGTCAAGGGCTTTTTAGTTAATCCCTCCAACAACCTTATGAAGTGGTTAACATTTTTTACCTATCTCATGTAAAATTTAATAATATAATCTAGTATAATATATGAGAATATATTATAATAGTAAAGTTTATACTTATGACATATTATATGAATAGTATAGTAACATATACCAATATAATATAGATGATGAAACTGAGTCTTGAGGAGGTTAAGTAATTCTCCCCAAATCATAAAACTTATAAGATTTGGAATAAGGACTCAAGCTAAGAATGTAGGGCTTTAAACTCTATGCTAATATTGTAACCACTGAGGTTCTATTTGTAGCACTCTCATGAGTTATTGTGAACACAATAAGCTTAGAGTTATGATCAACAGGAAGATGTTCAGTATTTATAGAGACATTTGATGCTAAAATACTCCACATCAAAGAGTCAAAGCAAAGATTTCCACAATCCTAAAAGTGTACTCATGTGTACACATGCACACCCTTGCAGGCCACTGAGGGTAAATGGCTCCACCCTCAATGCAGACAGTAAGAAAGTGACGTCCAAAGAAAAAGTACTTTACAATCCTCTGAAACCCAGTGTCTCCTTACTAAAGACTTCTTGTGAATCTCATGTATCAGGCATGCTGCAACAGATTTGAGGAGGCAGCTACTGTTGCTCAATGATCAAGAAAGAAAAGTTCTATCAGGGAAGGAGAGGTACTGGCCCACGCAGGGACTCATTGCAATAAATGGAACACTTAACAGAATCCCATAAGACTTCACCATCTTAAAGAAGTCACTCGCCTGGACGTGGTGGCTCACACCTGTAATCCCAGCACTTTGGGAGGCTGAGGTGGGTGGATCACCTGAGGTCAGGAGTTCAAGACCAGCCTGGCCAACATGGCAAAAGCCCGTCTCTACTAAAAATACAAAATTAGCCAGGCATGGTGGCGCATGCCTGTAGTCCCAGCTACTTGGGAGGCCGAGGCAGGAGAATCGCTTGAACCTGGGAGGGGGAGGTTGCAGTGAGCCAAGATCACACCACTGCATTCCAGCCTGGGCAACAAGAGCAAAACTCTGTCTTAAAAACATAAAAAAGAAGTCACTCACCTTAAAGAAGGGAGACAGAAAGACTGGTCCCAGCAACAAAGTGCCATAGCACTTTGTTTCACACTGGTGACAAATTCCTGTCTAGTGTATTCATTCCAAAAGTGAATGGCATGATGTTAATTCTTTGATATTTTCCCTCTTTATCTGGGATTTCATTCACTCATTTAATACATGAATATATTATACTCTGGTAGGGGCAGAAAATGAACGGGGTAAGTAAAAGGAATGGTGTGTGAAATAATGATAACTGCTAGGAAGGAGAAAAAGGCAAAGAAGGGGAAGTAGAAGAAAGGAATTTGCAGTTTTAGAGACAGCAGCCAGGAAAGACCTCACTGAGAAGGCAAAATTTGAGCAAGTGTTAAAGAAGTTATGGCTTTTAGTTTCTTTGCCTTGACATGTATGAATTATATCCAGTGGATAATGATGAAGACTAGCAGGAACCCAGGAGGAGCTCAGGGAGGGTGATGCAGGAGGGGATGTGGGGAGAGGAGTGAGTGAGCAAATCTAGTCAAAGTGAGGAGGCTGCAGTCACATTCAGTGAACAGAAGAAAATTCTTCTGGGGCCAGTGTATTTTGAATTTTTTCTTTCTTTTATGTTTTTGGTATAACCAGACTAAGAAAAAATAGGACATATAGACATTATGGTTGGGGACTCAGGCCTTGGGTGTACCCCTCACTCACACCCTCTAAGCTTAGAGAACTACAAGGAACACTATTGGGGAATTTTTTTTATTATTATTTTCTCCCAGATAGAAAGTCCCCAGATGAGTTTATAAATTTTAGATATCAAGCTTAGGTACCTACGGGAGCTGACTGTTATTTGAAGTGTCAAAACAGAATTACATACCTATTCTTTAAAAGCAATCAAAGATGTGACCTCCAATGGGCTTAATTATCTGTAGTAGGGGTTTGACAATCTTTTTCTGTAAAGACCACATAGAAAATATATCAGGCTTTGTGAGCCATGTGATCTCTGTTACAACTACTCAACTCTGGCTTGGTGGGATGAAAGCAGCCACAGATAATTTATAAATCAGCGAGTGTGGCCATATGCCAATAAAACTTTATTTACAAAAACAGCAGGCTGGTTTTGGCTGGCGGGCTAGAGTTTCCCAACCTGTGAACTATAGCTTATGACTGAAATAAAGTAATTCCTAGAAGGGACATTTTGTTCTTATTTACTAAGTCCTCCTGGTTAATTAATTCAAACAATATTTAATAAGCACAGATGAGATGCTAAGCTCTGTGGTAGGCTTGGGACTATTAAGATGACAACACAGTCCTCGTCCTCAGAGTTAACCTTCAGGTAGGAAGAACACAAACAATCCATAAAACACAGAGATTGTGGTACTAGAAGTAAGTACTAAATGCAATGAATGCCTAGGAGACAAGGCTTTGTTATCTATCTGGAGGATCAAGGAAAGCTTTATAGAGAAGGTAGTGTTTCAATGGAGGCTTGAAAGTTGAGTAAGAGGGGGCAGGGTTCGCCCAGTAGCAATGCAACTTTAGCAGCAGGTGCAAAGGCAAATGAGTTTGAGAAAACAGGCTTGTTCAGGGAATTACAAGGCTGGAAGGAGGAAAAGGGCAAGAGGTGAAGCCAAGCAGAAGTCAGGGCCAGATTCTGTAGGGCTGTCTCTGTTGGCAATGCAAACCAGATTAGATTTTCCTCCATAGACGATGGCTAGTCATTCAGGAACTTTGAGCTAGAGAGGAACATGAGCAGATTTGAAATATAGGGAAGATGACTGGAAACAAGTTTCCTAAGGAATTAAAGGGGAGAGCAAGTCAAAGATGTGGAGATGAGAAAAGACTCCGTGCTAAGTGGGATGCTGATTCCAATTTGAACAGACACGGGAGAAACTTAGAACCACATAGATGCTAGAGAATAAACTGGATGCAGTGAGGGGAAGAGAAGGGGTAATCTAGGATGACTCTTGAGTTTCTAGCTTCAGCAACTGGGCAGACAGTAACACTAATCACCAAGATGGGGAATGGCAGAGGGAATTATGTTTGCAGGGGGAGAAGGAAGATCACCCAGTTTTGGACATGGTGAAAATGGTATTTTCTTTTGAAAAAACAGAATTAAAACATTACTAAGTCTGGCAAAACAGAACCTGGCCAATTTATATTTTTCTTGAGCTTTGATTTTGTACTCTCAATTAAAACAGTTCCAACACAATCAAATAATATATGTTTTTTCAAACTGTTTACAAATGACTACAGTTAGCATAATAAAAAGTAAAGTGCGATGCTTCAAGTTTACTTTAGTCCATTATATATTGCAGCCCACGGTTCTTAACTTCTTGGATTTTTAAACTTCTTTGTTATATTTGGAATTGTTAACCAAAAGAGAGATCTGAGGTTATTTTGTTATGGCAGACCCAGTGACCAAGACAATATCTGTATTTTTTGTTTCCTTATTTTTACTTTTTAAATTTCTGTGGGTTCATAGTAGGTTTATATATTTATGGGGTACATGAGATGTTTTGATACAGGCAGGCAATGCATAATAATCATCATGGAGAATGGGGTATCTGTCCCCTCAAGCATTTATCCTTTGAATTACAAACCATCCAATTCCACTCTTTAAGTTATTTTAAAAATGTACAGTTAAGTTATTGTTGACTATAGTCACCCTGTTGTGCTATCAAATGGTAGGTCTTATTCATTAATTCTAATTATTTTTTGTAGCCATTAACTATCCCCACCTCCCCTGATCCCCCACACTGCCCTTCCAAGCCTGTGGTAACCGTCCTTCTACTCTCTATCCATGAGTTCAATTGCTTTGATTTTTAGAACCCACAAATAGGTAAGAACATGCGATGTTTGTCTTTCTGTGCCTGGCTTACTTCACTTAGCATGACAATCTCCAGTTTCATCCATGTTGTTGCAAATGACAGGATCTCATTCTTTTTTATGGCTGAATAATACTCCATTGTGTATATGTACCACATTTTCTTTGTCCATTTTTTTTCCTGAAGTTCCCTAATGATTCTCCCATGCAGCCAGGGTTGAGAACCACTGAGCTCAAGGCTTGAATAGATTCTAGTTTGAGTGTGCATCCACATTGTTCAGTTAGGCTATAATAAGTGCTATGTAGTAAGTCTAGAAAATCCAAGAAGTCCTCCATTGTCAAAGAAAGATACAAATCTACCAAGGGAAAGAAAGCTATTTCTATGACAGTCATAATAGTAAGGACGTTACTTTCTGAAACTGAGAGTAAGCATGACCCTGCTTTCTTTTATTAAACAAATGAAGTGATGACATAATCCTTATTTTTTCACTCAACAAAAAAATTAACTTGAACCTGACACTCTCAGAAGCCACTCTTAGCCACTACAATATTCTGGCTGGTTGTTGCAAGCTTGTGAGTTGCCCCTCTGCCCACATTTTGTTCTGTGGAGGTAGAGAGAAGTACAGTAAGGCGTAATCAGGTGGAAGGTGTGGTTGGTAGAATAATGTCTCCCCTAAAGATGTCCATACCCGAATCCCAGGAACCTGTGAGTATGTTATTTTACATGGTAAAAGGGACTTTGCAGATGCTATTAATTTCAGATTATTGAGATGGGGAGATTATTCTGAATTATCCAGGCGAGTGCAATGTCATCACAAGGAGAGAGGTAGAGGCAGAAGCGAGACAAAAATGTGATAATGGAAGCAGAGGTGGGAGAGAGAAAGATTTGAAAGAGCTTGGCTGCTAGCTTTACAGATGGAAAAAGGAGCCACAAGACAAGAAATGCACACAGCTTCTAGTGCAGGAAAAGCCAAGGATTCTCTCCTGGAGCCTCCAGAAGGAACATGGCCTTTGATTTTAGCCCAGTGAGGCCCACATGAGACTTATGTAAGTTTGTGTTGTAAGTTTGTGATAATTTGTTATGGCAGCAATAGGAAATGAATTCAAGAGTAAGGGGGAGCATTAGAAAAGGAAGTTGGTGGGGTGAAGGGCATGCTCGCAGACACTTAAAAAAGTAGGTTTTGACCTTCCATCAGATTCTTATCTCCCTGCTACCTGATGCTAAGGTGCTGCTTCATACTACAGGTACCATCACCAATGATTTGTGCTGGAGAGGTCCCAAGACTGGAATTCTGAAATCACTTTTCCCATAAAATAGAATTATAGAAAATTACATATAGTAAATACTTTACGCTCTGTGGGTCTTATGGTCTCTGCCACAGTTACTCAACTTTTGCCATTGTAGGGCAAAAACAGCCATAGACCCTACATAAACAAATATTCCAAAAATTTTATCTATGACATGAAAAGTCAAGGCTCATATAATTTTATGTGTACAAAATATCCTTCCTTCAAATTTTTTTCAACTATTTAGAAATGTAAACATAATTCTTAGCTTGCAAGTCATACAAAAACGGGCATCAGGCTGCTTTTGGCCCACTGGCTGTTGTTTGCCAACCCCTGATATGGAGATTAGGGTCATGTAGTGCCCTACACATATTTGTGTAGCATCTACAGCCATATTCCAGCAACCCAGTCCTAGGGCCTTGCATTATCAGCCATATACAACAGCTAGATTCAGGAGGGCAAGACCCTTGTCTGGCTTATTCATTTTGATGTTCTCGGTATCTAAGGCAGTACCTGGCACTTAACAGCCACTGAATAAATATTTGTCAATCTAGGGACTAATGAACCAGCCCCATCATGAGTTAAATAAATTGGAAACCTAACCAACCCATACAATGTTGTATATATGTGGGAAACTGTATTCTGGATTCGAATAAACCATTAAGAGACAGTCTTTTGAAATAGCCTGTTGATAAGCCAAGAAAAACCCATGCCAGTACATGAGGGGAGAAAATAAATGTGATAATAGGTGACGCGGGGAAGAGTTAATCCGTGATACCTATACCCACCCATCAGACTTCATAGGAGCAGTAAGACATGAACACAAAGGTCATAGTCTCCCTTTGACTCTCATGGCATGGACCATAAAGTGATAAACAAGCACCCAGGAAGGGCACCAAAGCCTACCAGCACAGTCTAGAATATGTTTCTGGTGGTTTCTCAAGGCTCACATGCATGGTCCAGACCAGCATTTTTCTTTGGTGACTGTTTATCTTATAAATGAATGACTCATTTGAAGGCTTTCTGAATCTAGTCTTTTGAGTGATCATCATGGAATTTTTTTAAGGATTGAAAATGGATGATTTCAAATTTGTTTAGATTTTATAAATGTAGATGAAATTGAAATTCATCCAATGTCTCTGGATAGACTAAAGACCTTGGCAGTTGTAAAAACATCTTTCTATTCTAGGGTACTATGTGACAGCATTAATAAAGGGCAGCAATATGATAAAATGATATAGGATAATGGTCCTTGGTGGGGTAATGTTGCCCCCAGTGAGCATTTAGCAATGTCTGAAGACATTTTTGGTTGTTATAACTGGGGCAGCGTTTGATACTGGCAGCTAGAAGATAGAGGCTAGGGATGCTGCTAAGCACCTTATAATGCACAGGACTACTGCCCAAAATCAACAACTATCTGGATCAACTTGTCTACAGTGCAGAAGTTGAGAAACCTTGGTTTAGCATAAATAAGTCTGCTGTTAAGCCCAGATTACATATAATCTCCTTAAAATGATGGTGCTGGAAATATTAACAATTATTTATATATTTTGTTTATCATAAAAATATGTACTATATATTCGTTTATATATCATGCATTACTATGTGTATTTTACATGTATTTTTCTACGTATTATACACATAAACAGAATCATAGGGCTTATTTTAAGCTAGTATTAATAAGTACAAACACTACAAACCTAATTAAAAGAAGCAAACCAAAAAAAGTTTGAAAACAATAGAGTCTTGATTAACTGGAGAACAACTCACCAAAAGTGTTAACTAAAGAGATTTCCTTCCCACCAGAAGTATATGTCTCTATGTTTAGAAAAAAAGAAGCAAAAGACAAACTAAAACCCAAACAATCTAATATCTATGCTTTATTCAGAAAGTCATTCTTTTGAGCTAAGTTGCACCTTTACAGACTTGATTTTCCCATGAAATAAAATTGATTGAAATAATTTTGGTTTTGTTCTACACCACATTGTTTTATTACATCCTTGGGGCTAGTCTCTAACTGCAGCATCTCTTTAATCTCATCCAACTGTAAACTCCCCAGGGCCAAACAAGGGGTGAGGCAGGGCTGTTCAAAATGTGGTTTGTGGACCCAAGGCATCGGAATCACGTGGGCAGAATGATCATTGTTAAACACGTAGGTTCCTTTGGCTCTAAGGTAGATTTAGAGAATTAGAGTCACAGGGAATAGGTCCCAAGCACCTCCATTATAAAGCAGCATCCCCAGATGAGTCTTACTTTTTGCATAATAAAAGTTGAGTCTCACTGGCATGGTGGTGAAGACTTGGATTCAGATAGATGGCAGTTCTTTGGTAAGATTCAGAAAATCTCTGATCATCGGTTTTCTCATTATTAAGATGGAGAAAAGAACAAGACTTAACTCTCAGTTTGTAGGGATAATATCAGACAATACAAATGAATTTCTTGTGGAAGGCTTATAAGCTCCCACAAGACCTGAATAAATGGAAATTTAAGTTATAATTAATATTAATCATCACCACTCTAAATTTGCATCACCATCTGATGTGGTTTGGATGTTTGTCCCCTCCAAATCTCATGTTGAAATACAATCACTAATGTTGGAGGTGGGGCCTGGTGGGAGGTGTTTGTGTCATGAGGGTGGATCCCTCATGAATATCTTGGTGCTGTCCTTGCAATAGTGAATTCTTGCTCTGAGTTCATGTGAGATATGGTTTTTTAAAAGGGCATGGCACTTCTTCCCTCTCTCTCTTGCTTCTGCTCTTACCATGTGACAGGCTGGTTCCCTGTTGCCTTCCATCCTGAGTACAAGTTACCCAAGGGCATTACTAGAAGCTGAGCAGATGACACCACCATGCTTCCTGTATAGCCTGCAGAACTGTGAACCAATTAAACCTCTTTTCCTTTCTTTATAAATTACGCAGTCTCAGGTATTTTTATGGTGATACAAGAAGGACCTAACACAGCATCTTAACTTGGAAGTATTAGAGACACCAAAAACTCTTAAGAAATGTGTGCTGAATTACACAGCAAGTTTTACAAGGTGATAAGAGATAGAGAAGGAGGTAGCACAGGGTGAGGGGAATAGGAGTGCTGCATGAGCTACCAGGACAGCCTTACAGAGAACATGATTTTTGCACCAACCCTTAAGGAGGTGAGGGAATGAGCCAGGCAGGTTTTGGGAGCCCAGCAGCCCAGGCAGAGACTGGTTGACATAGGTATAGCATAGCCTGGTGGCTAAAAGCAAGGGGTGGCAAGCTGGGCTGCCTGAGTTTGAGTCCCAGTTTTGCCACTTACTAGCCAGCCATGTGGCTTTTTAGCAAGCTACTTACATTCCCCATGCCCCATTTTCCTCATCTATGAAATGGGGATGATGACAGGGATTTTGCTGATACAAGCTGACTAGCCGGGGAGCCAAGTACTGCCTACTGATTGTTTTCATAAATCAAGTTTTATTGATTTATGAAAACCACAGCCACACTCATTCATTGTTATTTTCTGTGGCAGCCTACAGGCCACAATTGCAGAGTTGAGTTGTTGCAACAGAGACTGCACAGTCCATGAAGCTGCCCTTCCGTAAAGGTAACCATCTGGCCCTTTATGGAAAAAGTTTGCTGACCCCTGGACTGGACTAAAAGTAAAGACACATCTATGATTAGGATCTGCCTTTTGCCATCACCATTTTCCTCCTCTCCTAAGATTTTGTCTCTGAGAAACATCCCAGAGAGCCTGTAAAAAAAAAAATCAAACAACATAATTTAGCATATTAGAAAATATGCAAATGCTAGCATGAAATAGAAGTGGTTATCTGCAAATGGCCTGTTCACCTGGGTTACCGATAAACTAAAGAAGTAGAAATGAACATTGTCAAACCCAGGGCTGGGCTAACACCATCTAAAAAATCAAATGTCACTTACATCTTGTTTCCAGTGGAAAGAACCTTTCCAGTGGTTAGCATAGAGGGGACATACTGGAAGTCCTCAAGGGCAAAAACGTCAGAGCAAAAGGTCAATTTCATTTCTGTGTAGTCCCAGTTGAATTGTGGACTTTTCTAATGGCCATCAATTTAATTCTCAGTTCTAAGCTTCTCTCGAGTCTTGGATGGGAGGAAGAAGGTAAGATGGCCTGCACAAATCTCAGGGTTGCAAAAACTGGAAACACTGGCATGAATTAGAAATTTCTTAATGACAGGGCCAGCAGCTGATGGTTCTACTTGTCTTTCTCTAATTAAATTTAGTTCACTGAAATTAGAACGACCTCCGGAGATAGATTAGACCTTGAAGATACTGCTCACATTTATAGATGGTCCGCTCTCTGCTAGTTACTGTTCTAAGCCTTTTATTTATATTATCTCATTTAATTCTTACAACAACCTAAGGACTATGTTACCATCATTATTCCCATATTTCAGATGAAGAAACTGAGGCACAGAACTTAAGTAACTTGCCAAGAGCACACACCAATTAAGTGGCAGAGTTAGGATTTGAAGCCAGGCTTTAGGTTCTAGAATTTAGACTCATAACCACTATATGTATTTCATAACATTTCATGATAAACCAATCCAAACCTCTAACTTTACAAATGAGCAAAGCAGCTGCAGTGGCATAATGGGATCTGGGACATCAGGGTCATGTTCCCCTCTTTCCACCACCAAGCCCTTTCATTATGAGACATACCCTTATAATAATGAAAGCCAGACAGTGTTTAAAAATTCAGAGGCTTAAAGTTTCCTCTTTTGTAAAAGACAGCACAAGCACATCCGATGTATTATTAGCCTTATTTAATATCCAAACTGTTCCCCTAAACCCATATTTATCACAGCCACAGCAACTAAAATGTTGCACCCATATTCAAGAAGTTAAGAGGGAAAGATAAACCACTTTACCCTTTCAGACTTCAAAACAGCCTGTGCCCGAATCTTTTACAGAAATTAGCTCAATTATGCTGTTCTGTTAATCATGACACAATCCTTTCCTGCTTGAGTTTGCTCATTTCAAGCTGCCACATCATTAATCTAAAAATAAGGTTCTCATAAATCCATATTGACACAGACAGTTTTTAGCTGTCACACATCTCAGACACTGATCATTCCAGTTTTCTTCCTAAATCACAAGATGGATGTGAAAGAATCACAAAACTTTATCACAATTATTTTCTGAAAAAGTAGTGTAAGTATAGATATTTATATTGCTTACCCATAAATTATAATCAGCCGCGTCTTTGCTGTCCTCTCTAATCTAACTGAACTAAGCTTGCAGTAGGAAGTTGAGTCTGTTTTAAAAAAATTATTTTTTTGGTAAAAAATGCATCCTGAAATGGCAGATCATATTGAATGTCTGAGAAATGGCCCAGCTGGCATAGCTGTGACTCCCACGATACCTTTTGTTGCCAGAGACCTCCGCTACTGTGAATCTTGGGACCAAAAATATGCAATCTTTTCATCGGATCATTGAGAAGTTCCTGTCCTTTCAGAACAGAGGCAGGCTGTGTCCCTGAGTAAGTGCACAAATGAGTGAGTGCGTGTGTTTGTATGCGTGTGTGCCTGTGTGTGTGTGTGTGTGTGTGTGTGTGTGTGTGTGTGTGAGAGAGAGAGAGAGAGAGAGAGGGTGAGAGAGAGAGAGAGTTGGGGAGGAGGAAAGAGGGGAGGGAAGGGACAAAAAGAATGAGAGTATTTTGAAGAAATATACTCGAGTTAGAAAAGGATTCCTCTAAAAAAAATCCTCTTTTCCACAGGGATCTACAAACGGTAATTGGATTGTAACTGTGCAAACTGTCCTTATTAGGAATCAACCAAAGAATGTTGGAAGCCACTGGTGAAACCCCTGAGAGCAAGATAAAGCACATAGGATGCCTTCTTTGTTTAGGACAAATTCTCAGTTCTTAAATTATATTTTAAAACTACTGACTCCATTTTTCTAACACTAGCCACACACACTAAAAAGCAAAAGTTTTCATTCTCTTTCACACTGAAGCATAACACATGCTCTGTATTTTATCCTCTTTGTGGGACAGCAGTCCTTGAGAAGTTGTTCATTTCCTGAACAGAGGGTGTGGAGGTCAGAGTGAATATACCCACATGGCCATATCTAAGAGGGTTCAGGTTGGGGTGGGGGTTGGGGGTGGCATCCATGAAGAGCAGAGAGAAAAGGGAAGATTAATTCCAATCGCGAATTACCTTGATCTCCATGCATTCCACATGGCACTGAACCAAATACAACTCGAAAAGACATCTTTGTTTCCCAGTCAATAGGAAGTTATAGTTCTCTCATGGGTCTCAAGTGAATTCCAACAAAAGAATCACTGTGATTATAATTTACAAACCGGGAAATGATTTCATGGAAGATCTTACTGATTCAAAATTAAGGACTCGGTATGCTTTTACTAGGATTCTGTGAAACTAATCATGTAAGCCACACATAGCCTCTGCTGCTGCTGCTGCTAAGGAAGGAATTTTAAAGCAGTAAAATATTCCAGGTGGTTTTCTTTACTAGAATGATTAAACTTAAACAGAGATTCAGAGTAAAATCTACCTGTTACTGCACATACCTCCACCACCACTATCCTAAAAACTGATGTTGAAAATACGCATTATTCCAGTAGACAGTCAACATGGCTCATACTGGATACTCATCAATGGAAGTTACATCCTCATTTAAAGATATCTAATATCTTAATATCAATATATCTAATATCTTAATATATTATTTCACATGAAATTGATAAATATGTAATTCATTTTTTATTATTAGGCAAATGATCCTTTAGTTTATAAATAGATGACAGCAACATGTAGTTCTGACTGAGCACTTACTAAGTGTCAGGCATTGTTTTAGGCATTTTATGGGCACTGACTTATCTAACCATCAAAATAATTCTTAGCAGTAGGTTACATTATTATCCTCATATTACAGATGAGGAAACAGAAGCGCAGAGGAGTTAAGTGACTTGCTCAAAGATTCACAGCTCATAAGTAATGCGGCTGTCATCCCAACCACTATGAGCTTACAAATTAACTGGAAGACAAAACCACAGTTCAGAGTCAGTACTAGTAGGAGCCATGTTATAAGTATCTAATAAGGAAGAGACAGTGATGAAATAAGAATGTTTACCTAACACTAGAGTGGTCTGTTAAATCAATTATTTGATGGAGACATACACTGTCAGGTCAATAAATGTTTCGTAAGAAGGTGACTAAGTGAATAATCTCAAATAATCCCGAGAGACAACATCTTGTGAAATTCCTAGTCTGTTTTAAGAGTGGAAGCAAGGCAGGCCTTAAGAGGAAGTGCAGAAATAATGGAGAAGGTGTGTATATTTGGTATTCTTTGGAAAATGCATTCAAACCAGAAAAACAAAACATAAAGATAAGGAATCCTTTTTAAGATTTAAATAACAACTCTTTAAGTAAAACCAATAAGAGACCAAAGAGTCACTGAAAGAGCCTTGGAAATAAATATCAGGAAGCAACTAAAAGGTTCCATCTGTGGAAGAGTTTCGCTAATCACAAAAAGTGCTGAGAGCACAATGGTCATTTTTTTCCCATTTAACCCTCCATATCTAAGCATACCAAGAAACAATTTATAGCCTAAGAATCTATGCCATTAAGCATTCATTCCACCTTCTTCTTGGCTCTTATTCTGGATTATTTCTGTTTATATCACTGGTGATATTTTGCACATTTAAGGCAAAAATATCATAGAATCACTGTCAAACTTTTTGAGTGAATACATTTCTGATTACAGTACTCTTTTGCCTAAAACCCTTTGATGTCTCCTCCTTAGCTCCAGGACAAAGTCCAAATTCCTTAGCCTGGTATCCAGTGCGGTGTGCTTTTACTTAGATGGAATAAAATCAAATAGCCACTACATAATAGTGAATGATAACAGTAGAAGTTTACTGAGCATGTATTAGGTGCTAAGCACTTCATGTGTGCCATGTATTCACTGCCTCCAACAATTTCATTTTATAGAGGAAGTGATGGAGGCACAGAAATGGATGGCGCACAGTGAGGAAAACACTGACTGCTCATGAAGCCCGTAGCCCCTTTTTCGTGGGCATTCAGCTAGTCTACATTTCCCAGCCTCTCTTGCAGTTAATAGTGGTCATATGACTGGAGTCTAGCTAATGGAATGTCAGAGGAAGTGACAAGCTTCATTTCTAGCCCCAGTCCATAAAAACCTGGAGACAGCATCCAGGCAACCTGCATAGCCATGTGTGGTAGTCCCAGGAGTGGACCACATTTTTCAGTGTTCTTTGCCTAGTGTAGTCCCCTGCCCTTCAAGCCCGCCTGGCTCTATGAGTTACTTTAACCAACTGAATGTGGCAGAAGGGGATGCCAAGCCCATTCTGGACCTGAGACATAAGAAGGCATGGAAACTTCTGCTTTTGCATTCATAGGACCCTTGAGCCCCCATGACATAGGTGTAGCCACTATGTTGAAGAGACCACGTGGAGAGGCAATATAGCCAGCGTGAAAGGTTTAGTTGCCCCAATGTCTCAACCTAAATCCAGCCCACCCTACCTCCAGCTGAATGAAAGGAAGAAGCAGCCCAGGTTCAGAATCATTGCTTGGAGCACAGCTGTCCCACCAATTGTGGCCAATCTAACAGTATGAATGACAAATAGACTTATGTTGTGAAATTTGGGGATGTATCTGATATAGCAGCTGACCTCACTTTCCTGAACTTCCCATATGAACACAGATAATAAATCTAAGCAGCCTGATCTGGAGCCCTTGCGCTTGAAACTCCTCCTATACTTCTCCCCACTGAACGACATCATGACTCATTTCGTCCCTTCCTACATTCTCACTTGGAAACAGAGTAGTTGATCAACTGGATGGTAAAGTAAAAATTGCTCTTTATATATTGTTTTGCTGAGCATGTAGAAAGTCTTTAATATAAAAGAAGACAAATATATTTCTAATGACATCCTTCAGATTTTGAATAATATATAGCCAATGGTTAGAAATAGGTAATGCTTTTATCTTTCAAAATCATGACTGACTCATAAAATGGCACAGTGAAATTTCATTTAGATTATATTCATTACTGATAAACCTTCCATTGGTCCTGGTAACCTTTTTTGAGTGTAGCATAGAGTTCGCATGTAAGGTCTTAATATTTTTTAAGACTATATATAAAAATGCAAATTGTGAGAGACATTTTAGTTCATCTGCTGCCTTACAGTGCTCAGTGAAAATGTGGTACCATCAGTTTAACCATCAGACTCTATCTTTGTATTGCTCAGAACTTCCAGGGGCTAGGTGATAAGCCAATGTATATTCTCTCATTGCTGCCATTTGCTTCCTTAACTGTAGCTGTCCGTCCTTTCCCCATTCCTAGCACCCTGACCTTGGTCTAATTGCTAGCGTCCTTCTGATGCTACTGTGACCTATTTGCACGGAGAGAATGTTTTGGATCCTTCAGATCTAAACTCTACCATCAAAGCAAATCTAGTAACTGGAAAGCTATTTAAGACCATGAATCTGAAACAGTCAAAACCACAATAAAGAACAACTAAAATTTACTGAGTACTTATTGTCTCCATGAATACGCTATCCTCTAGGAGGCAGGCACTAGAATTATCTCTATTTTGCAGATAAGAAAGTTGAAACAAAGAGAGCGTAAAGCGTAAAGAGCTTGCCAGAAGTCACACAACTGGCAAGTAAAGAGTTGGCACTCAAACCCAGGCAGTCTGTTTTCAAATGCAATAATTTTAACCCCTAGGCAATATCACAGCATGCCAGCAACCTTTTCTTTATTCACTTCCTTGGAAGACCTATAAACAAAGTAAGTATGACACAGAGCATCCAACAGAGACTGGAAGGCCTCTCTGCAACTGGGAGAATTTTGGTAAATACATAGATGACAGCTCAGGGCTCAAAGCCCTGTGGAATTGAGACACAGAAATATGCAGAAACAGAGGCAGGGCACCAGGATGAAACAGAGAAAAGAAAGCCAATAGATGGGGCAATGACCTCCAGGAATAAGGAGAGGGACAGGTATTTCATTTAAAGAAAAAAGGAACAGCCATGTTAGAAAACCTCCTGGATGCCAGATCCTTTACAAGTAGAACTAGCCACTCTCAGTTTTAGGTAGGGGTGTAACACCATGAAAGAGATGTTTTAGGAAAGATGAATGAGGCCGAGTGGTGCAGAACTGATAGGAAGGGGATAAAGAGAGGAAGCAAACTGAGTCTACAATGTAACCGGTAAACGGAGGCTCTACCTGTGGAATGAACTGATAAGAAGCGAGTCTAGGCAGCAATAAAACAAGCTGACTCTAGGAATTCTTTCTTTATGAGAGTCCCTCTCTTTTTCCAATAAATATGGATCCCCAGAAAATTAAGCCCAAGATTATAGCTGGAGAAATACCTTTGAGTACAGAGTGTGAAATTTGCATCTCATTTTAGGTGCCCAGGAGGGTTGACCTAGAGAAAAGCATTTTATCTTGATTCTTATGGAGAAATCTGTATATCGCTGGTTCTACCACACTGCAGAGAATGGTACTTATTTTGTAGCTGCTCCTTCTACTCATGTAGTGAGGAACGCTGAGTTATAAGGTTGGATGCTTCAGGTTTCTTGAAATAAGAAGGAAACTCAGATAAGAGGGCACTCATTCTAGGTAAGATGTCATGTGAACTCTTTGTAGGGCAGGTCATTTATTCTGTTATGGGTATATTCACTGCTCATTAAACATGGAATGGATTTCAGAGCAAGATTACCTAAAAGATACAGGGATGCTGAAGTACTGTCACCTCAAACTGAAGAACCCAATCCCAAGTCAGATATTTACAAATCAGCAGGATATAAAACAAGCCTTAAGGATAGAAGAATATCGTATTTAGGAGCTTGAAAACTCTTAGGCCAAACAAACTAGGCAAAATAAAAAATGCCAAAGTGAATTCCTTTCCACTTTCTCATTTCAATGCTATATTTGGTGACATTGTGTTTCATCAATTGCACTTTGGCACTTTGCAAAAGTCTCTTCTCAGTGGGGTTCTTCTCTAATGAGAAAGGAAAACAATTTCCTCAAAATTACATGCGACTTCATAAACATATTAAGTTAATAAATTAATTTTGGATATCATCAAATATATAGACGTTGCTTCTAATCTGTTGCCTAAAATGTGAGCTGTGGACAATGAGCCTCTCGGTTTTACTGTAAGATAATTTATCCTATTAAACTCTTTTAATAAGTAATTCAAAATCTACATGAATTGTTGTACCACTTCATTCTAAGTGGGGAAAAGCAAGTTATTCATTTTTAGTTGCAGTCTGGTAGTTAACTCATCTAAATCTTGTAGAGTAAATGAGCAAGCAAGCTGCTTTAAATAAAAATATATGCGGCTACATTTCTAGGCTGCAGAAAAAGTCTAGCATTAATGATATTTTCAGAATCATCTTCCAAAGCAAAATGACCTCAGATACAAGTGGTGATACATTTTAGAACAAATGTATTCTCCAAGGACCAACAGTTCTCTAAGTTCATTGCACATTATAATTACTTGCTGTAGTTTTCAAAAATTTTTATGACCATGTCCCTCTCCCCAAGAACAGCATGGTCCAATAGACTTTTCTATAACAATGGACATTTTTGTTAACAGTACTAATTGCTAAGGTGGCTACTAGCCACCCGTGGCTAATGAGCACTTGAGATATGGCCAGAGAAACTGAATATTGAATTGGTAATTGTATTTAATGTTAATTGATTCAAATTTAAATTACCACAGGTGGATAGTGGCTACTGTATTGGACAGCACAGGTATAGACCAAGTCAATTAGACTGTCTGGGGTTGGGGCTCAGACAATGATATATTTATAAAGCTTTCCCCAAAATTCTAAGGTGCAGTCCAGGTTGAGAACCATTGTAATGGCCAGAGCTTAATGAAACTATCAGGGAAGACAAATTCCTTGAACTTTTTCCAGGATCCATAACTTTTCTCCAAATTCCACTAAGAATTTGTCATGTACCTTTGCTTCCCTCCCTCCTGCCTCCACTCCTCATTTCTTGCACCCTTCCACATACTCATGTGATGACTGCACTCTCCATATATTCCTTCATTGACTGATTCTGCCAGATTTCTCCCACACCGAGAGCATAACGTGCCCTCATCTCAAAGCTCAGATTCTTTTTTTCCTTTCTCTTCCATTGACAGCAGAAAGAAAACTTAACAATGCTACCAATTAAGAGATTAAGTCTCCAAGCACATACATCCATAATTTAAAATTGTTTTTCACGTGCACAGGCTTGATCCAGATGTCACTTTCCATGAGCTCTGCCATAGATGTGATGGGGAATATTTTGAACAGTAGCACAGTTAAGCAGCTTTCATCTTATCTGTTCATTTTGCCACTGTTTCATTCAAATGGGATGCAGTGTTATAGCACAGTGGTTACAGGGAGGACTCTCCTTCTGGCTGCCTGTGTTTGAATTCAAGTTCAGCATATAACTAGCCATGTGAGTATCCAACGCTTTTAAGCCTCAATTACCTGCTCTGTAAAGTGGAGATAAAATAGTCCTGTAGGGAGGAGAGAGCTATGCATGTAACACTTATGATAAATGAACGTGTCACATGCGCTGATAGACCCAGGTTTTGATTGCTTTTTCCCTACACCCCTCCCCAAACCTCACCCTTTTTTTTTGGTAAATAAAGCAAATAGCGGGGCCAACTTTTGAAGGAGAAAGTCATGAAATCCCTAAAAGCATGTTCCAAGTATTTGATAAATTAACGTGGCAATATGAAGACCATTTTGAAAACAGTTACAAAAAAATCAATTATATGGTAATCTGATTTTTAAAAATTATTAAAAATTTTTATTTTAATGAGTCATTTTTCTTGACTTCCATGCCACCAGTTAATATTAATAGGATGGACAAGGAAGGGTATGCTGTAAACATAGCTACATTTTATTTCATTTGTAAAAAAAAAAAACCAGTAGACTCAGAATTCCAGAATTCAGTGATATGAACATAAAGAACATGATGTCCAATGTTCAAGTACATAATCGCTTTGTTGACCTTTTGGTAATTTTAACTGTTGTACCCTAACAACATGTTCCCATGTCATTTTCACTCATGGGCATTACTGATTTGTGCACGTTCACATTTTCTACACAGAGTTTTGCTGCTTCTTTCTTGTTAAGTATCCATCTATGGGTAGATTTTTTTTTTAACCTCAGAAACTACAAAATTACAACCCATTAGCAACATAAAAATTTGTAGTCACCACAACTACTAATTAGTGGTGCACAGTAAGGATTATTCATCAGTGACTCACAGCACAGATAAAATAAGCTGAGAGCTATGTCCTGGATCTAAATCCAAAAGATTTAGATATGTGGGGAATGACTATCATCTCTTGTACATATAGTGTGTACCCATTATTATTCCAGTCCCTTATGGTGTACTCATGGTTTTAATCATTAAACAATCTTAAAATGTGAGGTTTATTAATATGCCCATTTTATAGATGAAGAAATCAAAGCACAGGGCAGTCAAGTAACTTGTCCCAGGACACATATTGCAAGTGGCATGGCTGAAATTCAAACTCAGGGACCTTAGTCCTGAGTTTGTGGTCTTAACCACTATCCTATGCTACTTTTCTGCACCTTGCTCTCCTACTCAAGAAAATTCATCAAAATAACTGTATGAGGTGGTTCTAGGCTCATCTCTAATTCTCTCTCATTTAGTTTTCTTACAAATATTCTAAAGTTTGTAACTTAATTATTATAGGTAATAAATTACTTCTAACACATTGACTGAGGCATGCCTTGACCTTGAGGTGGCAACTGTTGACTTAAAGCAGGGTCAGCAAAGGACAGCCTAAGGCCTATTTTTGTAATCAAATTTTATTGGAAAACAACCACACCCACTCATTTACCTATTGTCTGTGGCTGCTTTTCCGATACAACAGCAAAGTTGAGTAGTTGCAACACAGACAGTATGATCCGCAACACCTAAAATGTTTTCTATCTGATTCTTTACAGAAAAAGTTTGCCGACCCCAGATCTGGACCCACTGAAAAGAAATCACCAGATATATGACATAGGGGATGACAATGTTCACATTTCATGGTGGAGCATTTCACTATTTCAAACAGCAAAGGAACCACATTTTTTTTCTGTTTCTTTTTTTAATTAATTTTAAGTTCCAGGGTACATGTGCAGGATGTGCAGGTTTGTTACATAGGTAAACATGTGACATGGTGGTTTGCTGTACCTATCAACCCATCACCTAGGTATTAAGCCCAGCATGTATTAGCTATTTATCCTGATGCTCTCCCTCCCCCAACCCCACCACCGGACAGGACCCAGTGTGTGTTGCTCCCCTTCCTGTGTCCAGGAACCACATGTTTTTAAAACTATGTTTGTGACATCTCTGTATGTATGAGCAGATGGGTCCACAGAGATCACTCAATGTCTAATTTTCTTTTACGCACATAATGAGAAAAAGCTCAGGGAGAAAAAGTGAAATCAGTAGCATGGACTTTAGTATTTGGTATGAGCTACTTATTAGGAATCAGCATTTCTTCCAAGTATTCTCGAAAGAAAAGACATTCATACTAGAGTGATGCCTATCAAATCCACTATGGCCGGCCTGAGAAACTTGTAATTAAAAACTACAAACATTATAGATTTGTCTCCATATTAAATAGATTTAACTATCTCTACATCTATGTGTATCTATATGTATCTCTTGACTATTATATATTTATTATATGATGAATTATATATGTGACATATTTCTATCTTATATAGACAAATATTTATAATAGGTATGTGATAATACACAGTGGGTAAAGGGTACGTATGCAAATGCATCTTGCTTTAAGTAAACCAATTATTTGAAAATACACACAATAAAATTAGGGGCAATGATTCTGTGGTTCAAATACATCAGTATGGGTTCCCTGCAGTGACCCAGGAAAACTGAAGCAAAATCATTTTTAACATTGCTTCCTATGTCTCTCCTACTCACACTCAGAAAGTCACCAGTTTCTGTGGATCCCACCTCATTAAAAACTGTCCTTTCCTTTAACACTTCCTCTCTGGGAATGTCCACCAGCACTTCCACACTCTTGTAGGCTGTCTCTCCCTACAAAGCAAAACTCATCTTGTCCCTTCCCTTTTGAAAGCCATCATTGAGGCTCCTAGCTTTCCAGATGAAGTTCTCAACTCTGAGGTGAAAACACAAGATCGCTCAAGATCTGGCCACTGCTTAGCTCTTGGGCTTCACCAAGCCTCACTTACTTCACATCCCTTAATTTCAGCCACATGGAAGAGCCCAGAGGACTTCATGGTTAGGGTGAGGGGTGCTCTCAGCCCAAATGGCTTCCCCATGCCTTCCTACTCACCCTGTAATGCTTACTGAGCATCACCTCCTCTGAGAAGCCCTGTCGTCCCCCTACAGGGACATTACAAATGAATCATCACATTAACAAGAAAATCATACCATCTAAAACACAAACAAGTTTACTATGGACCTATAAGGAACACCAAAACATGACCAAAGGAAATTCACCTTATGTTTGTTAAAGAAGGCGAATCTGCTTCTTTCAAGGTTCCAAATGACCTAGACACTTGAGATGTCTAGACAATCACTTGTGATGTCTCATTGAGGGAGGAAAGAGGAGGGGTGGGAATGTTTAAATGTCAGCTATTTTTCCAGAAAACTCTAACGTCACCGATACGTCCCTCCTATGTAACCATCACACTCATCTCCCCCCGACCCTGCCCCATCTCAGCTATTTTCTTGACTCTTATTTAAACATTGGAAAGCTATTTGATTATCTATATTTGTGCCTTTTCTCCCTGGCTAGACTGTAGGTTCTGGAAGAATAGAAACAGCACTAACATTTTGTGCTTTTGTATATTTGCTGGTTGAAAGAAAATTTGAAGGAGAGTAGCAATTCTGTCTATACAGAAAATCATTTCTGTCTATTAGCATGGAAACAAGACCAGCAGGGAATATTTATATTTAGGACATTTATTTTAAAGTAGCTAAAATCACTTCCAGTAAAAATGCAAAAAAAAGAAAATCTTGCTTCCTGACTTTTAGTATTAAGAGACAAACATGTAAAAGGGAAAATTGAAAAGGGAGAAACCAACATGAAGTATGACACCAAATGCAGGTATGACGTGAAAACAAGCCATCTGCACTTACTGGTTCACATCTGATTTTCTAGCTGCCACTTTTCAGATTTATTTTTCAAAAATGTTTTCTCCTCAATATACGACTTTTAAAATGATAAATTACACAGTATTTCACAGACCTGTGTAAATACTTTTGCTCTGATGTATAGAAAATCATGCTTTCTCTGAGCAATGAAGCATATTGAAATTTACATTTTCAAAAATAAATTATAGTAAAATAATAGAAGAGCTTGGACATAAAAATCATATGCCATAAAAGTTACCACTTTAAAGTGTATAGTTCTGTGTTTCTTTTTAGTATACTCATAGATAGTGTACAACCATCATCACTGATTCCAAAACATTTTCATCACACCAAAAGGAAAGCCCATACCCAGTCACTCCCCATTCCCCTCTCACCCCAGCCCCTGGGAACCACTAATCTACTTTCTGTCTCTATGGTTTTGCATGTTTTTGACATTTAATATAAAAGTAGAATCATATAATATGTGGGCTTTTTGTGTCTGGTTTCTTTCACTTAGCATGTTTTTGGAGTTCATCCACGTTGTAGCATGTGTCATTACTTCATTCATTCTTATGGCAGGATAATATTCACTGTATAGATATACTAAATTTTGCTTGTCCATTCTTCAGTTGATGGGCATTTGGGTTCTTTCCACATTTTGACTGGTATGAATAAAGCTGCTGTGAATATTCATACACACTTTGTGTGAACGTAGGTTTTCAATGATTTTGGGTATATAACTAGAAGTGGAATTGCTGGATCATATGGTAACTATGTAGCCAAAAACAAAAAAAAAAAACGTAGACAACATGACTCCAAATAGCAAGATTCAAACACTTATTTTAGTGCAAAACTTGTTTTCCGCCTCATTCCATTCACATGAGATATCAACAATTACAAGAAAACTCATGCAATGTTTCCACTTCATATAGATCAGCCATCAGAGCTTTTTCCAAGCTGTGATAAGGAACACAATCCTTCAGTTTCTTTTGCTTTTTACAGTCTGATGAATATGAGTGTCTTGAAAAATTTAGAGGTTTCTAGTATTCTTTTTTTTTTTAAAAAAAAATTAGCCCTGTAATGGCTATACCACAAAGAGTAGATTAACTAATTTAATCATTTATGTTTATATTTTAACTCTAAAGACTAATTGTTGATATCCAGCATGGCAATTTTACTTGTTAAAGTACAGTTCAGAGTTTAGTTCCTTTCAGGGAGATATTCTTGCCTATATCAGAAGAGAAGCTAAAAAGAATGCTACACAAAATAGATCAATAGGCTTGCTTTAATTACTCTTGTCCTCTTTGATTTTATTGCTTACTGGGTGAGGAAAAGCCAGAAGAATTTAATACCCCTTACAAGATAGTCATTGCACATTTCATGAGTTGCTAGGGTCAAAAGCAGATGAACAAATGCTGAACTTCTTCCTGGCTCTACAGAACACGACCCCACACCCTCCAGGGTTGAGAAATGGAAGAAGCCACTAGGATAGGTAGTGCAGAATAATATCTCTCACCCCTAAGGTTTCCACACCCTGATTTCTGGAACCTGGGAATGTGTTACCTTACATGGCAAAAGGGACTTTGCCCATATGATTAAGTTAATAACCTTGAGAGGGGGACAGAAGTCTAGATTATCCAGGTGGGCCCAACGTAACCACACAGGCCCTTAAAATAGGACAACCCCTTTCAGCAGAATTCAGAGTTTGAGGAAGATGTGACTATAGAATAATGATCTAAGAGATGTAATATTGCTGGCCTTGAAGCTGGAGGAAGGGGGCCATGAGCTAAGGAGTGTGGGTGGTTTTAGAGCCTCCAGAAGAAATGCAGCTCTGTCAACACCTTGATTTTTGTCCAGTGCAACCTGTGTCAGATTTCTAACCTACAGCACTTTAAGATAATAAATGTGTATTGTTTCATGGCACTAAATTTATGGTAATTTGTCACAGCCATGATGACAGATTAATTCAAAAGAAATCAGAATATTTTTATGCCTGCAAGGGACACATACATTATTTAATGCAGGATTTTCCAAGCTGTTCCATAATCAAATATATTTGAAAAAGTTGTGCATGGTAGCTTCAACTTAAGTAGTCACAATAAACAATAAGAATAATAGAGAAGTCCTGCAGAGGGGAAATCATAACTCGGAGTACCTCCTAAATACACTTGCTATAATCTCACCTCCTTCTATTTTTTATTTTTTTTTAATTTTCAGACCATCTCTCCATATCACTCGAATTCCCCAGAATATAGTTGGGACATGCTAAACTAATTCCATCTGCTCAGAACCTGAGGCACAATGGGAAGAAGTGACAAGCCAAGGTGCAGCTTGGCAACACAAAGACATAACCCTGGACTCATACTCTCCATCTGGAGTCCCGTCCAGGATGCCACTCTGTCTTGCTGTATCTGCATCACAGATAATGGCAATAACAAAGGGATGCAGCCACAGTGTGTTTCTTAAGGTTCAGACCTAGCTTAACATGATGACTTGTTTTTCTATTGCCAGAATTTATGAAAGTTAGATCTTTGGTGGGAGAAGAGGGTATCAGGTGAAAATCAACCCAACAAAGCTCCTAACAGATAAATTTTTCTACTTAATAATATCAAAAACAATACAGCTGCTTTAGCACTGAATATATTTTATTATTTAAGATAAAAGCATTCAACACACTATTGAAAGTTTAATAACTTCATATTAACAAGAGTAATACAATAAAATATTTCCCCACAGTGATTTATCCTGTTCCTAAAAATGCCTAATTCTGCTGCCAAAGTCTATTTTCCACAAATTCTAGTTTCCAAATGTTAACTTGAGAAGGAACAGAGAGAGACAACCAAATGCCATTGTCTTCCATCATAGCACTTAATGTTTTCTCCACATTTCCATTTCCCATTGCCTGTGTTCCAAGAGTTATGAGCCCCTTGTCCTTTGATGTTTTTTCAGATATGCATTATCCTCATCCTTTTTCCAGGATACACAATGGGACCCCTTCTTCCACCCCTCCATTTTTTTTTAATAATAATAAAGATTATGACTAATAAACCTAACAACTTTCGACACTTATTTTTTTGCCAAAGACTATGCCAAGTGCATCACATTAATAATCTCATTTAATCTCAACAACAACCAATTGAGGTAAATATTACTATTAATATCTATATTTAACAGATGAGCCAAATGAGGCAGAGAACTTAGGTACTTTGTCCTAGGTCACATAAAAAGTGGCTGAGCCAGAATCTGAACATAATCTGATTTAGAGCTGGGGTCTTCTATAAGCACTAGCTTAGTAGTCCTCTACTGGGGTGATTCTGCCCCTCAAGGGACATTTGCCATTGCCTGGAGACATTTTTGGTTGTCACAACTGAGGAGGAAAGTGCCAGTTGTGATGGGTGGAGTCCAGGGATGCTTCTCAACATCCTACAGTGCACAGAACGGCCCCCACAGCAAAGAATGATCCCACCCTAAATGTCAACAGTTCCAAGGTTGGGAAACACTGCTCTAACCTAATGTCTCCCAATGTCAGCTCATTCTGAATGGGACATTTTTTGGTAAGACATGCAAATGGCTCTCACCTCCAGGTTAGAATCTTCTTTCTCTACTTGGGAAAGGAGGTTATCTCAATCTGGAGTGGATGGTACTTAGAGCCACAGAGTCCATTTGGTGTATATTATCATAGCATCAATGTACTCAAAAGTTTAAGCTGGCATCCTGGGACACTAGGTCATTTTATCTTTTTGTCCCTCAGTGGATACATGAAAGAGGCACTAGCTCACTAGAGCGTGACTGAAAAGAGCCAGAAGATTCTGGTTTTTGTTAGTCTTGCCTTGTAGTCAGGAAGACACAATAGCAGCGTCTGTGTCACAGATAATGGTAATAGCAAAGGGGTGTATCCACAATAGGTTACTTGAGGTCCAGACCTAGCTTAAAAGTCAAAATATTTAGGCCAGGCATGGTGGCTCACATCTGGAATCCCAGCACTTTGGGAGGCTGAGATGGGAGGACTGCTTGAGTCCAGGATTTCGAGGCTGCAGTCAAGACATGATTGTACCACTGCACTCCAGCCTGGGCGACAGAGCAAGACCTTGTCTCAAAAAAAAAAAAAAAAAAAATCAAAATTTTTTTCGGAGCAGTTCTGTGAATACCATTTGACCCAGCAATTCTAATATCTACTTTATAGCAATACTTGCAAAATGTGCAAGATACATTTGCAAAGACATTCACTTCAGTACAATATCTGATAGCAAAAAAACCCAGTCACCAATAAAAACAACGGAAATGTGAGCATATGTTCACCAAAATATGTGTGCTAGAATGTTCATAGCAGCATTATTCAAAACAGCCCCGAACTGTAAATTATCCAAATGTTCGTGAAAGTAGACTGAATAAATTGTGGTATATCACATAATGGAAAACTATGCAGTAATGGGAATGAAAAAACAAACTCCAACCACCTACAACAATACAGATGAATCCCAGAGACATCACGTTGAGCGAAAGAAGTCTGACATAAAAAATAACATGCTGTAGGATACCAGTAATGTAATCTATAAAACCAGATAAAACCAATATATGCTACAAAAATACAGAATAGGGGTTACCTTTGGGGAGAAGTGACTGGAAGGGAGTCCAAGGGATCCCTGTGAGGTGCTGGTCAGGGATGGTTCTCCATCTGGCACAGGTGTGTTCACTTTGCAGAAATTCATTAAGTTGTAAACTTATGTGCACTTCTCTACATGTGTATTATAATCTACCAAAATATATATATTAATACTTATATATAATTAATTTTATTATATATTAGTTATATGCATATATGTTTAAAGAAACATAAAAAACCTAAGTGTCCATCAGTGAGCAACTGGCTAACTAAACTACGGGGTATCTATTCAGTGGAATTCTGGGCAGTCATGAAAAAAAGTGGAGTAGTTCTCTCTGAATAAATTTGGAAAGATATCCACTATATGTAAAGTTAAACAAAGAAGTTGCAGAACACAAGTTATGGACATAAATGTTTATTATAATTTAACAGGGAGATCTGGGGTTATATATTCTCAAATGGTTATTAGTGGCCATCACTGGAGGATGGGATTTGTGGGACTTTGACACTGCCTAATGAATTTTTATAGTGTTGGAATTTATTTACATGTATTATGTTTGTACTGAGGGGAAAAAAGGACATTTAGAAAATTAAGATGAACAAAATATATCTTAAGTTTGAGATTGTTATTATTTCATCATCCATGAAGATTAGGGTTTCTGATAGATGAAGGAAACGATAATGGAATAAACAGAGTGTCTTGCCTTCAGGGTTGCTAACTGAACCCATTGATGGAGGTCACTTTGGTTTGTTGCTGGCAATGTTAACAATTGCTTCAAATTAGCACTTCTTTGCTGGGTTGCTCTACATTCAAATCCAGTTGTGGTGTGGCCACCACAAACAAGATTCTTGGCCACACAAAGAATGTGTCTACAAAATGGTAAAACAACTGAATTTGTTTAAATTAACAAAACCATATACTCAGAGGAAGGAAAAATCAAAACAGCTACACCCAAAGTAATTCACTCGGATGGGTGGTTCATGAAATGCACCCATTCATTAAATCAACATGTTAGCAGCCTCAAGTGGACTCTGTGAGAGACTCAACTGCAATGCAATATTCCTGAATAAATCAAGAGACCATAAAAGACACTTTTTTTTGGCCCATCATTAGCAAACGTTTTCTGAGTGCTCACTGTGGTTCTGCCATCCTGCTAAAACTCTGGGGATGTGATACCACCTTTATAATTGCAAATGTCATTATGTTGAGTGTTCTTAATTCCACCAATGACATTGAATGGAAATTAGAAAAACATCCACTGATTCAGGCAAAGTTGATAAAACTACAACTTCTCATATACAGTAAAGGTCTGGCAGATGTAACAATTTATAAGGTAGAATAAGTTGTGTTCAATGGATCTCAACCATGGCTACACATTATATTTGATCGAAACAGAATTTCTGGAGGTGGCACCTGGCCATCGATATTTATAAAAGCTTCCCCAGGGGATTCAAAAACATAGCAAGAGTTGGAGCCAATGCTTAGACCAAGTAAATCAGAAACTAGGTAGAATGGAACCCAGGCAAAAATATTATTTAAAAGCTACACGAATGGTTCAAAAATATAGTCTATGTTGAGAAACACTGCTTCTAAATTGATGTTATAAATGAAGCCAGAGGCGACACTTCAGTAAGCATTATGTAAAGAGACTCAATACCACCTGTCCTTATCTTGTGCAGTTTTGTTAGCAAATTATCACAAGGTAGTATTCTACCATGTTATGGTTTCAGACGTTTCATGTAAATTATATCTATATCTCCATGTGCTCTATTTACAACATTTCATTTGATTCCAACAACAATCCTATACAGAATGTAATATTATCCCCATTTTACACAGGAGGGTAATAAGGCTTGACAGAGATTCAGCATCAATCCCTCAGTTTCACAAAGTCAAGATTCCACAGTCTATATAGTCATATCGTGCTCTATGTGCCTGAAAGCAGTGTACCAATCAAAGAATGTTTTCTAAGTATCTATTATGAGCTAAATTCTCTTCTAGGCACTGAGGAGATGGAGAATAACTATAAGATAGGGTCTTCTGTAGGATACAGCTTACAGTCTAGCTGAGAAGCTAGTATCACATGGCCAAGTTTGGAGGATTTTGCAGGAAGATTTCTGAATTGGTAGGAGATTGGTCCTGACTGGATTCCTTCCAAGATTTTTCTCTATGACACAAATTTTGCTGGAGAATAAAGGTAAAATTATTTGTGTAGGAAGCAGAATAATGCCCCCCAAAATATGTCCACATCCAAATCTCAAGAATATGTGAATATGTTATGCTACCTGGCAAAGAGGAGTTAAAGTTGCAGATGGGATTAATGTTGCTAATCATATGCTGTTAAAATAAGGAGATTGTCCTGAATTATGTATATGGGACTAATATCATCACAGGAGCAACTTAAATGTGGAACAGGGAGGCAGAAGGGTCAGTGTCAGAGTGATGTGATATGAGAAAGACTCACCAGGCCATTTCTGGCTTTGAAGATGGAGGAAGGAAACATGAGCCAAGGAATGTGGGCAGCCTCTAGAAAATGGAAAAGTCAAGAAAAATGATTCTCCCCTACAGTCACCAGGTACCATGATTTTAGCCCAGTGAGACCCATTTCAGACTTCTGACCTCTGGAAGTGTAAGATAATAAATTTGTGTTGTTTTAAGCGACTAAGTTTGTGATTATTTATTATAGCAGCAACAGGGAACCAATACAATGTCTTCCCAATTTTTGAAGAGGGAAATAGAAGGCTCAAAAAGGAGAAATTTTGTAGTTTTTACCCAAGCTATCATATCTGTAGTCCCAAATCTTGATCCCTTTCTCAGGCCTACTAAATGAGAATCTGCCTTTCAACAAGGTCCTGGCCTAGTCATGTGATTTCTAGCAAGCTCCCAGGTGCTGGTGGTCCCCAACAGTTCTCCGATTTAAGCATTAAAGTTCATCAGAATCATGGGGAAGCTTGTTAAAATAACACAGATTGCTGGGCCCTACCCCAAAAGTTTCAGATTCAGTAGGTGTGGGAGGGGGCTGACAATGTGCATTTCTAACAAGTTCCCAGGTGATACCAATGCTGCTGGTCCAGCCACCACATTTTGAGAGCCATTGCTTTAGATGACACTAATAAACATGTAAGAGGAAAGAAGTGGCACTTATCATTCAACTAATATCCATGATAGGACCTCATTATTAACTGACATTTTATAGCAGGTGAGTGATCTGTTTAACAGTCTGTACTTTATGTACTTGCTCTGTGAAAAAGGCACCACATAGCCCCAGGGTTTTGGGCAACACTTGTGGGCAAAAATAGCCACATCTTTGGAACACCAAAGTATCAAATCCATAGATGTATTTCCCCAAATCCCAAAAACACATTTTCATGTGTATCTATATTTTCTCCTTGCAGCATTCCATATGGCACAACTGGCAACTGTGGATATTGACATGCTCCACATCTCATAAGACAACCTGAGGCACTGGGAATTTCCTTGAACAAGATTTCCCAACTTCAATGCTACTGACATTTGGGGTTGGATAATTCTTTATTTGGGGGGCTTTCCTGTGCATTGTAGAATATTTAACAGCATCTCTGGCCTCTACCCACTAGATGCCAGGAACATCCGTATCCTCCAATTGTGACAACCAAAAATGCTTCCAAATATTATAAAATGTACCCTGAAGGGCACAATCATTCCTGGTTGAGGCCCACTAGTTTATCTGATTCTCATGCATATTTTTATGTAGATATAATAGATCTGGAAAGAGATTATTGAGTCCCACAGCACACCTTGGACAGGACATAAGATTCCTGAGTTGCTGTTTGGTCAGATAATGAATTCGAGCTGATCCATATCATGTTGAGCCTTCTGTAAGCTACTGAGTGGGGAACAGATCTTTCCAGATGAACAACCACACAGATTGTTTTTTTTTTTTTTTTCCAAACATTTTGCTCTTACTCAATTTTACAGCCGATCTGTGAGACCCAAACTCCCTCAGATGTTCTGTCTATTCCCCATCCTAAATGTCAGGATGGGAGAACAGGTTAAAGGGGAAAATCTTAAAAATATGCATATTTAAAATTTTAAAAACATCTTTGGAACATGTATTTTAAAATAAATGTAAGTCAGCTTGAGTTTAAGGGCCTCAGTAATATCCCTGATAAAAACAAGAGCTACATTCTGTAATTGCTATAGTCCATGATAAATAAAAAGGAAATATACATTTTGTACTTACAGAGAAGCCACTGTATAATGACAACCTACTTGTAAACACAATCTGGGTTTACTAACTTGCATCTGATAACAATGCCATACACAGGGCATCAAGTCCTAGAGGGTCAAGGCTGCGCAGTCTAAGGCAGTTTGAGAGAACACTTCCTTTAAACTGAGAACAACAAAGATACCAGTTATTACCTCAATCACTTTGTGATTCCCACTCTGAGCAGGACAGATCCTAAGAACTAGAAAGGACCACAGTCATGATTTCTTTAGCCCGTTTATTTACAAATGGATTTACCAGGGAGGATGACAGCTTCCTTCACTTACACAATTCTGAAAAGAAAAGAGGTCACACTTATATTTTCTGAAATGTACATATTTCTAAAGTCCACAAGCTTCCTCTTTTTAGTCCATTCCTGAGACTAAATTAGATTAGTAGGGTATGATCAAATTGTGATTGCCCACTTGTTTTCGTTAGCTACGGTATAAATCAAATTTCATGCTTCCTTTTGCTGCTCAAGGGGTGTTTATAGTCTGCAGAGTAATGTTAAAGCTGACTTAAGTAAGGCTCTTTGAGAACCATTAATTCTTACTGTTGTAACATAAAACAGCCCAAATCCAAATTTAGACACTTTTTGAATTATTGACACCATGATTCCAGTCCTTTATAAGGAAGGTAAAGACCACTGGCATATACTATTGAATTTTATTTTAAAATAACAATTTCTATCTTTTAAAATGTCTTTTTATTTCCATAGGTTTTTGGGGAACAGGTGATATTTGGTTACATGAATAAGTTCTTTAGTGGTGATTTGTGAGATTTTGGTGCACCCATCACCCTCTATCTTTTTTAGTGACCGAAAAAATGAGTGTTTTTCCCCACCAGCTATTGTTTGAACAATAACTTCATCTAAATAACAGTTGTGCCTCTTGCCCCTAGTCATCTCTTTCCTATTTGCTAAAATGAATCACAGAGTTTTGGAACTTGGGGTACAAACTTTGGACCTTCACAGACCCTGAAATAGTTGTCTTTCCACAACAGCACCCTGGGTCCAGGCACCCACCTCACTTTATACACCCCTACACCCAGCTCAGTTCTTAGGTAACTGTAAATCTGTGGGTTTCAACTAGGGGCGAATTTGCCCCCTCACTCCCCCATCAAACATATGCGATGTCCGGAGACACTTTTGGTTAGTCACAACTTAAGAGCGAGGGTTGTTGCTGCTAACACCTAGAAGGTAGAGGCCAGGGATGCTGCTAAACATCCCTCAGCAAATAATTATCTGGCCCCAAATGCCAAGAGTGCTAACACCGACAAACCTTTTTGTAGAGGTTCTCAGAGACACATTTTCCAACCATATGTTGTATGACTCTATTTCTATGAAATGTACCAAATAAGCAAATCCATAGACACAGGAAATAGATTGGTAGTTGTCTTGTGCTAAGGGGAGGAGAATGGGAATTCACTGTTACTGGGTATGGGATTTCTTTTCAGGTGATGAAAATGTTCTAGAACTAGACTATGGTGATGGTGGCAAACTTTGTAAATACATTAAAAATATACTAAAACCCACTCAAGTGTACCCTTTCAACACATGAACTTTATAGCATATAATTATGTATTAAGTTATTAAATCCGTTTTTATAGACCTTTCATTAAATAGCTTTTATTTCTTACTAAACAAGAGCTTATATTGTAGAGCAGTTTTGAATAGCTGTAGGTTTCTCTGGAGAATATTCTCTGGTAACAGTTTTTGAATGCAACCCTATATTTCACAGGAAAAACATTATGTTCTGTATTTTTAAAGACTTATCTATTTCCAGTTGTTCTTATAATGTTATCATTTGATCTGGGGCCCCAAGGTATGCCTCATTCATCTGTGAGCAAGTGGGTGAAGAGTGTCTGAGCCAGGGCCAGAGCCCAGGGGTCTTGCGTCTGCTCTGACTCTCAATGTGATGTGAAGACAGCCAAGTCATCTGATTGCTTTGTGTTTCTACCTTCTCATTCTTGACACAAGTCTGAGCTTCCAGACGAACTTTCTTGTAGAAACCCTAGCAAGCAAGGACAGTGGATACAAATGCTCAGTGCTTTGCCACTGCAGAGGGGACACAAGTGGATTTCCCTGTCCAACATTCAGGGTCTCTCTGTTCCCAACAGCCCATCTGCCATTGCCCTTTTTCTACCTAAAACCTCTGCTGCTGCCTAGCTGGTCTTTTTCTGCACACCAAGCATGCTCTGCCCATTCCCGTTTCTCTTTCTTCCAATGACTCAGCCCTGTGAGGAAATAGCCTCTATGTCTATCCAAATCCTTCACATCTCCAAAGCCTGAAGCCCCTGGCACACAATGAACAATAGAATTATTTTAGGCAAGGAATTCTACATTTAATTGCTAAGATCATGGAAGCATGAGAAGATGTCACCTTTTGGCCTTCAGCTCCTCTTATGCCCTCCACCTTGCACCACACCAGCAGTGCTGGGTTCCTGCCAGCTAGCTAACACACTGGGCCACTTCCATGCTGGTGCCTTTGTGCTGATCCCAGAGATGCTCAGGCGAACACCTCACCTTCTTCAAGAAATTGTTTAAAACTGACCACCCTATTGAAACGTGCAACTCAGCACGTCTAATCCTTCTTAGCTGCTCTACTTTTTCCTTTTCCATAGGCTTTCTCTTCTGCTGTCCTTATTTATTATATCCATTGTTCATAGTTGCTTTCTGTGAGACTGTGAGTAGGAGTCTTTGTGTGTTTTAATCACTGATGTAAAACATAAACCCAGAATATACCCGGCATGCGGGAGGTGACCAATAAACATTTAAACATGTTAAATGCTTAGAACCATGGCTGGCAATAAAGGTTAGTTTCATCTTCATCATAGTCGTCATCATCAACTTTATCATCGTGGGGCAACACTTACACTATTGTTCTGTACCATTACACCGTGTTTAGCCTTTTAATCTATATTTTACATAATGTATAAAGGCTGTACATTTTTTGAGGGCCGATATCATACCATATATAATATGTGTCCTTTTAAAAATTAAGATATAATTCACATACCATAAGATTCACCACTTTAAAGTGTACAATTGAGTGGCTTTTAGTATATTCACAAGATTGTGCAACCATCACCACTGTCTAACTCCAGAACATTTCTATCATCACAAAAAGAAACCTGGGGCTCATTAGCAGTAACTCCCCATTTCCCCCTTCCCTCAACCCCTGGCAACCATGAATCTACTTTCTGTTTCTATGGATTTTGCCTATTCTTGGCATTTCCTATACAGTCATACAGTATATGGTATTTTATGACTGGCTTCCTTCACTGAATGTAATGTTTTCAAGGTTCATCCATGTTGCTGTATGGATCAGTGCTTCATTCCATTTTATGGCTGAACAATATTTTAAAAAACTACTAATCTATGTATGTCTCCACTGAACCTCAGCAGGAAAGTTGAACTTACTTTGGTATATTTTACCCAATAAACAGGAATAAAAATGCTTGTTTTTACATTACTGTCCTACCTCTTTTAACACAGATGTACCATTTTCACTCCTGACAGTTACCAGTTAATTATAATCCAAACAACACACTCTTCAACTGCATATAATTTCCCTTGTTGAAAATTGTTCCACCTGATATTTAGCAAATGCCTACGGACTTTTCAAATTACAAGCTGTATGAACTCTTGCTGTGAATGTTTATATTATTAAAATATTTCCTACTCATGATTTAAAAGGGCTCTCTCACTTTAAAAAATCGTGTGTTTTTTTTTGTCTTGGATTTTATGTTGAACCTTTTTTCCCCCTAAGAATGAACATTGGATATACCCAGGGCCTATGCAAGTAGCACTATCACTTACTCATCTCTCTTGCTGAACATGAGTGAGAAATATCATACTCCAAACTTCTCGTATTTCCCCTGCATTTGTTGCATTCACAGATTATTTAAAAGAAATAAATTTAAACCTCGGCTACCCAGAGATTTTCAAGGAGTCCCTAGATAACTACTGTGTTTTGGCGAATATCTCCCCAAATGGAGAGAAGGGAGAGCAGGGAGGGAGGGAGAAAAAAATTAGAGAAGGGGACTTTAAAAAATCTATTTTTCCACTTAACAATGTATCACCAACATCTTTTTATGTTGACAAACGCAGAGTGACATCCTCATCTTGAATGCTATTTGTGCCATAATCGATTTGAACCAGCCCCGCTATTGGTAGACATTTTGTTTTAAATGTTACTTCATAGGCCAGGCGCAGTGGCTCATGCCTGTAATCCCAGCACTTTGGGAGGCCGAGGCAGGCAGATCATGAGGTCAGGAGATGGAGACCATCCTGGACAACATGGTGAAACCCCGTCTCTACTAAAAATATAAAAATAAGCTGGGCATGGTGGCATGTGCCTGTAATCCCAGCTACTTGGGAGGCTGAGGCAGGAGAGTCACTTAAACCCGGGAGGCAGAGATTGCAGCGAGCCGAGACTGTACCACTTCACTCCAGCCTGGGCGACAGAGCGAGACTCTGTCTCAAAAACAACAACAAAAAATTATCTATCATAGTGTATTTGTTTGGAGTATATTATAATTTGAACTAAGAGGTCAGAGCCAAATGTAATGAGACTGTTAGGATAATAGATTCTAGCGCTTTTACAGCATCTCCCTTTTCAGATACTTATCAGAGGTCATTTGCACAGAAGTCCACAGGAGCAGTTGAGAGCAATGCTGAATTATCCATCTTAGCTATTGAAAAGGTCCATCTAAATCACTGTAGGATTTCTTTCAGAATCCACATTTTCTATGTTTACAATGTCATGGAAAACTTTTCTACATTTTCATTAATTCATCAACACATTTATCTAGCACCTACTTTGTATAAGAGCTTTTTCTAGGTACCAAGGAGCTCCCAAGAAAGTATAAGACACAATACCTGATTTCTAAGGGTTGCGGTGGGGTCAAAGTTACGATGTGTATCGGAATTCATCGGTGGTTTTGTGCCTAAGATCTGAAGATCATACAACTCCAACTCTACCCCAGCAAAAAAAAAAAAAAAAAAGCTATCCTAGAGAATGATGTTTTCTTGTAAGTAAACATCTACAGAGAAAATATTTAAAAGCCAGCTTTGGCTCCAGCTACTTAAGAAGACTCACTGTTGAAATTATTCCAGAATATTGGATAACCCTGGGGATGCTTTAAAAGAAGGCTCAAGAGTTGAACTCTTACAGATGATAGGAAAGGCTTTGCAAACTCATAATACCTGACTTATCCAAAGGCCACCCTCATACCCCGAGTGCTGTTGAAACCCAGGCAGTAAGCCAGTGGAGAGGAACCCCAAAACAAACCAAACACCCTCCCAGCAGTCAAAAATAAGTGTCACAAAACCGAAATTCATTTGCTTTTCTCACAGGCGAGGCCCTCCCAGGCCAGCCCCACTTAGAGTGTTCCTTTACTTTCAGTTCACGCATACTTTTAACAAGCTTGGGCATATGATTTTCTAGCATACTGTAAATTAGAAGCAGCAAATTAGAAGTGGGGAAGTTGCTAACATAAGCATTGTGAGAACAGCAAAACGTACTGGGCTGCAAGTCAAGAAAAAGAATACCTACTACAAAAAAATGAGCAAAAGAACTATTTTATGCAGTCAATTTATTCATAAATAAAATAATTGCTTATAGGAAAAATATTTCAATTGAAATTTCATTTTCCTCAAAACATTTACCAATTTTTAAGCTGTGTAAGTGGGGCCTAAATTAGTGGAAGAGATTTCAAACAGAGATCCATATTTTAATGTCCTATGATTCAGGATATGCAGTAGGGGAAAATCAATTATTTCTATGGAATCGGCCATCAAAGCTTGTTCAACTGTCCATGGTGAATTAGCGGTAACTCACTATCCAGTGGTCCAGAGGAATTAATGCCACATTAAGGCAGCATCCTGTTGATCATTATGGCCAAATATATCATCCTCTCATTCTTAGAAGGTGAGAAAAAGTATAAGATCAATCTTTCTAAAACTACAAGGCTACTAGTAATTCATCATTGACTTCATTAGTAGAGATTACCCACAACTTTGTAGAAAAAAAAAATATCCTGAATCCTTTCAGACACTCCAATATATGTAATTATATAAAATGGGGGAAAAAGATTGAAAGTGAATAAAATGTGATCCACATTTTCCTTCCTCTCCCTTACCACCTTGCTGTACACCCCTGCCAATCCTCCTAAGGTCCATTTTCCAACTTCCTTCAAAGGGAATCCTTCTTGTCTCTGCTATAAAATTCACCAATAAATATATTCATAAATAAAGCCAAATCCTGGGGACATTTGGCTTTTAGAATCATATTCTATGTTTCTTTTCATGCATACATTTTACCTGTTATAATCTTCTACTTCCTTCTTTGCAATCTCTCTCTCCCTGATTGGAAGGTCTTACCTTTCTTTGCAATATTCATCCCTACTGATTTATCCCCAAAGATCATCTTGGAATCTTGTTTATTAGCATTCTTTAAACATTTACTGTATGCCAGCTGACAGGGTTGGGGAGAGTAATAAATAGACTTCCATTTCCCCAGAGATGTCACTCATCTACTTTTCACATGAATTCCCTGAGCTAGGTTCTGTTATTATTTCCATTCTACATATCAGGAAATTGAGGCTCAGACAGGCTAAGTAATTTGTATATATACGTATAAACATATGTATATATACAAACTTTATAAGTATTACTTGTGTATTCAAAGAGATCCAAGTATAACATCAACTGTATCTGGGTAGATATTCAGTATCTCCTTTATTGATCTAATATTGATGGACGACTCGTCAGTTAGCTCCTGCCACTAATTACAACTTTGCTCAATTAGATCAATCTAATCAAATTCCAGAATGAAAGAAAAAGCCCATGTGTTATACCAAGGTAGAGGGGTAAAACACACATGAATTTAATAGGTAGATGATCAGAGGTTCTTTTAGAAAGTGAATAGCTTTGGTCATTGCTTAGGGAAAGGGGAGGCTGCTGAGAACATGGAAACAAAGTAGCTAGCCAGACAGTTAAGAGACTCTGAAAAATAGAGAGGAATTTGGGTTTGCCTGTATGAGAAAGTGGGATTGGGCCAGAAGGATATGGGCAAAGAAGGGCCGCCATACTGAGAGGCCAAGCTGCTCTGTGAGATGGGAGGCAAAGGACAACATCCCCTGTGACATGAGTTTGCTTGTAAAAAACAAAATTTACTTTAAAATGTGCTGTCTGGTGTGCACTCCTTGCCTTGTAGTATAGATCATCAGTAAAAGCTTTGCTACTGCAAGAACCTTAAGTTCCTGATTGTTTTTACGGTAGATGGGTTTCAGCATGGGGCCGAGAAGGGGCTTTGTCCCCTGTTTTGGTGGACACCAGAGGGGTGATAAAGGAGTAGCCAAGGGGAACAGAGAAAAAATACCTTCAATGGAAGCAGATAATAGAGCAGTGGTGATCCCAAAATTATAATTCCTCAGAGAGAAACTAGAGAGAGCTTTGGGGTTTTACCCAAATGGGAATTTGAATCAATTTCTCCTGATCTGAAAGGGCTGGAAAAATCCTGGAGGATATCCAGATTACACTAGAGAATCTCAACCACCTACCTTGATTTTTGTAAAGAACAACGTTGTTTGCTAGAACTGAGGAAAAGGCGATGGCAGAGAAGCTTTTTAAAAATAAATCTGAATATATCAACATGTACAGTCAACTAATTTGCTGACTTCAAAATAGCGTGATGAAACTCTTTGCCTGTTAAACCTATTATTGCCCATAATGAAAGATTCCATATGCACTAATCACAACATACAGCCTTATGTCTGATCATAGCTTCTAAAAAATCATGATACAGGGATTTTTAGTTATACTCAACACATTTTTCCTTTAGAAACTGGATTGGTTGTTACAGATGCCATGAATGATATAAATTGAGCTTATAGTTGGAAGAAATCTAAAGGATCAAGCATCCCTGAGTTTCAAACAGAAACTTGCACTGAATACATTCAAAGGTATGTGGATTTTATTTATAATTTGATATCCTTTTTATTGTGCTTATTTCTTTCTCTGCATTTCTTTTAAAAGATATAAATGTATTCTACATTTCTAATACTATATGCCATCAATAGTTACTTTTTAGTTGGCCCATAATTAAATTAGACTCTGATTACTGAAATGATTTTTAACTTTATAATGCAACAAAGTGCTTGTCTAATTCCAAAGGTCTTTCTTGGCCACATTTCACAGTAAAATATTTATTTTAATTAATTATCGATTAAAGTAAAAATAATACATTCACAGGCTGTGATCTACTACTTTGAAAAGCTTTTTATTTAATTACATAAAATAGAACCATCCATGAAGTGTTTTTTCTCATTAACCCAAACAAACAAACAAACAAAAAACAAATTTAGGAGTTAGAAAACTTTAGTGTACTTTTCATAGACAGCATTATCACATGTAATATTCACTTCTTATACAAAATTTAAGGTCTTTCTTCTGACAGTTTTCCCAGTAATTTGTGCCACAAATCAATGTGCACATTTTAGGAGGACCTGTTTTGCTTAATGTCCCAAGGGTCTTATTTATAGAATAATTACAGTGCAACATCAAACAAAATGAAGATTCCATTGAAAGAAAATGAAACCTCTTAGGGAGAAAGTATTCAAAATTCATTGAAGAATCACATAAAATTCGTACCATCCTCTCCTGTTGGTTCAGCCACATCTTTTGCTCCACAATCTGGAGCTCAGAGATGTTACTGGAGGGTCTTGCCTGAAGTTCTGTAGATAGGAATTTCTGGAACTAAAATCTATCTTGGCAAATTAATATATTTTCTCAAATGATTAGTCCTTGTTTTTAACAGTAGCAATGTCCAGGTAGACTGTGCACGAGACATTTCTGTGCCTCCTTGTTCTAAAATTATAAAATACTGTGCACTTTGATGATCTTCCCAACCTTTAGAGCCAACTTTATTCCTTTAATCATTAATTATAAATACAATTTAGCTTCTATGACTAAGGGCTGTATAGGCATAGGAAAATGGCATGCAAAGTCATATGAAGATAGATCATTCATGTCCCTGTAACTTGTTTAGCCCTCAACCTAAATTAAATGCATCTTTATCACTACTGTGACTCCAGAAACAATGAAATAGGCTGAGAGCTGGAAATCACATATGACTGAAGTAAATTCACAAACAATGGCTCCATCCTTCTTACTAGCAATAGACTAATGTAGATTATGTGTGTTTTATGGAGCATTCATTACATCCATGTTTCAGAAGAGATAAGAAAAGTGGATGTTGACTTACATTTCAGAACCATCAAGAAATGGGGACCTGGATTTTATTTGCCTGCCTCCTGGGAGCAGCTTTTGCCATGCCTGTGAGTAAAACACCCCTTGCATAAGTCAGTGTCCAATTTCACAAACTTGGACATAAAAATCTGCTCATAGTTGGTGAAATTAGGGTTTAAAACAGTATGAGATCAGATGTCTTCATATGTCTCTGGGTTGAAGAAACACTTCAGGAGCTTGTTTTAAAAAGGTATATTCTCAAATGCCGCTACCAAAAATTCTGATTTGGTACAGCTGGGGCGGGGCCCAGGACTCTGCATTTTTATAAGCACCCCAGGAGATTCTGTTGGAACTGTTAGCTTGTAAATATCACCACCCATCTCTAGATGGAGGAAGCTTTTGGAAGGGACCCTTGAAAGGTCTCCAGAGAAAGTGCTTAACCAGCTTTGGACAAATATTACAGAGATGCCAGTTTTGTCTAAAACCCAATTCCTCTCAAGATTCCAAATCTCTTCCTGCCCTCCACATATTGCTGCTCTTACCCCTCAGGGGGTAAGATTTTTGTGTTAGGAATCCACTTTTTGAGCCACATTCCTGTTCTCAGAGGCCCCACCCCTTTGGGTACATCTGATGAGTACGTGACTTTTTTGTGGTTGCCCGGGATCCTGCCTACACCCAATACATAGTGATATATTTTATATTCAAATGTATTAAAGATCAGGACATTAGACCCACTCTGTCTGGACACAGGTGCATAAGGGCAGAGAACTTAGATCACATGCATGCCAAGCAGGCTGCATCTGCTTTTTGGTGGAATAAAGAGCAGTTGATACAACCAGAAGCCAGCAAGCTTGCACCCTTGCCTCCTCTCTTCCTCTCTCACCCACAAAACCAAGATTCTGTGCTCTGACTTCCTGAAATCCTGCATTGCAGCGATTCCTAGTTTCCTCAGGGGTCCCTGCCTTACAAATTCAGCCCTTTTCCCACTCTCTAAGATGGTATTGTTCAAGAGGGTATAGGACCTGACTAAAACCATTCACATCCAGATGAGAGAGAATAAACCTTCCCATGAAATGTGAGCATTTTTAAAGAATATAATAGAGCCAATCCTAAATGAGGCCAATGTCTGAGGGAGATTTTCTGCATGACCGTCTCTCCTCCCTGGACCCCAGGCACAACCAGAGTTCCACAATACAGGCACCAGACACTTGGGCCCCACTTTTGAGAGGACAGACAGTCCTGATTCAGATCATCATTCAGGTGGCCTTTTATTTTTAACTTGAAAATTTTTCTGCCATAAAACCGTTGGCAGAATAATAAAAAAAGATCGGCCTAAACGTCATAAATCAACTCTTTCATTTTCCATGGGATTTATAATGTTTCCACTTTGCTCCACCCATCTTGTTCTGGCATTCATCAATAATTCCCACCTTGTGGTTTCTTTTGTGGCTTCTTTTGTTGTATGGAAGTGTTGTTTACTTTGCATGTCAATTATGAGAAATCCCTTTGATACTTAAAAGTACTTGACCACCTCCTGATCTACAAGGGAACATTCGTGAGACAATTCTCTCCTTGTTGATATTTCTTTATTGTGAAAGAGAAACACACTTCTCTCCCCATTATGGGGTGAGTTTTATCAGCAAGTAAACTGTTGGGCAGGATAGGGTAGGATTCATTGAAAACACTGGGCGTGGGGGTGGGATGCTGTCCAAAGATCACTGGAGAATAAATGTGTGCTGGTTTCTGCTTCCAGGTCTCCAGCCATAAGGCTATAACCCCAGGAACAGTCATTTAGCTGTTCTGAACCTCTTTAAAATAAAAGGTCTCCTCTTCTATACAGCACATTTGTTCAAACTAAAAACAGACCTCAAGTATATTCTGCACTATATAGATTTTTTTAAAGTAGCTTCAGTCTCCTTTAATGTGAACAATTGCATACTGACTTAATCTCTTCCTCTCTCTTCTCTTCCTTCACTCTCTCCCTTCCTCTCTCTTTCTATTCTCCTCCCCTCCTCCCTGTAAAAGCTACCACCTCATCCTGGGCACCCTGGTTATATCAACTTCAGCTATGAGGTAATTTTTCTCTTTACTAATTTTGACCATTGTTTGCGTTAACAATGCCCTGGGCTCTGTAAAGAATAGTGTGTTGATTCTTTATCCCAGATGTTTCTCAAGTGGTCCTGATTTTACAGTTCCTACCACCAGCTTCCCAGTTTAAGCTCTGATGGTTGGCCTCAAGCCTGTGTCGTCCCAGCAGCCTCCCGCCTGGCCACTCTGACTCAGTCTGTCCTCCTAAATATGGCCGTAAGCTTACCCATCATGAACCACTACTCAGGGAGGCTCCATGATAGGGCAAAAAGTAAACTCTGACCAGCTTGGTTCTAACCCAGCTAGTAAAATGTAAGGATTAGGTAAGATGTTATTTAAAACTCTTTCCAGCTCAAAAAACTCCTGATTCTAAGATAGTCACACTCTATGTGTGTCTCTTGCTTGCCTCTGCTGAAATATTAGTGACTAAGTGGTATAGGAGAGACTCCGCAGAACAGCGGAATGCATGAGTTTTGGACGTCGGGTTTGAGGTTCTCCTCAACCTCTTACTAACTTTGTGATTTTGGGCAAATCATTTCCTCTTTCTGGAACCCTGGTTTCCTCATCTGGAGAAAGGAAATAATTATAATAACCATATTTCAAAATATTGTTTGGAGAGTAATATAGTTAATGAATATGAAAAGTGCTTTGTCAAGTATAATATGAGCAAGGTTACTGATTATTTTTTGTATCGATTAAATGCCGTATTACTATATGAAGAATCCTCAAACCTAAGGCTAACCAAGTATATATACTGTTCAGAAAGGAATAAGATTCTTACTTCTCTCACAGGTTCAGGTAACAATCTATGAGTTTATTTACTTATAAAAGCTGAAGACAAATGTTAGTAAGATTTTGAGGCAAGATTTTCTGTTGAACCGAAAAGATTGACACATCTGATCAGTCAATCTGTGTTTCTAGGATGAGGGACAGTGTTTGCACCTCTCTTTTTCCCATTGTGACATCAAAGAAAAAAATGAAATTAACATCATGTCATATTATTATGTCATAATTTTGTGTTTGTTTTGCTCTTACAATGAAAAGAAGGAACTATGGAATTAAACAGATTTACTCCCTGTGTAACCTCAGTCAAGTTAATGAATCTCTTTAACTCCCCATAACCTTATCTAAAAAGTGAGAGTAATAATACTTGCCTCCTAGCATATAAGAAAAGATGAAGAATGTGTGTGATGGATGTAAACACAGTGCCTGTCACACAGGAAGCACCCAACAAATTTTTACCTTCTTCTTTCTTTTGTAGAACTCACATTCTCAGGCTATCAATGTTGACAGGACTGCATTAGTGAGTCTATATTTCCTACTGCATCAGTGAGTTTCTATATTGGATGAAAGTAAATTAAATCAAATGGGTTCTAATATCTTTTTCTCTTAAGGTGCTTACCCCTTTGAAGTGGTACCAGAGCATAAGGCCACCGGTATGTAGACATTTTGTTCCTTATTCCCTGAAAATATTAGGCATGCATTAAAATTCCCATATTAAGTGAAATATCATGTCTACTCCACATGCAGACATTAATGGGAAATTTAGTTTGTAAAAAATCATATCTGTGTACACAGTTACAAATTTTTGCAAAGGAAAAATGAATAAAATATTCCTATAGCCATAATGGCAAAGAAAACACTGCTGCTTCTCTGGTTGGAGTCACCTGAGCCAATGGTAAACCTGCCTCTCTGTTTCTCACCAGTACCCTTCCTATGGTTACGAGCCCATGGGTGGATGGCTGCACCACCAAATCATCCCCGTGCTGTCCCAACAGCACCCCCCGACTCACACCCTGCAGCCTCATCACCACATCCCAGTGGTGCCAGCTCAGCAGCCCGTGATCCCCCAGCAACCAATGATGCCCGTTCCTGGCCAACACTCCATGACTCCAATCCAACACCACCAGCCAAACCTCCCTCCGCCCGCCCAGCAGCCCTACCAGCCCCAGCCTGTTCAGCCACAGCCTCACCAGCCCATGCAGCCCCAGCCACCTGTGCACCCCATGCAGCCCCTGCCGCCACAGCCACCTCTGCCTCCGATGTTCCCCATGCAGCCCCTGCCTCCCATGCTTCCTGATCTGACTCTGGAAGCTTGGCCATCAACAGACAAGACCAAGCGGGAGGAAGTGGTGAGTATATTTTGAAGCCACTACAATGCAAATCCTGTGAAAATGGTGCAGCAAAATAGGCCCCAGAGTTCTAAGGTCTCCGACAACCAAGGATCTAGAGTTGTAGTAGTTACAGGTCTATGATTCTATTAGTCCAAGCAATATGCTATACCTTTATGTTAAAGACAAATTCCTCTAAATGGCTTGGTAATTAAGACCACAGTTTTTATGGTAGGTTTCAATTTTACTATTACTGAATTTCTACCAGAATATGTATTACCAAAACCCATTAATAGAAATATATATTACTAAACCCCATGAATTTTAAGGGCAACAGTATAAGGGAATATCAGTTCTCCTTATATTTCAAAGGTTTGACTAGCAAGAATAGGCTAGAGTTGCACTGAAGGCTTAAGACAAGAGGGAGCGGATAATTTTGAGAGTGCAAATATCTGAACAGGCTACAAAAGGTAGACGGGAAATCTCTTCAAAAACCTACAGGAAGATTCCCCATTTCCAGTAGTTTTCAATCTAACTTGGAGGCGGCTAAACTAAACATACTGTTAGATTCCTTTTCTGTACTGGGGTTCTATAGATGATTAAGCTTTTAGCAAGAAGTTACTGCAATTTAGCACTAAATCTTCCATTACAGGTAGCTCTTACAAATGAATGGGAATAGTCAACAAAACAAACTTAATCTACATCCATAAAGTCTTACTTCTATGTATACGAGATTATGTGATCCTATCATGTATATGTATCCAACTGTAATTCCAATTTATACATGTTATTGATGATTTGCTACTGAGAAGAAGAGAGAAGTGAGGTGGAAATGACCAGGATAAGAAGCCAGGACACAAAGGTTCCAATTCTGGCTTTGCCCTCAAAGACGAGGCAGTATTGTAAAAGTTACTTCAAATGTATCGGTGTTTTATTTTCTTTTAAATGGGGGAAAATGACGAAATCAGATTATTTTCAAGTCTCTGTCCAATTATAAATACCATAGTTTCTGAATTTAAAAAAATCATAATATATGTCATAAATGGCTTCATAATTGTGAGCATGTTTACGGAAAATATGGGGCAGAATTTTTTGAAAATTGATTGAATCCCAAGTAATCGGTGCCTATCATTGGCTATTCTAGTCCAAGGCACATGTTCTCTCTGTACATAGAAAATGCATTTACTTCTTTATGAATAATTAATACCATGAACTTTATAATGTGCTCACATCTTGACAAAGCTATTTATGGAAAGGTGACTTTGGGCAGATAGTTTGAACTCTTTAAAACTCAGTTTCTTTTTGTGTAAAATTTGAGTATAAACATTGATAGTTTCTTAGAGTTGTTTTATGGAAAACAAAATAGCGTGATAAGCTTGGAGCCTGACATGCAAGACGTACCCCCCAAAAAGGTAGCAATTGTTATTTTATTATAAAATAATAGGCTTTAAGTGTCCTGAAGGTGGAAGCAGTCCTCATGGACACCTAATATCTAATGACAACGAAATAACAAAGAAACTTCAGAAATTATAGAGTTCAACTTAAATGGTTGTACATTGTTTTGACAAAACTGAAGCCAGACATGTTATTGTAAATGGTACTCACTAGGAACATTTGTAAATTATTTTAACTGTTCTTTTGCAATTTTTTTCAGGATTAAAAGATCAGAAGATGAGAGGGGAATGAATACTTCAGATGCTTTCAGGAGTGACACAAGAACACAATGATTTTTGCTTATAATCACTTTACTTAGCAAATTCTGTAACTAAAAAAGTACCATTAGCAGACAATAAAATGCATTAAAAATCATTCATGTCTTTGTGTTGAATGAAACTTAAATTTTCCTATCATTTGAGATGATATATTATGAATGAGTATTCTTGAATCAGGTAGGAACTGCTCATTTAGTCATACAAATTCACCATTTGGCAAGCAAATAAGGAATATATTTCTTTTTAGAGAAAATTTAAATTATACTGTCTCAAATCTTTTTTAAAAAACAAAGTTTATACATCAGTTAAAACAGTTGATAAAATGAAAATTTATGAATATGTACAATAACTAAAACCTGAACCAAATGAAGGGAAGTTTATATGAAAAATTCTTTACATTAAGAAAGATAAACTTTTGAAGAATGTTTATATTATGAAACAAAATAGGACATGGAACACTGGCTTTACACTTCACACCACACTGGCAATCAAAATCTGGTCTTTTGATCTCATTCTATGGAAAAAAGATTTTTAAATGAAATTATGTGATATGCATAATAATGTACTGAATTTAAAGTTATTCAAGTAATTTGTTTTCCTCAAAAAATGTTATCAATGGAGCTTCAAATAGAGAATTGCAGTGATTTTAAACACAAGTCATTTCTTTCACCTCATAACTTTAAGATAAATTGTACTGTATAGTCTTCAAAATGTTAACAAATGCATAAAATGGACTCAAAACAAGTTTTCTTTCTCACTCATATTTATATTTGAATCCTTTTTTCTTCCTACACCCACACAGAATTGTAAACAGTCTTTGCAGGGTTTATATTACACAAACCCATGGTAACTTTATTCCAGTACCTTTATGATTAAGGCCCCTTAATCATTTTCTGGAATGAATAAACATAACTTTATTGGGAGGGTGTCAATATTCAAACAAATAACTTGATTTTAAAGAATTTAGATTCAATTTTTTAAAGGTAGAAAAGCTTTTAATCAATTGGCATGGACCAATTCTAATCAATTGAGTCAATATTTATTAAGCACACTCTAGGGCAAGGCACTATTCCATGTGCTGGTGAAAAGAGCAAGGCCCCATCCTTAAGGAATCTAGAATCTACCAAAGGGGTAAAATAAGCCCACAAATAACAATTAAAAAGGCCAAATGGTATTAATACTATGACAGAAGTACAGTCAAAACACTCTGGCAAATATGGCAAATATCCTTGGCTAGCTGTCCAACAGCTTTCCTCACCACTCCTTTCCTGTTGGCAGAGCTGGAATCAATCCCAGCATTCAGCCACGGTTTCCAAATCAAAATTCAGATACGTAGTGTGATAATACAGAGGAATGTTTCAAACCAGAGACATACATTAACTGGTAATTATACTCTAATACTTGCACTGTCAAATATGGTAGTCCTGTCCTATGTGGCTATTTAAATGTAAATAAATTAAAATTAAATAAAACTTAAAATTCAATTCCTCCGTCATAGTAGACACATTTTAAGCGCTAAATAGCCACATGGGGCTAGTGGCTACCATTCTGGACAACACAGATACAGAATATTTCCATCACCATTCAGTTTTATCAGACAGCATTGCTCTATGTACTACTTCTTGAAGTTGAAAAATAATTCTTATTAATTCAAATATTTTAAACAAAAGATGAAACAAAACAGATTTGCTGGTTGAAACTGAAAATCTCAGCTACCCACAGCAAGTTGTTCCCCAAGCATGCCAGTAATCCTGATCCTCTATGAGAATTTTCTAAGAACTGTAGAAGTGCCATTCTCTTCCTCAGGCCAAACTTTACATACTAAAATGGTTTCCCCTCTAGCTTTCATTTAGAACAGATAAATCCAGAGTTCAGAAGATATTTACATTCTTTTCTATTTTGTGGTTCAAACTAATAGTGCAACATAACATAGAGGGAGGCACACATTCACGTTACACACACTCACACACCCATAACCACGCATGCTTTCTGGGTTTACCTGTAGTAAAAAGACACATGTGGAGACATGTGCCATTTGAGTAACTTGAAATTTTAAATAAAACTTCTTTCCATTACAATCATTTAGAGAATGATTATGTGGTTATGGTATTCATTATCACCACCAAGACATACTACAGTTCTTCCAATACAAAAATCATATCAAGAAAAAAAGATCAAGCTGTGCATTTCATTTCCAAGCAATGTCAAGTTTACCATCCCCTTTCTCAACTCCACACAAAATAAAAATACAGACTTTTCTCTAAATCCGAAGTTTTTCCTTTGGTAGTAAACAATAGCTGAAAATACCAAGACTGAGTTTAAGGCCAAGACTTTTAAAAAGAAAATAAATTAGTAGACAACTGTATTAATTGGGAAAAAATAACCCAAGAGATCCTAGTATGAACAGCTTAACATGAGACTAACAAGAGAAAAACGACTTCAACCAATTTCCTACATTTCCAGAACATAGTAGCATTTAGTAGTACTCCACATTGCTTTAATAAAATAGTCATCAGCTTATGTCTGTTGTGAAATTCTTGTTAGTTGGAGTTTTTACTTATTTTTGTGATTTGGCTTTCAATTCCTTTTGCCCCTATTTGATCTGGAGCCTTAACAGCAAGGGCCATAGGCCGACATTTAGATATTAAAAAATACCTCCCTGTTGGGAAAAGTCCATGCTGGCCTCATTTGAAACACCTGACTCTTCCAGACGATAAATAATTATTGAGGAATAAGATTGGGCTGGGAGTGGTGAGGATTTGAAGAGAGAAGAAAGGAGTGGTCATTTGGGTTCGAAACATTTACCTCAATAAATCACACTTGAATCCTCTATCACAAAATCTAAATTAATAAAGCCCATTTGCAAATATCATTGTCCTATGGTCAACAAAAAACACCACAGGACCCAGAATTCACTTTACTATTAATTTTAAAAATGAACGATATTAAAATCTCAATTCCTCCAAACAGCCAAATTTTGTTTGCCTCTCCAAATAATTTTCCATGCTTCATATTTGGCCATGGAATGTGCAGGCTCTGGGGGTGTCAGTTAAGTGTCCACAGAAGCACAAAGCCGGCTTTCCAGTGTGATGGTAGGGGGTGCAGCCTCCATAACCAAACCGTTTGATTCACAATCATGACCATTGCCTATCTGCTGTGGAAACTTGGACAATTTTTTTGGCCTCTCTATGGCTCAGTACACTCGTCTATAAAATGTACTAATATCATGCTCTGCTCTGAGTCTTTTCATGTTAATGAGCCCCAAGCTCAATAAATGTTAGCTACAGTTCTTGTAATCAGAAAGAGAGCTTTGTCCTGCCTCTGTAGACTCCCAAAGAGAACACTACCCAGTTGGAAGCAGGAGTGATACAAAATTAGGATATGACATGGAAGTTTTTGATGCCACAGGCACTGAAGTACATCACGTTTGTCTTTTTTTTTTTGAGACAGAGTCTTGCTCTGTCACCCAGGCTGGAGTGCAGTGGCATGATCTTGGCTCACTGCAACTTCCGCCTCCTGGGTTCAAGTGATCCTCCAGCCTCAGCCTCCCAAGTAGAGGGGATTACAAGAGTGAGCCACCACACCCAGCTAATTTTTGTATTTTTAGTAGAAACGGGGTTTCACCATGTTGGCCAGGCTGGTCTTGAACTCCTGACCTCAAGTGATCTGCCCACCTCAGCCTCCCAAAGTGCTAGGATTACAGGTGTGAGCCACCATGCCCGGCCCATGTCTGTCATTTATCAGTGCATCACTCTGACAGTGTAGCCACCTGAACACCTCCCTTACTGATTGTGACCCTAAATGATCTTTGCCTTCTCCTACCTGATATCCCCAGACACTGTTCTTTGCTGCCTCCAAGACAAGCCTTCATCCTCAATTCACCACTCTGAGGGTAACAGGAGAGCAACACCAGGCAAGTGTCATGGGGGCGCTCCACTAAGTGGAGGCTAGAACTTGAGACCACCTCTCTCTGCATGTCTTCCTTTTACCTTCTTTCTAGGGCTGAGCCTTTGTGTACAGTGACTCCCAACTCAGACCCTTCCCTTGTCACTCTGGCATTGGCACAATTCAGCTAATTCCACATTATAAGGATTTCATTTTTCTTTCTTTTACTTTTTTTTTTTTTTTTTTTTTTTTTTTTGAGATGGAGTCTCGCTCTGTCGCCAGGCTGGAGTGCAGTGGCTCAATCTCGGTTCACTGCAATCACCACCTCCCAAATTCAAGCGATTCCCCTGCCTCAGCCTCCTGAGTAGCTGGGACTACAGCCAGGCACCACCATGCCTGGCTAATTTTTTTTGTATTTTAGTAGAGACAGGGTTTTACCATGTTGGCCAGGATTGCTCAATCTCCTGACCTCCTGATCTGCCTGCCTCAGCCACCCAAAGTGCTGGGATCACAGGCGCGAGCCACTGCACCCGGCCTTTACCAAACCGTTTTCCTCTAGATGAGTGGTTCTTAAGCAGGTACAGTTGTGTCTCCTAGGGGACCTTTGGCAATGTCTGGAGTCACAACAGGGATCTAAACAAATCAAAACAGCTTGGGGAGTGGTAGGGGTGTTAAGGAGAATTTGCAAAATAAAGAAAGTGCTGTCCCGTGATTAAGTCAGCTAATGTCTCTAAATCAAAACTATCCTGTTAAAAGCCCAGATTTCACCACTACACAATATATCCATGTAAGAAAGCATGTCCACCCTCTAAATCTATAAAATAAAAAAAGTAAATTAAAACAAAATTTTTAAAAACCGTCCGACAGAAGTTAGAATAGTTATTTGCTTCTTCAGAACTTACTTAGAAGTGAGTATTTGTTTCTTGGGAGGTTACAAGAAGCTTGTCTCCTGTGAGTTAATTGTTCCTGCTTGTTTGACCTTCCAAAGATGTGCTAAGGAGCTAATTGTAAATCAGACTGAAGAACCTCTGAAAGTGATTGTGTCTACCCGAGTGATAAAGAGGAGAAAATAATAAATTTAGCCATGAGTGTAACTACTGAATTCAAGGTTATTCAATTAGTCTGGGATAAGTTCTGTTCTGAGATTTGCTTGGATCTGGCAGAATAATGAGAAATGAGTGGTTCTGTCCATAAAGTGGGCAGTAATTTAAGATGCCTTAATTCTCATGATTTTCAGAACCACCACTCTCCAAAAGAATGATTCTTTTGATTAAGAAGTTTTTGTTACAAAATTGTTACAGAATAAAACCCCTACAGCCATGGAGAATATAAAGCAGTGTATTGTAAGGAGAGAAGATGATTAAGCACTGACCTTGGGCAGCTGAGAATATCTGACAGACCCAGGCCATCGAACACCCTATCTGTCCAAATAACCAACTCAAGGCACTTCTGAAGTGAGGATCTCCCTGCCTCCTTGCTGCTGTATCCCAAACATCCGGGAGCAGCCATCAGTGACCCTCACCTCAATGCCACCTCTTCTAGAAATCTTCTCTCACTGCTCTACGTTGGCTGGCACTCCTGGAAGTGAGGTTCCCCTGTCTCCTTGCCCCCATATCCACACATCTGGGAGCAGCCATCAATGACCAACACCTCAATGTCACCTCTTCTAGAAACCTCTCTCGCTAGTCCACAGGGCTGGAGTGCACAGGCTCAGAGGTTTCCCAGGATATGTTGACCATGCCTCTATTTCAAACAACTGCTTCTTTCTACTTTTGTCTCCCCCTTAGCTGTCAAGCTCCTTGAGGCAGATTTGGAAAAATACCTGGAAACTGGTCAGTATGCTTAATATCTGCTCAATGAGCCATCATTAGCATTAAACACCCAGGATGCTGTCATATAAAAGTAATGATAATAATAACACTGAACATTTACTGGGCTTATTATATTTCAGGCACTATTCTAAGCACATGACATGTATTAGCTCATTTAATTCTCACAACGTTATAGAATTGTCTCTATCACCAATTTACAAATGAGGGTTTGAACTTTAAATTTTAACAAGAAGTTAGGCTCTTTTAAAACACACACACACTGCCCCATTTTTTATGAGTACCATTTGAAAGATAAACTAATTCGTCATCCGCCTCTAGGATTCTAATTAAACAATCTATAGCTATTTTTAATGGCAAATGTAAATTCAACTCCATTAGAGTCATGAAGCTTGTCTCCTGTGACTTAATTTTTCCTGCCCATTTGTCCTCCCAAAAATATACTAGAGAGCTAACTGTAACTCAAAATGAAGAATCCCTAACTCATTAAATGCTCTGTAGTTGCATGAGGGAGTTGCCTCTTGTGCTAAACTGCCAAAGATGGGGAGGAGACAGCTACAAACATAGGCAAGTATCCCCTACGCTAGGACAACATTGCCATGGCAACCAGGGTAAGGGCAACCAGCTTTGAGTGTGAACCTGCTCATGGATGGTCCTCATGCCTTCTCTGGTTCCAAAGGATGGATGGAAAACAAAGAAACGCAAGTCCAGTGCTCGTAGAAACCACAAGGCCCTGTCTTTCTCTCACTGATTAGTTCAATGAAATAATCATGTGTTTTAGGAGACCCAGGCCTTGGCCCTCCGCTATCTTCCTTCCCAGACAGCCCACTGAACACACACTCAACGCATACAGAAAGCCCATTTCAAGCAGCATTCTGAAATTCACCGAGAATGACAAGAATAATAAGGCTACTGATATATCCCTACCATGACATTGAAGCAGAACTAATTGGCTTGCATACTCTCTCTACCTGGCATCTAATGCCCAGATTAAAATAGATGACAAAGTTCAGGTACCCCAATAGCTTCCTGCACTGCAGCCTCTACAAATGTTAGCTATCAAGGCAGCAGTCCAAACTGGCTCCTTCCATAGGGTCCTGACTAGGGAAGGAAATGTTTGCAAATTTGCACAGCTGCATGCAATAACAAATTCAGGCTCTGCAGGTTTACAAAATCCCATCTTCTCCCTGTGATTAGGAACTTGGGATCAACTTGTTTTCCACAAATGATTTTTCTTAATCTGGAAGTAGGTACAACAGAGGAACTTCAAAATCTGTTTCTTTTGAGACAATTCTCAATTTTTAAAGTACTTATTAAACATTGCTAAAATGTGCAGTTCTTATCAGCAGGATTTACAATGACACTTGGAAAGCAATGGGATTTACTGCTTTTGTGGCTTTTTTTTCCCCGTTCTGGTAGTGAAAAAATGTTCCCGATAAACAGTAATAGATATCCAAAAATCTGCAATCACCACCACATTAGTTGATTTGATAGTTGCTATTACTGTAAATAATCAGAATCACAATAAAAAGTCTATGCCTACAAAATGAAATCACTTAACAAACTGTAAATAATCATAATCTAAGAGCAGCAAATTTTCTTCAAAAGCAACTTGGCTTTTAACAAACTAAATAATTCGTATATATTTTAATTACTTTATACCTATGGTGGCATGTGCACATGATAGAGAGAGGAAGAAATTTGCAAATGAATTGATGTGGCCTGATCATATTGTTTAAGGTAATAGATCACCAATCTGTAGAAAAGCCAATGATTTCACTTTCTTGGTGTTAACACACAATTCACCAAATAAACCAATATAAGTTTAGGAAGGATTCAAAGCAGCTTTTACTTGTAGCTATATGAAACCAGCAAGTATTTAATTAGGCTCTGTGAACACTTCGGTAACAATCTAAATTAATATTCTGAAAAGATGAGTTTTAAGGTTCTTTCTATGAAATCATTAAAGAAAAAACCCTGGAATCATTAAAAAAAATAAAATTTGCACCAGATGCTACCTTTATTGTATGCAAACAACAAAACCAAAGTTTTCTGAACCAGCCATCTGTCTTTGCTGCATGGAGTGGCCACAGGACAGAGCTGAACCACATTTTGTGGTTCCACATTAGTACCCTAATCAGTTATCGATGTTATAGAATCTTGATCCTTCATCATACTAAGGAAAAGGGCAACCTATGCCCTTGTCCCCAGTCGTCAGTCATTATATAGTACCCAATGATTGAGACCCAAAGAGACACTCCATAGCAATGATGTTTTGGCTCATCCTGGATTAGTCTGGTGATCCTGGCAATGCCTGATTCACTCTGAACTTCAGTTTCCTTACCTCTAGCACAAAAACACTGGACTGGAACAGTAACATTAAGACCCATGCAACAGTAACATTATAAGCCAATGTGCATGTTAAAGTCAAATTCCATTGATTTTCAAATACTGAGAAAATAGCCAAAAGGAATGGTGCAGAAGAAATGGTGGGTCCTTACTATGATTTGCTCTGAACTTTCAATAAAAATATACACGTCTTGGCAATGGTATGTAATATTCCAATAAGCCTGGTTTGAAGACTCTGAATTTACTCTTAAAGCAACAGGCAGAGGCAGTGTGACTGTCATTTGAACCACCTGAGCTTTGATGTTAAAAGAGACTCAAGCGCCAGGACACATTGAGCAAATCCCTCCAACGCTATTACTTCCCTCCTTCTTTCCTACTTATGTTCACCTTTTCCAGATGCTGCTCTGGGATTATTACCCCATGGAATCTTTCACGTCTTCCTGGCTTGGGTCCTACCTTGCTTCTAGCAGTAGGCACGAAACACAGAGCCTGAAATACACACACCGTATCTTCTTACCTCTCCAGGGTTCTTACACCTCAGCAATAGCAGCAGCTCCAGGCAGTAGCGAGCCCCCATACTCCCCACGCAGAGCCCCTGTGCAGTGTGGGAACAGAGAAGGAGACAGGAGGCAGGGAGGGACACTGCTCAAAGTGCTAGAGGAGCCGGCCAGGCAGTCTCCCTGTCTGGAATGCACAACTAGAGGATCTCGGAGGGAGAGAGCCTTGGGTCACTGTGATCCTCTGAGTCAGACACCCTGGGGAGCTCTTAGTTCTGAAAGTCCTCCCCAGGCACAGAAGGCTGAAAGCCCCCAAGCACCCACTAGGAAGAAAAGTGTAAAAGTTAAAAAGTTAAAAAGTTGAGATAAATGAGGTAGACATATGGCAGTTTACAGTAGATGGTAGAAATGCAGTATGATTGCTGGAGGGAAAAAATCATTTGAAAAAAATGCTCACTCACATATCTGATGAGAGATTTGTATCCAGAATCTGAAGAACTCTTACAATTCAATAATAAAAAGACAACCTAATTGAAAAATAAGAAAAAAAATCTGAATAAATATTTCTCTGAAGAAGATATACAAATGGCTGATAAGCATATGAAAAGATGCTTGATATCATTAGCCATCAGGGAAATGCAAATCAAAATCACAGTGAGGCTCATGCCGGTAATCCCAGCATTTTGAGAGGCCAAGGTGGGCGGATCACTTGAGCTCAGGAGTTCGAGATCAACCTGAGCAACATGGCAAAACCTCGTCTGTACAAAAATTAAAATAAAATAAAAAACAGCCTGGTGTGGTGGTGCGTGCCCATAGTTCCAGCTACTTGGGAGGCTGAAGTGGGAGGATCACCTGAGCCCAGGGAGGTCGAGGCTGAAGTGAACTGTGATTGTGCCACTGCATTCCAACCTAAGTGACAGAGTGAGACTCTATCTCAAAAAAAAAAAAAAAAAAAATTATCACATCACGCCCACTAGGATAGCTTTAAAAAAAAAAAAAAACTGTTGGTAAGGATGTGGAACCCTTACATAGTGCTGGTGAGAATGTGTCTCCAAATGTTAAACATACATTTGCCATTATACTCAGCAATTCAACTTTTAGGTATATACCCAAGAAATATGGACATGAAAAACATGTAAGTCTGCACAAAAACTTGCATATGAATGTTCCTAACAGCATTATTCTTAATAGTCAAACAGTCAAAACAACCCAAATAATCCATCAACAGATGAAGGAATAAACAAAATGTGTCATATCCCTACAATAGAATATTATTCAGCCACAAAAAGGGATGAAGTACTGATAAATACTACAACATGGATGAACCCTGGGGACATTATACTGAGTGAAAAATGCCAGACACAAAAGACCAAATGAAATACTGGCTCTTATTCCCTTGCAACAATCATTCCCCAATTACACCAGGCTCTTCCGAGGTCACCATTACTCCTGCAAATTTACCTATGTGTTTTGGCAGAAGCTACAGTGAGAGGAGGCTTCCATCTCAGTGTGGAGCTACAACCACTGGTCCCCAGCACATTCAGACCCTTCTTCTCAGCTTTGCTTCTAGGCCACTGACAAAAATTCTGTTCTGGCTTCATGGTTCAGCCCCACTCCTCCCCAACTCCTTCATTTCTGAGTAGTGGCTCCCTTCTCTCCATGTCTATGGTTCCTATCTGTGAGAGTTTTTTTGGAACTTACAGTTGCTCTTGTATATCAGGTAGTTGGCATCTCCAAAGAGATTAAATGCAACTTAAGCACAATGGACTCTCACAGTTCAGTGGGTTTTTCATAGCTGAAATTCAGTAATTAATTGTGACCCTCTGCCTTTTTCGCAGGGAAAGGATATACTTTTTTGAGCACTTAAACAAAAAAATTAGGGTATTGCCTCCAGGGGCCATTGTGCATTTTCACTATCATAAGTAAAAATGAAATTAGAAGGCGATGCCAATGAAGGAAGCAGTCCAATGAAGAGACTGCCACTATGGTCATTGGGTTAAAGAAAAGGTCGACATTCTTATGTAATTTTATCATCCACTAAGAGAAATACATTACAGTTACTGACATTTTAATTATTAATTTTAATTCTTCTTTTTTTGCTTGTTTGTTTCCATATCCTTCATCTTTCCAAACTATTCCTGGGTACAATGGACCAATGCCCTTGAACATTATTTTCTTAACAATAACTAGTTCTATCCTGTGTCATGCTCAAGGTTTAGTTCGATCAGTGCATTCTGCTAACAGGACAGAAGTCTCAAAAGAAAGATTTGCTAGTGGCCCCAGTTAGCTACAACACATGGTTTCTGGAGTCACATTTTTGGCCAATATGTAACTTTTGCCTATTCTGGGTTTGTCTTAAAAATCTCAACCTTTAAACCCTTGAAAGTATCCATTTTTAAAGGTTGATGCCATTGCCTTCTGAAAAATGTCGATCAAAGTGTGGAGGAGAAGGCTTCCTGTCTAAGGATAACAAAGCTGCAAATGAACGTTCCCCAAAGCGCCGGCTGTGTTCATTTTGTACTGAAATGTCCATACAGGCTGATTCTGAAACACACTCGAGTGTTGTGGGTAATAGATGTCAAAAAATAAAACTCAGGCACACGCTATGTTACTTTTTAAGGGAAAAAAGTGGGGGGAAATCAAAGGGTTTAACAATTTTATTCATTGGCTTACATTCAGCGACTCTGAAAATTTGGCCACTACTCAGGTTTGCAAATTTCTATGGAAAATGAACTGTGTTTGGCAAGCTCAACGAAATATGAGGCTGATAAAAAAAAAATGTTTCATGCTTTCTCAAGACCTTATGCCACTAACTGTGTGGGATTGGAAAAACTGTTTAAATGTCAATTTAAATACTGTAAATAAATGATTTTCTATATCCATATGAATTAATATAATTCTGTTGATTTCAGGCCATAACTTGAACTAAAGTTTCTTTGAATTTTGATGAGGAAATGTTTCAGACACACACAACACAAACTTCAGATTAAGTAGTTTAGTTCAGTAGAGTTGTTTCAGAGTCAGAAATGTTAATGCAATACTTTATTTTACACTATGGAGAACTGACTGAAAATTTGATTGACACTAAGGTTTTTACAAAGCAGGTCTTGAACTAAAAAGAATTAGACCAAAAAAGACAAAAATATTATCGTAACAGCCCAAGCCATTATACAAAAAAACATGGTGGTAAATCCCATTGCAAAGTTCAGGACTCTCAAATACTATCTCCAAACCAATCATCTTTGTGTTTATGGAGCTGACTATCCAGCTGCCTTCTTGACCCTTCTACCTGGTGTCTCAGGGTCATCTCAAACTTCCCTTATCCACTAATGAACTCTTGACTTTCTCTTCTGGCAAATGTTTTGGTATCCTAGCCTCCCACATCTTTAGAGGTGTTTACAAAGCATTTATCACAATGCCTGCCTGGTATGCAGCACTCGCTTAATCAGTGTTGTTGTGGATGATGATGATGATTATTATTATTATTAAATAATGATTATTTTTATCCACCCAGTTAGTTGAGCCAGGAACTAAGTCATTTTCTTTATTCTCCTCTTCACTGCATGTTCTACTTTTAATCTATTACCAACTTCTGTCAACTCTGCATCCAAAATAAATCAGGAATCTGACCCCTCCTCTCCATCTTTACTTTCATCACTCCAATTCCAGCCCCCATCACATTTCTCCCAAACAAATTTAGCAGCCTTCCAGACAACCTAGCCATCTGCTCTTGTCCTTACTCAATTTGTTCATGGGGGAAATAACAGTAATCTTCTTAAAGACAATTCTTCATTTTGAGACATACATAGAGCATATCACATATTTATTAAATCTGCTAAACAACCTTAAGAGGTAGGTACTGTTATTACTTCCATTTTACAATGAGGAAGTGAGTGAAGAGAGGTTAGAACATGCTCAACTTTACTCTGCCTATAAGAGGCAAAGCCAGAATTCCTGCCTGGGCAGTCTGGCTCGAGTTATGTGTTCAACTGCTACACAAAGTACCACACCATATCCAACCTTAAAAAAATAACAACAAACAAGCAAGCAAAGATCATCAACGGGCTTCCATTGCACTTAGAATAAAATCCATCCACATAGAACTTGCCTATGTCAAAGGGTCTGGACCAACTTCCTTAGCCTCACCTTTCATGCCTCCTCTCTTTCCTCCTGTTCTTCAAACACTCATGGACAAGGCAAGCTGGGTCCTGATTAGGGGTTTCTGTCTATGCTGTTTCCTTTGCTTGAACTGCTTTCCTAAGGCGTCAGTCACAGGGCTGGCTCCTCCTTTTTCTGGTCTCTGCTTAAATATCATCTGCTCAAAAAGCCTTCCTTGACTTCCCCAATCTGATATTAATGTTTCCTGGCTTCTTGATCTCAACACACTGTTGATTTTCTTCTTAGCACTTATCTCAACCTATAATTGATTTTACTTGTTTGTGCATTTGTCTATTGGCTGTCTCTCTTACTGGGCTGGAGGCTTCACAATTAGAAAGATTGTTTATCACTGTATTTTTATAATCTAGCATCATGCTAAGATGCTAGGTTTAGGTGCTAAGAATTTTGATAAATGATTGAAGGAAGACAAGTACGCTTTGATGATATGAAGCATCCCCACACAGACCTTAGATTCTCCAAGTGTGGGCAAAAGATCAAATACAGAATCACCTGGGGTTACTTTTTGTTAAAAGTGAGTTCCAGGAGCTCTGAGCTATTTTAAGCACTTACTTTTGAGGTTCATCTCCTTGTATTATCAAGAATTTTTACAATTTTGATTTTGACATGATTTGGCAATAAGTAATTCATCGGATTCTCGTTTGGCTGTGATTTTTTAAGTAATTATTGTGCGTGTTCAGGAATACTTGTTAAGAGAACAAAATGTACATTACGAATTGTTTTTACATGTGATGAGATTGTTAAAAATACTAGTTGACAATGAAATTGGCACTTGCTATGTTTTTAGATATATAGGTGAGTATTTACATCATTACTTTGGGAGTCAATAATTTCCTTTTCAGCTTGCAGAAATTTATATGAGCTCCTGAACAGCTTGTGGATCCTCTGCCCTGTAATCAGATAATGGTGTGGGATGGATGAAATGGACCAGCTGGAGTCCAGTCCCAAATTGATCATAACAGAACTTCTGATGTCAAGGAATCTGCATTTTAAGAAACTTTCCAAGAAACTCTTATGCAAAATAAAAATTGAAAGCTGTTTTTCTCATAGCTAGATTTATGTATGTTATTTTAGAAAAATTTGCAATAGATATCCAGTGTTCACTCTTTAAATTTGTGGTTGATTTCTGAGAAATTCAAGATAATGTCCCACAAAAAGGGAAAACATTTTGCTAAGGATAATGGCCTCCACCTCCATCCATGTCCCTGCAAAAGATATGATCTCATTCTTTTTTATGGCTGCATGCTATTCCATGGTATATATCCTTAGCAAACTAACACAGGAACAGAAAACTAAATACTGCATGTTCTCACTTATAAGTGGGAGCTAAATGATGAGAACACATGGACACATGGAGGGGAACAACACACACTGGGGACCTCTCAGAAGGTAGAGGGTGGGAGGAGGGAGAGGAACAGGAAAAATAACTAATGGGTACTAGGATTAATACCCGGGTGAGGAAATAATCTGTACAACAAAACCCCATGATACAAGTTTATCCATGTAACAAACCTGCACATGTACCCTTGAACTTAAAAGCTAAAAAAGAGAAAACATAAAAATATTGATAAGATCACCAAGTGTCCATAAATGCAAATTATCAATAATCGTTCTGGTGAAATAAATCATCTCTGAAAAATATCTTTTGTTAGCCTGCATATACAGATTGAGAGAAAGGGACAGGCATTTCTCACCCTGGAGGGGCAGGATGAACCATTTGCCCAGATGGAAAAACAAAAGCAAGGTAAGTTCCTTAGCCCATAGCTTCGCTATGTTTTAGACTAGCTGACCCCAGCCATTTTTGGCACCAGGGACCGGTTTTGTGGAAGACAACTTTTCCACAGACAGTGCGGCGGGGATGGTTTCAGCATGAAACTGTTCCACTTCAGATAATCAGGCATTAGTTAGATTCTCATAAGGAGCTTGCAACCAAGATCCCTCACCTGCGCAGTTCACAATAGAGTTAGCGCTCTTATGAGACTCTAATGAATGCCACCACTGATCTGACGGGCGGCGGAGCACAGGCAGTAATGCTCACTCCTGCTGTGCAGTCCCATTCTTAATAGGCCATGGACTGGTACTGGTCTGCGGCCCGGGGGTCGGGAACCCCTGTTTTAGATGATAAGTGGATGTTAAGAAAATTAATAATTGACGGCAGGAAGAGGCTTCCTGGCTTGCTCAAAAGACGAAGGCTGTTTTTTCTCTTTTAGGGAAAGATACCCAAATTCCAGAATTTGAAAGAGCTTAAGTTAAAAACAAAAACAAAACAACCAGCCATGTTTTTGACGTCAATTAACAAATGTGAGAATAAGCTTTGTGGATGCCACACTCTTTTGAGTGTCTATCACCTCTCTGAATGTAACATAATGTTGGAATTCACCATGGCTCTGTTCTTGAATCTCCTTTATTTTTCATCTGCAATTCCTCTTTGGTGATTTTAACCAACCTTGTATCTTTAAATGACATCTATGCACTGATAGTTACCTAGTTTATATCTCCAACTAGGACATTTTTTTCTTGAATTCCCTGAGTTCTTCAACTTCTTCTCAATATTCTTCTCTATAGTGTTCCCCATCTAAGTCAATAGCAACTCAATTTTTCCAGTAGATCAGGCCAAAACTTCCACTCTCTATCACCAATGGGTCCATTTCACAATCCATAGTCAATCTGTCAGTAAATCTTGTTGGCTGTACCTTCAAAATATGTCAGAATCTGACCTCTTCTCATAATTTCAATGGTTCCATCTTGGTCCAAGCTATCATCATCTCTCACTTGGATTGCTGAATGACTCAGTAAAGACATAGGTTCTGCAAAGCCCTTCTTTAAAGTAGTCATCTCTCCTGGTTGAAGGTAATTTCTCTTGGGAAAATCCAGATTGTCAATAAGCCACTTCCAGTCATATCCTTTTCTAGAAAGATATTAATGCAGATAACCCAGAAAAAAATACAGGTGAAGAAACACTTCCCCAAATCCCACAGAAAGGTTTGGAGAGTATGTTTATTCTTTAGCAGTTCACAGGATTTTTAAAAAATTAACAAATAAAAATTGTACATATTTATTGTGTACAAGATGATGTCCTGACATACATATACAATTGTGAAATGTCTTCATTAAGCCAATTAACATATGCATTACCTACATAGCTGTCACTTTTTGTGGTGAGAATACTTAAAATCTACTCTGTTAGTGATTTTCAAAATAAAATACATTGCTGTTAATTATAGTAACCATGTTGTACAATAGATCTCTTGAATTTATTCCTTTTGTCTAAGTAAAATATTGCATCCTTTGACCAACATCTCTCCAACCCTCAGCCCCACCCCCAGGTTCTGGAAAGCACCATTTTAGTCTCTGCATCTATGAGTTCAACTTTTTTAGATTCCACATGTAAGTGAGAAAGTGCAGCATTTGTCTTTGCTTTCTGTGCCTGGCTTATTTCATTGAACACAGTGTCCTCCAGATTCATCCATGTTGTTGCAAATAACAGGAATTTCTTCTTTTTTAGGGCTGAATAGTAATGATGCCTGAATTCCCCTCTCTTGCTAATAACAAAATAGTACTATTATATGACGGGTATTTATTGTTCTGGTTGACAGTGTATAGCATGGACATGCCACATGCATTTTGGGGCTCAGTGAGCTGATCTTGGTAATACTGTTCCCCACCCACGATTGATCTCAGAACCCAGGCCTAAAGCCTTTTGTACTATAGGCACCAGCATGTGAGGGAAATGTGGCTGGAAGCCTTTGGAAATGTTTCCTAGAATGTAAGTGAGTTATAGGCAGAGGAAACCTTTCTTCTTCTATGCCAGAGTTACTCAGCACTATTGACATTTTGGGTTGGATCATTCTCTCTGGTGGGGCTGTCCTGCACACCGAAGATGTTTAGAAGCATCCCTGGCTTTTACTCACTTGATGCCAGTAGCACCTCTCCACTTGTGACAACCAAAAATGTTTCCCGACTTTGCCAGATGTCTCCTGGGGTGGTCACCCACAGTTGAGAAACACTAGCTTAGACATCGTCATATTTATCCCCAAACTGCCACAGGTTCTGTTGCTATCAGCCTAGAGGTGACACTTAGAGGGACATAAAATGAAGAGCACTGCAGGAAAAAGGTCAAGTCACTGGATGAAACCCTACATACTTATGGATTTTGGTGACATGAGCCTCTAAAATTCCTAATTATTTAAGGTGGTTTAAATGGATTTTGCTTTTATTATAAGCCAAGGGCATCAAAGTGATCCAAGGTCCAGAATCACAGGCCACTGTACATTGCTTTCTTCCAGGGCATCATACTGCTTGGAGAAATGACACCGGCCCCACCTTAGAGCAGGATTCCATAGTACAGCTTTACATGAAGGATGGCAAGTAGAATGGCTCATTTTTCCATTTCATAATTATTGCTTATACACTGTTGTTATGGAATTATAGAATTTTAGAGCAGGAAGGAATTTTAGGGATGGAGAATTAAGCTAAAACCAATGTCTATGTTTATCTTCAAAGGAAGGCCTTCAAAAGAGGATCAAGCCCGGTGCCTCCAAATATTAGGGAAAGTGCCATTATCCACTTCAAAACACATCCTGAGCATGACAAGTCATGTTACATCTTGTGTTAAAAGCAAAAGGAAATATTTTCTTATAGCCACATACCCTTAAATATTCCCTTCTCCATAAATGGAAATTCTATTTGGCTTTAACGTCTACATCAATTATCTATTTACAGCAGACTTCCTGTCATTTCCAAAAGCAGAGTTGTCATTTAATTCTACTATCCAGCAATATTGCTTTTAATGTGAAAAATGATGAATAGATACAGCTGGCATAATTGCTGGACTTTAAGTTCATAGCATAGTGGGGAAAGGAAGAAGATAAAAAATACAATCAATTTATTTTACTGTTTTATATATATACATATAAATCTGCATTATCTTTGCTTATAACAGCAATTTGAGCTTACAACTAATGTAATCATAAATATAAAAATAAGCAAAATGAGTAAAATTAAAATCATCCATAATCCAACAATCATTGATTATGTCTTAATGAATATTATCCCCTATATTTTTTGCATATTGAAATTTTCTTCTCAAAAAGTATCATATTATTTTGCAATCTACTATATTTAAAACATCCCCTTTTATCAGATATTTAGCTGTTACTTATTCATCCCCATTGTAAACAGTGCTGCATATGAATAGTTGGCTGAAATTATTAGGTTGGTACAAAAGTAATTACGGTTTTTGCCATTACTTTCCATGGCAAAACCGCAATTACTTCTGCACCAATCTAAATAAATTATATATGCTTAGAAAGAAAAATGGAAGGATAAAACACAAATGAAGAAATTCTGAAAAATGGACCAATATGTAGGATATTGTTGGCTTCAAAATCCTGTGAGGATTCAACTGTTGATCCAGTCCCCAAAGCAATCAGATCTACCAATGGATAAGAACCAGGGCAGACAGCAGCTGCCAAGAAGACAGAGGGGAGGGAAGAGCAAACCAGTTTTGCAGTGAAGGAAACCACCCAGGTGGCAGACTTGATGGAACAAACACTTTAAGTGAACCTAATGGAAAATGGTTCAACAAATGGACCACCAGTAGATTTTCTCAGTTTATAAATGATAGACCCATTGCCTAGAGAAAAGAACAGCTTTTATTCAATCATATAATAAGTAAAAGGAAATAATTTGCTCCTCTAAAAAAGTCCTGTGATGGTAACTCCACATTTCTATATCTATATCTATATCTATATCTATGTCTATCTATATATCTCTCTCTCAAAATATCTGTATTTATATCTGTATTTGTATTCATATTTGTATTTATACCCATACCTATACTTGTACTTACATATGTATGTGTCATTGTACCCACATATCTTGCCAGCCATCCAACCATCCATCCATCTACATAGAAGTGCTTCTTAAACTGGAGTATGCATCAGAATCCTCTGGAGGGCTTGTTAAAACACAGATTACTGGGCCCCATCCCCAGAGTTTCTGATTCAGTAGGTCTTCAACAGGGCCTGAGAATTTGCATTTCTAATGTTTCAGGGTGATGCAGCTGCTGATGGTTCCGGGATTACACTTTGAGAACTGCTGCTTACACCTGTACCCCTCTCATTCTCTCTTTCTATCTCATTACCAAACTCTAATTTAATGAACATACAGTTACCCGCACATATTTTGATTCATTATCAATTGTCAATATACATCACAGTGTTAAATACTACACAAAATAGATATTATGCTGATTTCAAATTTCTCTCCCCTTAATTTAATAATAAAATTATAAGATACAAAAATTATTACCATGTATATTTTTCCTCCCAGGAGAATACTTAAATCGTGGTACATTTCTTGCTTTTACTTGGTTTTCACTGCCTTTGGCTTCTAACTTGATGTATTTACATCTTAATGGTTCAGATTTATTTTCCAAACAGTGAGATGAAACAGGGACAACTCAAAGGCAGCTTCATTTTGAAATTGGCCAGGCTTTTGTAAACAAACCCTTGACAGAGCAATTTCTAATTCTCTAAACAGCTGGGGGGGAAAATATCACACAGAAAAGCAGATGTTATTCGCGTAACTTCTTTTTTTCAGGTCTACAATCATCATCTACAGCACCGGATCCACCATATCACTTCAAGTAAATTTTGACTTTGCTAGGTTTCAACCACATTACTCACATTGGAGATGTGAGTCAAAGAATAAAGCTTCTCAGAGACAGCTCTGTGGATGCCTCTTCATGTTAGGTTGACAGCTTTTGATTTAAGCGTTCTGTTAGCTCATGACTGCAGCATGCAATAGGAACACAGTTCCTCAGATGCCAACCCTAACCTAAATAAAAGCTAGACCGGCATCTCCTCAGGGTCAAGTTAAAGAATATGGGCTGTGCTGTCTCAGACCTCAGCGGCTACCAATTAGTGGGAGACAAGACATGTATAAAAGGAAATTTAATTGGTAATTTTAATGGATAAACAACTGCAGGGTTGAGAGAAAGAGGTCACTTGTGCTGGTGGAGTTGGGGAAAGTTTCATATTCCATGCATTCAGATCTTGAGAAACAAAGGTTATATCTCCAGAAAGCAAAAGGCGGACATTGAAAAGGGAAGCAAATCTTTACAGATGAAGTCACAGCAAAGACAATCTGGAGCCAGGAATTAACGTGTGACAAGAGAGGGAATAATCCCAGGGATGATGAATTTTACTACTGAAATGATTATAAATTACAGCCACCTACAACCTATTGTGAATGGCTTTTATGGTATCAGAACAGAATAGTTAAAGGAATAGGAAAAAATCTTGTGCCCTAATGAAGAAAAGGGAGATGTGTGTTTTGCTCAATTCAAAGAAAATATCTCTTTACACACACACACACACACACACACACACACACACACACACACACAGGTGTATAATATACACACACACACATATATAAACGCAAACACATATATGTGTATATATATACACATACACCTACATATACACACATGCATACACACATGCATACACACACTCAGACCTTATGGAATAATTCTAATTATATATAAGGTCTCCTTGTTCCCATTAAACATCCAAAATGCCCCTAGTTGCAAATACTTCAGCAAATAGTCCCTGAATAAAAGATATAGTCAGCCAACATTGAAATAAAGCTGTTACTACAAAGAAAAATATTTTGCAAAAGAGACAGCTCATAGACTGCTACAATACAAAAGTCTGCATTTTAAGAGCCATAACTGTATATGGATGTAAGCGGTGTTTTTAATGTTAAATACATGTTCAATATTTATTACTTTTTGTAAATTGTGCCATGAAGGAAATTTACTGGAAGCAACAAAATAGAAGAAATGGTAACAATTTCTAAGTGTTTTCTAATGTAACAATTTGGCCTGTAGTTCTAATTTATTTAAAAATTTGTTCAATTGGGCACAAATTTAGTTGCACAGTGGTATTTTGATGTAAAAGTTAGTATAAAAAGCAGGAAAAGTGAACATTTTTCAAAATAAGTACCTTTTCTAAAAATAGTAATATTTTGAATATAAAAATAGTGCAATAAATGCTACTCACAAGTAACTTCTCAATAAAATGAATGATTGAATAAAATAATACATCTAAATTTGCTGGCTCTCAGATCTGAGCTCCCAGAACTTCAACAGCCACACACATATACGCACACATTTTCAAATTCAATGTTATCCTATTAAAAATAAGCCTGTGTTAAAAGAAGTTGTAACTGTCCATCACACCAAAAATGCATAGTTTAGCCACAGCCATTATAGCAATTTTCATATTATTCAAAAAGAAAAGATTCTAAAGAGTACAAATAAAGCACAAAGCAGATGTTCAAAACAAGTCTGCATCAAAAATTCAAAAACATTTGCCACAGGAATGGCGCACTTTCATCATTAATATACACCTACTATGTACCCACAAACATTAAAAATTAAAACAAATTAAAAATAAAAAAGAAACGGATCATAAATATTACAGCTGCCAGTTTCCTGGTGAGAAATCTTTGTGAAGAAATTGCAGTTAAAGTGGCGCTCTGGAAAATAAGATAAAATGACAATTAAGAGATTATCTTTTCTTTCTGCTGTGACGTGACATATGTGAGTAAGACTGTTGGCATACCCACAGATACAGTGATGCAAGTTAACATTTGCAAAATGTCCCAAATCTGAAGAACATCTCAAGAAAATCACTGGAGAATAAAGAAAACATTTTATTGATCATCTCTACAGTACAGAGTTTCTCAATCTTGGCATTCTTGCTATTTGGGCGAGATCACTTGTTTTTGTGGTGGGTGTTGCTGTCCTCTAAACTGTGGGATGTTTAGCAGCATCCTTGGCCAGTAGCAAATCACCCCTCCCAAATGTGACCACAAAAGTCTCCAGACATTGGCAAATGTGTCCTGGGGGGAGGTACAAAATTTCCCCAGTGAAAAACACTGATAGCATATTTTTCTTTTTTGAGACAGAGTTTCACTCTTGTTGTCCAGGCTGGAGTGCAATGGCATGACCTCAGCTCACTGCAACCTCTGCCTCCCAGGTTCAAGCAATTCTCCTGCCTCAGCCTCCCAAGTAGCTGGGATTATAGGCATGCACCACCATGCCTGGCTAATTTTTTATATTTTTAGTAGAGACGGGGTTTCACCATGTTGGCCAGGCTGGTTTTGAACTCCTGACCTCAGGTGATCCACCTGCCTTGGCCTTCCAAGATAGCATACATTCACATAAACTTATTTGATCAATTGATGTGGTAAATAGGATAAAATTGTCCACAATGTTATATTCATACAGAACTCATTCTGTGAATTTTGCCTAAGTGTTGTATGTACACATTTTTCATATTTAAGCACAATAGATTGACAAATCTGGAGTGACTATTTCTTAGGTATAAACATTTTTAAACTCTACTAGAATGCTTCTGCTGATTATATTAAAATTTGAAGGATTCTCACCCAGAAGTTGTGATTTGGGGTTTAACCCAAAATGTTATCACTGCTTTACATGATGTAACTTATATTATATTTTGGATAAAGGAAAACAATCTGTTTCTGCTGTTTGAATAGAAGCTCCAAGTAATATTGCTAAGCATAGTATACCCTGAATTCTGAAGGTTTTGATATTAGTTATCAGAAATACCTTAGATGAATGTGAATGGTTTGTAACAATTATTCAGGAATGAGCTGGAAAAACTTCTCCCTGGACAGAACTGGCAATAATGTGGAATATTACAGAAATACTTAATTATAAAAACCATACAAGTCATACTTTTGTCCTTAAAACTTATCTTAGTCAAACACGCTAGTAAAATGAACAAAGAGAAAGTATGAGGGGACTTCAAAAAGTTCATAGAAAATATGCATTATGAAAGAACTATACAAAAATTTCAAATGTATATTACACCAAAATAAATTCTTACTAACTTGTTATAACCTGCCTTAACAAGATCTAGTTTGAGGCACTAAGAAAGATAAGACATCAGTTTGAAAAGAGCCCCTGTCAGGGAAACATGAATTCTGCTAAAATTGAAGCAAGAACAAACATCAAATTTATGGTGAAGATTGGGTGGAAGAATGGTGAAATCACTGATGCTTTATTAAAAGTTTATGAGGACAGTCCCCCAAAGATATCAACAGTTTGCAAATGAAAAACTCATTTTAAGAAGTGATGAGGGCTGAGTGTGGTGGCTCACGCCTGTAATCCCAGCACTTTGGGATGCTGAGGTGCACAGATCACCTGAGGTCAGAAGTTTGAGGCCAGCCTGGCCAACATGGTGAAACCCTGTCTCTACTAAAAATACAAAAATTAGCTGGGCTTGGTGGTGGGCAGCTGTAATCCCAGCTACTCAGGAGGCTGAGGCAGGAGAATTGCTTGAACCCGGGAGGCAGAGGTTGCAGTGAGCCGAGATCGCACCATTGCCCTCCAGTCTGGTGACAAGAGTGAAAACCCCCATTTCAAAAAAAAAAAAAAAAAAAAAGAAAAAAGAAGAAGGGATGATATTGAAGATGAAGCCCACAGCAGCAGGCCATCCATATCAATTTGTGAGGAAAAAAATTCATCTTGTTCATGCTCTAATCGAAGAGGACCAATGATTAACAGCAGAAACAATAGCCAACACCATAGACATCTCAATTGGTTCAGCTTACACAATTCTGACTGAAAAATTAAAGTCAAGCAAACTTTACGCCCTAAAGTTACCAAAACCATTGCACTTAGATCAGCTGCAGACAAGAGCAGAGCTTTTGAAGGAAATTTTTCACAAGTGGGACCAAGATCCTGAAGCATTTCTTCAAAGAATTGTAACAGGAAATAAAACATGGCTTTCCCAGTACCATCCTGAAGACAAAGCACAATCAAAGCAGTGGCTACCAAGAGGAAGTGGTCCAGTCAAAGTAAAAGCAGACTGGTCAAGAGCAAAGGTCATGGCAACAGCGTTTTGGGATGCTCAAGGCATTTTGTTTGTTGACTTTTTAGAGGGCCAAAACTCAATTAACATCTGTTTACTATGAGAGTATTTTGAGAAAGTTAGCCAAAGCTTTAGCAGAAAAATGACTACAACAATGCTCCTGGATCACTCCTCTTATCAAACAAGGGCAATTTTGTGAGAGTCTCTATGGGAAATTACTAAGCACTCACCTTCCAGTCCTGATTTGGCTCCTTCTGACTTCTTTTTGCTTACTAATCTTAAAAAAAAAAAAAATCTAAAGGGCACCCATTTGTCTTCAGTTAATAAAATAAAAAAGATTGCAATGACATGGTAAAATTCCCAGGACCCTTAGTTCTTTAGAGATGGACTAAAATGGCGGGTATCATTGATCAAAAAAGTGTCTTGAGCTTGATGCTGAGAAAGTTTCTATTTATTATTTCTTATCTTTTCATTTAATTTGTCCCATGAACTTTTTGAAGTGCTCTCATATATGCAGCACAAAGTAGTGGTTGGTTTCACTTAAAATTCTTTTGAGACGGAGTCTTGCTCTGTCGCCCAGGCCGGACTGCGGACTGCAGTGGCGCAATCTCGACTCACTGCAAGCTCCGCTTCCCGGGTTCACGCCATTCTCCTGCCTCAGCCTCCCGAGTAGCTGGGACTACAGGCGCCCGCCACCGCGCCCGGCTAATTTTTTGTATTTTTAGTAGAGACGGGGTTTCACCTTGTTAGCCAGGATGGTCTCGATCTCCTGACCTCATGATCCACCCGCCTCGGCCTCCCAAAGTGCTGGGATTACAGGCGTGAGCCACACTTAAAATTCTTTAGTCTGATAAATGTTCCAAATAAGAAAAATAAGAAAATGTTTCTACTAATTCTGTTTAAAGTGTGTGACTGCATTGTTTAATGATAATAAATCTAGAGATCAAAATGCTTATCAATCACTATTAAAATTATAATGTATTCACTGACAATACAGGAATTACTCAAATTTACCAAGAAATGTGGGAAATTTTTAAGAATAATAAGCATATCAAGTGGGTGCAACATGCTTACTTCAATAATACAGGACAAAATATGAAAGCTATTATTTTTTTCTGAATTGTTCATTTCTTTGTATAATTTTCTAATGAAGATTATTCATTTACCACTAAATATAATCAAATTATTGTATCATAATTAAATGCACAAATGAGAAAAAACACCTTTGTTAGTCTCTACATACAAATTTTTCTTTCAGAAAATGTTGTCACTGTTATTCACATTCCTACACAGATAACATCTGAAACCTGTATTTTGGTTTCTGTAATTATTATTTATTATTGAAGTGAAAATTATCTAAAATATACCTCATTTGAAAGAGAAAAACATCCTAGACCAAACTTATTTTTAAAAGTAGTTATGCTATTTTGCTAGAAATATGCTAATTTGCTAGATTAGTAGCTCTCAACTGAGGATGACTTCACACCCAATAAGACATTTAGGGATGTCTGGAAACATTTTTGGTTGTCTCAACTGAGGGGAAGGTGCTACTGGCATCTAGCGGCTAGAAATCAGGCATCCTGCTCAACATTCTGCAATGCACAGGACAGCCCCTCACAAAAAAGAATGATCTGCCCCCAAATGTCAATAGAGCTGAGGTTTAGAAACCCTGCTACACATAAAATTGTTTCCCAGTTTAATCTGTGCAACAAGGCAAGAAGCACGCAATTCAAAATGGTGTGAAGAGAATCCCTGTTTAGAGAGTATATAATGTTTTACCAAAGGAATTTTTCTTTTTCTTTCTTTCTTTCTTTCTTTTTTTTTTTTTTGAGATGGAGTTTCGCTTTTGTTGCCCAGGCTGGAGTGCAATGGCATGATCTCGGCTCACTGCAACCTCCGCCTCCTGGGTTCAACCAATTCTCCTGCCTCAGCCTCCCAAGTAGCTGGGATTACAGGCATGCACCACCACGCCCAGCTAATTTTGTAGTTTTAGTAGAAAAAGGATTTCTCCATGTTGGTCAGGCTGGTCTTGAACTCCCGATCTCAGGTGATCCACCCGCCTTGGCCTCCCAAAGTGCTGGGATTACAGGCGTGAGCCATCGCGCCCAGCTGGGATTTTTTTTTTTTCCTATGGAAAGCGGAATTTAAATTATCCCTTCTTGCTATTGTTGGCACCTCACAAAGCAGGAAACACAGTTGAAGGTTGAGGGGATCATGTACTTTGATATTGACTCAAAGTAATGCCTTCACTATAAAACAGGAATCACTTGACATGCTAAGAAAAACCCATCGTAGAAATCAATATAACTAAAGCTTGAATGAATCTGAGTAACTCTTTTTCCCTCGATGTCAAAAGTAAGTGGTAGCCTGTATTGCTTAGGAGGCACTATTAAAAAACAAACTTTTAACAGCCTTAAGTAAACGTTTTCATTTTCCATAAAACTAAATGATGGCACAGTAATATGATTGCTTACAGCTGCAAATGCCTCATCATGAACTAAACACTTGTTAAACTTTGAGTAAAATTTTTCTTCAATGGCTTACAGTAAAATAAAAGCATTTTTAAAAATTATTTCATTAAATAATGCCATGGCAGACCGCTTAGTTAAATAATGTCATAGACTTGACCCAATCATCCACTGATTTCATGATAAGTACACATTAAATCTAAAAAAAACCCCTACATCCCTAAATACAAATGACTTTATAATTTTACATTAGGGAGTAGCACTGTATAAGTTACTAATGTTTTGTCCCACCCAAAGGAAGGAAAAATAGAAAACTTCATGCTAGGAAGGAAAAAAAAGTTTCCTATGTGTTTAATTTTCCTAAATGTCCAAGATATTCTTTAGATTACATGTCATCAACACTTCAGGAGAAAGGTGTCAAGTTTCTGAATGGGGTAGTAAAGAGAAGTTGAGGTAAGAAAAGGACATCTGACATTCATTCCTGCTAAGAAAGAAAAGAAAATCTTGCTCACACATTTCGTTTTAAAGACTTGTAAGGGAAAAGTTTGTCTAAAATTTCAAATAATACAAAACAAAACATATTCGTCATTCACTTTTTAGTATGCATTACTTCAATCAGATTGTTTTGTTCTAAGGCCAAACTAAATTCAGCCCTTTAAAGATTGGAAAATATTTGATGTTGCTGGATGTTTTGCAAAGTATCAAATAATTTTGGAATGTTGAACACCTATGGGAAGGGCATACTAAGTGAGTACCATAATCCAGAGGGATGTTGTCAAAGATAGGTGAGTAAAGAGGCATTTGAATACCAGCAATAAGCCAAAAAATGTCACTCCTCCTAAACACAGATATTATGGGTTCATTTAGTGACTATTACCATGTCCTCTATTGGTGCCAGGGATGTAGGGGCTCAGGTAAAAAGATATCAAAAAGTCAGGTCTGAGCCTGACTTCACAATGGTACCTAGGAATTTGGGGGCAATCATAACCTGCTTTTGAGTATAATCGTGTGCTACAGAGGAATGTAGATTAGATTTATCAAAACAAAAGTCCTGGTTATTCATTTACAACAGGCTTTGTGACCACAGAAGTTATCCCAAGTCTTTGATTATTCTACACCATTACAAGATACTTTACAGGGTTTTAAAGGTACTTTACAGGTACTTTACAGGTACTTTACAGGCCAAAAAGCATCAACAAAGACATTGCTGATTTAGTCAGCATCTGGCCTGCTTCTCTGACATGCATTAATATGGAACCCTTTCAAACCATATTCAGTGATAGTTCATATTGAATCCTTCACATTACAAGATAATCACTTTTGTGGTAAATTATTTTGTTTTGGTATTAGATTGGTGTTAATTTTTCTCATTTCATCGTGAAGGAAGGTAAAATGTTGTCTAAAGTCATTTCTGAACTTTGCACATACATCTCCAAACATCTGAGCATTATTATTCTGTACAGGAGATACAGTTATGGTATAGGAAGGTACACCAGTGACTAGTGGACCAGCATAGGGCTGGAGAGGGTAGGGAACATTAATGAAGTCATGCTGAAGTCCAGATGGGGGAGCCAGCCTCCGATAGATTCTAATTCAGATGCAGCATTTATTGAGTAATTTGGGAGCGAGTTACCTACATGGCTCACTTTTAAAATGGGGATAAAAATCTCACTCTACTAGGATTTTTGTGAAGTTGACAAAGATTCTATGTGAATGCATGATGAGTTCTTAGAAACCAGTAACAGTTAACTGAATTCAGTGCCTGACCACCACCACTCTTTTCTGTCACGTCTCAGGGTACTCTGCCACACTGGCTAAAATCCAAAGGTTTCCTACCAATTCTGTCAAGGATTAATGATGTACAAGTGTCTGCCCTTGCAGAACTTCTAGTCTATCCTCATAGTTGTTGAGAATTTCTGGGAAAATCTTTGTTTCTGCAGCTTGTTTGAGGTATTTTATTTTTTTCACCACCAAAAACTTTTCAGTAAAACCTATTTCTGAGTGTGGAGATATCTTCGTCTCCCAAAGTTGCTAAAGGGCACCTGAAGCCTTGATGTACAAAAATTCTAATTTCAATTTAATTTTCAACACATTCAATCCAAAGACTATTAACTCATGTAGCTAGATCACTCTTCAGACATAATAACTGAATGTTCTAATCAAAATCTCCCAGAGTTACAAAAAAATCTAATTCTGCAAAAGACAATCAATGTAATAATTACAGAGGTATTATGGTGACTCATTAGAAAAGGCAAGTGTTAGAAAGGAGCTTTTTCTGTAAATAGCAGCCCTATCATCTTTGCAATTCGACTAATCCCATTACACCTACACAAGAACGAATTTCAAACTTTAATAATAAATTTCATGAAGGTTACCGAGCCCAGGCAATGTTGGCACCAGAGTTATGAGATCATTATGGGAAGTTCGTGAACCTGGTGCTAGAGAGATGATTCATCAGCTCTCTGTAAGATGGTAAAGATTTTATGGATCAACATGGGAGTAGTCATTTTTCAATATTTCAAAAGCCTGGCTTGGGTATTCAACAGTTTGACATACTTAGCTGTAGCAGCAGCCACAGTTTGTTTAGTCAGGGGCAACAGGAAAGAGTGATAAATTAGAAAACGTCAAGCCATTCTTTCCCTCACCTGCCTGACTTTAAGTAATTAATGACAGCTGTTTTAATGAATTGATTAGTTTAATAATTGAAAAATGCAAGACACTACCTTTATTTCTGTTATTTCTCCCATCTCCTTCTAACAAGATGTTCAAGAATTGTATCTCTGTTAAAGTACAATCACGTGTCAATGATGAGGATATATCCTGAGAAAACTGTCATTGTGAACATCATAGAGTGTATTTATACAAACACCTAAGCATTATCATACAGTGTGGCAGACATACAAAGAGTTACATACAAAAAGGTACAGAAAGGCTTACTAGTGACCTAGTGGACCACGAAGTGAACATCATAGCATGTACTTACACAAACCTACTACACACCTAGGCTAGATGGTACAGCCTATTGCTCCTGTAATACAGACCTGTACAGCATGTTACTATACTGAATACTGTAGGTAAGTGTAACACAATAGTATTTGTGTATCTAAACATATCTAAACATAGAAAGGTAGAGTAACAATATGGTATTATAATCTTATGAGACCACTGTTGTCTATGTGGTCCATTATTGACAGAAACATCCTCATTTGTAACATGACTGCATATTCGCAAGTGGATTCCAGCCACCATTTTACAATAACAACAACAACTACATGCACAACAGCAAAAGCTAACAATTTTTTAGCACTGACTACATCCCAGCTACTGTTATAAGCACATCTCAAGGTGTTCCACCAAGCTGGTGAGGCTGGGGGATGTCAGCAATGGGGTTAAAGGGTGCAAAGCCTCAGAAACGAGGAAGACATTTGAGTTTTTTTTGAGATCTGCTGCACAGCATGTTGAATATAGCTAATAACTGAGTACCATACATTTCATAATTACAGAGAGTAAATTTCAAATGTTCTAATCACAAAAAGATTAAATATTTGGGATGTATATGTTAATCAGCTCGATTTAATCATTCCACATTGTATTCAAAATTCATAACATCACTTTTCACCAAATAAATACAATTATAATTTATTAATATATAATTTTAAAAATTCTGAGAGCCCACTAGATTTCTCAAGGGTTAACGAGATGCATGTGGGTCTTAGAACGCCAGGAAGCATAGCAACTATCTCCTTGGCGTCTCTGAGGAGGATGGTCTTGAAAACCAGATAAACACAATCTTTTACACATCCCGCAAATATTAACTGAGGGCTTCGTTTGTGCCAGGCATAGAGCTCTATGCTCTAGATGTGTTTACTCATCTAATCATCACAACACCACCATTGCTCCCATTTCACAGATATTTAATAGAACAGTGGAGAAACTTGCTCATAGACCCACGGTAAGAAGGTGGCAGAGTCAAAATGCAGAGAATAGATTTAGCAAATCAATTGGAGTCACCCAGTGAATGGTGTCATCATCTCAGCACCCAACTGGAAAGCTGCAGGATCCCTCTCTTCCTTTCCTCTCTATTCTCATGGATGTTAGAATAGTGCCTGGCACATGTTCAGCATGTTAGAAGAATTTTGTTGGGGCTCAGAAAACAGTATCTCAAAATGAAGACTGCTGCTGAGCAGCTTCAGAAGCAAAAGTTTCTCCTGACCTTCTCCTGTCCTCCTCTCAGTCCCATTTTGCCCTAAGGATAGCCATGGAAACTAGAATCCCTTTTCCCCAAGATAGATCATACAAATCAGAACCCCTTTTCCTGAAAGTCAGTCATAAAACCTAAAAATATTCTACGTAAAAACTGGCCATGAAGAAATGATCTGACCTAACTGGTTTGACTGTAGATCCTAAGACTCCTGTTCCAGACAGGGTCCTCTCTCACATCAAGAAGGAAGAAATGCTTCTCAGAGAGGCCAAGAATAATCTAGATGGACAGGCCTTACTGGGTTTCCCCTACTCAGTCCATTAGCATTTAAATCAGACCCTTTCTGTCCAATCACATTTCTACATGGCTGTCCACATATTGTTGAACCTAAGCATAAAAATGGACAACTGTCCATTTTCCCCTGTATGTTAGGTATTCATTCCGAAGGTTTCTGTGTATACAAGTTAAATAAACGTGTATGCCTTTTCTTCTGTTAATCAATCTGCCTCATGCCAGTATATTTTCAGTGACCCTTTAGAGCGCAAAGGGGAAGTTTCTTCTTGACTCCCTTAGAGTTAGTAAATGAAATAGGTAAAAGACATGAGCCAACTGCTCCCACTAAATGAGTAAAACCATGCTTAAGATAGGCAGAATAAACACAAGCCCCTGTAAGCTGCAAAGTGAAGGCATTTAGTCAGGCCCACTAAACAAATTCTCTATGTGAATTCAAATGCTATAGATATGTTACTGATTTACTGTGTTATTCTTCTTTATTGGTTTTGGAGGTCTGAGACCATCACAAAGAGGCTCTTGTGGTCTATTCTTGGCATCTCACAACATCTCACAATGTTGTCATGGGTAAGATAACTGATAACTGTTTGTTGATTAGACTTTCCTGGGCAAATATAACTGAATACAGAGAAATCATAGACATAACTGGCTATGCTTACTTTAAAACTGTGAAGCTCTGTATAAACAACTAACAAAATGGGGCATATTGCTAAATCAATGAGAGCAAAGTACCCAAGTCCAAGGCTATTTTCAAATGATACGTTTACCTCCTCACACTAATCTATTCATTTTCATTCTTTGATTGGATTTTAAAGGTTTAGCTCAAGTGTGGTTCTCAAAAAAACTAGACATATTACTTCCACCTAGTGACCCTCTTGCCGCTATATTTTTCCCACCATTTTCATGATCAAGCTACTCTTAGATCCATCCCCTAGAAATATGCTTTCTCTGAATAATCAAATTATTCAATCCTTTTTTGTAGATTCTGCTCAGGGCTTCCCTATGACGTCTGGCTTGCTCTGGTATTTTGGGTGCTGATGAATCTTAGAGATATACACATATATTCTCATTAATTTGCAACTTTTTTCTTGATGCAAACAAACACAAAGCAATCAAAACAAAAATGTTCTAGAGGACACATACATTCCCTTATCCACAGTGCAGGGCCACAGGGTACAGACAGCAGAAAGTCATGTGTTTTGGCTTGCTGGTACTACCAGAGATCTTCATCCCTATGCTTTGTGAAGTGAATACATCAAAGTGCCTCTCTTCCAAGATGGTTTGACTCAAGTTCATGTTGATGAATGCATTTTAGACTAAACTTTTTTATTTTGAGATAATTTTAGATTCACATTCATTTGTAAGAAATAATATAGAGCCATCTCCTATACTCTTCTCCCAGCTTCCCCCAGTTGTAACATCTTTCATGACTATAGTATAATGTCACAGCCAGGAAACTGACATTGATTCAACTATCTTATTTAGAATTCACAAGTTTTACATGTTATCATTTGTGTGTGAATGTGTGTATGTGTGTGTATTTAGTTATATGCAATTTTATCACATATGTATCTTTGTGTGACAACCACAATAGTCAGGGCACAGAACAGTTTCATTGCCACAAGGATTCCTCTTGCTACCCCTTTACAGCTATTTGCACCTCCCTCTCAACTCATCATCTTCTTAAATCTAGCAACCACTAATCTGCTTTCCATATTCAATGAAGGGAGGATGTCCAACTGGGCAGAGGCAACATCCAGCAGGAGACAATTACACAATCATCGAAGAAGATGCTCAGATAAATTGCAGTTACCTTCTCCACTGAGAACAGTAAGGCTATGGCGTCATTAGAAAATTATGTTCTTTATTCTTAAATAAATCCAAGTAGGATGGGGCTTGATATACTTTGGCTGTGTTCCCACCCAAATCTCAGCTTGAATTATAGTTCCCATAATCCCCACATGTCATGGGAGGGACCCGGTGGGAGGTAACTGAGTCAATGGGATGGTTACCCTCATGTTGTTCTCGTGATAGTGAGTTCTCACGAGATCTGATGGTTTTATAAGGGGCTTTTGCCCCTTTTGCTCAGCAAGTCTTCTTGCTCCTGCCATGTGAAGAAGGACTTGTTTACTTCCCCTTCCACCATGATTGTAAGTTTCCTGAGGCCTCCCCAACCATGCTGAACCATGAGTCAATTAAACCTCTTTCCTTTATAAATTACCCAGTCTCCAGTATGCCTTTATTAGCAGCACGAAAATGGACTAATACAGGGTAGATGGTCAATCCAGCAGTAGAATGGGATGAAAATCTAGGATAGTTAAAAATCTTTGTGCATAAGGAAAAGAATAGCATGAAAAAGGAGAAGAGATAGCCTTTTCTTTTTCTTAAATGAGAGGAAAAAGCACCTTTTATTTTCCTTGCTGCAGTGGCAGCAAACTCATTGGTTTTCATAAAACACAACTTCTGCGATATGGTCTGTTGATAAGGTTGCTCCATCATGGGAGGACAAACTTGAGGCTGACTGTTAATGACAGAACTAGGTCTTCTCTCAAAGCCTCTAATGTGTGCTATTTCTCATGAAGAACCCCTGACACCGTAAGATGCTTCAGTTAAAGCTTCTGAAATATTGCAGTGGCATAATTGACAAGTTTTTTGGTGCTATGAGTTTCTCACACATGTAAACCCTTTCGGAAAAGTTGGAGATAAAAAGATGGGGGAGAGTTTGGTTTAGAGTCACAAAGTTCCAGATACCAGCCACAGATGCCTCTGCCCAATGTCGCTACATGTTCTTTTCTGAGAAATGCATTCAATCACTCAGTATTACGCACTGTGGTTAAAAAAAAAAAAAAAGATCTACTCACCACCATCTACCCTCCCTTATCCTCCATGTGAAGCTCACGGTAGCAGCAGCTGAAGACAGAAAAGTTGTACCTGTTCCCTCACACCAGGGACATTACTTGGTGACCTGGTGAATGGCATAGGCAAGATTACCCGTGTTGCTGGAGGTGATCCCTGCCACAGGGATGCAGTCATCCTTTGTCATACAGATGGAAAACCCCTTGGTTAGCTTCTCCACCTGTTCAGGCTTTAGCCTTGTGAAACAAAGCATGCCAATTTAGTCAGTCATGTGTTGTCAGATGTGTGAGGAACTCTCCTTACTGCAGTTGGAGATCAGCTGAGTCTGCATGCTAGTAATGCAGTTGGCCATGATTTTCACTTCTTGCAACCATTATTTTCACAAACCCAGGCTGTTCAGAATGGTAGAGGCAATACAGGCCCCACTGAGAGAAGGGTTGGAATACATGGGATGGATCAGGATCTTCAACTGACTCCCCTCTTTTGGTTTCATTCACTGTCTTTGCAGATCACAGTGAAGGCTCTCATACACTGACCATATAAAGCCCATGTTCTTGGCACATGATTGACAGAGACAAACATTAATGCTCTGTTCAATGAAGTTGCACACAGCCCAGGCATCCTTGTTACCATCACCACTGGCAAAGCCTTGGTAGGCCATATCAAAGAACGCAGTTTCTTTTTCTTTGCCACTATTATTATTTCCTTTCACTGCTTTGCATGAGGGTCCCAGGCATGCAGGAGAAGAGCACTTTGCTCTGGTATTTTTGAAATGTCCTCCATAGCACCCGTGAAGTCAAAACTGCAAGTCTTGGGGTTATAGAATTGATAATCTTGTAGTTGCATGCCAGCTACCCTGAAGATAGGTGTGTGATTTCCCCAGGGTGGTTTGGACAGAGACATCTCTGTCTTCAAAAACTTTAAAAATCTTTGCACAAAACTGGCTCCAACCCTTAAACCCCAGTTCCAGAAATGATCCACACAGTGACAGACTGGCCACTTTTCAACACTTTGCTCTTCTCACCCAAGGCTGGTTCTGCAGATGCCTTGGAAAATTCAGCTTGTCCCCAAATGGGCAGGTATTCCTTGTCTAAATTTTTTTATTATATTTTAAGTTCTGGGGTACATGTGCAAAATGTGCAGTTTTGTTACATGGATATACACATGCCATAGTGGTTTTCTGTACCCATCAACTCGTCACCTACATTAGGTATTTCTCCTAATGTTTTCTCTCCCCTAGCCCCCAACCCCGTGACAGGCCCCGGTGTGTAATATTCCCCTCCCTATGTCCATGTGTTCTCATTGTTAAACTCCCACTTATGAGTGAGAACATGCGCTGTTTGGTTTTCTGTTCTTGTGATAGTTTGCTGAGAATGATGGTTTCCAGCTTCATCCATGTCCCTGCAAAGGACATGAACTCACCCTTTTTTATGGCTGCATAGTATCCCATGGTGTATATGTGCCACATTTTCTTTATCCAGTCTATTATTGATGGACATCTGGGTTGGTTCCAAGTCTTTGCTGTTGTCTAAATTTTTTATGGTAATCTAACTGGGTCTCTTATTGTCCCGGTAGGCACCAACTCCCAGATTCATCTTTTTGCTGTTGATTTCCCTCTTAAAGGCTTTGGTGGTTCCCAGGATGGGATCTGGAGGTCTCATTTCCACATGGGCCCACAAGGAGCTGGCTCTGGCAGAGGCCATGGTGGGGAGGCCTAGGTAAAAGGTGGCAGCGATCCCCTAGAGGACACGGCTGGAGTGGAGCAGGGCCGGGTCATGGTGGACCTTGAGAGTGCAGTGGGTAGGCACAGGACAAAGTAGAAGGCAAGAAGGTGCAGAACCAGGGGGCATGGACTCCTGCTGAAGGTCTTGTTTTGTATTAGAAGACCTCCACAGTGGAGTGAAAAATGAAGTCACTTCTCTGTATATTTTGAATTAAAGCTTGCACAGGTGTTTCAGCCTGCTAAATAGTTCAACCTGGACTATTTCAGCTCTGAATTATTCAAATAATTATTTTTAAAATATTTTAAATTTAATTTAGCACACAGAGAATGCCTCTGTGTGAAGTAAGTGGTGGCAATTTAAAATAACTAATGATCATAATTATTGGAATCTAGTCTCCTGGGCATTTTCTACTTCATAATTTACAGGGAGCCTATGAGAGTTCAAACACACTGTATTTTCGCCAAAGGAGTCTCATGCTTTGTCTGCATTTTATGGCTTCCTTTGCACCTGGAGCAGCTATTTTAGGACTGTCTAGACAATCACCCCAGCTTTAAAGGTCTTTTCCTTTCTTTTCACATAGTCACTGAGCATGAAGGATAATAAATAGATGACGCTGGCACTCTCTCACCAAAGATACTATTCAAATAGAGACAGGAACAAGAAGGCCTTTGCTCTGGCTCACAAAATCAAGATGCCTTAATATACAGCCCCAGATGTCTACCAATTGGCCAAACTTGAAACCAACAAGAAGGCCTTCCAATGTCCACATCTCTGTAGTAGCTGGATCATACTTTTTGGTTGAGCTGCGTGAAATGGTTACTATTTGACCATCTTGGACATATAAAAATGGCAATTTAAGATGTTTCGATCCAAGAGATTTGGGAAAGAATTTGGGAGTGCTCTGTTTCCTTTTTTCCTCTCCAATTCCCAAGCAACATTCATCTGGGTTCTAGCAAGGACCCAGAATGCACAGCTTCTGCAGGCCACTTTTGCCACTACAGGGAAATAATGCAGCCAAGCATGATTCAGGAACATTTCCTATATACGTGTCCTAGGTAAGACCTAAAAGTTAGTAAGTAATATATCCCAGGGAGACGTACACCGGGTCAGTTTACTTCACCCCTCACAGTCATTTCTTTCAAGAGGTAAGAGACACCTTTTAAGCTCTCCACAGGACTCCTACAGCCCACCTGTCCCCAGGCTCTTTAATGGGTTCCGAGATTGCATCCCAATCTCAGACCCTCCTGGGAATATTCCTACTTGGTACTCTCTGATGGTGAAAGTATTTCATTTTGTAGGAAAAAAATACACAAGGGTAGATATCTATAGATATATAGATGTACATTGCATATAATATACAATATAATATTCAATTACATTATATACAACATACACTATATATGTATTTTTACATTATATACTATATATATAATACGTCACCTAGCAATGATCAGTTTTATTTGTTTCCTTATAATGTTAGAGTATTTCTCAGTACAACAAGATGTGCACATATTAATTTTCTGCTAACATCATACCATTTCTACTGTCGTGTTCAAGAGCTATCTCCACCCTTTACTCTGTCCCACTTTCTCCACTGATGATATGTGTAACATGAATCAGTTTGGAGGTCTGAAGTCCAAAGCATTTCTCCTGAGTATAAACTGGAGCTTCAAAAACAAGAGCAGCCCAAGAAGGCTGGGCCAAGGGCTGAGAAATTTCATATCAGTGCCACTCACAACTGCAAACTTTGTGCCAGGCACTGGGCTAAATGCAATGGTAAGTATGGGGATACAAAGTAGATGAATACTCAGTCTCCACTTAAGCAGATACAATTCTTATAGGGGAATAAAATTACAACACCAAGTGGAGCAAACACAGCATAGAACCAAGTCAACAGATGTTGTCTTACTTCATTTTGTGTTGCTATAAAGGAATAGCTAAGGCTGGGTAGTTAATAAACAACAGAGGTTTATTTTGGTTCAAAGTTCTGCTGGCTTTACAAGATAGATGGCACTGGCATCTGCTTGGATTTCAGCAGAGCTTTTGTGTTCCATTAAAATATGTCTGAGAAGGTCAAAGAGGAAGCAGACATGTGCAAAGAGGGACCAAACCCAGGGGTGTCCTGGCTTTCTAGCAACCCACTCTTGCAGGAACTAATCAATTCCCCTGAGAACCAATCTAGTGTCAAGAGTGAGAATGCCCTCACTGCCATGAGAACAGCACCAAGCCATTTATGAGGGATCCATCCCTGTAACCCAGACATCTCCCACTATGCCCCACCTCCGATATCACCATGCTGACCGTCAAATGTCAACATGAGATTTGATGGGGACAAACAAACCATGTCCAAACCACAGAAAATATGGATTCAAATTCTCCGAGGGCCATGGCTTATGAGCAGCGTTATTAGGGCAATTTGCTTAACTTACCCTATTTCCTCCCTTGAGTATCAGTTAATAATAATTTGAATCTTACTTGGCATTTAATAAGATAATTACTGAAAATTTATGTCAGGTAGAGTGAGACTGGCAAACTTAAAATACTATAAATGCAAGCTCTTATTTTTAGTGAGCATCCACTGCATGCATATACTACCCCATTTCATCCTCAGCAGTCTCAATCTTTTAATGTATTACTACTTTCTTCCTTTTAGATAGACAAGTTGGGCAAAAATAAGTTAATTAATCTCCCCACTAACAGAAGACTCTTTCCTGCAGGAAAATAATGAAGTCCCGAACTGAAGGCAAACTTCTCTAAAGTCATCAGCAATTTTTCACTTCTCAATTGCCAATATCTTCTCACTTTGTCAGTTTTCACTTCCCAGACACTCCTTCAAGCAACTCAATCTGTTTTCTACTTCCACTATTCAGATAAAACTGGTTTGGTAAAAATTCCCAATGCTGCCATGTTATAAAGCTGAGGGGCGACTATTCTGCTTTTATTCTACCTGATCCCTCAGCACCACTAAACCTAGCTGGCCATTCATTACCTTTGCCATCTGGACCTCCCCCAGCTTTTGCTATACGCACCCCTTTTCTCTCTTTTTCCTTCACTAGCCACTTGCTCTAGGTTCTTTGCTGCTGCTTCTGCTCCTTTAGAGCTCTAAATGCTGGCACTCCTCATGGCTCTGTTGCAGGCCAACATCTCTTAGTCAATCCTTCTGAAGATGTGTCTGGAATTTGTGAACCTCCTGAATCAGCTCCACCAGAAAGAAACAAGCTTCATGAGGGAAAGAACTTTTGCACATAAATTGCTGAATTCCCAACACCTGAAAGAATCTCAGGCACACTCCAGGTGCTCAACAAATATTTGCTGAAGGAATGTGAATTGCCTGAAGTGCTTGAGATGTTCCTGGGATGCCCTTCTGGACATCTAAATTGGAATCACAGTGCATCTGAGAACCAAAATCTCTGGTCTTCTACCACACCGACTTTTATCCATGTTCTTTCCTTAATCTGATATCCTCTCCCACTTCCTCATTCTTTAATGCGCAGGGAAGCCTTTCCTGACCCTCACCTCCACCCAGATTTAGTCGAATCTCCCTCTCGTGCCCTTTCATAGAACCCTCTCCTTTGTGGTACTGAGGTCCCTTAAATTTTACACATATCTGTGTGACTACTGCCAGCCTGTCTCAGATCATACAGGCTTGCACTCACCATCATACCTCCATTTCCTCACTAAGTCTCCCTCATGGTGGGCCCTCAATAAATATCAGTGAATAAATTGTTAATAATACAGATTTTATATTAACGTTAATATATCAAAATATAATAATATATTTAAATTGTATATTTATGATATAATGAATAATTAAAAGTTAAATGATGACACAAATTTCTCTCTCCTCAGCTCTGAGCTCTCCTCTGAATTCTACATGCATATCCCCATCTAGGGGCATCACATCTCCAAACGGATGTCTAATGGGTTTCTCTATTTCAGCCTGTCCAAAGCCCCAGCTTTTAAATTTTCCAATACAAACTTGTTTCTCTCTCAATATTTTACTCATGTTAGTAAATAGCATCACCCACCCAGTTGCTCAAGCAAGCTCTTGAGAGTCACATCTGATTCCCCCTTTTCCTTCACCAGCCCCTTACCCATATCTAATTAAACACTTAGTCCTGTTGCTTATACTTCTAAAATATATTTCAAATCCATCCCTTCTCCATCTCCACAGCTGCTGCCAAGCCCAATCTTCCATTAACAGTCAACTGGATGGTGGCTGCAAATCAACTGGTCCCCTGTATCCATTCTTGCTGGTCTACCACAGATTTTCTACACAGAGCTCAAAACATCAATCAAACCATCCCCATTAGAGCCCCATCCTAATTCAATGGCTTCTCACTGCAATGCAATGAAGTACATACACCTTAGTGAAGCTCTGCCTATCTATCTACAGCACCTCATGGCATTGCTCCCTTCACTCACTAGACTCCCAACTCTCTTTTGTACATACTGTTCCCTCCGCCTGGAATGATTACCCCATGTGTCCCCACCCACACCTCACACAGCTGGCTTCTTCTCCTCCTCCAGTCCTCAGATTACATGCTGCCTTCTCAGAGTAACCTTCTTAACAGTGTCTAAAATAGATTTCGGCCGGGTGCAGTGGCTCGCGCCTGTAATCCCAGCAGTTTGGGAGGCCGAGGCGGGTGGATCATGAGGTCAGGAGATGGAGACCATCCTGGCTAACACGGTGAAACCCCGTCTCTACTAAAAATATAAAAAATTAGCCGGGCGTAGTGGCGGGCGCCTGTAGTCCCAGCTACTCGGGAGGCTGAGGCAGGAGAATGGCGTGAACCCGGGAAGCGGAGCTTGCAGTGAGCCGAGATCGCGCCACTGCACTCCAGCCTGGGAGAAAGAGTGAGACTCCGTCTAAAAAAAAAAAAAGATTTCGCCTTCAGATATCTGTTGTCACAGAAATATTTCTGTTCTTTACACAGCATTTGCCACAATTTGGAATTACTGATTTACTACTGTTCATTATCTTGTTTCCAGATAGAAACTTCTATGTCAGTCTTGTTCACCATTTCATCCCTAGCACCTAAAATGGAGCTCAGCATAGATTATCAATAAACGGTTGTTGCATGAATGGACAGAGTGGAGAAAAACGGTCAGATTAATACAGTTCCAACAGATCAATGGTTGCCAGAGCCTGAGGGTGAAAAGAGGGGTTGACTACGAAAAGGCAGAAGGAAGAGATTTGGTGGTGGGGGTGGGGGTGGGGGGTGGTATATATAGAATTCTTCTGTATCACAATTGTGATGTTGGCTACACAACTTTATGTATTTGTCAAAACTGATAGAACCATACCCTCCAGAAGGTCAATTTTACTCTATGTAAATTAAAAAATAAATTAATAAAATTATGATTCCAAAACCCATGTCAACCCAGAACAAATCTAAGATTCCAAGATTCACAGGTTTAGAGTTTTTTTGTTGTTGTTGTTCTGGTGGTGGAGGGTTCAGTTAACTTCCTGTGTTCATGGTCAAAGTACTGACTCAAAACATACTTCCCTATTTTTCATTTATCAGTTTAAAGAAAGGAAACCGGAAACAAAATAAAGATGTGAAAGATAAATAATACAAGAAAAAGCACAGTAGTAAAATAATATTTAAACTAATCATGTGATAAAATGTCAGCATTTATTCATGACATTTGGCTCTGTTTGTATTGGATCACCCCAGCAGGGCAGTGGCTGTGGGTTGATTTCATAATAGTGCCTCCCACATGTACGCCCACGCCTGACCTCTGCTTTGTGCAGTTGATAATGACTAAACTTCACATATTATGCTGACAAAATCTACTCCTTCCCTGGAGGGCTGTTACACACAGGGAATTGGAGTTTCACAGCTGAACAATGTTTCTTTCTCAAATTCTGGGATGATCCACTTCCATTAGAACAAAGTTATACGGGCTGATAAATTGCTGTCTTTTGCCAAAGTGTTACTCATCATCGTATATTCACCCAACAGATGCCACTGAGAAACCCCATCCTATCAGGGGGAAAGAAGGATGCAGAGATATGAATAGACTGTTTAGACACAAGTTGCATTCCCTAAAGTAAGCACATGACATACGAATTTCACCTTATGACATTTCCCCCACCCCCACCCCCACTGACTTTCATCCATTAGAACGTGTTGATGGATATACCATTTCAAAATGAAATATTTGGATATCTGACTCTGATTTGGGGAAAGGGGAAATGGTGAGCTAATTTCCTCTTTTATCAAGCTGAATCACTAAGTTCGCTCTGTTGCCATGCACGCATAAGTAATGCCATAGCAACCTCTCAGTTTGCTCTTAAACACACAACAGCAGAAGTATGCGAATAGGTACATTTTTTAATCCTTAGATTTTCTTAGCAGCTTAAGTTTTATAAGACATTTTATGGCACCGGATTATTTAGTTCACCTTTGGTAGTCTTATTGCTGACTGACACATATATCATCAATACCAGCACAACAGAAAGGCTTAGTTCTTGGAAAATTTTCCAATAACTTTCCTTTATTCTCAATCTCTAGCTCACAATTAAAAATTTGCACATTGGACGCTATAGTCTGGATCCTCTTCAGGATTTTCTTTATAAAGATCCTAACTTTAAATGGGACTGAAATATATAATTTGAAATTCATGAAATATAGAAATACATGGACCTCTCATATAGCTATTTAAGTAAATTCAATGAAAGTGTCATTATCACTTGGTATGTACTAGGAATTATGTCAGGTTCTAGAAAGAAAGAAAATCTTTACTATCAAGGGATTCAGATGAACTCCTGTAGAAAATAAGGGATGGGTACTCTTGAATTCTGCCACTTTGAGGTTTAGATTTTTATGCCTACAAAATATATGGTAACACCTAACTTTATACTAGTTTAAGAAAAGTCCATCTAAATTGAGAAAATGTGGATTTTTAAATAGTTTTATTACCTCATGCATTTCTTCACAAATGTGTACACTTCTTTCTACTGGATGACAACAAAATGAGAGCACTAGTACTATGGAAATGCCTTTTACAAAACACCATGTCACTGCTCTCTGTCAAGTGTCTTTGGCTGATAGACTGGATGAATAATTGACTTGTTCTTGAAATACCTGAAATGGGCTTCAGATTCCATACTTGAATCTAACATTATTTAGCCACTTCTGCCAAATATTTTAATTACTTAAGGAGTTAAGGTTTTGTTATTTTATAGAGAGGCAATACACTTCAATAAAATTTTAGATATCCCATCCACCCTTCCATGAGCATATGTTAATGTATCCAAAGCTAAGGGAATTTGGATCAAGTCATTTTCACTTAAGCACTTATGTATAATTTGAAGGATACACATCAGGAAACAGAAAATATCAACTTTCTCATTGACCAGATGCGTTTAAAAATGTCTCAGTGAACTGGCATCCCTTCATTTCCGATCAGGTAGAGAGCTGTGCATTCATAAAACTACTAGGCTTGTTCTTAAGCAAAGCTTGCTGTTGCTAGCTCTTGCTGCTCTTAGAAGTGGGAGCAAAAGGTTTGATTCTATAGGGCTGTCCTGATTGTAACTATAGAATTAGGAAGCCCTCTATATTTCTTGATGAATCATATTTTAAGTTATTTGTATACTATGATAAAATGATTTTTAACTTTTAGGAATATTAACTTGAGGCCTTAATAGATGGTCCCCAGGGTTAATATTCATTTGAAATGCTAATATAGAGAAATTCTTTACATTAATGATTGTCAAAGTATAGTCCCTAGGAGAGAAATGTCAATCTTAGCTGGAAACTTATTCAAAATGCAACTGTTTGAACCCCACCCCGGACCTACTGACTAGGCACTCTGGAGATGAGGCCGGCAATCAGTATTTTAACAAGCCCTCTAGGTGACTTCAATGCACTCTCAAGTTTGAAATCCACTGCTTTATATAATACACATTGCTCATCTGGGATAATACATACAGAGCAATTTATGTTGAGAAATAGCTCTTTTCTTCTTTTTGATGGTGTGTTGTTTTTTGTGTGTTTGCTTGCTTGTTTTGTATTCTGATAAAAGTAATTGAAAATGTTTAATATAAGGATTTTTGCCTATCCCAGTATGGTTATGACACAAGATCACTTGGTTCCTGATAAACTAAAAAGTCATTGTAAATGTTGTTTTGAAGAACAACCTAATTAAAATATATTTTATTAGCAGCAATAATAAGAGGATGACTAATTTGAATAATCTAGCAACTTGAGACTGGGGAAACAATATGGCTTAGAGTCAGAGGGACTTTAGTCCAGCTTAAATCAGGGTTACTCAATATAAGCATTATTGACCTTTGGGGCCAGATAATTCTATGTTGTAGGGGTGCTATAGGATATTTGGCAGCATCCCTGGTCTCTACCCACTAGATGCCAGGGGATGCCCCTTCTCAGTTGTGATAATAAAAAATGTCCCATTGTCAGATGTCCCCTTGCGGGGGCAAATAGTCCCTACTTGAGAACCACTGGTCGGTCCATTGGGGGTTCTCAACCTCAGCAGTACAGTAGAATCAATTAATACTGATGCCCGGCCAGGCGCAGTGGCTCACGCCTGTAATCACAACACTTTGGGAGGCCGAGGTGGGTAGATCACCTCAGGTCAGGAGTTCAAGACCAGCCTGGCTAACATGGTGAAACCCCATCTCTACTAAAAAAATACAAAAATTAGCTGGGCATGGTGGTGGCAGGTGCCTGTAATCCCAGCTACTCAGGAGGCTGAGGCAGGAGAATCACTTGAACCCAGGAGGCGGAGGTTGCAGTGAGCCGAGACTGTACCACTGCACTCCAGTCTGGGCAACAAGAGTGAAACTCCATCACAAAAAAAAAAAAAAAAAAAAAAAAAAGAAAAGAAAGAAAAGAAAAGAAAAGAATACTGTTGCTCAGACTGGTTGGATTGAACCTCTGTGGATAGGCTCAGAATCAGTATCTTTTCAAAGCTCGGTAGGTGATACAAAGGTCCAGCCAAGACTGCCAAACACTGTACAGACATCCCAGTGCATCCATACCCTTACCTGGGAGAGAGCTGTAATACCATCTATTGTAACTATCACACAAGATCAGATGAGAGAGCATTTATGAAAGCATTTATACCACAAGGCAATTAGTATGTTAAAGGCAGCAGAGAAAAATAATGTACTTTTCAAAGTTGCCATTGAAATTGAAAAATATATCCAGCTCTCTATTATGAATTAGGATGGTTTATATTTACTGTCTTTTAGATTCATATCCCATTCCCAATAGGAAAGAGATGTGATGCATTCTCTATGTCTCTCTTGGGAGTAGATTCATGATATTATTCAGTCTTCGATGGGCAGAAAACCATACAAATTGGATCAAATCGTTCATACTATGCACCAGTGATGCTCTGAATATATACTATAAAATCAATATTCTTTCTATTCTTTTGCCTCTCAATAACCAATTTTAATAAGTGGAAAATAATTCAGATTCCTCTGACAATAGCCTCTTTAGAAAGAATGGGGAAAATTCTTGGGTTACAATTGTGTCAATGAAAGGGATTCTTTATTTTAAAAAAGATAAAAATATCCAAAGCAAATAAGAACAAATGTTAACAGTTACTAAATCTGAGTAACAAATACATAGATACTTGTTTTCGTTTTTCTATATTTTTCTTTGAAGTATCTGATTCAAACTCAAAGAGGATGCTAAAATCAGTTTGAACAAAGCACCAGTGAATACTTCAAAGAAAAATAAAGAAAAAAGCACGTTTTTCTTGGTGCCAGGTGACTATGTAGACCCCATGGGGATGGGGAGGCCAGCTGGGGGCCAAGGGGCTGCATCCCACAGTGTCTACCTCAGTTTATATTGCCACCTTACGCAGGCAGGGCACGTTAGCCTTTGATATTCAAGAGCAGTTCTAACTGAGCAGTTCAGCTAGGGTGTAAGGAAATCTTAGTAGTTGAATTTTTTTTTCATGTGCTCTAACAGCTTTTAAAACAAGGAAATTATTATCAATATCTGCTTCTACTCTCCCTAATGAGTTGCAAAAGTGTGTAACCCCTGCCTTTCTCTCTAATAGAACCAATATGGTAGCAATGGGGACATTTTACACAAAAGTCAGAGTGAAAAGATGGACTTTTAGGCACATTTTTTTTTTTTAAGAGATGAGGGTTTCTCTATGCTGCCCAGGCTGGACACAAACTCCTGGGGCACAAGTGATCCTCCCACCTCAGTCTCTCAAGTAGCTGGGATTACAGGCGTGCACCACCATGCTCAGTTTAGGCATATATTATAAAAGAAGCAATTTGCCTGAAGCACTACACTCCCCTGTAGACTGTGGACAGATAAGTAAGCAAAACAATTTTTCTCCCAGAGTAGGAGTTGGCAAACTACAGCCCCTGGGACAAATCCAGTCCACTGTCTGTTTCTGTGAATACAGTATTAATTTAACACAGCCCAGTCCATTCGTTTGCATATTATCTATGGCTTCTTTCAGCTACAACATCAGAGTTGAGTAGTTGTGACAAAATCTGTATAGCCTCAAAAGCCTGAAATACTTACCATCTGTCCCATTACAGAAAAGTTCCCTAACTCCCATCCTAGGGTATTAACATATGAATTTGTTCCATAGAGCCACTGTAATCCCAGCACTTTGGGAGGCGGAGAGGGGAGGATGGCTGGAGCCCAGGAGTTTGAGACCAGCCTGGGTAACATGGCAAAACTCTGTCTCTACAAAAATTAGCCAGGCATGCTGGTGGGTGCCTATAGTGCCAGCTACTGGGGAGGCTGAGGTGGGAGGATCACTTGAACCCAGGAGGTGGAGGTTTCAGTAAGCTGAGATCATGCCACTGCACTGTAGCTTGGGTGACACAGTGAGACCCTGTCTCAAGAAGAAAGAAAAGAAAGAAAGAAAGAAAGAAAGAAAGAAAGAAAGAGAGAAAGAAAAGAAAAGAAAGATTTAATAACAAGTGGACAAAATAAAAAATAATATTTCTCAATGACTTTTATAGTCACACAGTAGTATACATTTATACTACATTTTTGCTTTAATACAGAAAAAACAATTATAAAGACCCAAATATTGTCACCTTTTCTCTTGAAAAACAAACAAACAAACAAACAAACAAACAAACAAACTAGTGTGCTCTACAAAGGAAACCTAAAAGAGGATGTGTTGATAATTAATAATGTAACACATTGTTAAAATATCACTGTTTGATAGTCTCTCAACCTAGCCATTTCCTAGAGTAAGACTATTTTACTTATATACCTATTTGCAGTTGAATAACTGTAATACAGGTAAAAATACTAATGAAAATTTATAGGCAAAAATATTTCCCTTTTATAGAAAAATAGAAGTCACAGCTGTACGCTAGAGAAAAATAGAAAAGTAATCTTTTCTTTCAGTCCTTACAAAATAATTACTTCTATAGGGAGTAAAGATGATATTTGTGTTTTGACATAAGTAAAAGCTTATTTTTAGTTCATTTCATATGCCTGGACTTTCCAATGTTTGGGGAAATTTTAAGAAATGGAGACGTTTTTGTAGCTATATAAGACTCTATTATTTCCAGAAGCCTCATAAATTGAAAATGAGACCTTACTGACATTCTTTCTTTTGTTTCTTCTCAAAAGGATTCCCAAATAGGAAAAGAGTATGTAATAAAACAGAGAGTGCAGAGCTATGGTTGTCAAGGCAACTGTAATAATCTTGCCCTTGAACTGTGGTAGAGCATCCACTGCAGTTCAATCTAACCTCATGTTTCCTCAGAATGCTTATGTATGTTCGAAATCCTTATTATATAGCAATATCATTCCAATCAATCAGGTGATGATAGGAATGTAGAACACGAACTGAAATGTCCATGGCATTCCCATTATGGAAGGCAGACAGGAAAATGACACTTGCTAGCATACAGAATAGCTAAGAGAACATGTCCTTCCACTCCACGCCATTCAACATGCATTTGGGACACTATACTGGCTACTACCATTAATAGAAACATAAGTCCAGCCCACAAAGTAGTGAATCCAGATTAAATGAGCTACAATCCTGTGATAGGTCCCCATAGCCCTAGGAACTATGACAAACTACAGAATGGCTGGTATACACACTCACAAATTGCCACTTTGTGGAAAAAATGGTCACTATTTATGATCATCAGGTTTTCTTCATAGTGAAGAGAAGAAAACTTTCCCCATACAATTTGGAAGAAACTGTTACTACTTATTTGTATCTCATCTGATGCTTCCTTCAGGACTGCAGAGGATTGTGTTTTCTCTAGGAGATAGTCAGTATCTTAGAGGCTGGGCAGCTAGAGTTTGCCTCACTGAACACTAAATGATCTTTGCTTATATTTTCCAACTCAGACACTCCTCAATTCTGAAAGTCTGTTAAGATAGCTGGATATTTCAAAGTCCACATGCATTTTCCCATAGAAATAAAGATACAGTGGTTTTGGTTCGTAGGTCAGCTCAAGTAGTCTCATTTAACCTATGACATACGTGAAGTACAGAGTGGGAAGTACAAATGTAAAAGGGAACCCCATTCTCACCGTTGTGAGACCCTGGAAAACAGCAAAGAGTCCCCATCATGGGATAGGGGAAGGAGCACTGGGTTGGGATCAGAAGTCTTTGTCTGTATCAGTTCTTTCTCTGTGCCTCCAGGCCACAGACCATCTCCTCTGAAGTCAGTGCTGAGGCCCCTGGATCCAGCTCAATCACTTAGCTCACCATGGGAACTCAGCACATCATTTACTGGAAATAAAATAATAAGCACCTTGCCATTTGATCTGAGGTCGTCATTTAGTCATTTGAACATTTATTTTTCTGTTTTGTTTTGTTTTGAGACGGGGACTCCCTCTGTTACCCAGGCTGGAATGCAGCAATGTGATCTTGGCTCACTGAAGCCTCGACCTCCTAGGCTTAAGCGATTCTCCCGCCTCAGCCTCCCAAACTGCTAGGACTCCAGGTGGGCACCACACCTACTAATTAAAAAAAGTTTTTTTTAAGAGACAGGGTCTCACTATGTTGCCCAGGCTGGTCTCAAACTCCTGGGCTCAAGCAACTCTCCTGCCCCAGCCTCCCAACATTTCAATATTTCTGAGATTCAAGATTCTCCTCCATAAATTAGATGTTTGGGAAAAATAGGCCAGGCACTAAGCTTCTCTTACTCTCAAATTGTATTACCCTTAGATATGTGGATAACTCCTGTTATTCCTGTTTTTTTTTTTTTTTGGTATAATAGTGATAACAATGGGTTCCATAAAGGGTGGATGGGAAGATATCATAAGGATAGAGACAGAGTTAGGATAAGCATTTTACTATTGGTGGGGGATTGAAAACTTATATTTTTGGAAAGGAATTTGCTGAACAAAATAGACACTGGCATTTTTTGCTGAATTGACAATGTGATAAGAAGCACTCCCCAATTTCCCCTCTCAGTTATTTTTGAGTAAGTCCTACCCCATCTTCCTGGTGTCTCCTTCCACTCATTAAACAAATTTCTTTGTTTTTTGTTTCTAGTGTATTTATCACCATCTCACTTACCTTATTTTTTACCGTGTATGTATTGGCCATCCTTTGGCCCTCTAGAAATAAAGTACCATCAGGGCAGGGGTTTGTGTCTGTTCTGTCCAGAACTGTATCTCCAAAGCCTAGAATAGCATCTGCACATAGTAGGCATTCAAAACATACTTACTGAATAAATAAATGAATGAATCACTGAATGAGAGCAAAAAAAAAGAATACTCTTCTTCAGATCTAAATAAAATAGACATTTCAAAGTATATGTTGAGGCATCCACTGAAGACAAATTTTGGAATATTATGAAATCCAGTAGGAGGAAGATTATTTTTTGTCAGAAAAACTAAGGTAAGGAGACCCAATACCCCAGACTACTATCCAAAAGATTGAGTAACCAGGGTGATTGCTTAGATACAGATGCTCTTGATATATTAGAAGTAAACATGTATAAAGAAGGAATGCTTCTTGTATTTCTACTTAGGCCTGGGAAATGTCTGGTACAATGGAAAACACCCTGAGGCAGAAGCCACCAGGCATCCAGAATCAGTGGATTCTTGCTCTGCCTCTTAGTACCTGTTGACTTTGAGCAGCTAGAGGACTTCCCAAACTTCAGATTTCTCACTTATAAAACTGGAATATGGCCCCCTGCCTTACAAGGTGGTTGTGAGGGTAAAATAAAACGTAAGGAAACCCAGAAAAAGAAGATCTTCAGTAAATGATGGCCACTCCTACTATTGCCATCACCAACAGTAGCCTGCTCAAGTCACTTAACCCCTCTGGGCTCCAGTTCCCTTTTCTAGAAAATGAAAACATTGGACGAGAATGATTTCAAATGGACCTGCCACTCCAAAAATCCTGTATGCTCAGTTTCACTCCCTCAAATATGTAACTATGGGGCTGGGTGAAAAAACAAGATCTTTTAAAGAGAACCTAGACTTAGCTATAGAGGCTTATTAAATTATCTGTGTTATAATTCTACATTCATAACCCTAAAATATAATTTTCCCTTAAAAATATTCGGAAAAAAAGTTTCCCATGTCTTGGCAAACCAAACTCCAGAGAGTTTTCCAGTGTTTGGAAGGGGCTGAAGGGCCCCAATATTTTAAAGATGAATATAATTTGGTGCTGAAATCTTCCTTTTGTGTTTATGACTATGTCCCAAAACAGAATCCTAGAAGAGAGAAGTGTAGCTTAGAAATATCAAGAGACTGCCTAAGAACCCAGCAGGGTTTCATATACATTTTAGTTGATTTACACTTTAAAATTGTTACTCACTTACATGTTTCCACATTTCTACTGTCCCAAACAGAATGAATTTGACAATTTGTGAATCATGAAAAAAGAAAGAAAATCAACTTAATAAACAAGTTATTTTCCCTTTGGGTCATATGTACCCCATAAGATAACTTTAAAGCAGCACTTACATTACAGAGACATTTACTTGGGATTAGCAGAAAATAATTTTCAGGTTGCTGGTCAGTCTTTAAAAATCTTTTTAAAGAAATTATGTATTCAAAGAGCTCCCGGGGGAAAAAAATCTGTTAACTATAATACTTCTGACCAACAAAAAAACCTAAATGGTCTGCAATACTTCTAAGTTATTAGTGAAAAAGACTTCCCTTTAGTACAACACAATTTTTAATTCCTTGAAGTATGTCTTGGGGTAACAAACACCCCCATCCTTTAGGTCATATTCAAATTACACACACACACACACACACACACACACACACACACACACGCATGCATACACAGTGCACCACCCACTTCTCTCATTTCCTCCTGTAACCACAAAACGGAATGTTTTACTACAATCATGCACACCCATTTTATTTACATAAAAATGATGCCTTTAAACTGGTAAAGAAGCAGGAGATCATAATCAGAACTGAAATTAGTCAAAATGAAGAAAAATCTTTTAAAAATAAAAATGAACTTTACATTCTAATATATTTGTGCCTGGATCAAGAGCTACTATATTAAAATAAACATTCATATCATATAACTAAATACACGTGACCTAGAAACACCCAACTTACAAATATCCTGTACATGAGAACAGTCGACCCAAGTGAGCCAGGCCAGGAACAGGGCAGGCTCTCCCCAGACTTGAAGGCTAGAGAAGGATTCCTCTAGGATTCCCCTCCATCTCGTCCTGCTGGATAGTGGCGTTGGAAGTGATTAGAGTAGAAAGGGGAAGTGAGAAGCCATGGGCCTTGTACCGCCTCAGTACTGTCTTCCCACCATTCTCAACGAGGACTCCATTTCCCATAAATGTTACAAAGAGTGCCTTGGTTCCCAGGCCGGACCGTCAGAAGTCTGCTGGACCCACAGTGCAGCTGGAACTGTGCTATTAATACTAGGCTGACTTCCCACTTGGAAGCCAACTCCAGTCCTGACAGTGCTGTCAGCTCTGTTATGGTTAAATGGATTTCTGGGCGGTCCTGGGAGCCTGCCAGTGAGAACATCCTTTCTGTGGGAAAATTCCTACCGAGGCCCAAACAGCTCACTGTCAAACAGGGTTGTAGACCACAAGTTGTGAGAGCCTTAGGCATTGACCAATCACTTCTCACCTTTCCCTTCTGGAAATACTTGAGTGATCATTGGAGTCAACTCTTACACAGAGAAACATAAGGCAAGTCCAACACTCAGCATGTGATCTGTTCCATGGCAAGTAATGTGTATATTTTACTGTTGTCATTAATAAAACGACTACAAAAATAAATTATACCTCAGTAACACCATGTTCTAATCAACTGAGAGACATGATCACTTAATAGTCCTCTTGAATAAGTGGAACTTACGTGTAGAAAGGTTACTGTTCTCATCAATAGCAAAGAGGTAGTTTGGTAAAAGTTGATGAAATACAAGATCAAATAGTTTACCCACACAACACACACACAAAGACAGCTAACAATGCAACAGAGATGGGGAGTTATTATAGTAGCAGATTGTAATCTGCTAGGAGATGAAAGATATTCACTGCCTGGGAGCCTTAAGTACACACTGTTAACTGGTCCAAATAAGGCAATGGTCATGCTGAAGCAGGTACCTTTGGTATATCTTCAGTTTATTTACCAGTAAGAAGTAGGGCCTCCCTTATCTACTTAAAGACAGCACAGAAACCACTGAGGACCAAATTAGGGCATGAAAAAGTAGAGGATCTCCCATATCTGAGGCCTTAAGTCAGTTGATCAAAGTTCTTAACCAAAGGACAAGGGGACAGACAAGGGCCAACTTCAGTGTAGTGACTTGTCCTCCATGTAGGGGGTCAGAAGAGAGATTTCGGCACATCTGAATAATTCTCAATTCTCCAGTACTGAGTCACTAATGATAAGTCAGCTTTGGTGTTGTATCTCTCTTACTTAATCATCCCCAAGGATAAAATATTCCAGTACCCATGGGGAATCTGAAATGAGGTAAGAGCAGGTTTCTTAAATGCCTGAGAATGATATTTTAGTTGGAATATAATATATGGATACACACATATGTAGACTATATATTATGCATATACACTCTGTTCACCTGGATTGATGTATACATACTATGTATAGGTATATATACTACATATATATGCATATGCACATATATATAATCTTTCTTTTTTATACAATATATGTCAACTGACCTTTAGAAATGCCTTCAAATTATATGATTCAGTTCAAGCATACTTAGTACCGTATCCATCTGTGGGTAGCCAATTAGAAATTCATGCCTCACTAACATGTTTCCAGACTGAAGGTAAATTGTAAGCATGCACATCTGTGTTGGTTGTGAAAAACAACATCCTTTGCACTATTGAAGAAATCTTAATGCCAACCTACCCTCCAGAGAAGCCTCAGATCCTTGGAAAATTTTCAGTTTGATCAACACACAGAGGTAAGCCCCAGCAAAAGTTCTTTAACAGGTATTTGGAAAAAAGGCAACAAAGAATTTCCCTCTCTAAGTTAGGCTGACTAGTGTGGTGCTGTGGAGACAGAAGGGGATATTAATTCCACATAGTGCTCTCTCCCAGGCAAAGCATTTTAAAACAAAAACAGCAAAAAAAGTTCTAATTTCAAGTCACCCTGAGAACTAAACTTCTTCCTTTCAGGACATTTACTGAACTTGGCCAGTGCTTAGAAGTCTTTAGTATTGAGCTATTTGCTAGGGTGTCCTTATTTAATCAGAAACAACCTGTCTCAGGCAACAGTATTGCTTATAGTGTGTGTGTGTGTGTGTGTGTGTGTGTGTGTGTGTGTGTGTGTGTGTATGCATGGTAGTATGTCAATCTGAGCCAACTTGTCCCAAGGGCCACACCTATTTCTTGAGAGTTAAACAAACCCGATTTAGGATAAGGAGTTTGAAATTAGAGATGTGGCAAGTAGCCCAAATGAATTTTTGTCTGACCCGTCACTTCTATTTTAGTTCTCTCTTCCCTAATTGTTCTGCCTCCTCTCTGTACTTTCTGATCATTTTCCTTGACCTCATCATTGGAAAGGGTGTACTCATAGAGTGGGTGAAGCCATATTCTAGAAAAGTCACTGCCTAGGATTTTTAATGAGCTAACAATCGTTTGTGACTACATCAGGCAAACTTTTCATGCAAAGAAATGCTTAGAAAGCCCAAAAAGACAGATAAATTGATTATCTCCAAGCTACCAAAACAGGCTGGATTTTTGGTGCCTGCTGGCTATTAAATGGTTATGTAGAAGAATTTGCTCTTTCATACAACCTGGTAGTGACATGGTAGTACAGCAGTTAACTTTTACCACTTGTCACTTCTCCAGTGTTTCCATTATCTGCCAAAGAGAACCTACCAGTTGTGAATGTCTAAACTAGTTAGGGTCAGTGAGCAACACCTAGCCTACAAGTTTGTTGCAATGATTACATGAGATAAAAAGTATAAAGCACTTATGTAGTACCTGGCACATGGAAAGAGCTCTCTCTCTCTCTCTCTCTCTCTCTCTTTCTCTCTCTCTCTCTCTCTCTCTCTCTCTCTCTATATATATATATATATATATATATATATGTTCATCAGCATCATCATAATCATTATAACCATGATCACCACCACCACTATCATCACCACCATCATTGTCATCATTTATTGTGAAATGAGGACTACTGATTATAAAATTTTAGTTAGGACAGGAGTACCATCCATGATAGAATAAACTGAAAGGTAAACACAATAATACATAGTTCTCTATGTAGAAGGATCCCCTGAGAGTTCATCAGTCTCCACATATTTTCCCCACAAACCATATATCCACTTTTCTTCCATTACCATGGAATCTGACTCCAAAAGATTTAGATAAATTACTGATTTCAGCAGCATGCTGGACAAATTTTTCCGGAAACTTTGTGGATCAGACAGTAAAATGTAGCAAATACAGCTGTACATACAGATGGACTGAAGAACTATGCATATCAGGTACTAATTAACAAAGTAGGCAAATCTACCACCACAGGTACCTGGTCCCATCTTGTTTAACATCTTCATCAGAAACTTACATAAAAGCATGGGCAGTGATTATCAAATTTTTACTAGACAACTAAGCTAGGAAGAATGCATAATATAATAGAAGAGAGAATTGGGGTTTTAAAATACAATTGTAATTTATATATAATAATTTAATTAGATTAAAAGGTTAGGATGATACTTTAAAAATTCAAGAAATTAGAAATTTGCATTTAAATTGTAACAATTAATTAGACAGAGAGAGGCAACTTGAGTTTAATTCTGTGAAAAGGAAGAGGTAGGATTTCTAATGAGCCAACAATTGTCCGATAAGCTCAAATGAACTCCAAGTCTGACAAAAGCATTACACCAGGCAATGGAAACTTGAGCTGCATGAAAAAAACTTTGGAATCCAACTCAAGAAAAGAGAAAAGTGACCACGCAATGGATTCCACCCCAGCCAGAGCACACATGGAGCACTAAACTCTGGTCTGGAGGATACGCCTTTGAAAGACATTGAGGCATCCAGCAAGTTCTGAAGAGGGTAGTGAGGCTAGAGAGGGGAAGATGGTGAAAGCTTGGTCATTTGACAAACCTTTGAAATCCATGAAAGAAACTGATGTTGAGACTGAAGTTGCAAAGGCTGTGCAGTAATAGAAATGCTGACCTAAAATATTTGAATGGTGAAGTAGTAGATCTGGCCTATCTTTCAAGAGAGCAGATTTCAAATGACAGAATGAGAATTTCAGGAAGTAGGCCTGGGCCTCCTTCAAGGAGACTATATCTAAAGAAAACATTCACCCAAGGATAAGTGACTTAAGGGTAAGGGGATTCTTAATACTTAAAGGTTCATGCAGATAACCATCTGATTATCCATTCTGAATGTGGTAAAAAGGAATCCTGTTTTGGGTGAGTGGCCAAACATATGACCGTTAGGGTGCCACAACTGTAATTCAGTTCTCCTGTGTAAAGTGTCAATGAGTGATATGAGGAAGAGGGAGGGCTTCGTTAGAGGAGAAGGGGATGGCTGGAAATGGGGAAAGAGCAGTTTACGGCTGGCTTTGGGTAGCTGAAGAGTGTAGCAGGTAGCATAGTTCCCATGATAAATGAATTCATACTAATTAATTAATAAAGGCTCAAACCAAACTTTGGAATTTTACTCAATGCTAGTCCTATTCTAATGACAACTGAGTCAAAGATAGCTGCCCAAGTGCCCTATGGTCTAATCCATTCCCTCCCCATGCTGGAATGATGTTTTATTCTTTTTCACAGTCCTCATGACACCTTAGGCACTAGGCAGCAGCTTTATTAACTTTCTACTTTTGCTCCAGGGAGTTCAGGCTAAAGAATGAGGAATGATTAGTCAACAGTAGAAACTAGTTTGACACACCACATGTTCTCACTCATAAGTGGGAGTTGAACAAAGAGAACACATGGACACAGGGAGGGGAACATCACACACCGGGGCCTGTTGGGGGTGGGGGACAAGGGGAGGGAGAGCATTAGGACAAATACCTAATGCACGTGGGGCTTAAAACCTAGATGACAGGTTGGTAGATGCAGCAAACCACCATGGCACATGTGTACCTATGTAACAAACCTGCACATTCTGCACATGTATCCCAGAACTTAAAGCAAAATAACAAACACACAAACAAAACAAAAACAAAAAGAAACTTGTTTGGCAAGATGACTATTTCCTTGACTACTTTCACTAGGATATATGACCTCAACCTAAGTTGAAGTACTTTGACATCAAGGTGATATAAACATTTTTGCTGTTTTTTTGAGAAAAATATCACAGTAGTATGTCAATGTGGGTTTTTTTCTTAAATCTCTTGATCACTGTTAATTTTTAAAATTTGTCTTTTTAAAATATACTTTTTAATGTCTGATGGGACATTAAAGAATATTGTTAGACTGTGCTTCAACACTATAGTGATTTAACATATTTTGATATAATATAAAATATATAGCATACATTATGTTTTGATATATGTACCTTAATATCTAACAAAACTTTCTAGAAGAATTACATCCATTTATGTATTAAATTATACTAAAGAAAATTGAGAATTTATTTCATATTTAACACAAAATATCCATATTGCCTGGACCCAGAAATGAGGAAAATGATGCTACAGTGTTAAAGCAAGGTTAGAATATTATTGTAGAGCATAATTAATGGAGGGAGTGCATTTTCAAATATCCTCTTTACCTCCTTGTTGCTATGTTGGCTACACACATAATACTACCCGAGCCTGTACCTCTCCTTAATCCATTGAAACCTTTTCTTGCTGAGGAATTTCATCACAGCCATATTACCTGCCAGTAAGTGATAGTTCAGGTCAATTTGAAATGCCACGGCTTTTGATCCTGTTGTCTCTGAGTATTTCATTTTAGATTTTAATTACAATGGTATTGTGCTTATGGACCGACCCCAAACTGCATTGAATTGGGAAGTCATTTTCCTTTATTTACCTTTTATAATATAATTTCAAAATGACAGGCTCATACACAAAGCATAATTCTTTATAGACACTGGCTCATCATTGGACTTAATCACTTCCAAAGCAATGAGGATGGAAGAAATCCAGGGGGTCCTGATTCATGGAGATTCCTGGCTTTTTTCCCACTCAGTTGATGGAAAATGTTTTCTCTTTTTAAGTTAGATGAGGGATGGGGTTAGGGAAACTTACATCCTACACTCTTATGATTTGGCTCATGGCTTTATTGTTCTCCAAATTTTATGTGTTTGGGTCAGTTAATCAGACTCCTAACTCTATCCATTGTATTCAAACAGATGTAGTACTTTTTTCTCCTTTCTTCCCCCAAAGCTGCATTACTTTTTGGATATGGGGTCTCTCTGGCCAGCTGCAAAGATTCTGCCTTTGTGAGAGATGACATCACCCCCATGCTAATAAGTCTTTTAAAACCCAGAAATTATCTTGGGTATCCTACAAGTCATGAACAGCAGTACACTAGGGATATAGCGATTTACTTAATAAATATCTGTTGTGTGGATAGAAAAGCTAGAACTACTAGTCAGGTCTGCTTTTTCTCGAACTTGAGTCTTAATTATATCTTTCTTTAAAATTGAGATATAATTCACATACTATAAAATTTACCACTTTAAAGTGTACAATCCAGTAAGTTTTAGTATATTCAGAGTCATGCAACCATTACCACAATCAACTTTGGAGCATTTTCATCACCTTAAAAAGAAATCCATACCCATTAACAGTTACTCCTCACATCCCTCTCCCTCAACCCCTAGCAACCATGAATCTACTTTCTGCCTCTGTGGATTTGCCTGTTCTGGACATTTCATATATATCCAGTCATACAATATGTAGCCTTTTGGGTCTGGATTCTTTACTTAGCATAACATTTTCGAGGTTTGCATGTGTTGTCGCAGGAATCATCCCTTTTGTGGCTAAATATATTCTTCTGTATTGATATATCACATTTGTTTATTTGTTGATGAACATTTGGATTGTTTTCAATTCTTAGCTATTATAAATAACACTGCTCTGAACATTCATGTACATGTTTCCATGTAGACATATATGTTCATTTCTCTTAGGTAGATAACCAAGAGTGGAGTTTCTGCGTCATATGGTAGTTCTACGTTTTAACTGTATCTTTCTTTCTTTCTTTCTTTCTTTCTTTCTTTCTTTCTTTCTTTCTTTCTTTCTTTTTTTTTTTTTGACAGAGTTTTACTCTTGTTGCCTAGGCTGGAATGCGATGGCGTGATCTCAGCTCACCGCTACCTCTGCCTCCTGGGTTCAAGTGATTCTCCTGCCTCAGCCTCCCGAGTAGCTGGGATTACAGGCATACGCCACCACACCCAGCTAATTTTTTGTATTTTTTAGTAGAGGTGGGGTTTCTCCATGTTGGTCAGGACAGTCTCGAACTCCCAACTTCAGGTGATCCGTCCACCTTGGCCACCCAAAGTGCTGGGATTACAGGCGTGAGCCACCGTGCCCGGCCTTAACTATATCTTAATTGTTTTCCTCAGGTAGCTATGAGTGGTCTCAATTCTTCTGTAAATTCTTTTATGATTTAGTGACTTCCTGCCTTTTTATAATAGAAAAATTGGTTTGGTATATTTTATTCCATTTTATCTTCATAAAGGTCCTCCACCCATGTCTAGAAACATTTTAATGCAAAGTCCTAAAGAAAGTTAAATCCTAAGCACTTATCTCCTTAAAAATAAATTCAGCTTGATTTAGAAGAATTCTGTATGTAAAAAAATGGGTAAATTCCCCATTCATTAATAACTCTTTGTTATAATATTATCTGTTATGGCATCTCCTTATAAAGCAAACACCTCAGGTACTAGGTATTACAAATAATTTCTTCCTTGTGTGAATGTCAAGTCCTCTGAGAGCTGATGGTATGAATCTGTACAGAAACATTTTCTGCTCACTGTAAAATCTGGTAGTGCCAAACCCATCTTATATGAGACAAACGGATCAATCTGAATTAGTGACACCAAAAACAAACAAGTTTTTCCATGTAAACATTTTTATATTCAGGAACACACAATTATTCAGATTTTCAGGATAAGAAACTTTGTTAGATAATAAGAGGACATTATGTTTAATAAACAAATTAATTCTGTAAGTGGCACTTAAAGGAAGATTAAAGGTAACCAAACAGTCTTGCTCATATGTATTATCAATACAACTTCTAAATCTTATTTAGCCTATAATAAAAGGCTTGCTAAAAATGTGTATCAGTACCAAACCTCCTATCACCATATTCCAATGTATTCAAAATTCCTAATCATCTTTGCACAAGCATTATTAAGCCAGAGCAAACACATTCAAAAGCTAGCAGAAGGCAAGAAATAACTAAAATCAGAGCAGAACTGAAGGAAATAGAGACACAAAAAACCCTTCAAAAAATTAATGAATCCAGGAGCTGGTTTTTCGAAAGGATCAACAAAATTGATAGACCGCTAGCAAGACTAATAAAGAAAAAAAGAGAGAAGAATCAAATAGACGCAATAAAAAATGATAAAGGGGATATCACCACCGATCCCACAGAAATACAAACTACCATCAGAGAATACTACAAACACATCTACGCAAATAAACTGGAAAATCTAGAAGAAATCGATAAATTCCTCAACACATACACCCTCCCAAGACTAAACCAGGAAGAAGTTGAATCTCTGAATAGACCAATAACAGGCTCTGAAATTGTGGCAATAATCAATAGCTTACCAACCAAAAAGAGTCCAGGACCAGATGGATTCACAGCCGAATTCTACCAGAGGTACAAGGAGGAACCAGTACCATTCCTTCTGAAACTATTCCAATCAATACAAAAAGAGGGAATCCTCCCTAACTCATTTTATGAGGCCAGCATCATCCTGATACCAAAGCCGGGCAGAGACACAACCAACAAAGAGAATTTTAGACCAATATCCCTGATGAACATTGATGCAAAAATCCTCAATAAAATACTGGCAAACCGAATCTAGCAGCACATCAAAAAGCTTATCCACCATGATCAAGTGGGCTTCATTCCTGGGATGCAAGGCTGGTTCAATATATGCAAATCAATAAATGTAATCCAGCATATAAACAGAACCAAAGACAAAAACCACATGATTATCTCAATAGATGCAGAAAAGGCCTTTGACAAAATTCAACAACCCCTCATGCCAAAAACTCTCAATAAATTAGGTATTGATGGGACGTATCTCAAAATAATAAGAGCTATCTATGACAAACCCACAGCCAATATCATACTAAATGGGCAAAAACTGGAAGCATTCCCTTTGAAAACTGGCACAAGACAGGGATGCCCTCTCTCACCACTCCTATTCAACATAGTGTTGGAAGTTCTGGCCAGGGCAATTAGGCAGGAGAAGGAAATAAAGGGTATTCAATTAGGAAAAGAGGAAGTCAAATTGTCCCTGTTTGCAGACGACACGATTGTATATCTAGAAAACCCCATTGTCTCAGCCCAAAATCTCCTTAAGCTGATAAGCAACCTCAGCAAAGTCTCAGGATACAAAATGAATGTACAAAAATCACAAGCATTCTTATACACCAATAACAGAGAGAGAGCCAAATCATGAGTGAACTCCCATTCACAACTGCTTCAAAGAGAATAAAATACTTAGGAATCCAACTTACAAGGGACGTGGAGGACCTCTTCAAGGAGAACTACAAACCACTGCTCAATGAAATAAAAGAGGATACAAAGAAATGGAAGAACATTCCATGCTCATGGGTAGGAAGAATCAATACCGTGAAAATGGCCATACTGCCCAAGGTAATTTATAGATTCAATGCCATCCCCATCAAGCTACCAATGACTTTCTTCACAGAATTGGAAAAAACTACTTTAAAGTTCATATGGAACCAAAAAAGAGCCCGCATCGCCAAGTCAATCCTAAGCCAAAAGAACAAAGCTGGAGGCATCATGCTACCTGACTTCAAACTATACTACAAGGCTACAGTAACCAAAACAGCATGGTACTGGTACCAAAACAGAGATATAGATCAATGGAATAGAACAGAGCCCTCAGAAATAACGCCGCATATCTACAACTATCTGATCTTTGACAAACCTGAGAAAAACAAGCAATGGGGAAAGGAGTCCCTATTTAATAAATGGTGCTGGGAAAACTGGCTAGCCATATGTAGAAAGCTGAAACTGCATCCCTTCCTTACACCTTATACAAAAATTAATTCAAGATGGATTAAAGACTTAAATGTTAGACCTAAAACCATAAAAACCCTAGAAGAAAACCTAGGCAATACCATTCAGGACATAGGCATGGGCAAGGACTTCATGTCTAAAACACCAAAAGCAATGGCAACAAAAGCCAAAATTGACAAATGGGATCTAATTAAACTAAAGAGCTTCTGCACAGCAAAAGAAACTACCATCAGAGTGAATAGGCAACCTACAAAATAGGAGAAAATTTTTGCAACCTACTCATCTCACAAAGGGCTAATATCCAGAATCTACAATGAACACAAACAAATTTACAAGAAAAAAACGACCAACCCCATCAAAAAGTGGGCGAAGGATATGAACAGACACTTCTCAAAAGAAGACATTTATGCAGCCAAAAGACACACGACAAAATGCTCATCATCACTGGCCATCAGAGAAATGCAAATCAAAACCACAATGAGATACCATCTCACACCAGTTACAATGGCAATCATTAAAAAGTCAGGAAACAACAGGTGCTGGAGAGGATGTGGAGAAATAGGAACACTTTTACACTGTTGGTGGGACTGCAAACTAGTTCAACCCTTGTGGAAGTCAGTGTGGCGATTCCTCAGGGATCTAGAACTAGAAACACCATTTGACCCAGCCATCCCATTACTGGGTATATACCCAAAGGACTATAAATCATGCTGTTATAAAGACACATGCACACGTATGTTTATTGCAGCACTATTCACAATAGCAAAGTCTTGGAACCAACCCAAATGTCCAACAAGGATAGACTGGATTAAGAAAATGTGGCACATATACACCATGGAATACTATGCAGCCATAAAAAATGATGAGTTCATGTCCTTTGTAGGGACATGGATGAAATTGGAAATCATCATTCTCAGTAAACTATCGCAAGAACAAAAAACCAAACACCGCAAGTTCTCACTCATAGATGGGAACTGAACAACGAAAACACATGGACACAGGAAGGGGAACATCACACTCTGGGGACTGTTGTGGGGTGGCGGAAGGGGGGAGGGTTAGCATTAGGAGATATACCTAATGCTAAATGACGAGTTAATGGGTGCAGCACACCAGCATGGCACATGTATACATATGTAACTAACCTGCACATTGTGCATATGTACCCTAAAACTTAAAGTATAATAATAATAATAATAATAATAAACACTGTAATTCTATATTGTGATTTGCTTCCCATTTGAAAAAAAGTATTTCCTCCCTTGTCTTCTAAGAAGGTACTCCTTGAGGGATTTTATAGAGTTCAGATTTGCTGTCTTTCTCCTGCCTCCTTCGGCACCAGTCAAATCATTTTGTAAAATTCACTGGGATTAACAGGCATTAGTAATTTGTTTATCGGTCACATAGATAAAATTTGCCTTTGAATTTTATATGAATACTGTCCACAAACACAGAATGTTTTTTCTATCTTTTCAGTTGACTAAGAAAAAAACTACACACATGCGCATATAAAAAGCACTGTTTCCTTCTGATACTTCATTTGAAAGCCCCTCAAAAGCAGAAGAAAAAAAATAAAACCATATGAATTAAAGTTAAGGTAGAGGATTTTTCCAACAGCATCATTTCTGCTGGTTACTAAGTTCCACAAATAGCTAATGAGGCCAACCACCTTTGAAATCAAAGTGCTGTGCCCCATCTCCTAATGGAGCCACAGTATGCTAAGGGAAGTGAAACTTCTAGAGTCAGCACCCAGATGGTGTTGACAAAGAAACCCACGTGCATGGTGCAGTGCAGACTATTTTTTAAATTGGCCTCAAACTCTAAAAAGCACACAAACACACATTTGGATCACCTCTGTTCCACCACACAAAACAGTCCCAGTTTGCGTGACTCCCCACTGCCTGGTTCACATGCTGAGTAACTGGATGCTATTTCAATATTTAGCTCAGGCCAACAACATTAGCAAAGCAGATTTTTCTCACCTTATTGCCCATGGCCAAATATATAACTTTGAGGTGGTCTGCGCGGTCTGCTTCTTTCCATATGAGTATAACATTGACCTGTATGCATATGATTCTCAGCAATGTAGAGGTAACTGCTCACATTTGTATCTTAGTAAGAGGGAATTGATGAAGCAATAAATGTTTAACAGCTAGGTGTCATCTCCCAGCTGTGTATGAATTTCTGTTATAATATCAATGACAAATCATTGACTAAGCTTATCTTATAGACAGAAGTCCACTGAACTTGCTTTTAGACAACCTAAGTCGAAATTACTTTTCTGAATGTAAATTAATTCAGCCACTGTAAAAAGCAGATTGGCAATTTCTCAAAGCATTTAAAACAGAACTACCATTCAGCCCAACAATCCCATTATTGGGTATATACTCAAAGGAATATAAATTGTTCTATCATAAAGACACATGCACATGTATGTTTATCACAGCACTATCCATAATATTCCAAAGACATGGAATCAACCTAAATGCACATCAACAGTAGACTGGATAAAGAAAATGTGGTACATATATTCCATGGAATACTATGCAGCCATAAAAAGGAACAAGATCACATTCTTTGCAGCAACACGGATGGAACTAGAGGCCATTATCATAAGTGGAGGAACATAGGAACAGAAAACCATATACTGCATGTTCTCACTTGTAAGTGGGAGTTAAACATTTAGTACACATGGATACAAAGAAGGGAACAACAGACACCAGGGCCTACTTGAGGGTGGAGGGTGGGAGGAGAGTGAGGATCGAAAAACTACCTATTGAGTACTATGTTTACTACATGGTTGATGAAATAATCTCTACACCACAGCCCCACAACATGCAATTTACCTATATAACAAACCTGCACATGTACCTTTGAAACTAAAAATGTTAAAAAAAAAAAAAAAGAAATTACTTTTCCACCAATAATTAGCCATGTGACCTTGGAAAACTTAATTAACTTTATTAGCAGCCTCAGTTAGTTGCCTACCCAACAGTGATTTCCCCTTCCCTCCTTCTTCCAAAGAGAGGTCTAATGTTATTTGGCTATTCAACCTTCCGCCACGTGACCAAGGGTAGATGACCCATCCCGGCTCCAAAGATAGATCCTCATTATGTTTGGTCCCTTGTGGTTACACTATTCCATTTGCCAGGAATGTTTTAAGAAGGGAAATGCATATCAGATTAAGTTTGGTTGCATAACTACAAAAAAGAGCAAGAAATAAAAATAACAGTGGTCTTAAATAAGATGCAAATATAATTCCCTGGGGAATTATATTTTATATACTGGAGAAAAGAAGACAGGTGTTAGGCAACAGGGGGCACCCTGTTCAGGAGTAGATAGATGCATCAGGGATGAGGCTCTCAACTAGCTTACTTTTCTGCCATTTTGCTGTGCTGTCTCAGGTCCGGCACTGCTGCTAGGAGCCCTGGACAACTTCAGCCAACAGGAAGCCCTTACTGCAGGGGACTTAGTCACATGATGACAGTTAGCTATACAGGAGGTAGTGAAAGGAAGGTGGGGGAAATGCAAGGAGAAGGGGAGACAACTAGTAGTCATTGTCACAGCATGTGGCCCAATTCCCGCCTATGAAATATGAAGCTTCCGGGAAAGTCTCCTGCTATGAAAGAGAAACAAAAAGAGATAAACTGTACTTCTCCCTCTGATCAGTGTCACATCTCAATGTGATGTCTGAAACTGATGCAGCCATCTTGGTACCAGCCTGAGAGCAAAGCCAACAATACACAGAGCAGGACAGAGCCTGCAGAGAGAAGGACCCAACATCCTGACATTCTGTATGGTACCCAGATCGTAGGCCATGCTGGACTTCTTGTCATCTTAGATGGAAATTTCATTACTGTTTATTTCCAATGGAGGGGGAGTCTTCTGTTACTTGCAGACAAATGTCTTCAAATTCATTCGACCTATCCAGTAGGCCTTACAAATTTAAAGACAGTCATTTCTCCCTCTTGGTTTGTATTTTCACAAGCTAAAAATTCTAGAGACATAGAAGATCAATCAATTCTTATTTTAATCACTATTATCAAAATATATCTTGATTAATGCCTTAGCAATATTAAGTAACGTATATGCCTATAGTGATGTGTTATTGTCATGTAGACCAAAATAGAAAAGCAGAACAAAAAGATAAAATTCATTAAATACGTCATATTCACGTTCATTAAAAAATAATTGTTCATTTATCTTTTGGCTTATTGTTTTATAAAATGAATGCAGAAAACCATAAAATAATTCAGGTATTGGGGTTCCAATTCCTGGCCTTACCACTTGCATTGTGATCTAAGGAAAGCAATTTCATCTGTGAGAGCCATAGTTTTTTATACATTAAAAAATGGGAGAGGAATACCACTGGTTTTAGTCAGCCTTGGCTGCCAAAACAAAATATCATTTGCTTTTCACAGTTCTGGAGGCTGGACATCTGAGATCATGGTGCCAGCAGAGTTCAGTTCTGATGAGGGATCTCCTCCTGGCTTGCAGACAGCCACCTTCTCACTGTGTTCTCACATGGCAGGGAAAGAGCAAGGTCTGGTCTCTTCCTCTTCTTATAAGGGCACTAATCCCATCATGGGAGCCCCACTCTCATGAATTCAGCTAAACCTAATCACTCCCCAAAGGCCCTACCTGCAAATAGCATCACACTGGCTGTAGGGCTAGGCTTCAACATAGGAATTTTGGTGGGACGCAAACATTCAGTCCATAAAACCATCTCTTCTTAAGAATGTGTGAAGGTTGAAGAAATGTGTAAGTGGCATAATGGCAGTTATATAGTACTCATTAACTGGCAACTATGACATCATGGGCAGCCAGTGAGGATACAAAGACAAAGTTAGTAGATCTGATTCAATATTTCATTCATTCGTTTATACATACATACATTCAGATTCCACCTAGTTCCAGAAGGCATTGAAAGCAGAAGGAAAGCAAATATAAAAATTATTGCAATGTTTTAAGTTATAGAATAAATTGTATCTATCAAGAAATTATGGGTAGATAGAGAGATAGCAGAAACCAAGAGACATCAGATGTCATGAAGGAGCAGAAGCCATGAGGGAAAGAGAAGAAAAGTCAACGAAAGGTATTTGAGAGTAGACTAGAGCGACGTGGGTAAGTGAGGGAGGTGGGGAGAAAGAGAGAAAGCTAGTTAGCATCAAGTCTACAGCCTGGTAAATGTCGAATGTTACTAGAGTCATACTTTGCACAGGGATGAGTTTCCTTTGAGTCTTGCATGGGGTGGTGTTCAGTTTTCACAAGGGCTAAGATGTTTTTCCCCTTTTAAGTTCTTTCCTGTGTAACTTTACAATGGATATCTCCTACCTGAAATAACCAAGTGTGTCTCTGTTCCTTGCAACATGGAAGAACATAAAACAAAGTAGTAGCCTAAGCCACAGAATTGATAAAAGGGTGAAAGAAATGTGTCTACAGTGAGAGGAGAAGAGGCCTAAGATGGAAGTATGTTTAAGGAGCAGGTGAGGAATAACATGCCTTCAAAGGAGAGCAAGACATATTACTCCCAGAGGTAGGAGGAGAAATAATAGAGTTATGGAAAAGGGAAGAAAAGACGTTGTCAGGAAAAAACAGCTGGATTCAGAGGTTCCAGAGGTAACATGCAATAAGGACTCACTCTCCTGAATTCGCAGCAAAGTTGCCTATAACCCTGAAGACAGAAGACTCAAAGGAATGATGGGGTAGAAGCCAGATAGCAGAGAGTTCAGGAGTAGATAGATGAGCATGTGAACTAGCTTTGAGTGTAAACTATTCTTATGAGAGATTTAGTTGCAAAAAAGAGATGGCTTTCAGAAGAGGTTTGCTCAAGGAAGGGTTTTGACATGACAAGATGACTGAGAGTGTAGAAGTTGAAGCTGGGGAAGAGTTAACATGATGCTATCTGGAGTGACCCTGATGAAGCAGAACTGCATGGGATTTGGACAGGATGACAGATGCCTTTGCCTCTGAGATGGGAGGAAATGGGGCCTGTGCTGCCCATACTTGAATTTCATTTGTGATGAATCTTTGACTACAAGGACAAATTGACCCAGTACTTTCATGTGGAACTAGCTATAACAAAGGATATTTAAAGTTTTAAGTGAGCTTGTTTTAACCTCACAAAGTATTATATATAAATAATATGGTCATTTAAAATTTCCCAATTATTGTTATTTGTTCTGGATCTTAAGCTCATATCATAAGAACATTGATGGGGCTAAGTTTCTGGAAGTGACAGATCTTGTGCTTGTGGCTGGCTAATGAATCACCCAGGAAGTTTGAGAGACCAGGATGTTACCTCCAGATTGTGGGACTTCCAGGCTTCCGCCCTATCAGGCAGGCACATCTGCTTCTCCAGATGAAGGAAACAAAACCAGAATAGAAGAGTCAGTTGGCAAAGCAACAAGGTCAATTCTTGCCCTCTCCTTCCTGGTTTCCTGCACTGACCTGGAACTATCTACGTGAACTGCCTTCAACCAATTCTGCACTCTGCAAAAAGAATTAAAGCAGGAAGGACTACACTGTTCTCCTCTTTCAGCATCCCTGAAATGCCGTCTGACTCATTTACTAAACCCACAAGTTTTGACTGATCTATACTGTGCATTAGACTCTGTCCTAGGCACTGGAGAAAGCATGGTGATCGTAAAATAGTTTTCCTATGTAGCACAGATTGCCGTGGGTCTTGCATGAGGACTAATTGTTAATAAGGATTCTTGTTGTTTATCTAAACGGATGCATCTGTAAATCTTGCTTGAGCATATTGCATTACTGTTTACAAAAGGGTAAGGTTGCTGTTTATTTTTCGGCATGGAAGATGCACACATTGTACTTTTCATTTACAAGATACAGCTCAGGGTGAACAAAGCCCTAGGATAAATACTCTTTTCTAAAACACACAAAAGATGATAAACTCCAAAGCTTACATGTGTTCTAATTTTCATTATGGCCCATTTGGCCCAGGGTTCCATATCTGTCAGAAGATCCCCGTGACATATTAGGGAGGGCATGGTTTTGGCTATCATCTAAAATAGCATTCTTATTCCTCCTCCAATTCTAACTTCCCAACCTGCCTTAATTATCACATTTGGATTCATCTTCCATGAATTAAAATATTAGACTATATCACTTCTTAAGATACAGGATAGAAATAGAACCAGGATGCTTGCAATTTATGACTTCCATGAAGTTAACTCTAATTTTATGTTTCCTAATATTGCTGTTGTCAAGCTTAAAGGGTATTACCTAGTCCTGTTAAGTTCTATTGTGTCTTGTCCATCTCATATCTCTGTAGCTTATAAAGTACCTGACAAAGAAGGAAAGAGCTTGATAAATATTTGTGGAATAAAATAATTTAATCAATAACTAATTGTCACCCTTTTAAATTTGTAGACTTTAAATTTCCTGTCTCTCTGGTTTCATGTTTTACAGTCTAAAAAATCCTGATATTTTGGTAGATTCTCACCAAGTAAGACTTAGGTGCCCATATGTCCCAGTTTGCTTAGTGCAGTTCCAGTTCATGCCTAATGTGCCAGGGTAATTATTCCTAGTGATCTTTTCCCTTTCAAAAGTATCCCAGTTTGAATGACCCTCTAATCACTATTCTCCCGGGTCCCTTGAGCCCCTCTGTAAAATTCTACATGTGCATTTCAGAAGCTGGAGAAAGCTTTCTTTTTACAGGACATTGTGGTAGGTTTTTTGTTTGTTTGTTTGTTTGTTTGTTTTTTTGCCTACTCCCCTTCCTGATGATAAAGTATCTCTACGGACTTTCAGACTACTGGGCAGGGGTTGTCTAGGAAAAGCCTAGGGCCATGCTTTTCAAATTTTAGTGTGCTTTAATGTATCACTGGGGGCTTCTGTGAAAATGTAGATCCTATTCAGCAGGTCTGGAATGGGGCTCCTGATACTGTTGGGCTGAGGACAGCACTTTGAGTAACAAGGGTCTCCAAGTTTTCCTAGTTAGCCATGACTTAGAGCCCAGCTATTATGACATAACATTGCTTAGTGCTCAACAGGATACTCTTTAGAAGCCACAGAGCTGAGGTCAAACCTTGCCCTCATCACTCATACCTTTGTGACCTTACACAATGTATTGATCCCTCTAAAACTCAGTTTTCTTATATATGAGATACAAAGAATAACAATTATCTCAGAGGAATGATGTGAAGATTAAATGAAATAATAAATATAAAACAGTACTATCTTCCCTCATTGTAAATGTTCAAAACTGGTGGTAGCTGAAATTGTCATCATCACAGTTATCAAGTGTAGTTTGAATTCCTCCCCCGTTTTCTCTGCCCAGTTCTTCCCTGCCATTTCCCCCGTTTTACTCAAAGCTTAACATCAGAAGTTACTTGTTTAGATAAATATCAAAGGGTAATGAGCAGAGATATATTTTGGATAGTGCCTTAAAAATGGACACTGGGATATGCTAAACTATCAAGTTGTCAGTACATGCAGGAATTACAATCAAGGTTTGGACAGATCTACAGGAAGGGCCAAAAGTTGGCAATTAATGCCAATTCATAGATGCTTAATTATCACTTGACTGGATTAAATTCCCTGGGCTGAGGCTGCCTCCTTTAGTTAGCATGCGTCAATAGCAGCAGTCAGAAGCAATTCAATTGTATATACTCTTCTAAAACCCAGAATTACCAGAAGAAAGAGAATGAATATTAGAAAAATAGAAAAGTTTAATAGACCAACTCATCAACCTAGACCTTGTTTTAAACTTTGCCTTCTCTTTTTCCTAATTGGGTATCAGGTAGCAGAATTCCAAGTATTCCAGTTTCACTTACTTTATTTTAGCCTTTCAAAAGTCACATAATCTAAACCTTCGTTTTAACTCATGGAAAGTGATAGGACTGAAACAGCATTTTGTAAATAACAACTTACTATTTAAACCTATAGCGTCAACATCATTGTTGCAGTCATCAAAATTGTTATTCTCTTCCTCATCTTCAAGGTCCCTTCTGGCTATAAACATTTCTCTTTCCTCTGATGTCAGTCCTAATGTAGGACCCATGTTCTTTCTCTCTGGGTAGAGTCACCAGTGAAAGAATAAAAGTGATATCAGAAACTTGGATAATTTTCTTACTAGAAAATCTCTACTTAGTCATTGTAAAACTGGATGTTGAGTTTGAAGTGACAATGTGCTATAGGTTTACCTCCTACAATTCAAAGCTCACTATAGACTATAATTTTCCATTGATTAATTCATTGACTTATTCATTGTACACTTGCTTAGACCATAGTACCTATGGCATGAAGAACATAATAAAATGTCTCTCCCTAGTGAGAACTCACAGAACTACCAGGGCATGCTTCCTGAGGCCCATCACACTCTACAGGTCAATCATGATTCCATCTTGAGTTAACTATTCTTGACACTTACATGGCAGGTCATTTTCAAAGTATGCTTACAAACAACAACAACAACAACAACAACAACAACATGTTCTTAACAAAGATTGGCCCAACTATCACAATGACTGGAGGGCCTACTTATAGAAATAGTAGGAATAACTAATTTATATTTTCCACCAGGGTTGCACTGAGCACTGATAGGTCTCACTTGATGGATAATTCTCAAAATCCCTTAAGAAGATTTCCATGCAGAAAGAAGAGAAATCACCAGCATATTTTCATTATCTGACTGGAGGGATGGCTATTTCCTAGAGAACAGCAACCAGGATATGTGCAACATTAAAATTAACATGGTCCCTTAAGTGTTTCCCTCACCAGATTGGTTCTACAAGCACACAGCTATTTATCCTCTAAGCAAGGGTCAGCAAACTATAATCCATGGACCAAATCCAGCCCATCACCTGTTATTGTAAATAAAGTTTTATTGGAACCAGCCATGCACATTCATTTGTGTATTGTCTATGACTGTTTTTGTACTCAAATGGCAGAGTTGTGACTGAGATCTTATGGTCAGAAAAGCCTAAAATATTTACTATCTGGTCTTAACTAAAAGACCATGCTACTTTACCAAAAACAACAACAACAAAACCATTAAGCTTGCATTGACATTTCAGTGATTTAGTTTGAAGAATTCATAGATATCTTTAATAATTTTAAATTACTATAATCCTTAATAGAGGTAATTAAAAGCTACAATGGAGAGATTTGGAATAAAAATTTCTATGCAAATATCCCTTTGGTATATGGTTAATCACTAACAAATTAATCAAATATTATTTATGAGAAAGATAATGCCTAGTTTTATATATTGGAAACTTAATGAAAAAGATAACAAGTAAACATATTCAACAGCTCTGATTTCTGCCAGTATATCATAAAATAAATACTAGTACTTGAGCTCATGCTCATATCCTAATATCTACATAATAATTAGGAATAGATGAGTTGATCCACGACTCTGCTGTAAGTACTACAGGAAATGTCTCTGTAAAAGTATATTATCATTTTAATCTAGATTTAATGTATCTCATAAGCTTTTAACAATGTATATGTGTAATCATTTGAGAATCTAGAACCCAAATGAAAAAATATATATTTAAATGGAGAAGAGGGTTATTTCTGTGTCCTGCTTTAGTTAATTTTAAGACATAAATATCTAAAGTTGATAAAACAAAAGGGGAAACAAGCCCATCTGCAGAAATAATTTTGCAGTTTATATCCAAGCTACTTTTGAAATATAGAACCTGCTTTCTCCTTTCAAAGACCCTCAAGTATTTGCTGTAGCTTTATTATTAAAATATCTAGATGTGTCATTATAATCAGATGGAAAATTCAGCAAAATTGTGTTTTCTTAGTAAATAAAGTATATACTGACTATATGTTTATATATTAACTTTTTCCCACATGAAACCAGTATTTAAAGCTAAACATTTTTCTCACTACAGATACTTCTTGACTAATGAGTCAGTGATTAAATATATACCAAGTGAATATTAATAAAGAATGGATTTTTTAAAAATCATGTTCACTTTGGGATATTGATCTCATATTCCTCATGCTATGTGAATTGTACAGAATGGTTAAGAAATTATTGTTGACTGGCACGGTGGCTCACGCCTGTAATCCCAGCACTTTGGGAGGCCGAGGAGGGTGGATTACGAGGTCAGGAGATGGAGACCATCCTGGCTAACACGGTGAAACCCTGCCTCTACTAAAAATATAGAAAATTAGCCAGGCATGGTGGCACGCGCCTGTAGTCCCAGCTACTCGGGAAGCTGAGGCAGGAGAATGGCCTGAACCTAGGAGGCGGAGCTTGCAGTGAGCCAAGATCGCGCCACTGTACTGCAGCCTGGGTGACAGAGCGAGACTCCATCTCAAAAAAAAAAAAAAAAAAAAAAAAAGAAAAGAAAAGAAACGAAATTATTGTTAACTTAATTGGGACAATGATTTACAATTCTACTGATGCTGAAAGGTTAAGGAAAGACTTTGGAAATTCAAAAGCCAACCACAATTAATATTGCTTTATTCTTTTCTTTCTTATCAGGTACAAAAAATTTGGAATGTTTATAGAATGCTTGCCATATGTAAATATTGAAATAAAAATTATTCATACAAATCCCTAACCATGAAACTAAAGATTCTAATAATTCTAAATTTTTAAATATGAATATTTTCTATTTTTTTCACACACACACACAAACACACACACACACACACACACACACATATATATATATACTTTTAAAATTAGGATGCTAAATCTCTGCCCATCTGTGTCAGCCTTTTAAAGAGCTTGTGATTCCCAATCTTCAATGCCAGGATACACAGATGTTAGTAGGTGAGACAACAGACCGACAAATTCCTGCTTGGTAAGTAAAATAAAAAGTAAAATGTAAAACAGGAGATCTTGTTTTCTCTACTTTGGGGAAAATAAATCAAAACAAAACAAAATCATCACCAGCCCTCTCAAGTTCATAAAAAAGACATTGTTTAAAAAAAAAAGAGAGAGAGAAAAAAGCAAATGATAGTAATATTTATCCTGAAGCAAGGTGGCTAAAATTTGACCCAAGTACTTCCTAACTACTGAAAATTAAATCATTGCTTTTGTGGATTTGAAAAACAGAAGGTCTGCATTTCAAGCATATAAATAACATGAAATAATTGTGTCTTCACTTTGAAAGGGCTATTTACCAAAAGAATGTGACATTCTGAGGGGCACACTTTGGGGATGAAATTTAAGCAAAGGTCACATCTCAAATTCAACCAGCCTTTTTCACCTGGGCTGCAATGGAATGGAATGATTGAACAAGTGTGAACTCCTAGGCAGGGTGGGCATAGGTGGAGTTAGTGGGTAAATTTGATTTGTTTGCTAAGGTTAGTGAAATAAATTTATCTCCTTTGGAGTGGGATTCCAGGTGCTAAAAAATAAAACATGGTGTTTGTAGCCACATTTCTTTCCTTCATTTTCAAAATTTATCCAAATGAGATTAAGTTGATTGGTACTCTACAGAGATAGCAGCCACCTACCATTCTGATTAATATTTCAGTGAGGAGGCAATGTCTTATTATTGAGACCAAGCAATTATCAGCCTTTTGACTATATAACATAAAATAAAATAATCAAGACCAATATCCCATGGAAATTATCTGAAGATACAAACACAAGCCTGAGGAGACATCCCTATAGCTAAGCCTGTTGAGGTAAAGGACTGGAGTTTGAAGGGGCTCTTCCTCCTTCACAGAAGCACTATGGCCTAGCTACCCTCTCCGTGGTAGTAATATGGAGTGGGCCCAAGAGAGAGCAGCTTTAAAATTCAAAACAAGATCCTGGAGGACTGTGGTTGACTTGGCCAGGTACTTAGGAGCCACAGTTTTGCTCGTAAAGAGGCTTTGAGTAGTCACTCCCTCTCAGGTGGGCTCTAGGGTGGAGATTCCATCTTTGTGGTCCTTGGGACATCTCAAACAACAGAGATGTGGAAGCTATAAAGAAAACCTCTGAGGAAGACTATTCACTGGGACAGGGCAGATATTACATATTTCCAGCATCACAAAATTTTCTATTGGACAATGCTGTATATCTAGGTGCTATAACATTTAAAGTGTTAGCTTTTTAAAATTTATCTGCAACCATTTCTTCTCTTAATTCCTCAGAAGTAGGCAATCTAATACCACCTCTGGAGCTACTATTTCAATGAATAATCATATGTTTGCTTAGCCATATTGGAAAATCAAATAAATCTGAAAGAGTATGTTGTCCCTGGAATGTGCTAATTTCTAGTTACTCACTGCTATGCGTAAGAAGTTAAACTAAAACCTGTTCTTCACATTAACAGACAAAAAGGGCTTTCTTTGTCTGACTATCTAAATTGACTTCCCACACAGGAACCTAAGTGATAGCAAGCCGTTAACAATGGTTGACTCATCCTTTAAATATCAGGTCTCCTTTATGTCATATTTCTGATTGTCACCTTTTGAGAAAGCTTCCCTACCATCCTACTGACTCCCCTCCATCATTCTATCCCCTTATCTTCTGTATTACCACCTGGCATATTATATACTTATTGGCTTGTCAGTCTCCCTATTCTACAGCATAATCTCTTTAAAAGAAAGTATTGTATTTTATTCACTGATGTATTCCTAATGCCTAGAACAGTATCTCTGTTTTTGTTCACTTTATATATGCTTAGTAAATACTTATAGAATGAATTTATGAATGAAACCTCCAGAAAGCAGATACAAAATTTTCTTCATATACATTCCTCTGGAGAGCAAATGTATAACTTAGATCTTATTCTGAACAGATTTGTTCTGGGGCTTAAAAAGACTAAGAACCTGAGTTTTACACACATTATGCCATTTCATTATCAGCAACATCATTCTCTGCAATGTCCATACATGAAAGTTCTGCAACTGATCAAATGCTTACTTTATTAGAATCATACAAAATAAATATAAGTTGAAAAAGCAATGACATGAAACATTTATATTTGAAGGGCTTGTTGTTGTTGTTGCTGTAATTGTAAGAAAATTTACACCAAAAAGAACTTCATCTATCCTAGGTAATTTAGATCACTCCAAATTCTATTCTGATCTTTCTTATTAAACATACCTCTATATTTACGCATGTGTAATCAGTAATCATGTAACTGTTGTCTTTGAGATTTCCTTAAGAGATTTTAGCAGGAGCTCCAAAAGGTTCAAGTTTGGCTGCAGAACATGGGGCATTTTTATGTAGATGTGGATTGTGATTCTCAGTACCAATGGCTTCTCCCTGCTATGTCTGCTTTCCCGCCTCCCATTTGTCAAGATATAAACTGCACAGTCAGGGCTGAAGGAGCTACAAAAGTTAAACAATGTGTGTAAATGAAGATAAGAATTCTGCATGAGAGCAAGGGTTAGAAGAGGAAGCTAAGAAGGACAGAAAAAGAGATTGACTCAATGTTGTGTAAAAATAGAGACCAAGAGGGCTCAAAGGAAGGTGATAAGAAAATTAAATTAGAAAAAGCCAGGAAGATAAAGGAAGTTCAAAATATCCATAAATAGCCAAATGAATAAGAAATACAAAGAAAATACTAAGAAGCAGTAAAGGATAGTAACAATAAGGGAAAAAAGAAATGTGTAGCAAGGGAAAGAAATAGTAAAAAAGGATAAACAGTGATACAGCATGAAAAGAGAAAATGAAAAAAGACTGTAAATACAGAAGAGAGAAAATAACAAGATGATCATGTGCACATACAAACACAGTGAGATGCGATAAGGAGAGAAATAACAGAAACTCATCTATTGGCAGAAAGATGGCCTCCCAAAGATGTCCACACACCCATCCCTGGAACCTGTGAATATTTTGACTGACATGGTAATAGGAACACTGCAGATATGATTAAGTGTATAGACCTTGAGAAGGAGAAATTATCCTGGATTATCCAGGTAAAACCAATCTAATCCCATGAACCTTTAAAAGTGAGACTCTTCCAGTTGGAGTCTGTCAAAGGGAAATGGAAGAAAAGCACAAAGGCACAGGGAGATGCAACACTGTTGACTTTCAAGATGGAAGAAGGGCACAAAAGCCAATGAATGAGGGCAGCTTCTATTAATAGGAGCTCAAAAGGCAGGGATCTGCCCCTGGAGCCTCCCAAAGGAACCCTGCTGACACCTTGATTTTAGCCTAGTGAGATCTGTGTCAGAATTCTAGTCTACAGAACTAGAATATAATACTTTTGTAGTATTTTAAGACACTAAGTTTGTGGTCATTTATTATTGCATCAATAGAAGACTAATGCTTATGAGATCACAAATTATTACAGCAAAATGCTTATTTTGTGCAGCACAATTGTTAAAATCATGCTTGGTTGTCATTTTACAGCATACAAAGCCCTTTCCCATATATTGTCAGGTCTGATCATTCTAAGACCTGTGGAATATAAGCAAAGACCATCAATTCTACCCCTCCTGATGAGACAAGGGGGGCCCAGAGAGGTACCATGTCCAAGGTCTTGGTACTAAATGTTACAATTAAGGACAGAATGAGCTCTCCAAGACCTCAGTTTGCTTCCATAGTAAAACCATGATTGCCAGCAAGACATTCACATCTAATAAACTCAAGAGCACAATTAAAGTAATTTGCCTGGTTCAATACTCTGGTGCTTTGATGGCCTGCAGAGCAAAATTCTTCCAGTGTGAGTCCCATACCTCATGCTTCAACTTGCACACTCCAAATGATCAATCCCTCTGTTAAATGGAATGGGATTCATTGTTTCCTTGTTGTTCTGCTTTCCCAGAAAGGTAAGCTCTTTTTCCAACCAGTGCCCAGCATAGTGCTTGGCACAAAATGGATCCCAAAGTTTTGTGTTAATTTAATTGAATCAAGAACACAGAAACGTGATGCTAAATGAAAGAAGCCAGTCACAAAGGACCACATCTTGTATGATTTCATTCCTATGAAATGCCTAGAATAGGCAAATCTATAGAGGCAGAAAGCAGATTAGTGTTTGCAAGGGCTGGTGGGTGATGGGGAAAATAGGGTGTGACTGCTAATGGGTATGGAGTTTCCTTTGGAGTGATGAAAATATTTTAAAATTTATTGTGGTAATGGATGCACAACTAGAGGAATGTACTAAAAGCCGTTGAGTTGTACACTTTAAATCAGTTAATTGTATGGTATGTGAATCAGAGCTCAATAATGCTATTAAATTTTTTAAAAAGATTATATCAATTTCCTCATTTGCCCCATATTGTGCTTAAAATCCAGAAGACTTATTTCAATGTCACCTTTGATTAGTCCCCTCGTGAGCGGGATTTTAGTAGTAGAATTTGCTACCATTCATTCGTTGCCAACATTCAAATGAGGCTGAGGGTTTACGACAGTGAGAGAGATAGGTCCAGGACAGAAAAAGTAAGAAGGATGGCAACTGGAAGGGACAGTTGAGAAGTGGAGCCAAGGAACTGATCTGTGGGCCCAAACACAGGACATAGATCTCAGATCTAGGAAAAGAGGGTTTCTGGCCAAGATGAAAGGGACTGTTTTCATGATGGATACAAGCAGCACGTCATTGTTACTCACTGACAGTCTGGGCCAGGATGGGGAAGAAGGGCTCTTCCCTGCATCTACATGGAGTACCACTGGCATGGACACAGTGGTGGCTCTAGGCTGTGTGGCACATGTGGGCACCCCAATGGTTCGCTGCGTATAGTGTCATCTGAGAAAGAAGAGGAGGATGCTACCTGTACTTGACAGGATGAGTTTGGGTATTCAAATGAAAACAGCCCCCTCCAGGGACTATGGAACATAACTGGTGGGGATTTTCATTGTTTCTTTGTTTAACAGCTTTATTGATATATATTTCACATATCATAAAATTCAACAATTTCAAGCATGCAATTCAATGACATTTAGAAAATTTACCAAGTGGTGCTACCATCACCATAAACCAGTTTTAGAACACTTTCTTCATCCCAATAAGATCCTTCATGGACATGGTTACTTTTAATAAGAACTCTCTCATTAAATATCAAGTGTGATCAGGAGAGAAACATGGGTTTCATCAATAGATAACTGGAATATTTTTTCTTTCTCAAAAATTCTTCCATAACTATCCTTTCCATTCCCGAAGACCATCCTCTGCTTCAGAGCTTCATGACTCCAGTTCCATAATACTACAAAAGTCTCACAGGTAATATGTCTAGGGACAGCCAAACCATTCCTTCTAACTCATGGTTGTATTTACCTTCCTAAAATCCCTGTTCCATCATTCCATTATCTCTTCCTATTGCATCACTTACAAACACTTAAGACTTGGGTACCATTATTGTTTGGCCACTAATCACTTTGTCTTAGTTGAAGACCTGGCACCAGATTATTTCTATGGCACTTTCACACAATACTATGATTCTTTTGGCTGGCTTTTAAACTCCTCTATAATTTGAGTCAGCACTCTCTATCCAGTTTTATTTTTGATTATTTCTCAATAAGCGTGTTCTACTTCACTCAAGCCAACTTTCTCGTGATCCAACATGTTGATAGACCCTTCTCTTCACGGTTTTATCAATACTATTATCTTTACTTGGAAAATTCTTTTCTTCTCTACTCATGTGTATCAGTCAGCTATTGCTGTGTAATAACCTACTCGGAAGCTGGAGAGTGGTTGATCCTGAATGGACTAGCTCATGCATCTGCAGGGGGCTGTGCTCTAGGCTGGGCTTGGGTGGAGTTGCTTAGCTATGCAGCTCTACGCCACATGTCTCTCATTCCTCTCCAGCAATCCGGCTCAGACATGTCCTTCTCATGGCCATGGCAGAAGCACAAGTGGACAAGTGTGAACAAGAAAGGTCTCTTGAGGTCTAGGATTACAACAGGTATGCTATCACTTCTCCATGTCCCTATTGGCCAAAGCCAGTCAAAAGGCTGACTCCAGAGTCAGAGTTAGAGGGCACTGTCATGTTACCTAAAGAGCATGTATACAGGGATGAGTGGAACACTGGGTCCATCAATACATGCTACCACACTATCCAAATCCTTCAGATGGATTTCTTGGTCACTGTTGTATTTGGCATAGGAAAAGAAAGTATTCCAGAAACTACTGGAACCTTTCAAAGATGACAATGAGGGATCTACAAACAAATTAGGTTTTGAAGAGCTGGAATACTATGAACTCACATAAAAATAAGTATCATCAGGTTTAACAAACAAAATCCTTTAATAACAAATAGCAATATTTATATCTTCAGTCCCTGAAAAAGTATGATAGAAATGGCTCCACTTATTCATGTGTCTGTTGTTTAGGGCTTGAACTGTCCAGAACATAATCTTTAATCTGGAAGTAACCCCAAAGCTTTCTCATGAAATTTCTTCTTGAGATAGGGGAGCTCTGAGATCATCCTCTGGCCAGAGTTGATTAAGGTACTTAATGAACTTGATTGCCTGGTTTCCTGTGTCAGCCTTAAATTCTACTCTTAGTTATAGCCAAGCAGTAGGAATCTATGAGGTGGGATGGAGGACAGTGACGTACAAACTACCTAAACACAGATGTTTTATCTGACATTTTTATCCTTTACAATACATCCTTGCCTATAATGTATGCCCCACAAAAATCACATAAAATACCAAGTGATGAGCAATTATTGAAGAGAGACCCATATAAAAATAATTATTTCACTGGCTCTCAGAAGACAATTTGTGATTAGAAAAATGCACAAATAGAGAAGATTACTTATTTGGGCCAGTAAATACGAAACTCAATGTAATTTCTAATTTAGAATTCTGTGGCTCTCCAAAATGGGTTTTACCTAATTCAATTTAAGGTTTAATTTTAGATAATCAAACCCCAAACCAAGCCTGTGTATATGTTGACATCTTTTGAACCTAGACTAAGTCTCCGAGACTTCCCTTCTTAAGTAGAGAAAATAAGAGAAAAAGAACCTTCCTAGATTTTCAGCTGGGTGTGGTTCCTGGATTTGTAATTGCACTGATTTCCCCATGAGTCACATTTGTTCCTAGTGTACGCCAGACTTTCCCCTTTTAGATGCTTGAGGAGATACTTCTATGCGACAACGGAACACTGAAAGTGGTGAGGAAACCATACGATTGTGTCTAGCTCAATAGACACAGAATGATCTGTTGTTTTAGAGCAGAGCTTCTCTCCCTTGAGTGTGCAAGAAGAACTTGGGGGCTTGTAGAAACACACGTTCCTGAGCTCCAACCATGGAGTTTCTGGTTCACTGGGTCTGGGACAGGGCTCGTGATTCTGCATTTCTAACAAGCTCCCACGTGTTGCAGATGCTGCTGTTCCGTGGAATACATTTTGAGTAGCACTGGTTAGGAGTACAGTTTCTCAGCTTTGGCACTACTGACATCTGGACCAAGTAATTCTCTGTTGTGGGGGCTGCACTGTGCATTACAGGATGTTGAGGAGCATCCTTGGCCTCTACCGACTAGTAGCACCTCTCCAGGTATGACAACCAAAAATGTTTCCAGACATTGCCAAGTGTCCTCTGGGAGTCAAATCACCCCCATTGAGAACTACTGGCTTAAAGGATGGGTTCTGAATAAAAGAGACATGAGCTGAAATCTGCCCTAACCATTTGACTACGCATGTGGTTCAGGGGAGCAGTGTCCACATGGCTAAAGCTTCGGTATGAGTATGCCTCCCTCACAGAGTTGTTGTAGGGACAGGTTAAGTGAGGATGTATTTAATCAAGTGGCATGGGGCCTGGCCCCAAAGCAGCAGTCCATAGCGGTTCCTGAGTATTGTATCAAAAAATCTTTCTATGAGGCAATATCATCCAAACTCTGTTTGGAAGGTAAGCAGAGTTACCTACCTAGAAGGGTAAGTTTCCGTCTACTTAGTTCAAGTGTGTGCGTTATATTTAGAATTCTAGAGTCTTTTCTCAGTTCAGAGGCAATAACAATAAAATAAACCCAATATCTATCTCTATGATCATGAAGCTTAAAATCTAGTTCCATGGCTAATACACCGAGCATATTTTTATGATCCTGAAATAATCTTTATTTGAAACATAGATGTGTTTTTCAAGTGGTTTCTGAAGCAAAATGCTTTGTCAGTTTGTCAAATCCCTTTCATCCCAACGACCATAGAAGATATAAACCAGTTGTTGTCCAAAGAACAAAAGTAACCAAGGGGGCTGAGATAAAAATCTCAGGCAACACTGGTGAAAAGGGTAAAGCTGTATTTACATATCTCGTACCCTATCAATACACTCCCATAAGGAGCACTAGTGTTAGTTTTTCCTTTTGCCACCAGGGGGAGAACCAAACTTTCTCACAGAGTCACACATATTTGTCAGACGTGCGTTACAGAGGCTGGCAGACCAGGGTTGAACAAAGCTTTTAGTTACTTCCTACCAGAATAAAAATATCTGCTGGCATGAATTCACGAGAGAAGGCAGTACGAACCACTTTTGTATACAAGGTCTTTTAAGCTTTTTTATTCCAAACACTGCAGCAACAACTATTTTTGATCCTGGGAGTCAAGAGACGACAAAGTTAACTATCTCTGGGTCTTCTTACTTTCTTTACATTTAAGATGAGGCATTAGGAATAAGACAAGTAACATTAATGTTACATAAGACATAAATGTACATTTGGCTCCCTTTAGCTTCCTCAAGCCTAGTATTAAAGGATGATGACAATGGTGATGATGACAGTGGTGGTGATTGTAATGTTGTTGGTTGTGGTAGTGATGGCAGTAATGATGACAAAGATGATAATGGTGATGGAAATTTTAGCTAAACATAATGAACACCTACCACCATAGGATAGATCCTGGGCTAAGCAACTTATATTAGTAGCTAATTAAACTCTAGGAGGAAAACATGGAGCTTTCTTCATTTACTTATTAAAATTTTAAAGTTAGAGGAAGTTTGGGCATCCTGATCACTCCCAGAAACCTTTGAACCCCCCACCACAGGAAAAGATAAATAAGTAAATAGATAGATATAAAGGTTATTGGTAATTGTTATATTAATAATAATTAAATAAAGAGTGTTTTTATGCTCAGATACAATTCCACAGAGCTGTATTTGTGAAGGCTGGCTCTTCATGTGATAAACTATTGGCCTATTTTCATTGTTGTCCCAATAAAATAAGGCAAGAATACACATAGTATATGGATCCTGCCATGTACTCAGAATTTTTTCTTATTACAATCCACTCTTTATAATTTTGTCTATCGTTGCAACTTTTTTACAATGAGTGCATGTTACATATAAAATAATAATGCAGCTTCGTCATCTTAGAATAAACAAAAGGTGTAGATCCCCCAAAATTACCCAGAATAAATATCACCTGCATGTCTGAGTCTGAAACATGGGCACTTGTGTTGATTAAACTGTCTCCTAAATCACTACAGATTCACTGAGTTTTTGCCCAAACAAATCAAAGTACCAAGGAAACCAAAAAACAACAACAAAATTACAAATGAAAATTCATCTGTAATGAAAGTCAGAAACAACGAGGTCAAAGCAGCTTATACGGACATCAAATTTCACTTGGCTTTGTCTGTTAGAAATTTACCTCAATGGAGAAGTGGATGTGGCATCTCTAGTCACATTTTTAGTGATGATAATTATTATTTGGTGGATGAATACACAAACTCCACATTATTTATTAGATACGTTACTTCCTCTTGGCTAAAATCACTTTGGGGCTTAAGCCAAAGCCTTCCCTACATAAATGACATCAATCAGATTGGCATTTACCAGAACATTCCAAAATCAATAAGGCGTGTATTTTTAAGAGCCTTTTTTGCTATCTTTAGATCGGCAAATGAAGGAGTTCTGAAGAACCAGGAGTGGGAGTTCCACAAATAAACAGCATGCTTCATGGTTCATTGTGGAGAAAAATCTGGAAACTCTCAAGGGGATTTTATTGCTGATCTGAAGTGACTTGACGAAACTCAGGATCCCAAATGAGGGAAATCCTTTGATAGTAAGAGTTTGCCTAATATCTTCTCAGAGTGAATTCTAAAATTAAGAGTTAGGTCTAAGATTAAGTCAGAAAACACTGCAAAAGGGACTGCCTTCTTAAGATATGCCCCCTTCTCTCTCCCATCACTTTCCCTACAAAACAACCCAGGATGAGGGCAAAACTCACTAAAATAACATTTATGTGGGTTTTATTTTTGAGCCTTGGCCTGTGGTCTCTGCCATTGGTGGCTGTACTGTTCTGACTCAATTTCTGCCCCATATCCTAAATCTATAGTCTCAGGTACAAATTATCAGCCCATATGAGGACTGAGAGGGTGACCTGCTCGTACATTTCTACCTCTTTTTAAAAGGCAACAAAATACCTACTTCCTCTCATTTCAGAGGAAAATCCACTTTCCACTTCATGTATAAAACTCAGTTGGCTATAACTTATGAAGAAATAAGCTAAGGAGTGATGACTCTTCAGAAAATATGAGTACTGGAGAACGAAGAAATTATCAAACTATAAAAGGAAATAGAGTTTGTGCCTGGAAAAGACAACAGGGTGCTTCCCCTTGCCTCTCAGAATAAACTAGAAAATAAATGAAGTCTATACACACAGTTTTCCTGATTCTCAGTTGAAATTTGAAAGGAAAGTAAATAAAAGAGTGACAGAATTTTAATGCTTGAAAAAAACACAAAGAACACCATATTGATTTATAGAAAAAAAGAATAAGGATAAAAAAGTATCTACAGGATGGACAATGGGGATGCACAAAAACCATGTGAGAGAATTAAGAATTTCAATTTCAGATAAGATCATGGATCCAAGATCTACCTACTATGAATGCTCTTGTAAAACAACACGATGTGCCCCCGGGTAGCCAAGATTTTGGTCTCTAAAACTTTCAACTAAAAAGTGAAAGACACAGGGATCCTTGAAAAGTAGTTGATTCCATGTCTTGTGGCAGGAAAAACCAGGATGAGTCTGGAACACTTTGTTGTTACCAAGAAGCTTGAATACTTTCAAGGGTGGTGCTAACTGGACAAATGGACCAGCTTAATGCAGTTGTCACTAATGAAAGCATGACAGTTTAATCAACAACAAAAAACTCTGTGAAAAGTCATGAGAACACATATACTCAAAAACAACAAATAACATAATCTGCTCAAGAAAGATGTGCATGACTTCCCCCAGGAATATTTACTGGAAATACTTCACATTGATGAACCCAAACACATGCTTGTCAAATTCAAGTTTTGCTAAGTTCCAGGAGGTCAAAGTAGACAATACAATGTTGCATAGGGTGTTTCAAATTGGGTAGAGAATGCAGAATGATGGTTCTCAACCTTGGCTACACAGGAAAATCACTTGAGAAAATTTAAAAAATATCAATGACTGGGCACTATCCCCAGACAAATTAAATCAGAATCTCTGGAGGTGGGGCTTGGGGCCTGGTATGTTTGAAAAGTTCCCCAGACCATTCTAGTGGGGGTGGAGAACCACTGGCCTAGAATCTAGGATAACCAGTCATCCTGGACACTTTCCTGGTTTTAGCGCTGAAAAGTTCCCATGTCCCAGCAAACCCTCCAGTCCTGGAAAAACAAGGATGATTGGTCACCCTCTCCAATCAGGCAATAAAAAGTTGTCACAGAAATTTTCAATAAAAATTACATAAGAAAACACTGTAAGAAAATTAAGTATAAATGACCATGATTCACCAGACTACAAGAAAAGGTTGAAGCTTAGAAATTCTTACTACTGTATAAATGACTATAGCACAATAAAGGCCCAGTGGGATTGAGGAATCAGAATGGCAAACCCTAGTTCTTGGTGTCTTGGTCCAAAATCTCTGACTGAAAACCCCCAATTTATAAATTTGAAGTCACATTCTCAACCAATAACTGTATCTATCATTTCTGTTTTCCTTATTTGGGTCAGTAACCTTGCAACTCTGAGAAGTATACTAATACTAATATAATTCTAAGACCAAGGCTAATTCTATGCTAATAGTGCTGGTGCTGGTACTAATAATGATGATAGCTCTAGCATTAACACTATTATGAATACTAATGATAATGCTGCTACCAGTATTAATACTAATCAGGTACTAGTAGTAATATTGATAAAATACATGGGGCAAATGAAGAAATTAATCAAACTTTGGTATTAATACAATTGAGTTGAGTGTAAAAATAACTTCTGGAATCAACATGTTAGGATATGCAAGTTTTATTTGTTCTTTGAGGTGTTTGAATTGTTTTGGAGAATCTGACATATCGAACTTATGATTTTAACTAAAATACTTGGGACTTAATGATTTAAGTTTGCAATCTCTGTTTAAGTGTTTGAGGAAATCTGATGAGTTAAATCTAGAAGTTTAAATTTTGTAAGGAATATTTAGATGCTCAGTAAAAAATTAAGTGCTAGATTTGAAAGTCTCACTAGCTGGTATTTAAGGGATCAAAAGAAAGGTGTTGTGTTTTGTTTTGTTTTTAAACATTAATGCAAAAATGATAAAAAAATGAGATATATAAATTGGGCTTAAAGGCTTAAAAAAGGTGTTTTTAAAAGACTAGCTTGATATACTAGTATTACACAAAGTGAGAGTCAACGTTAATATTCTTGTACAAGTGAACCCACAAGCAAAAGCTAAGGCTTTAAAAAAATACAAGTGGTGTGATGTTTCTGGAACAGCTGTGGAAGTGTGATCTCAGAGAACACAAGAAGACAGCAAAGACAATTCCTGAGAAATTAGAAGGGAAAGGACAGAGCAGGCACAGCAAATCTAGCCTCAAGTCTCAGTGAAAAGGCCCAAAGGGGCCAAACACTTTGCTGAGTTGTGGGAAGCTCCCCTGCCAAATCTCTGGAACGAACCTGAGATGCCTTTTTGCAATGACTCAGATACTAGAATTGAAAGAATGTGACGTAAGTTTTAGCAATGGGGCAATTTATGATTTATTTTAGAAGAACTAACTGAGGAAACAAGATGAAAGTTGCTGGTAGGGCTTAGCAGAAATGCTCTCAAGCAAGCCAAGGATAAAGATCTTTGCAATATTACTTAGAAGTCCAAAGGTTGCTAGAGACCACGGAGTTCAGGGAGAGGCCAGCAGCTACAGGGCTGGAAGGCAGGTGAGCCTGTCTTGTGGGAAGGGGAGAGGTGAATCTAGACGTGACGAGATGCCTGAGGCCTAGGATGGTTTGCCTGGCCCAGATCCACCGGCCATAATAGGAACCTGGGAGCCCAACAGACATGAGGTGTCACATTTAAACGCTTAGGTGGGGCAAACAGGGCCATAAGAACATACATTTTTAAATAAGACACAAACCAAATACACGGGTCTGAAGTTATAAAGCACAGAAAACTTACTTTCCCAGCATCTTGAAACACACCTAATTCACAAAACGTGAGCATGTCATCTAAGGATGGAAACATGAATAAAAAAGAGCACAAAGAAAAGAAAGAAAATTAAACTATAAATAGCAGTAAGGAAAAAGAAATAGAGGCAAGTGATGGTGGTAAACATAGACAGGAACTGCGTATAATGATTTGCTGGCAAAGGAAGAAATACCCGCTTAAAAACCATATATATTTTTTAAGGTGGACTGAGGTTAACAGTTGAAATAAAGGCAGCAGTTGAAAGGAAGGCAGCAGCTGAAAGAAGGTCATGGATTAAGTAGACTGATCCAGCAGTTTCCACGCCAAGTCCAAGTCTGAACAAAGGAAAAACACTTGGAAAAAATCATTTGGTTAAAAATAATAACAAGGGATAGGCAGAAGAGTTTGACCAGGATGTTGCAGACAGGAAGAAAGCAGGCTACAGGGAAATGTGGGAAAGTGATCAATGAAGGAGAAAGGCAGCAAAGCCCTATCTACCTACATCAGTGGGTGTCAACCCTGACTGCACTCTAGAATTACCTGGGGAGCTCTACAAAATACCTATGCACCACCCTCGACCACTGAGCTGGAATCTCTGGGGCTTGGGGATTGGGTATGAAGTTTCTAAAGCTCCCAGGTGATCTCAATTTGCAGCTAGGGCTGAGACCCACTGCTTTGCATGCAGAGAGAGTAAATGTGAGGTCCCATATCTCTAAATTATCAGGCCCAAACAGCCACTTGCACCTGAAGCACTCCAATAATTGTAGCCAAAGTCATTTCCTTATTTGAACTTCGCAGGTAAATGACTAGATTTTTCACTTGACTTAAGGAGCTTTAAAATTCAGAAGGAAGAAAGGAAGAAATTTTTTTATTATCCTTTAAGTTTTAGAGTACATGTGCGCAACGTGCAAGTTTGTTACATATGTATACATGTGCCATGTTGGTGTGCTGCCCCCATTAACTAGTCATTTAACATTAGGTATATCTCCTAATGCTATCCCTCCCCGCTTCCCCCACCCCACAACAGGCCCCGGTGTGTGATGTTCCCCTTCCTGTGTCCATGTGTTCTTATTGTTCAATTCCCACCTATGAGTGAGAACATGCGGTGTTTGGTTTTTTGTCCTTGCGATAGTTTGCTCAGAATGATGGTTTCCAGCTTCATCCATGTCCCTACAAAGGACATGAACTCATTGTTTTTTATGGCTGCATAGTATTTCATGGTGTATATGTGCCACATTTTCTTAATCCAGTCTATCATTGTTGGACATTTGGGTTGGTTCCAAGTCTTTGCTATTGTGAATAGTGCTGCAATAAACATACGTGTGCATGTGTCTTTATAACAGCATGATTTATAATCCTTTGGGTATATACCCAGTAATGCAATGGCTGGGTCAAATGGTATTTCAAGTTCTAGATCCCTGAGGAATCAACACACTGACTTCCACAATGGTTGAACTAGTTTACAGTCCCACCAACAGTGTAAAAGTGTTCCTATTTCTCCACAGCCTCTCCAGCACCTGTTGTTTCCTGACTTTTTAATGATCACCGTTCTAACTGGTGTGAGATGGTATCTCATTGTGGTTTTGATTTGCATTTCTCTGATGGCCAGTGATGATGAGCATTTTTTCATGTGTCTTTTGGCTGCATAAATGTCTTCTTTTGAGAAGTGTCTGTTCATATCCTTCACCCACTTGTTGATGGGGTTGTTTGTTTTTTTCTTGTAAATTTGTTTGTGTTCATTGTAGATTCTGGATATTAGCCCTTTGTCAGATGAGTAGATTGCAAAAATTTTCTCCCGTTTTGTAGGTTGCCTGTTCACTCTGATGGTATTTTCTCTTGCTGTGCAGAAGCTCTTTAGTTTAATTAGATCCCATTTGTCAATTTTGGCTTTTGTTGCCATTGCTTTTGGTGTTTTAGACATGAAGTCCTTGCCCATGCCTATGTCCTGAATGGTAATGCCTAGGTTTTCTTCTAGGGTTTTTATGGTTTTAGGTCTAACGTTTAAGTCTTTAACCCATCTTGAATTGATTTTTGTATAAGGTGTAAGGAAAGGATCCAGTTTCAGCTTTCTACATATAAAATTTTCTCAACTAAACTCAGAAAAGGAAGTGGGGAAATATGTTTGGGTGGCTTGTAAACTATCAATTATTTTACATATTTGAAACCATCTTTAAATAGAAATCCAGTGTACCATTGGTCTTCACACTGAAAACAATTCACTCAGCCACAAAATAAAAGCTAGCAACACGGAGATAAGAATGTCTTATTTAGGTCACAAAATGCCTACAGATTCTTTTTCTGTTTTCATCTCTACTGATCAGTGATTCTCAACTGGGGGCAGTTTTGCACCCTTAGGGGACATTTGGCAATATTTCAGACATTTTTTATTGTCATGATTGGCAGCTTGTTATTGGAATCTACCGGGGATCGACCAGGGACACTGCTAAACACTCTACAACGCATGACAAATCCCTTAAAGTAAAGAATTATCCAGTCCAAAATATCAATGTGCTGAGGCAGAAAGATCCTGCTCTAGATAGTAAGGTTAACATTTCTGCAAATAATAACTAATACTCTCTATAATAACTCTCTATTGATACTCTCTACTAATAACTGCCTTTCAACCGAAACACAAATAAGTTTAAACATGCACCAATTATATGCTGAATTAAAGAAAAACAAAAAAGCCTCTTACAGAAAATCAAAGCACTAATAAAATTATCCTGTGGGTTTACCACAATGAGAGATCAAGGACTGGAGAATTAAAACATTGGCCAACCAAGTGAAGTTGCTAAAGCAAAAACCAGATATCAAATTATTTTGATTGTTGGAATTGAGTTTACACTCAGACAAATTGAGAGTCCTCTAAATGAAGACTTCTGAGCATGCGTTATCATCAATATTTAGTAAATTATGCTTAAAATATCTGTGTTTGCTAAATTTTACATGTCCTAAATAATACATTTGTAGGGGAAAAAAAGGCTTTTCAAGCTATACAATTATATAAATTTCTTCCAAATCACTTGGTAAATTTGCTCACTTCATGGAAAACAAAACAGAGGTGGGATAGGAAGATATTTTTCAGAATTGCAATGCAAATACAGTGAGAAATAATATCACCCCCAAACATGAGAAAGTCGGTGTGGTTAGAGCTGAAGGAAGACAAGGAAAACTTATCATGCATCCCAGTCTCTGATCTGTGATAACAGTAATGTTAACCACTAGTCTAGTTCTAATGGGAACTAGAAGTCTATTCTAGAGAAAGATTTACAAATTATTAAGAGTATTCATTAAAAGCCACAAAACATGCCTATGTCCTGAATGGTATTGCCTAGCTTTTCTTCTAGGGTTTTTATGGTTTTAGGTCTAACATTTAAGTCTTTAATCCATCTTGAATTAATTTTTGTATAAGGTATAAGGAAGGAAACCAGTTTCAGCTTTCTACATATGGCTAGCCAATTTTCCCAGCACCATTTATTAAATAGGGAATACTTTCCCCATTTCTTGTTTTTGTCAGGTTTGTCAAAGATCAGATGGTTGTAGATGTGTGGTATTATTTCTGAGGGCTCTGTTCTGTTCCATTGGTCTATATCTCTGTTTTGGTACCAGTACCATGCTGTTTTGGTTACTGTAGCCTTGTAGTATAGTTTGAAGTCAGGTAGCATGATGCCTCCAGGTAGGCAATACCATTCAGGACATAGGCATGGGCAAGGACTTCATGTCTAAAACACCAAAAGCAATGGCAACAAAAGCCAAAATTGACAAATGGGATCTAATTAAACTAAAGAGCTTCTGCACAGCAAAAGAAACTACCATCAGAGTGAACAGGCAACCTACAAAATGGGAGAAAATTTTTGCAATCTACTCATCTGACAAAGGGCTAATATCCAGAATCTACAATGAACTCAAACAAATTTACAAGAAAAAAACAAACAACCCCATCAAAAAGTGGGCAAAGGATATGAACAGGCACTTCTCAAAAGAAGACATTTATGCAGCCAATACACACATGACAAAATGCTCATCATCACTGGCCATCAGAGAAATGCAAATCAAAACCACAGTGAGATACCATCTCACACCAGTTACAATGGCGATCATTCAAATGTCAGGAAACAACAGGTGCTGGAGAGGCTGTGGAGAAATAGGAACACTTTTACACTGTTGGTGGGACTGTAAACTAGTTCAACCATTGTGGAAGACAGTGTGGTGATTCCTCAGGGATCTAGAACTAGAAATACCATTTGACCCAGACATCGCATTACTGGGTATATACCCAAAGGATTCTAAATCATGCTGCTATGAAGACACATGCACACGTATGTTTATTGTGGCACTATTCACAATAGCAAAGACTTGGAACCAACCCAAATGTCCAACAATGATAGACTGGATTAAGAAAATGTGGCACATATACACCATGAAATACTATGCAGCCATGAAAAACGATGAGTTCATGTCCTTTGTAGGGACATGGATGAAGCCGGAAACCATCATTGTGAGCAAACTATTGCAAGGACAAAAAACCAAACACCACATGTTCTCACTCATAGGTGGGAATTGAACAATGAGAACACATGGACACAGGAAGGGGAACATCACACACCGGGGCCTGTTGTGGGGTGGGCAGAGGAGGGAGGGATAGCATTAGGATATATACCTAATGTAAATAACTAGTTAATGGGGTCAGCACAGAAACATGGCACATGTATACATATGTAACAAACCTGCACGTTGTGCACATGTACCCTAGAACTTAAAGTATGATTAAAAAAAGAAAAGAAAAGAAAAAAAAAAGCCAGAAAACTTTAAAACATAACTGGTACTCTCAAACAAGCAATTTAAATAATTGATGAATCCCATTTCCACGTGCTTGATAGTCATCAGTGATTGAGGGCCTGTGAGTGAGAACAATCAAGTCAGTGGTCTTCAAGTTTTGCTGTACGTTCTCATCAGTTGGAGATTACAAGCTTTCTTTTTCTTTTTTAAAATGATGCCAAGGCAGGCTTCTTCCCAGACCAAATAAATCAGAAGCTCTAGGAGTGAAGCTTGATCTTTGGCACAGTATTGTACAGCACATCTCAAACTTTAACTTTCATGTAGATTGCCTAGGGATCTTCGTAAAATGCAGATTCTAATTGAGTGGGTCTGGGGTGTGCCTGAGATTCTGCATTTTGCAATGTCAACAGTGGTGTTCTAAGGAACACACTTGGAATAGTGAGGTGTCAAAAGCTTCCTGTTTGATTCTAATGTGCAGCCAGCATTGAGAACTGTCTATGACTAAGCTCCTAGTTGTAAGCTGGGTGCTATGTGGGCACAGAAGTAAAATAGAAAAAGAAGCATTCCTCAAATAAGGAATTGTTCCATCCTAAATCACTGTCATGCAATTCACATATCTTTGGCTTATCTTTTGCAAGAAAAAAGGGTCAAATTTTCTAATGGGAAGAAATTCCATTGTAGACCAAAGGAAGCTCAGTTACTCCTCTGGAAGGACAGCCCATTTGATGTTATCTTATATTAATACAGGTAACTTGCCCCAGCCTTAGCTTTTGCGTTTCCTTTTCTGGAAGGCTCTTTCAGCAGAGTTCTGCATGGCTGTTTCCTGTTCATCATTCCAGCCTCCTCCTATGTACCATTCCCAACCCCACCCCATCACTCTCATTTCCTTATCCTGGGTTTTTCACCAGCTGTTTATCACGAGTTAATTAATCAATAACAATAAATGGCCAGTGAGCTCAAAGAAACCCACAACCATTCCCATGCCCTGCTGAAACATGAATGAAGCCTGAATATTGGTTAGTACTATTGGTCTTGGGAGAGAGAAATCCTAAAAGGAAGAAAAATAATGACCTTATTAAAAAATCACACTGGCTAGCATTTTGGAGGAGGCTTTACATTTATAGCTTAATCTCAAATTGATTGTCTCATTTGATGCCTATGAAAAACTCATAGGGTGGGGATTTTCCCCATTCTCAAGGTAGGAAAACTGAGTTTTTGAGATGCCAAAGAGCACAAAATCACAGAAGGAAGAATCAAAGGCAGGCATCTGAATTCAAAGTCTAAGTTCTTTCAACTTCTCCTAGCTGACTTCTTTATTTTTTCAACACACTCTTAAGAATCAACAACCAAGTCCTAAGACTGTACATACATTTGAACTTGATATTAAGTAAATTTAACCCACCAGTATCTAAAATGGGAAATAAGAGATACAAGGCAAGTCACGTTGGTGTGTTTGTCCCAACCCTACACCCTACTTTCTCCATGTGATTTTTAATGGGGGCCCTTTCTATTTACTGAATTACAAGAAGGATATCCTGAAAAAGACACTATCAAATTCAGGAAATAGTCAGTTAGTTTGTATTACTGAGTATTTATAAAGCAGTATTATTTTCTTATTTAAAGAAAATGGAAGTTTTAATTATTATTTATTCCAAAGATTATAAAAGGTGAATAATAAGTGATTTAAGAGAGTATATGATAATGATTACAAATCTATTCAAGAGCAATTTAAGTTTTTTAGTCTTTAATTTTTCCTATTTAAAAAAGTAATACTTTTTTAAAGAAAACAAACAAAAGCAAAAACCAAAAACAGCAGAAATATACTGTGAAAAGAAGAAATCTCCTATAGTTCCTCCCCCTGAAGAAAGCCATTGTAAGTAATAATGATAATAATAATATAACTAACATTTGTTGAGTGTAGTAAAGGCCACACACTGTGCTATTAATTTGTTAAAATTTTCTATGGATATAACAAAATATATGCATAGACATTATGTTATTAATATAACTTGCATCATATTATATGATGTGTTCTATTCTGTTGTGATACACTAGCAAATGGTAGTACATATCTGTACATAACAGAATCATCACTCATCATTGTAGAAATGTTTACATTTAGTAACATTTGTTGTACTAAGCACTGTGTTCAATGCATTACCTGACTTATTTAATTCTGTCAATGATTCTCTGAGGTAGTGTGTAGTATTATTTCATAATCTAGGAAATCAAGTATTGGAGAGATTTAATAGCTTATTTTAGGACATGGCTTTGAGAGGCAGAGCTAGGATTTCCACTGAGAGCTGTCTCAGCCCAGAGCCTGAATTCTTATCAATGGTATTTTTAACTTGTTTTAATACTGAGAAAAATATTTTTTAAATATTGATGAACATTAACTCAAAAAAGCGTCTTTAGAACTGCTACAATATGTTTGCAATTTAGTAGTAATTCCAGAAAGTGTGCTTGGTAGTAATTGAACTCAAATATTAAGTTCACTTACACCCTCATAAATAGCTTAAAGTTTCTCAGAAGGTAGGGTGAGTAGTTGATCCAGAAGGTGCCAAAATGATAAGCGTTATAAGCCAAAAATGGACTTCCTGTAGAATGCAATGGGGCTACCTTTCCATTCTCAATGAAAATTTCAGCAAAAATAAATGTGCACTCACAGATAAGTAGATAAGCATTATTTGTCCTACACCAACCTCACATATCCTATAAATCTTAGCGTAAAGTTGTGCATTGACCTGCTGCAACATGAATGAGCCTCAAAGACATAATACTGAGTGAAAGAAGTCAATCACAAAAGACCACATGTCATGTTGTATGGTTCCATTCATATGAAATGTCCATAGAAGGCAAAGCTGTTCCAATAGAAAGTAGATTAGTGGGTACCTGGGGCTGGGGGTGGGAACAGGGAATGACTGCAAATGGGGATGAACAATTTCATTGGGATGATGGAAATATTCTAAACAGATTGTGGGAATGTTGCACAACTCTGTAAATTTATTAAGAAACCACTGAATTGCACACTTAAACTGAGTAAATTTTATGATGTAAAATTACTTCAATAAAGTTATTTTAAAAATATATCTCAATAAGAGAACCAGAAATTACTTGCAAGTGAAGGATTAAAATTAATCTTATACATTCAAAATAAGTGAGTAACATTATAATGTATCATTTTCCTTCCTAGGACACCCATTTAGAAAAATCACAATATAATGAATGAAAATAAACATCATTTTTTTGTTACTACTTATTTAGTATTTATAGTGATCTGACCAAGCATCCATCTGTGGTTAATATAGAAACAGCCCACTGATCTACACACCAGACTTCTAAGAAATTCAGCTTTCTAAAATCAGAAGCAAAAAAGGCATCTGAACAACTATCAGGATTGGCTACATAATTTATGGAGCCCTGATCAAAATGAAAATGCAGGACCTCTTGCTCAGATTAATAATTTTAAAATGATGACAGCAGAACATTAGTCATGTTGTCCTTCTGAGCATGGGCCCTGTGCGACCACACAGGTAGGATACTCATAAAGCTGGTGTTGGCAATCAAACTAGTTGTCACAAAAATTCTGGACTAAGGCCATGCATTTTATTCAAGAGGTTTATTCTGTAACAGAAGTCCTCTAACTCTCATTTTATTCTACATGCACATTTATGGACTTGGTTATCTCATTTGATGGACTAAGGGCAATCAAAATCAACACATAAGAACTGAGTGGAAGATTTCAGAAGGAAGAAGCCCTCTTCTGAAGGGAAAAGTGAAGAAACACTAAGAAGCTAACCCAGCAATATGAAGTATAATAATGGGACCAGGAAATAGTAAATTTTTCTATTACACCCTGTTTGCAAAGACAGCAACATCTAATACATTTTAGAAAATATTCATCAAAAAACAAAAAGGAAGGACTCAATGGGGCAGCAGTGTGCTGATAAAACATTTAACAACTGGTTCTCTGGAGGAAAGCTCTGATTTGCGCCATTTGTTAATTTCCATAATATAAATACTCATTGTGGCGGATTCCAGGGTACCAAGGTGAGGACACAGGACATGCAGTTAGGAAGAGATGCACACAACTGGTTCTCCAGCCAACGCAAGCTGGCTCCAGCATACTGCTGAAATGGGGAAAACATTAGGTACTACCGGCAGTGAAAATATAAGACAGGCCCGGGGCACAGGAGGAGAAATAAAATTCAGTTCTGTTCCCTTATAAAACATTTTGTTCCAAGGGTTAGCAAAGAGAGAAGGTGACTGTTGCTATTTGCTAAAATAAGATACTAATTCTAATGGCAAAATCATCTTGGATAATCAAAAATTGACTACATAACTATTTCCCTTGTCACTTTCCTTCCAAAAATAATTATCTCTGAATAATTTCAAGGTTAAAGATTGTAAGCCTAAAGAGCAACCGACTGTAAAAACAACTGAAAACTATGCCAGTGATATGGCTTTTAAAAAAATAGTAATATTTGTTTTTAAAAAAGAGAGCATGGCCAAGTAAAAATATTTTCTCTTTTCTGTTCCAATGGTTTAACCTATGAATCACCCTCTAGGAGTACTATCATACCACAGATAGGCAACTCTTACTCTTTACAGCAAAAGCATAAGTCTTCACTATCAGTTTTAGTTGCTTCCAATAGAAAGGAGAGTATATGTGATATTAAAATGTAAACATTTCAAATCACCATAGGCTACCTTGAGAATCCCTGATTCAAAAGACCTCTCTCACCCTCAGGAACACTTTAAAATTTCTTCAGAGTCAAGCAGTCAACGGCATTCTGGCTCAGGGCATGATACCACAGAAGACACTTCCCTGATGGTCTCTTAGGTGGCAGCCATATTACTCACCCAGCATGCCTGGTGTTTCCTAAATCCCTTTTCAATTGCCCTTCTTACACCCAGAAGCATCAAAGAGAGGTCTGGGGATGACTGCTCCCTCTTACTGTAGCAACTCTCTCCTCCAGAGAGGGCAGGGGTTAAAGTTATCTTTTTTAAATTATCTAATAAAACCGTAGTTGATCAACATATTTTTTCCAAAAGTATTTACGGAGTGCTTATTACATCCAAGCACTGTTCTAGGACTCATAATTTTGATATTTTTGCTAGGTACCAGTCCAATTCTGACAGTACTTAGAAGGCAAGGTAACATACTGTGCACATGCAAGCCTGTTTAAAAACAGTTCTGGAATGAATGCCAAGATGAGAGACGCTGACTTACATTAGGGAAGCCTATACAACTGATTATCCTCATTACCTCTGTTTAACATAAGCTCAGACTTTTTTTTAAAAAAATCTCAGAACCTATATGGACATTATCAGTTTTAATCTAGTGTCTTTTTTGCCTTTATAACTTTCTAGTATGAGCGCATAGAATATCCTACTTAATGAGAGATCCTCTAGGCATGGAGGCCTAGAGATTTGGTAACACTAATTATTTTGGTTAAAACATATACACACACAAACACACACATGTGCACACACACCCTAAATGGGATCCATCTTTGGGAGGCCAAGTAGATGAGTATAGGTTTCCCATTCTTGGGAGTAGATGGTATCATTACTAGCAACTGTTGTGAGATGCCCCTGCCTGTAAGAACTGCGACAAGAAACTCCTTTTGATGGAAGTTGCCCCCAAAGCAGAAAGGTCAGAATCAGGCTGCAAAGCTGTGGACATGTCAGGGTCTTCAGATCTCTCTCCTACAAGGCATCCTTACTATCTGGAGATAGATGGAAATTATTGATCTTTCAACATCCTCTTCACCAAGAAGAAAGAATAATAACCTCCAAGAATATTAGTAGCACTGTACTTCCTGAAAGTCTGAGAAGAATTATTACCCAAGACATGGAAGCACATGGGAAAGGGTAGCCTGCAAGGGGCTAAGCATTTATGTGTGTGTATAACATATGCATATATATGTGTATGTATATCAAAGACAGCATGACTATACATAATATGAAGATGTAATATAATATATATTATCTATAATGTATAATGTATGGTATAGATAATCCATTATATATACCATCAAACAGGTAGGTGACAATGTATATTTTATCTCTCACATTTAATTTCATTGCTCTCCTAAGCTGTATGAAAATATCCTGCAAGCTGAACATGGTGACTCACGCCTGTTTTCCTAGAACTTTGGGAGGCCAAAGTGGGCGGATCACTTGCGCCCAGGATGAGACCAACCCAGGCAACATGGTGAGACCCCATCTCTACAAAAAATACAAACACAAAAAATTAGCCAGGTGTAGTGGCACACACATGTAGTTCTAGGCACTCAGGAGGCTGAGGTGGGAGGATCAACTGAGCCCAGGGAGGTCGAAGCTGCAGTGAGCCAAGGTCACACCACTGCACTCCAGCCTGGGCAACAGAGCAAGACTCTGTCTCAAAACAAAAATGAAAACAAAAACGAAAACAAAAACAAAACCTGCAGCCAAGTTGCCTCTGAAACCTAGAATGATGTCAGACCAACAGATTCCCCACATTGATAGTAACTAATTAAATCACTGCTTTCTTTGAGATAAAGACTAGAACAGGCACTCTTTACTCTGGGGCAGGCCTACTCCACTTTGGAAAAGGTGCCAAATCTCATGGGCTTACACTACCTGGTGACCTTACACAAGTTACTGAAACTCTCAGGTTCCTTATCTGTAAAATGGGGATAATAATTGTATATGTTTCCTAGGGTTGTTATGAAGATTAAAGAAGTATTTGTAAAAATTCTAAACCAGTGCCTGTTAAATAGTAAGGACTGCGTAAGTGCTATAAAAAAAAAAAAAAAAAAAAAGAAACCGTGGGAGTATCTTATTGTTTTCTAATGTTTGCAGAGGGAGTAAGAGTTTTACTCATCTATATATAATATGAGCACATAACTCATTCTCAGTTTGATTTTTCCTTAACACAAACAAGCCTCTTTTCAGAGTTTAAACAAATCACAAAAGAATTTTTAAGTCATTGTTAAAATTGACATGATTTATAAGCTGGAATGAAAGTGCCATTCTTGTCCCTTAAATGCATGAGGTGATCAATACGTTTTTTCCTAGATATAAGAAATTCCTTTAGGTACCTGCTTTGGCATGGCTGGCATAGACATATTTATATTAGGTAATTAAGAACTCAGATGAAAACAATTTGATACTATTGTTAAGCACAATATGTTTTAATTATTATAGTCATAATTATATAATTATACCTTTATATATAGTATAACAATGCATTCTTTTCTACAGTTTGCAGTTTGATTCCTTTTATCCTTGATGTCATTTAGGAATTCTAAATGTCCTAATTTCTCCAAAACACTGAATGAGAGTTGCAGAAAGACAAACATAAAACCAGATTAACTGCAGGTGAAAATGGCATGTGGATAATTTATTTCTGAATCCAGAGGAATTACATTTTTGATGCTTTGTCTCTCCTTAGCCTAGAGTCTCAAGAAGCTTTTATACATACAAGTCAACAGATTAACATTCGTGATGATTCACTGTTTCAAAATAACTTACATGGTACATCCAAAGTTACTGCTAGAAATATTGCTGGCATTGATTTCTTTAAGCACATTTAAACACAAAAGCCCAACAGAAAAATCAGAGCTTCTACATTTGGACTAAAAAGAGGACACACACAGAGATCTGTTCCTCTCTAATAGAATGTATTAAATAGTAGACTTGAGTGGTGTTTGTAAGTATGACATTGTGGGAGGGAAACTATATGAAGCAAAGGCTATACCTTGAATAGGCTGTTATTACTGCACCCATCACCCCAAAACAGGCCAGTGTGATTTTATGTGCCTCCCCCACAAAATAGAGCTTCTTAATTAAAGCCTTAGCACTTACCAGTTCCTGCCACACAATAAGCAATCAAAAAAAAAAAAAAAAAAAAAAACCACTGGCTTAAATAAAGACCAAATAAATGGATCATTGTCCTAAGTAGCTTACAGTCTAATTTGGGAGGTGAGACTAATTTGGGATGTGGGATAATCAATCCTGAGGACAAATAGTGACATCAACAGACTTGTGCAGGGTAAAATGTCAAAGAGGATATGGAGAAATCTGAATCCCTGTATTAAGATTGGTGCAAAAGTAATTGCAGTTTTTGCCATTGCTTTTAATCATCACTGTTACATCACTGGTGGGAATGTAAAATGGAGCAGCCACTTTGGAAAACTGTCTGGCAGCTCTTCAAAAGTTTAAACATAGAGCTACTATGTGACCCAGCAATTCCACTCCTAGCTATATTTCATTTCAAGAGAAACAAAAACACATGTACACACAAAAACTTGCACATAAATGTTCACAGCATTATTCATAATAGCTAAAAAGTGGAAATAACCCAAATGTCCATCAGCTGATGAATGAATAAACAAAATGTGGCGTACCCATACAACGAAAGATTATTCAGCCACAAAATGAAATCCTGATACATGTACAACATAGATGAGCCTTGAAAACATTATGCTAAGTGAAAGGAGACAGTTACAAAAGGCCATATATTATATGATTCTATTTTTATGAAATATCCATAAAAGGCAAATCTATGGGGACAGAAAGTAATTAGTAGTTGCCAGAGGTGTTAAAGGGAAAGGGAGGGGTGGTTGGCTGCTAATGAATGCAGCAATTCTTTATGAGGTGATCAGGATGTTCTAGAACATGTGGTGATAAATGCACAATTCTGTGAATATACTAAAAACTACTAAATTGTACACTTTTAAAAAGGGGAATTTTATGGTATGTGAACTAGACCTCAATTTCTTAAAACATGCAAAAGATGCATCACTGCAGGAGTTCAGTGGAGAAGTATTAATAAAATTTGGAAGACCTTAGAGGCTTCCAGGGGGAGGGGATAATTGAGCTAGGTCTTCAGGGATGCATTGGATTTAGGTTTAAGGAGGGAAGGCATTTCATAGAAGAGAAAGAAGGTGACGAAGTGAAGCTGGTCATTGTTCCAGTCATGAAAAAAAAAAGAACCAACATACCTTGCAATAATATTGTCAATGAACGTGCCCCCCCGCACCCCGTCCCCCCCTGGCTAAAAGCACTGTCGTTTACCTCTGCTTCAGGTGGAATTTACAGTTCAAGGCAGCCAATATGCAAACCACCTAAGCCTCCATTTTCACAGCTGTGGCTTACCAATTTCTCTTTAAAACACCAACTTTTAGATTTCTGTCCCACTCAATTACATTGAAAGAAATCCTAGATATCCTATCTTTCATCCAGAAATATTTCAGCATTATACTCTTAATGTTTGACATTAACCTAGCATGAACTATCACTGTATGATACTCATGCTGTGACTGTGCCGTATTGTATTTGACTTTCCCAATATTTGGGGGTCTGAGTTTCAAGAAGGACATGAATGTCAACTTCTAGTCATGTAAATAGAATTAAAAACTCCTAGTGCTGTTTATCTTGATAAGGTTTCTATAGTTTACTATTAAATATTAGAGTTCAAGCCTCCACTTGGAATCAGATCCATTCAGGAGACTGTATCATGGTGTTGCATAGCAGAATTGCTATTTAAGAATAACATTCTTGTCACATTCATCCACATTCCAAAAATACTCTGCTTGGCCTTGATGGCAGGATCTGAGAAGAAGCTGGTCATGGTGAACACAAAGTTTGGGAGAGATTCTTGCTGAAATATAGCTTTGTGTGACAAAAGAGGAAAAGCACGGGATTCCTGGGATTGGAAGAGCATCCAAAAGCAGCTAATCCAGCCTCCCGCCCAATGAACAAATTCCCTCCGACGATGCTATTAGGTAAGTATCACCTTGAGTTCAAGTAGTCACAGCTTTATGTCCAACCAGCTCATGACTGGACAATTTTTATCTAGACAGTCCTCATAGCATGGCCAAAGTCACAAATGATGAAAGACATAATAAACTCTAGAAAAATACATAATATCAAGACCATGTTTCTTAACCTAGGCACTGTAGACATTTGGGTCTGGATAATTCTTTGCTGTAGGGGCTGTTCTGTGCCCTGTAGGATATTTAGTAGCATCTCTGACCTCTACTTGCTTATACGCCAATAGCACCCTCCCCAAGATGTGGCAAGCAAATACACAAAAATGTCTCCAGACATTGCCAAATGTCCCTTGGTGGGGGAGTAGGGGTGGGGGAGGGCAAAATTGCCCCCAGTTGAGAGCCACAGGGCTAGAGGCATTACATGTTAAGAGCTACAGGAGGGAAGCTGTGACCTAACGGCCATTCATATGTACAGGATATTAGGATACTTACGACCTGAACAAAAATATACCCTTCAGTATCCAACAGTAAGTTATTTGACATTACCAAAACTCAGCAAATGTTTGTTAGCTTAAATAAAACCATATGATTGTATATATTTCCTGTTTTAGAATAAGAATAATTCAGTAAAAAGGCTAGTGCATTATGTTTTCATTGCATACATATATACATATAAATAATTGAAGGAGATCTGATAACATGTTAAATTTTAAAATTCAGTGGTGTTATTATTTAGTCAGACTTTGTCCCATCACTGTCCAATAACTTTATGTACATCATTCTGCTTAATTCTGACTCCATCTCTGAAAGATAGGTCTGCTGACTCAATTATGATATAATACTAAGGCTCACAAATAACTTGCTGGAAGTCATCCAATTAGTAGATACAAGAGTTGGGATTTGAAACCATGCCTGATTCCAAACACAAACCCAAAGTACAACATTGCATTGAGATTTAGGATCTGATTCCCAAGTTCTTGGCCACAAAAGTATGCTGTACGTTTGTCTGTCTCGTTTTAAAGAATTACAAATATGAACAAATGAGAACAATTCAAATATGTGTCAAGTTTTTTTCACCCATTTTGGTTCCACCTTCTTTGAACATTTTCAAAACATAAAAGACTGTGAGTCAGACTTTGAGCCTATGCCTAATTTAAGCAAGACTTTATATACTAGATTAATTAACAAAATAGAAGATTGTTCTGCTCTCTTGATCTCACATTGCAACAACCCAGGCTTTATTGTACAGGGGTCACCTCCCTTCTAGAATGGCTTTATCCACAACTATGCTTGTATAGAGAAGTCTACAAGTCACTAGCTCTCTGTGAGTATCAGCTACAAGACATTGCTCTGGCAACACCAAGGCATGCTTGCAATTTAACAAACTCTGTAAGTGGAAGGAAAAAAGAGCCTTCCACCTAAATGCCAAATCTATATGTTTCACATAGGAGTGATGTTTGAAATATCTATTTCATTTTTGCCTGCCACTCCCCTATTCTCTCAGAGCTCTGTTACATAAAGCATTAGGTGTTCTGGGGAATAATTGAGCATCAGTTGTGGCAGAGCGTAGGAGGATGCCTAGGTTACCTCCATTATCACACACTCTATTTAGGAGGTGGGCAAATCCTATTTATGTAACTCCAGATGAAGATACACCCTAGCAATTTGGGAGGGTGATCACCAAAATAAATAGGTAATTTCACTTGAACACCTTGTACTAAGCACAAATCTGCTTACTGCCTTCATCTTCTTCGAAAGGAACAGGTGTCATTGAAAACAATAGTTTGCGTTGGCTGCTCAGTATGGGAAAGCCAAGGGGTTGAAATTCAAAGCTGAGTAGAATACGGGCAGAGAACAGCAGCTGAATTTTACTACGAAATGTGAAAACACAGCTCTGTATCCTCCCCACCTGTGAAGATAAGACATCCTGACTATTTCAGTGTGAGAAAAGTTCAGCAATCTTGGGGTGCTCAGGGCTGGGTGTAGGTATGGGGGAGAGTTAGAGATAGTTGATGTGAAAACTTCCCCAGTAGGAAACTGAGTCAAATCAGTCATCTTTTGGTTGCTCATTCAGTTCTCTAAAGCCCTGGTGTCAAATACGACAGCCACTAGCCCCAAGTGACCAATGAGTACTGGAAATGTGGCTAGTCAGAATTAAAATGTGCTGTAAGTATGAAATAAATAATAGTGCAAAGACTTGGCATGACAAATGTGTATATCTCGTTAGGAACTTTTCTATTGTTTGCATATTAAAATAATATTTCAGATATATTAGGTTAAATAAAATATATTACTGTTTCTTTTTATTTTTAAACTTATCTAAATGTGGCTATTATAAAATTTAAAATTGCATATGTGGCTTGGATTTCATTTCTATTGGACAACACTAATCAGGCTGAAAGTTACTTTAAGGCATGATTTATGCTGAGCTCAAAGGAAGGCGCTTCCATAGGAAAGTGTTGCTTGACTGAGCTTGGCTCCCTATCTCAAAATGTTAACTTCAAATATACTTCAAAACTGAAATTTCATTCACTGCCTTCTTGGCAAAATCTGTTAGATAAACAAATCTTCTACTCTTTGAGACATGAAAAAGGATGGTTAACAATGTAACTAAACTTTCTTCCTTTGCAGACATACTTAAACCACGTTAAAGCAGAGATAAAACAGGCTCTAACATTGAAATGGGCTCATAATTAGGTGCTAATGTTGAATATCCTGTAATGTTTCAAAAAGACACAGATGCAGAAAGGCCAGGTCTGCACAAGGCAAGAGAGAAAACGTTGCATTTATGAATGCAAATATGTTACAGATATCCAAGTTCACCAGTCTATGCCTTACTGATACTTCTTGCTTTTTGGCATCTCCTCTTTAATTTCCACCACTTAACTGATTCACACCTGGGTCAGAGGCAAAGCCGTCTTCCTCATCTCTCTGATGAGCCTCTCCACTCTTTGCATCTCCCATTGCTAATCTGTCTTGTCCCCCTACCATTGCAAATCATCTCAACTTTTGGCTTAAGAACCTATGAGAGTAGCAGGCAGCCCAGGATCGAGGTCATCCTTGCATCAAAGCCTTAAAATCCGATTCTACATAATCCAGCCAAGCAAGAGATTCCAAAGGCAAGCACGAGAATCATTAATAATGAAGTAGTCTTCCAATCTATTCAAGTCAATCCTCAGTCTTTTTAATGCAACATTTACATTAAAACATAAAAATAATCCCTTTGTTTTGCATTTGTTTAATTCATTTACAAATTATTCCATATAATTAGAACTCAAAGAAAGTATCACTGTCTGCCAACAGGAACCAAATTTTCTTTTCAGTTCATAAGTTTTTTACCCTCCAAAACCTCATCTTAAAAAGTTTTGTGTTTGTGGGTGGTTATAAATGTTTTTCTAATCTAGAGCTCAAAGAAAATGTGGCCAAAGGATACTGCTTTGGGTAACCTCAGGAAGGAAGAATATCTCCAAAAATATTAAAAATAAAAAAGCAGATCATAGCTCTTAAGGCCCAGTATGCTAAATCCTCAGCGAGCCTGGATCATGTAGGAACGAGTAATTCTAGATAAGCACACATCCTGGATAGCTCAGGGTTAACATTCTAACTATCTTATTGTAAGAGCTTCTATTTCTCTAATGGAGACATTTTCATGTCTTTTAAAACCATTGAACAGTTTGTCTTATAAGCATAATTATAGGTGAAAATACAGATTAAATAAAGAGCTGATTGAATCTGTCATGATATTACCACATGAAGCAAATGTCTGCAGGCATCCACACTGACAATCCATTATGACTGTTATATCTTTTCAATATGGCACCCAGCGTCCTGGTAGGCCTAATATAAGGGGCTGCTGGCTGCCCCTCCAGCAAACGTTAGAGCAGTTCCTGACTCTACTTCTTCATTGCTGCTCTCTTTTCCACTGTCAACAGGAAGGGCAAACTGCTGTCCCTCTGTTGATTCTCACTTCTACCACCACATGGCCATGGGTGCCCACCTTGAGGTCCCAGGTGACCCCAGTACTGTTGCCACTGTGATCTCTACCACTCTGCTCCTCTTTGCTTTCTCCATCCTTAGTTCTCAAAATGAGCTTTTCATGCACCTATCACCACTGGGGTGGAATGTCTTTTTCCTTCTATAAGACAAATCCATGACGGAAGACACTGCTGGGTAAAAACACATCTGGATCCCAATTCTACTTTTAAGGAGAATTTCTTTTTTCTTTCTTTTTAAAAAAATTACTAGTCATTCCTGCAGGTTGGTATCCTACAAATCAAGGGTTTACTGTATGATTATTACATATCCATAAGAAAAAAATGACAATTTAAAAAATTTTAATGGCAAGCTCTGGCATATTAATTGGAAATCCTTGGTTCTTAGTCTAAACATTGAATTGTTGTGTAATCAATTTCTAGTCAAATAATCAATTTCTACTTCAGTTTCATTAATAATTATGATTAAGTCAGTAGCAAAAAAGCATGTTATTTCTCCTCGGGAAGATGTAAGACAGCTTAACTTAAGGGACCCTAAATATGGTCTTTGTAATCAGTGGACTTGAGTTTACAACCCAACTTCACCACTTATTTTTGTGACTTTGGAAAAGTTACTTAGCCTCTACAAGCCCCAGTTTCCTCATCTATAAAATGATATAAAGAAACCTATTAGAGAGTTGTAAGGAATTTTTTTTTAGATAGGATCTCACTCTGTTGCTCAGGCTGGAGTGCAGTGGCATGATCATCACTGCAGCCACAGCCTCCCTCGCTCAAGTGATCCTCCCGCCTCAGCTTCCTGAGTAGCTGGGACTGTAAGTGTGCCACCATGCCCAGCTAATATTTTATTTTATTTTTAGAGACAGGGTCTTGCCATATTGCCCAGGCTGGTCTCTAACTCCTGGGCTTAAATGATCCTCCTTTCTCTCCCAAAGTGCTGGGATTACAGGCATGAGCTACCATGCCCAGCCGAGAATTGTAAAGATTATAAAGTACTCGCATAAGTCATCAAGGAAAATGTATGACACAGAGTGGGTACTGGGATGGGGGCGGAGATTTTGCCCATTGCTGATCCCCTGGCAACAGACTAAAGAAGACTATACTGAGCCTCAGCTAGGAAAAGCAATCCTCAAATACTTGACAGCATGTAAGAATGCACTTTTAAAGATAATGATCTTTTTTCCTTTTTAGAGATTCATGGTACTGTTTGGCTTACAGCATTCCGCCTGAGCTTGCTGTAAACTATACACACACACACCCCACACACACACTCACACACAATGTAAACACACACACATATGCCACTGCCACCATGACTATCAGCCAGTTAAACAGATTATGGTACATTCACCCACAAATGTCCATATAAAAAGCATCCTAGTATCCTGTGGTTGGCCATCGTGGTTACTCCCAGCATGTTGGCCCTGATTAATGTGTGTGGGATGTGTGCGTAGGGGGTATTGAAATATACTGTATCCCAGTGTCCAGCGAAAGGCCAGACCGTGTTCACGTAAACAGTCCTGACATATTCTGTTTCAGTTTCCCATGACATAAAATAAACTGTCACCTACAAACTGCAAGTAAACTGAGAAGATTGTTAAGCACATATATAACAAAGAAACATCTAAATAGATAAATGGGGAGTTTTTTTTTTTTTAATAAGTAAATGTGCCTAGACAGACTATTACCTTACAGTGGAATAGACCATGCATGTCTAGCATTGCTTGGCTTTCTTGGTTCATTTTTTATAACTACATTATTGAGATATAATTCACATACTTTACAACTCACACATTTCAGGTGTTTGATTAAATGGTTTTCAGTATATTCACAGAGTTGTGCAACCATCACCACAACCAATTTTAGAATATTTTTATCACCTCAAAAAGAAACCCCATACCCATTATTAGTCTCTCTGCATTTTATCCCACCCCCAGCCCTAGGGAACCACCAATCTATATTCCATCTCCATGGATTTGCCTATTCTGGATATTTCATGTAAGTGGAATCACAAGAGAATATGTGATCTCTTGTGTCCAGCTCAAGAGAGACTTAGCACCATGTTTTCAAGGTTCATCCATGTGGGAGCGTGTGTCAGTACTTCATTCTTTTTCCTATTGAATAATATTCTCTTGTATGGTTGACCATATTTTGTTTATCTGTTAATCAGTTAGGATGGATTCTTGGGTTTTTTCCACTTTTTTGTTGTTATGAATAATGCATGTGCATTCATGTATAAGTTTTTTGTGTACACACATTTCATTTCTCTTGGGTAGATAACTAGGAGTGGAATTGCTGAGTCATATGGTAACTCTATGCTTAACTTTTTGAGGAACTGACAGGCTGTTTTTCAAAGTGGCTGCAGCATTTTACATTCCCACCAGTAGTTTATGAGGGTTCTAATTTCCCTACATCCTCACCAACACTTATTCTTTGTATTTTTTTCATCATTACTATCCTGGTGGGTGTAAAGTGGTATTTCCTTGTGGTTTTGATTTCCATATCCCTGACTGCTAAAGATTTTGAGCATGTTTTCATGTTCTTATTGGCTAACTGTATGTATGTTCCATGTGTTCATTGGCCATTTGGAGTTGAACGGGGAGGAGGTGTGGGATGATATTCAAAGGAATAGTGTAGGAATCAGATACAGGAATGATATCCTATAGTCCAGTATTTTTTTCTTTCTGCTGGCACAATGAATGTTCTAAGGAATTTATGAGTAGCTTTTTAATCTTAAGCCTGGGATTTGTGAGCTAACTATAAATCACTTAACCAAAGCATGATGAAATGCTATTCAACAAAATGCTGAAGGAAGCAGTAAGATTAATAACTAAAGACAACGTATGACTTCAACACTATAACTTAAAAAAAATCAAAACAACAAAAATAGAACTATAAGTCTTCTGTCCATTAGTCAAAGGTGTTATCACTGGCTCCTAGGTCACAGATTGAGACCTCAGCCTGGTTAGTCTGTCAAGCAGAGTTCACTGAAGTAAACGTGTGTAAGGAGGCAGGGAGGGGGAAGCGGAATGGAAGAGTTTATAACAAAAATCGCAACCAGATTCTCAATGCATACAGTGTGGCAAACGTTGTATAAGCCTCACGGGTGAACTACAATATTGGTTATTCTTGCCACAAGTCTGCCAGGATTTCTTAAAAAGTTGTTGCTCTCATTGGTGGTTTGCTTGTCTGTAACAGAGAAGGGCAACAAAGTTCCTTCCATGTACACAGTTTCCTCTTGCTCTGTTTAATAGCCACAAGCAGCTTATAAGCATAAAACTCTATCCAGGTACAACGGAAGCACCCTTAGCCATAGCTATAATAGGCCCAGGGAGAGGAGGTGACCGATGCAGCAGTTACCCAGTCAATAGGGGTCTATGAGGAAGCATGATGGAAGAGTTTTCCCAGTATGGACGCTGCTGCCCAAATTGAGAGTTGTAGAAATTGCCGTTCAGTGGGTGCCGGGAACAGACAGAAGCAGATTTAAAGGCAGTAGGACGACAAAGTAGTCATCCATGAGTTCTTCCTACCAGAGTTTACAAGATATCTGAGGGTGGCAATGCTATGGGTATCCTGGCAATAAAAGACCTCCTATTCTGAGTGTCCAAAAGGCTGTAACACAATTTCATCACATCTCTTTTTTCTAATTGAGGAAATTGATCATCACACACACACACACATACACACACACACACACACGCACACACACACACGCATCCTCCAACCCTCACACTGCTTAACTGTTTCTATAACTTCCCCTTACTCCAATATCCTTACTCTGTGGCCTGTAAGTCCCTGCCATTTTTCTTGACCACCGCACCCATCTCTCCAAAGCTCTGTTCTGCTACTGTTCCCCTTACTCCTTCACTCAGTCTGCTACTTTCTTCACTCATTTGCTTGAACTTGCTATGCCACTTTGCTCCTCAGCATCTTTGCACAAACTATTCCTTCTTTTCTATAGTGTTTTCCGTATGTTAATCCACCTAATAATCATCAGCCTGTAGGTCTTGGCCTAGTCTTCACTTTTAAAGCATAACAGATATAATAACTAGGGCCACCGACACGTAGATCCACAGCCTGCAAGAAATGGGGTGGGGGGTTGTCTCTGGCTTGCACCCCATGATTCACTGGATATCTATGTCAAGTGTTCACTCAGGAGCACAAGCAGGGGCCTGTGGCCACATGTCCTCTGGCCTCTCCAAGTCTTGCTGCCAAGTGCCAGGGCTGGAAAATGGTTGAAGTGGATGACCCCCTGCCACTTCCTCCAAGGTGACACTGTGAAGGTGGAGCAGGACATCCATACTCAGGGGACACAGATTCTCAAGCAAGGAGAGGTGGAGGGAGCCTTTTGTGTACACTTTACTTTGATAATGGATACTGCTGGAATATGGGCAGACTGCAGTGGACTATTTTTAAAGAAAAGGATCTGGTTTTAAATTCATATGTGGTTTTGTGATTTTAAAAGGAGGACTACAAAAAATACTGTTGTGAAGCAAATGATCACCATCTAATGTGCCTCTTGTTTGTTATACAAATAAAAGTTATAACTAAAATAAAACACTTCACACTGGCTAGGATGGCTACTATCAAATAGACAAAGCTGGATGTGGTGGCACATGCCCATACTCCCAGATGCTCAAAAGATTGAGGTTGGAGGATTCCTCAAACCCAGGAGTTCAAGACCAGTCTGGGCAACATAGCAAGATGCTGTCTCTAAACATTACTACTAATAATAATAACAACAACAAGTACTGGTAAGGATGTGGAGAAACTGGAACCCTCAAACACCATTGTGGGAATGTAAAATGATGCAATCACTTTGGAGAACACTCTGGCGGCTCCTCAAATAGTTAAACATAGAGTTCCTATAATGACCAAGCAATTCTACTCCTAGTTATATACCCACGAGAAGTGAAAGCATACATCCATACAAAACATATACACAGAAGTCCATAGCAGCATTATTCATAAAAGCAGAAAAACTGAAAACACCACAAATGTCCATCACTTGATGAATGAATAAGCAAAGTATCATGTTTCCATATGATGAAATATTATATGGTGATAAAAAGGAATGAAGTACTAATACATGCTGCAACATGGGTGAACCTCGACAACACACTCAGTGAAAGGAGACAGTCACAAAGGACCACGTATTGTATGATTCCATTTATGGAAAATCTCAAGAACAGGCAAATCTAGAGACAAAAAGCAAATTAATGGTTGTCAGGGGCTCAGAGTAGCATTGGTGGAGGAGATAAAAAGAGAGTGACTGCCAGTGGCATGGAGTTTCTTTTGGGGAAACAAAAATATTCTAAAATTAGCTAGTGGTGATGGTTGTACAACTCCGTGAATGTACTAAAACCCACTGAACTGTACACTTTAAATGGGTGAATTGTATCACATGTGAATTACATCTCAATAGAGAGGGTTTAAACAAATGATGCTATACCTTGAGTTTACAGAGCAAAATGTCCCTACATAACTTTGTGTTTCCATGTTTGACCACTTAGCAGGAAGGCCTCTCAAGTTAATGAACACATTTCCGGCTCTCGCAAGACAGTCTTACTGATTGCTATGAGACTAAAATTCCACATGAACAGAACCATAGTGTCTGGATGACCTTGATGAGCAAGAGAATTATAAATACAAGTTAGAAAATTTTCAAAAAAGAAGGAAGGAAAAGAAGTTAAAGTGGGAATAGGGTGTTACCACTGTGCTAGAAAAAATAAAAAGAGAGAAACAAACAAACAAAAAAATGGGTGAAAAGTTGTTTTTAGTAGAACCTCTTTAAACAAGGGGAATGCTTTCAACAGTCCCAAGCAAATTTCAGTGTCACATGGTTAAGGCCAAAATATCCCAAAATAAGATGAATAAGATAAGATTATGGCCCTGTTGCTATGACTTCATTATGTGGAATATAGATATTGGGCCTGTGTCACTGGCAGACATTATTTATATATATATATATATATATATATATATATATATATATAAAATATACAAATATATATGAAATATATAAACATTTATTTATATGTTTACGTTAGATTTATATATGCATATATAATAAACATAAATATATAAACAAATGAACATATATTTATAGGAAGATAACTTTATTTTGGTATAATTGATACAGCATAAAATTTATGCATTTTATGTGTACAATTCAATGATATTTTAGTAAATGTACCAAATTGTGTAACCATAACTATTAATTCAGTTTTGCAACATTTTTATCAAATTATATAGACAGTCCTGGTGGCTGCTCAGATATGTTTTTGCTTTTGATTTTAGAAAGTCGAGTTTCTTAGAAGTCTGGTGTCTAGTTCAGTGGGATGTTTATGTCTTAACTACAAATGGGTGCTTGGTCAGATCACTGAATCCTGAACAACTAGCAAAAAATAAAAAGGTGTTTCCCCTCATTTATTAGATTTTGAACTTTCTAAGAGGTGGCCTAGAAAGGAAAAAATATATATATACCATTACTAACGTATTTCAAGTTTGATTGTATAATATTGATTTTAATCCTTCATTTGTAAATAAGTACTTTTTGATTCTCTTATTAACTCATACTCTAAAACAACTTCATTGAGATGTAATTTACATTCTATAAACTTCACCTGTAAACTTACTGCGTTGGATAACCATCACCACAATCCAATTTGAGAACATTTTTGTCACTTCAATAACATCCCTGGGGCTCACTGACAGTCACTCTCCTTTCCCAACCACAGCCCCAGGAAACCACTAATCTATTTTCTGTTCCTATGGATTTCTGGAAGGCATTACACTTTCACACACAGATAGAAAAAGATATATCAAAAATATATCTCTCCTTTAAGAAAATCCTATCTCTACCCCAGAATTTCAGTGTTTGTGATGTTTAAAATTTTTAAGTAATAAATAAAAGTTGCCACAAATGCTATGAAAAACAGTCCCCCAAATGAGAAGTTTCTCCACCATAATATACATTTTAAAGTTTATAATAACCAATTAATAGACAGCACTTTAACACCATGTGATATTTTCCTGATTAAAGCCAAAAGCTACTAATTCTACCCTGCTCCATGACTAACCAGCCTCCCACCAAAAACAAAAATCCAAAACACTTTAGAACACATATTGTTCATTTTATTTGCAGACAAAACTCCTGGACTACTGGTCTCCTTCAAATTTGGATCATAAGCTGAATTAAGCAAGGGAAACTTCCCAAAATGACATCCTATTCTGCAGCTTTTTAGAGCTACAGAAACTTTTCTAGACATTAAATTCTCTTTAAAGATAATCCGGAATTATGTTAGACTAGTTTAAAAACCATCACTTTTCATAGCAACATGATTATATTGTGGGCATTTCCAAGTTAATTATAGATCTGTCATTTTAAGGAATAATCATTAATTGAGATCTTTTCATTGAATTAATGAAGGGATATTGTACAGCTGCAACAAAATAACCCTTTTCCCCTTAACCATCAATGGAGAGAATTCGTACCATGGTAATTTGGAAGCTACCACCATCATGTATGCATATATCATAGTTCTCAAGAAAATATTGTTCCCGAATTGTCTTTTCCTACTAAAGAAATAACCCTTGGTCAATGTGACAAATATATGACATTGAGTCATTTCCACATAACTCTCCAGCAGACCACATCTGTGAAGCTAGATAAATCCTGTTTCAATTTGGATTGCCATAAAACACAACACTCTTTTCAGGCCAGTCCATGGACTTCTGATAGCAGCCTTCACAGGCCACAGGTTGCCACTTTCCAAGTCTAGGATGCTGTGGCTCTCACAAGGGTGCTGACCCGGTTTCTATTTTCAACTGGAATTTCCTCCTCTGGGGTCATTTGATTTCCACCCTCAGAGACATTTTCCTGGTTCTCTGTTCTGTGCCCCGACCTACTCGTTGCTTCAAAACCAAAAAGAATTCCAGGTTCATCCTCCTGCACAGTCCAGTGAGACAAAGACTCGTGGACATTATGCTTTCAATCTGGTGGAAGCCATGGTTTTTTGAACCTCAGTGAGACCCTCTTAGAAGACACCAAGGTGACATTTACTCAGGAAGCTGCTGAGCTCTAAGACAAGACCTGCAGGAAATGATAGCGGGAGGCCATGGTGTAGAGCTAAAGCTGTTAAGACGTCTTCATTCAAAGGGTCACAAGAATGTGGAAGAGTCAGCCAAAAGAAACATCACAAAGTGTAAGACAGGGCTACTTCCTTTGGCACAACACTGGCTGCATTGGCAGGACCCAGAGATGGCTCACCCCCAGCTCTTGTGGCTGAGCGCTCAGCAAGCCACACGGAGTTTAAAGAACAGGAGACTGGTGTTTTTAGAGTCAGCTCCTGGAGGCCCTTTATGTTCTTGCCTCTGAGGGAGTTCTGGATACAGTAACATAAAAATCTCAGATACATCCACAAGAAGAACTAGCATTTTAAACCCATGAGTAAATGACACTTTTCTGAGTTTAAGTCTCCCTTTCGCACTGGTAAGAATGGCAATGTTTATGAAAATTATTCTGCCTAGAATAATTGCAAAATAAACCATGAAACATATACTATTTTTAACTTAAAATTTTTAAAGCATTTTCCAGTGATGTAGAGATTGGACAAGGCAAATAGTTTTCAGACACTATACTTGCAGATGCATCTTCTTATTCAAGAGGAAGCCTTAGAGTAAAAATTGGAGACTAACCTTTTAAAAAAATGTTTCCCTTAGCGCTATACACATACCCAGTTCTGCACATATACTGGTGAATCAATGAATGTTCACTGACATTTTGCCCTTATCTGAAATATACCCACCACTCCCCTCCATACCAACAATATGTGTCCCTTTCTTTTGCCTTCATACTGATGTAACGTAGACCTATCTACAGTGTCTGTGGTAATTTGAGACATAGCATTAGACTAGAGATAGGCAAACTTTTTCTGTAAATGGCCAAAGAGTAAACATTTTAGGCTTTGCAAGCCATGCAGTTCATTGCAACCAACCACTGAACTCTGCTATCATAGTGTGAAAGCAGCCAAAGACAATATGTCAATAAATGCACATGGCTGTGTTCTAATAAAACTTTATTTATGAACACTAAAATCTGTATTTCATAAAATGTTCACATGGCATAAGATATTCTTCTTTTGGTATTTTTTTCAACCATCTAAAAATGTAAAACTGATTCTTAGCTCATAGGAGACACAAAAGCAGGCAGTTGTCTGGATTTGGCCTGTGGGTCATAGTTTGTTGACCCCTGATTTAAGAACTGAGCTACCGTAATATGGCAGACAGTCTACTAGATATGATCACGTACAGAGCAAACTGGAAAAAAAAACAGGCCTTGGCAACTGTTCAATCAAGTTGATATAATAGAGGAAGATATGGTGAAGGTGTTCAAACTTCAATGAGACAAGATTCTGTGTGTGTACTTTAAGTGCATTGCTTTTAATGTAGCTTATCCATTTACATGTCAAAATTGATCAAATTAATAATTTAATTGCCAAACGTTGCCTCTGGTGTGTTTGGCCTAAAGGATTAATATATTTTTCTTTCATTCATAAATCACCTCATCCTTAATTTCTTCTAGGTTTTGAAACAGTAGCTAAATTCAGAAATCTTTTAAAAGTGATACTAGTAAAAAGAAGCAGATAAAAAATCTCCAGGGAGATGTTGGTCAAGGATACAAAATTTTAGTTAGGCAGGAGGAGTAAGTTCATATTCCTTGTTCAACATGGTGACTATAGTTAATAACAATGTATTATATACTTCAAAACTGCTAAGACAATAGATTTTAAGTGTTCTCACCACAAAAAATAAGTATGTGAAGTAATGCATATGTTGATTATCTCAATTTAGCCATTCCACAATGCATACATATTTCAAAACATATTGTACATCATAAATATATTTAATTTTTAATTGTCAATTAAAAATAAATTTTAAAAAGTATCCAGGGAGGTGATTCTGAATGGTTTCTTTTTGATAGTTTGAGGAACCAGAGCTGCTACACACAAGGAAACAGGGACGAGTGTCGCAATTCTGTTTAAATGTTAATATCATTCAGTCTATTTCTATATTCCCTTAATGTCTACTCAGTCTTTCTCCAATCACTGTGGATTTATGGGAACTGATATCAGTGAGAGAACCTCAAAACCCTGCTTTTGTCATTTAATTGGGTCATGATGACATAGATATTGACATCCATGACAGAAAGAACTCACTGACGAAACAGAAAAAGAAAATCAGGATAGATTTGTACCTTCTTAAAAGTATTGGCATTCTCAGGATAAACTGATTAAACACTGAGGTAAAGTGAATCAATTCCCCCATCTCTTCATCCCTCGTTGCTTCACATCCTTACCACAGCCCCATCATGGAAGGAGTGCATTTCCCCACACACTGAAGTTAGGCTTTTACATGTGACTTGCTGTGGCCAGTAGCAGGTGGGTGGAGACAATAGTGTGTCAAATTCCTGCCTACGTCTCAAGAGTCTTCAGTTGATCCCACTTGCCATCTTGTGCCTTTGTCATTGCTGAACTTCTTTGGGTAGATGCTGCCAGCCTGGGCCCCAGGATAGATACACATGGGACAGAATTGACAGAAGAGCCTTGACACTTTGGCCTCTGGTCAAACAGCTGAGCTCTGTCTAGCTAAGCCAACCCTAACCGACCCACAGATCCACTAGGATCCGTGATGGTTTTTTTATGCCACTGAATGTCAGAGTAGCTTGTCACACAGCATTAGTGTGGTGATAGCTAACTGATACAAACACACTTCTACATTTTAGACAACACAGCTATAAGGTAAAGTACGATTTTGTGTGTCTATGTGCATATATGTATGCATGCTAGGAGTTCTATATTTCATTCCTTTCTAATGACGCCTTAAATAAAAATGTGCCCTCCCCCACCTGCGGCAGCACAGAAATATCATGGAAGGCCTCATTCTCAAACCAAGTTTCCTCTTAGACTCACTACATGAGCCTTTGATCCTTTACAGATGTTTGCAATGGGTGATACAAAGTATCTGCGTGGTAATGGTGACATTACCTGTCTAATTTTAATGCAATTAAATTGCATTAAAAGCAAGAGTTGGGCTCAGTATGACTACATTTAAAAAATGTTCTTCCTTTCTAATAAATATCAAGTCATAATCATATGGTAAAACTGAAATATGTGAAGTATCTAGTAAGTTTGCCTATGTTTGCAGAATCAGACAGCATCAGCAGTTTGGACACCTTTTTTAAAATAGTGAGCACCAAATAAATGCAGGAAGTCTTTCTAACTGTGTCCCGATGATAAGGTTTCACTCTTCAGCAATCCTGAATAAAAACAGCTATTAAGGATTTTTTGAACCAGTTCATCATGATAAGGTTCAAACCTTTCCCCAAGAGAGGTCTACGAACGGCCACTCCCTTTGAAATGGATGAATAAAAATGCATGTGTGCCATGAATGCCAAGGTTTACGTAACTGTTGTGCTGCCCAGAGCCCAGCTCGGTCATGGCTACCTCAAATCCATGCAGGACTCGTGTTTATCCTTGTTCGTAAATACTTTTGGAAAACCCTGACAAGGGCAGAGTGCCAGCTCTCATGTACCTTTTCCAGGCTGCTGCAAGTTCAGTCACGCGGTTGTCGGTCCAGAAATGGATGTGCCGTTAGAACAGCCATGCAAAGAGGGAGTGTGCCGCATTTACGCAGGAGATAAACTCTGCCGTGTTTCAATCAAAAGCAGTTTGCTAGTGAAAACACAGGTGTTGGAATTATAAAATTACCACAACCCTCAAACCCTCAACTAAAAATAACAAACAGGATGTTCTTTATATGGGTGTGTACATATATATATATATATATATATATATATATATATATATATATATATACACATACATATATATGCATTGCTGACAACAAGGACACACCAAAATCCTCTCTGATCTCCCTATCAATTCACCATACTTTCTTCTGTTATGTTTATGGATGCTTTGGGTGTAAATAATCAATGGAGACAGGAATGTTTCCACCGTGCAGCAAGAACAGGAGGAAGAATTTAAAATGTGTCATCTTATGGAGACAGTTCAGTGGTAGCCCAGATTCAGGATGAGGGCAGGAGTAGGGTGGATGTGAATACAAAGGGGTAGCATGGGGGGAGTGCTTTTGCGGTGATGGACCAGCTGTGTATTTTGAATGCGGTAGTGGATATGCCAGTCTGTACAGGTAATAAAATTGCACAGAACTGCACGCATATATACATACATAAAAGAATGCATGTAAAAACCTGGTAAAATGAGAATCTGTAGTCTAGTTAATAGGATTGTCCCAATGTCAGCTTCATGGTTTTGATATTGTGTAAATAAGATGCTACCATTGAGAGAAGCTAGATAAGGGGTACATGGGACCTCTCAGTACTATTTTTGCAAGTTCTTATAAGTCTTCAATTATTACAAAATGAAAGGCTTTAAAAAGTATTACCTCAAAGGTATCACCTTAAGCCAATGGCATGTCAACAATCACCCACTGCACAGTGATTCAAGCATGCAGACTTGGCAATCAAATTAAGAGACAAGGATTTGAGTCCCAGCCCCACTACGTACTAGCTGTGTGGCCCTGAAACAGACATAAGGTCAGAGCTTTGGTTTCCTCATCTTTTAAATGAGGATAATAGGACCTATCTCACAGGGTTATTTTAAGGATTAAGTGAGATAATATATGTAGAATAAGCAGGACTCATAGAGAGCATTCAATAAATATTGGCTATTATTATTACTCTAAGTCAGACTAAATATTTCTGAGAGCTTTAAATCACTGATTAATTTCATTGACACTCAAGTACATACTAAGCATCAGGCACATGCTATAAATGGCCAAGCATTGAGTCACACACAATATAGTCCCTGGTTCTGGTCTGCGTCCTTTTGGATTTTCTGGTTCTGTTGTGAATATGGTCTCCAAAGAAGCAGGATGAATATTTATGAAAGTGGGTGCACAGAAGACTCAAGGAGGAACTAACTTAAGAATAAGAGGTACTTTCTGCAGTCCAGGTTGAAATGAGAGTTTTCTCTCTGCTAAAATTTACTGGGGTACAGGGCGGTTTAACTGCAATACTTAGCTGCAACCATTCCTTGACCAGCAGAGATAAATGAAAATTGCCTTTCAGTCAAGCACAGGTTAGACCATTTGTGTTGATGTGCAATTTTAAGAGTTAAAACCCTTTACCCATCAACCAGAAAAAAAGCCAAACCAAATCTTCCTTTTTCTTTGTTTGGCAAGGAAATTACATTAGACTATCCTAATGGGCTTAGAGGGAAAAAAAATCTAATTGTAGTCTATATTAATACATTTACATATTTTGAATTATATTAATAAATACTAATAAATTTAGACCAGGGCACTTTAAAGTAATGAACTTTCCAATATTAGATTAATGACAAAATATACGTAGAATATATCACTCTCTACTAAATGCTTTAATAGGTTTGTGATATAAAAATCCTTAAAAGCAAGCACACCACGTATGGATGGAGCTGGCATAGCACCTGAGTACTTTAAATGTGGTAGTCAAAATAATCTACAGTGTGGAAGAAAGAGACATTTGAAGCAATTTGGGAGACTTCTATATACTTAGGAATTTAAGGTCTTTCATAAATGTAAGCAAACCCCAAACAAGACTGAAAATGCTTGTAATGATATTTTATGTTTGTCAACACCGACCCCCCCTCCCGCCAGCCCTCAACAAAAATAGGAAATAAAATGTTCTGCCCTTCTCTGTGCTGGTCTCACTGGATTGGCTGGGCTTGGGCCCAGAAGGAGATGGAGAACAGGGAGACCAAGAAGTCAGAGTATTTACTGTTCCAGTCTATCCCTGCTTCTCTGTATTTTGCCCTTGCTGGAGTCTTCTCTGGACACATTGCCAGGGTCCCTTCCAGCCAAGGCTGCAAGTCAGTGGGCTCTGGTAACGCTGGTCCCTCCCTGGTAACAGCTTCTCAGTGTTGCTAATTGCTGGGTGCTTCACCACTCACCGTTGGTTCCTTTAAACCTGTCAACACATTGGCGTAGTTCATTCCTCAAATTAAGCCTTTTGAGTGATTTATCTGTTTCCTGTTTGGATCCTGATCGACACAAAGCCCTTGACTGTGAATCAGTAGCTAATGTGGGAGGATGCCTTAACTTTTGAGATAAAAGTTAAGACCGTGTTTTGCATTTTGCTCAGACCATCGAAATGGCATCTTAACATGAATGGAACTGTTGAAAGTCATGTGCATAGATACCCACAGAAATAATACTATGTGTTATGTTACCATTTTCAAATCATTCTAGCAAACTCAATGTTCCATACCCTTGCTAATCTATTATTCATCTGTGGGTCTAATTAACATGGCATCACCAAGCTAGGAACCTAGAGCAATGTCCAGGGATTTGTGCCCATGTGGAGAGGCACCCACCTGGCACAGAGATGCTTGGCAAATATGGAGCCCACGTGCTCCACAAAGTGCTGAGATGCTTTTAGCCTCTGTATTGCACTTGGACTGGCTTATACATTTCTTTACCAGATATTTCAGTCAACTGCAGAAAGGGGTCATTCAAAAATATGTTAAAAGTTTATTCATCTAAACTACTTCTGTTGCTGTTGCCATGGCAACTTTTCTCTAAAGCCACAACTCCAAATTCTTCTAAAATTGTTATTTCAGAAATCTAATTTAGCTGACATCCCAAACACTCAAATTTTACTATAAGATTTTTTTTTATGTTAGAAAAGTTCTAAGAAAATGACAAGTATCCGAAGAGAAGAGGAGAACAAGCCTGACAGGTTTTCATTTGAAAGAGTCATGGCATCTTTCAAGGAAATTGGAAGTGGAAGAGTCTTCAGTAACAGTAACTGTATTTGAATGAAAAAATTTGGCTTATATTTTGTATATGTTTCTTGTATTGAAAAGTATCCCATATTCACATCCAAGTAGTCACCACAAAGATAGTGAAAGCAGTACCACATAATGACTGGTGGGAGTCCTTGTTGCATCACTGGATCTACCTTTACGTTTTTAAGTATTCAGGGTATATTTAAGAATAAAATAAATCAGAAAAATTGGTCTTTTGAAAATAAGGTTAGAATGAGAAAACCTGAGAACAGAAAGTACATTAAAAGATATTAAATTAATTAATTGTGTTTGTAAACAGTGGTCTCAGTCCAAAATGTGGCAAGCACCCAAGACCGTTAAATCTATCCCCACCCTCCCCATCATCTCGTAACTCACAATCTAAAACAGACCATGCTAATGGACATGCAGTGACATGGCCAGGAGTTAAGAACGGGCTCTGCAATTCAATGGGAGAACAGGTAGGCCACAAACCCGCCTGCCACCCTGGGCTGCTCAGGAGATTTTGAACCCTGATGTGATTGAGAGAGAAACGCTGGGAGCCACTGTTTCCCTCCCTCTTTCCTTTGGCTTTTCTTTCAGCAACTCTTCCCTTTTCCCCAGAGCAGGCCGGTCTGTGTCATTATCCTCAAGGAGTAGGGACAGAAGCAGGCACTCTAGTTTCTCACTTTCATACAGATGCAGATCCCACATCCACACACCAAGGCTGCTGAGCACTCCACACATCCTCATTTGGAGATTATAACTTCTAATTTTAGGCCCACGATTAACACATTTGTTAAACGGGTATTCTGGCTAAATCAGAAGAGAGGTGGCAAATTAGGCAAGGCTGTTAGACGGTCATAAAGGAAGAAGTTAGCTAATGTCTGACATGAGAGAGAAGACAGTAAACATTTTTTTAACCCAAGATTAGGAAGGGCTTTGGCATTGAGGAGTGAAGAAACAAAAAGCCCAAGATGCTGAGGCTTCTGGAAGGACCACCAACACCCTCTCCAGAGTAATCCCCACACAGTATGAAACACACTGTTCATAACTGTGACTCACAGCCAGGGAAGCTCACTCACATTTTCTCACCTCTATCTCTGAAAACCCAAGAAACTACGAATAATGTATTTTAGAAAGTGCCATACAAAATTGTTCTCAAAAACATTTAAGATTTTGATATCTACTGAGATACAATTAAGTCAGGGTTTCTCTGTCTCAGCACTATTGACATTTGAGGCTGGACAACTCCTTGTTGGGTTGTGTTGTGCTTTGTAGGATGTTCAGCAACATGTCAGGTCTCTACTTAATAGATGCCTGTGGCAACCCCTGCCAGTTATGATAACCAAAAGTGCCTCCAGACATTGCCCAGGGTCCTCTGGTTCAGAACCACTGGTCGATTTTACCTAGAATATGGATACCGAGGGACATATTGCCAGATGACATTATATAGAGGAAGTATTCCTATACCTTTTGTATCATTAGAGAGTTTGGCTGAAATGAACACTGGGTGGTAAAACAAAGGACTGCTCTGAAAACTTGTACTAGATTACCTCAGAGTCAGCTGAGGTGAAGTATTGTATTGCACTTTCTGAATCTACTTTGCTGCTGAATCCTACATTTTGTAGGGGCTGCTTGAGTAGTAAGTGGTTCACCGTGTAAATTAATCAGTGTTTGCCAAACCCAGCTGATATTGGAACCACCCCCAAAGCTTTTTCAAAGGATTGATTCCAAGTCTGGTCCTTAGAGATTCTCGTTTAGTAAGAATTCAGTGAAACTGGAAAGCTAATTTTTAGTCTCGTCTCTCCCTCTGACCTCAATCATCAACTAATAAAGGGTTAAGTTTGGAAAGTCCTAGCGTAACCTAGGGAAAAATACACAGGCAGCCAGATTCATGTTCTCATAAATATTTATTGTATGCCTACCCTGTGCCAGGACCTGCTCTAAGGCAGTGGAAAGACAGTGGGAAAGGATCATTGGGTCCTTGCCCTGAATAAACTTACACACTAGTCAGAGGAGACAGACAAACAATGAATATATAATATAATACCAAGTGGTGATGTGAACAATGAGGGAAGTGGCTAGTGTGATATGATCCAGGGTAACTGAGTGGGCTCAGAAACACTTCAGAGAAAGCAGTCAGGAAAGGCGACATTTTTCCTGCAATTTGAAGGATGTAAAAAAAAAAAGCCTATCACACAGAGGACATTCCAGGCAGAAGGGACAGCAAGTACAAAGGCTTGGGGCAGAAAAGAACTGGTCGCATTTGAGGAACAGAAAGGGCACAGATGTGGCCAGGCAATGATAAGCTTGTGGAGTGGGGTGTGGTATGAGGCAGAGAAGACCATGTAAGGAGCACTTGGAAGGTCAAGGTCATGGATGAAGCTATTATTCTAAGTGGAATGGAAACCAACCAAAGAGCTTAAGCACTGAAATGTCACTATTTCATTACCTTTTAAAAAGATTGCACTGGCCATAGGGACAGCCAACCACTCACTGAGATGGGAAAGTCTGAGAATGAAACAGGTGACAGGGAAGTGAGGAATCAAGAACCCAATGAAGACTTTGTATGACTGGACAATAATTTCACAACCAAGTTGAGAGTCATGTGTGTGTGGTCCAGGGTTATCACAATGTGGGAACAGGAAAAGTAAATAATAAAAGTTCATCACCAGAAAGGACTAGGCAAAGGGTGGTAATTGTTTTCAAATGATTGGCAGAGATGTCTGCTATGCAACATCCAACAGGAATCTGATTTTTTATCAATTAGTAGTGGTACTTAATGAGTGGTTTGAAGGAGGGGAGATGTAGCTTCCTAAGATGATGGGGCTTCCACACCAAAGAGGCCTCATCCAGGAAAATTTCTGCATGCAGCAGAAAAGTAAGCATGCCAGGTTGGGGGTGGGAGTAGAAAAGGTATCTACAATTAGTAGAGGTGTCAATTAAGAGGATTCAATAATCTCTCACATATTTGTAAGTTGAAAAAATTTTGCTTTTATGAGGAGACAAATGACAACCAGAGTAATATAAAAATGGTTTTATAAAAGTAAGTTCTGGGCCATGCCACAGGTCAGTATAAGTTCTGCTGAGTTTCCTAAGATGTCTACACTGTTAGCACCGATGGATGATAACTGATTCATATCAGCATAGGCCTGCAACGGCGCCCAGTTCTGGGCATCTTCAGAATTACCAGAGAGTATCCTGTATTCAATACCACTCAATTATTAAGCAAACTTAATGACTTCAAAGTCTTTGAAAATTGAATGTTCATAGAGAACAAACGTGGAAACTTTCATAGTTTCCATTCTATGTGAAAACAGGTTCTCTGTCAGGGTAAGCAGCTTGGCACTTCTGGTGAGTTCCTTAGGAAGGGGTTAACTGGAGCAAGGGCAGAGTCAGCATCTGATTACAAGGCTGTGGTCAAAAGCACAGATGGTGCAGTGACCACACCAAACAGGAAGTGACATCAGCAGCAGAGGAGCTCAGACTAGACCAGTACAAGGAAGGAGAATGAGCAGCTTAGGACCTCAAAAACTAGGTCTCAACTACTAGATTCATGAAGTCATTCAACACATTTCTACTGAGCACCTACTGTGCTTCCAGCACTCTGCTAGGTGTCCAGGTGACAGCAGGGACAAGACACACATAGTACTACTCCCAGCAAGTTTTCAACCTGCCAGCGAGAGAGAAATGAATGATGTCAGTCCAGGGATTCCTGATGGTGACTGTATAATGGACACTGATTTGCTTTTCTCTGCCCCACTTGAGGGTAAAGACAGGTTGGGGCACCAGGAGAGAAGAGCTTGAGCCTCCTAAGGTCCCCAGTAAGTCACAAGGCCAAGCTTTTAATCCAGATTTTTTTTAGTGTCTTTCAGAAAGACATAAAGATATTGCATTGAACTTAATGGATACTTAAATTTTTAGTTTTTGTCTACACTAGTCAAATTTAAAAGCTATTTGGCCATGCAATTTGACAATACAGATAGTCACATTAAGTCACTGAAGGTCCAACATTTGGTTGTTGGTTTATTACTGTGGCAAAGTGGATCGCAGAGGGATGATTAGGTTCGACTATCCTCATTGTCTAAATGACTCAGAAGAGCACTGCAGGATCAGGGCACCTGGATAAAGCTCTCAGTTCTGTCAGCAGCGACACATGTGCTGCCTTGAATTCTACTGTTCTGAGCTTAGATTTCTTCAATCAGGAAACAGAAAACCTGCATAAGGCAGCAATTGGATTTCAGACTGAAATTGACCTAGACTGTGTTCAAATATTTTGCAATCTGTATAAGACAGTAACAAGGAGGGAAATATCATTATGACTATTTGCTTATTATATAAACTTCAAGAGCTTCTCTAGAAATGCTGCCAGAAAATCATTGATTCATTCATGTCATCCTCATCCTTCATACTCTATCACCTCTTTATCCCATCCAAACTAAGTCTGACAGGTTCTATGTTCTAAGCATCTCTCCAATATGCCAACTGCTCTCAACCTCCTACCCAGCTGCCACCCTAGCATCAGTCATCTTCTCGAATCTCTCCCAGGCCCAAATACCAGGATGCACTCTAGCTCCTCCTCATCCTCACTCCATACTGGGATCATTTCAAAATGTAAATCTGATTCAGTCACCAAAAGGCATCAAGGACAACACCCAGCTGGAAGGACGGAGTCACCATAATCTGAACGTGGGAAAACTGTAGGAGGAAATTTTTTGAGGAGAACATTAGCTGCTAACACACATTATTTTCTGTGTGTGATGATAAAGCAAGAAGACAGTTGTATTATACTTTGAAAATGTCTGTTTATGTAAATGGAGGATGTTCTTGTCTAGTTAATTGCATTTTGCTCTCTGTGACCATTATGACCATTTAAAAAGATGAGTGAGATGTCCATAGCAACTCCTAACATTTTCACTATCTAACTGTCTCTTTGGAAAATTGACCAAATACCTGGAACACAACAGGCATTCAACAAATGTTTATTGAATGAATCAAATGTGAGCCACTGACCTCTTATATGCAGTCTCACCTTGGACAAACGAAAAAGCACTGAAGGAAGAGCATTACATACTTATCCCCGAATTATATTTCAGAGGAGGCAGGAGGTATTAAGGACACATGGAGGGTCATTCATGTCAAGGAAGACAGACCCAAAAAAAACCCAAGATCACAGGAAAATGCACAGTGGGACAAAACCCTGTTGAGCAAAGTAAGTGGAATATTTGTGCTAAACGGCAAAACAAGCTCTGGAATTATCAAAACCCAAATGAGGGAAGTAAACAAAAGTGCAGCGTTAGAATAGATATTATACCACCAAGGGTTATACTAATATGAAAAACAATGGGTCGCACTTAATAAAGAACATTCTCTGGACACGTGACTGATTCAGAGCTGCTGCTTTCTCATCCTAAAGTATGCATAGGAAACTTCAGAGAGCCCGGGTGACTTATTCCAACCTGGAATCCCAACAAATTCCCTCTGGAATCTTCCTTTTTATAGTCTTAAACCAGAATATACATACATGATAATCTGTACTAGAATAAAGGGCTATTTCATCAGCAGTCTTCAGAGCCCCAAGAGGGGACATTAGCATCGGCTTGACTCTTCAGTTTATGATTTTAGAAGAATCAGACAGCCTAATTAAATGACAATTTTAAAATATTTTTGTAATATATTTACATAATTGAGGCAATAACCATTCATTGAATGAATAGATTTTTTTAAAATTAAGGAGCCCGTTCTCACCTTTCCTCCCCCACCCGCACTCTTGCAAATGGCAAAGACCTCAGATCATGAATCAAAGGGTACCAGCACACAGTTCAAAAAGGTGGTGGGGTGGAGATGTTGAATGGGCACAATGAGCACAGACTCTACTTCCTTCAGTGTAAAGCAACCTCTGTTGAAAAGTGGTTACCCTTTAAACTACTTTAAAAGGCAAATCACTGAGCCACCGGTGTCTCCAAGACAGATGAACGAGCATTAGTAACTTACAAGTATCTCATTTGGTGTTTCAAGACAAGTAACTATAGAAAAACCAGAGAAAGAGCTGTTACAGGTTCCTGGAACGTTTGCCTGGGAAGGTATCTTAACAATTTCCTAATTCAGGTCTTCATTTTTCCAGTGGAGGAAAGCGAAGTGTACGAGGTGTGCAATTTGCCCAATGGCCCTGCAATTAATCCAGGAGCCCCGAGGTGACACCAGGAACCAACTGGAGCAGCTCCGGGATGCCTGAGTCCACCACCCCTGTCCACCTCTACTCCTTTCTTCAAAAAAACAATTTTTTTTTTTTTTATGTTGGGGACTGGATTTTGGAAGACACGAATTCCAGACAGTTAACTGTCTTTGCCTGATTATAAATATTAATGATTCTTGTCAACTCTCTGCCTGCTTCTCTCCAATTTTTAAAGTTGGCAGTCAGAACGTCCAGTCTCAACAGTGCAAATCAATTCAAGGAAAACTCAGTAAATTAGCAGATGACAGAACAACTGCAGTGTCTCATCTCAAAACGACACATCTCACACGTGGAAAATCAATGTCTGAAGACTGGAATAAGGTAAACCTTCTCCCTGCCCCCTTCCTGGAGGGGGCATTTGAAATCTTCAGAAGTAGTAGTCATTCCTCAGAAACAACTTTCCTTTTTTCCTTCTTTCCTTTCTTTTCTCTCTCTCAAAGAATATACTCATCTAGTATCTGGATTTGGTCGGTCGTTAACCTTAAAATCTTGACTCCTTCTTCAAAGAAGGCAAATCCCATGAGCTTTCTCTCTGTTGTGTTTCCTGCAGTACCTGCAGCACCTAGCGCAGTCCCTGGCACACAGTAGGTCCCCAGTAAATCTTTGTATCAACAGGGAGAACAGAAGCCACCATAAGGGAGGGGGAAGGTACGACAGAAGAGCCCCTGGTATTCTCTTGTATTAGCGTGCAACATTAATGATAATGTGCAACATTCTGTCCCGCCACAAAGTAGGAGGGAAATGCACTCCCTTTCTAAGGAGTGAAACGGCTGCACCCCAACGCTCCCGGCAGCATTTCTTCAGCAAATCCACTCGCCGCACACTGAGATCATGAAGCGGCCCTGCCTCCTGTCCAGTCTTATTCTCGTCCTTTCAACATATCTGACTGAAGGCTGAATGAGCGACCTAGGCCTAACCCCAGGAACCCCATTTGTCAGCCTTTGTCAGCGAGGTGGTGGCGGAGTCCAGCCCCGTCCCAGATGCAGTGACCACAGCGTTGGGGCAAAGAAACACTGAATTCAGGGTTGGGGCTCCCCTGTACCTTCTAAAAGATTTCGGGAAGCGCCACTGAGTTAGTGAGCAGGTGGCACTTCGGGGTGACGTACCCGGCCACCCGCCACCCCCTCAGCCGTGGACCTGTGGGGAGCCCCGACTACCATCGCCCCTCGCAGTCCCCACCCGGAGCGGCCCAGTGGCGCCCCCTGTGTCCTCTGCACGCGTCAGGACACTCACCGCGTAGTGCAGCTGGGGCTTCTCGCCGCGGTACACCGGGTGCCCCATGTCGCCTCCGGGAGGAGTGGCGCGCCTTGGGCTCAGCCTGGGGTCACGGTGTCTCTCTGAGTTCCCCGCACTTCACTGCCATCCTGGGGCAGCCCCTGGGCGCGAGCCCTGCTCCGTGCGTGCCGAGTGCTGTGCAAAGCGCCCCTGGCACAGCGTCCCGCTGCCGCTGCGGAGCCGGTGGGGACCTGGAGAAGGCAGCGGCGCGAAGGGGGAGGGGGAAGAGGAGGAGGAGGAGGAGGAGGAGGAGGAGGAGGAGGAGGAGGAGGAGGGAGCGGCCGAGTCTGATGCGATGGGCGGGCGTTTAATTCCTTCCGCTCCTGGCGGGTCCCTCCGGCGGCCGCCGCCGCTGACAGCTGTTGGGGGCTGCGGAGGCCGAACGCGCCCACGACAGGTGTCAGGCTGGCCGGCACGCCTGCCTCCTGCCACCCCACCCTCCCCGGACCCGTGGGACCCCGGCTGCTGAGGCGGGGACTGCCAAAGCCTTTAATGCCAGCGAGAAGGCGAACTTGGGTTTCCAAGAAAGAGAGACTTTCACTAACTTTGAAGGAGGTGTGGGCCTGACAGTGGAAGGAGATTCAGAGCCTTCTCCTGGGAGGGCAGAGTTTCCCTTTCTAGAAAGCCTTCTTCTGTGAGAGTCTCAAATTGTGGGGACCCTTGGGGAGGGCAGGACTGAGAGGAACCAAGTCATGCTACCCAGGAGAACTGCTGCGGGGACAAGGCTGCCCAGGATGCTGGTCACTTAGGGTGACCCGAGTTCCAGGGGGGCTTGCAGGGCACATTCTGTAGGTTCACAATAACCCTTAAAACTGGCCTCTGCTCTGAAATCCCCTCATGGAAACCTGCACTTTAAAACACCTTGGAGAAGATCAGCGAGTTCCCTCCACAGCCTTGTCCTTCTGTAATTTACGTCCAGCCTCCCACAAGTTGAGCCCAGAGGAAGGCCAGGCCTGGGGCCAGAGTAGAGACTCCAGACTCATGAATCAATCAATGCAAGCCCCAGAGGGGTGGCTACAAAGTGGAAGATGTGCTTGGGGGTAGCTTGTGCCAGTTTGTCAGGGTCCCACTGTACTGAACCGGCTGAATGACTCTCCACTTGCTCTGTGTAAGAGGAGAGGGGAGGAGAGGGGAGGAAAGTTGGATGTGGCCCCGGAATTTCAGCCCTTACAATTTAGTTGAATGAACCATCCACTGGCATGTAATATTTTAAAACAATCACAGCATAATTATAATTAGCAGTGGGAATGTGAAGCCAGGGGTGCAAGTGGCCTGAGGAATCTACCATTAGATAGTCCCATGACAGTTTATCCACCTGGAAAACTGGATGGTTATATCTGCTAAAGTCAATCATAGGCCTACCTTCCAATCCAGCAAATTCCACCCCTAGATATACAGAGTACAATAATCTCATCATATACCAGAATGCTCATACTGTGTTGAGGCATAATTGCCCCAAATAAAAGCGATCCAAATGTACACCAACTGATGCATGACAAACCAACTGTAGTCTGTGCACATGATGGAATACTATTCAGCAATAAAAAGGAAAATGCTACTGATGCACAGAACAAATGGATTAATCTCACAAACATTATGTTGGGAGAAAGAAATCAGACACAAGTGTACATACTGTAAGATTTCACTTATTTATTCTGCAACTGAAATTCAAATGTTTAAGTGCAATAGGCAAATGGAATCCATGGTAATAGGTGTCATAACAGTGGTTACCAAAGTGGGAAGGTGGTATTGACTAGGAAGGTGGTACAAGGGAACCTTCTAGGGTGCTGGAAATGATCTATATCTTGATCTGTATGGCAGCTACTAGAGTACACCCATATGTAAACATTCACTGTGCAGTACAGTTCAGACTAGTGTAATTTACACCCTTCACTACATGTATTTTATACTGCAAAAATAAAAAATAAAAATAAAAATAAATTTAAAATCAATCCCTTGCCAAACCCAGGAACTTCCAAACAGTGTTGCCTGTCTTATGAGAAAGTCAATTGAACTATTTGCCCAAGTCTTTCATTCTCCCACAGCCTGATCTACCCAAGTCTCCTTTCTTCTGCTTTGTAGGAGAAATGAGCATGCCCATTGACCTTGGAGGCCTTCCTTGCTCTGTGACATGTCCAGGCAGAGCTCGAAAAATGACACACTAAAGTTCCCTCTTTACTCTCACTCTGTTCTGCTGCTAAAAGCAACCTTTAGAGCAAAGTCATCAAAGATCCTCAGAATAAGACAGAGAACCAGCTTGAGCTTCACCATCTGGCATCTTTCAGAGAATTGCAGCCAGGGCAGCCTGATGGGGGCACGTGTGTACAGATGTAATTCAATGGCCTAGACAAGCCCCAGTTTAGGGACTTTCACTTCACTGTGGTCTATTCATAAAGGTGAACACTCCAGCCTTAGGACTTTTTCTTCCATCACGCTTGCCTTTAAGCCCCTGAAGCTAAAAATCCCTTTCCCTACAAATACTATTTAATTATGAATATATTTAAACAACACAAGGTGGATCCCTGGGTCTTAAAACCTTAACCATAGCCTTTTGATCATTACCCCTGAGTAAGTCACCTCTTAAAACTGGGTCATCCTGGATTTGGTTTGTATTCTTTCTTTCAAAAATGTAGTAAGTCACTAAATGACATTCTTGTAAGCCAAAAATACTCCATCAGCCCCACACTGTGTACTTACATTTTAGGAATGACTTCTGCCTTCTAGCATTATTTATTGCTAAAGTGTCATAGCTAAGTTGGAGTAAAATGTTCAAGTGCAATAGGATTGTTTTTTCTCTGTGTTTGAAGAGTTTGTGAGATTGGGCAAAGCACCTAAAGAAATGATCAGTTCATGCTGCAAGACTCTTAAATCACCTTGGAATGAATCATCCACCTCCTTCAATTCTTAGTCCAATTGTGTAAGGCTCAAAGCTCCAGAAAGGATCTAGAAGATCATGCAGAACTCTAAGAAGTCTGTTCAATCTTAAACAATTTGAATTTCACACATTATTCATTATTTCATTTAAATATATTTCAGGGTATATTTAAAACACCACTCTAATCAAAATTTCTTATTTGCATATCTCTACTTCCAAGTATCCTTCCCATGTTATTTGTTCACTTGGTCATTATTCAACAAATATTATTTTAAATTTTAAATTTTAATTTGTATAAATGTATGGGGTAACAGTGTAATTTCATTACATGGATAGATTGTGTGGTGATGAAGTCAGGGCTTTTAGGGTATCCATCACCAGAAGAATGTACATTGTGCCCATTAAGTAATTCACCATCATCCACCCCACTGCCCTTCTGAGTGTCCATTGTCTATCATTCCACACTTTATAAATATTTTTAAGTGCATACTATGCACAGGTATTGTTCTAGGTCAACTAAACTGTATATTGACATGGCATGTGGTTTTAAAATGCACATTTGATCCTTTGGGGTAATGGAGAGAGATAAAAAGGCAGCAAGAAGCACATAAAACCTCACTTCAGAGGAGGCTGAAGTTCATCCAATTTGTTGGTTAAGAGCCTGCTAGGCTAATGTTCTTTTTTGTTTGTTTTTCTTTTTTAAAAAATAATAAATTTATCTGATGTTTATCATTCACCCCAGAGAGGACTTAAAAATAATCTGTATGAGTTACTCTACTAGCATCACCTTTAAGAGAAAACGTGCCCTGCTAACTGTGGAATTTCCATGTCTTCCTGTCCCTAAACATTACAGCATTTCCAGAACTGAATGCTGCCCTTTCTGCCAGAGCATTTAAATTAAAATACTTGTTTGCATTTATTCTGCCTGCCTATAGGCTGAGTTAAAATTTTCCACAGTTAATGCCAATGCAAGGGTGATTACTTTTTTCAGAAAAACTTTACCCAAATCTGTGGAAGCAAATTCAACTTCAGAGTGTAGGAAGAGCTGAGGGCCCATCTGAGTACTAAAAATCACTTCAGATGGCAGGACAGGCCCTTCTTGAAGGCCCAGCCCCACCATTGTTAACAGAGTTACTATGAGACCCTCTAAGATGGGGAATCCCCTCCCCCAAACCCAGTGCCCACACTATGCCATCCTATTGTCCTGTTAATCTAGCCCCTGGAGTATTTTTAACATTTTGAAATGGAAAAATCAATAGCATATAATGTGCAGCTTAATGAATTGTTACAAAACATTCACCTGTCTAACCTTCACTGAGGTCAAAAATTAAAATATTGCTAGTACCCTAGACCCCCATGTCCCTTGGCTGTATTTCCCTCCTCCATCCCAGTGGTAGACACTGTCATGACTTCACTTCTTCACTTCCCTTTTACAGCAGGGTTTCTCAACCCCAGCACTCTTGACATTTGGGAACCAATCATTCTTTATGGTAGAGGCTGGACATTGCAGAATGTTTTGCATCATCCCCAGCCTCTACCCACTACATGCCAGTATTATTCCCCCTACGCCAATTGTGGCAACCAAAGATGACTCTAGATATTGCAGATGTCCCCCAGGGAGTGGGGAAAGGCATAATCACCCCTGGTTGAAATCCACTGCCTTTTAGGAAGTCAGGCATCCATAAATATTAGAGCTTAGTGTTGCCTGTTTCCTAACTTTATGTAAACAGATTCATAAGTATGTTTTTATTATAGCTGACTTCTTTTGCTCAACATTCCGTTTCTGAGGTTCATCCATGTTTGCTGTATGTAGCTGTTGTTTGTTCATTCCAATTGCTGTCTAGTACTCCATTATATGTGTTTATTACTATTTATCTTTGTAACTGTTGATGGACATTTATGTCCTTTTCAATCTTGGACCACTGAAAACCACACTGCTTGAACATCATTATACATATCTCCTTGTGCATATGTGCATGCATTTTTATAGGGTCCAAACCCAGGAATATAATTGCTGGGTCATAGGCATGCATATCTTCAACTTTACTAGACAATGCCTAACAGTTTTCCAAACTGTATTAATTAGAATCTTTATTTACACTATTGTATAAACAGACTGAACACAGTTTATATGAAGACTGAACACAGTTTAGAGTTGTCTCTTTTTTAAGTCTTTTTCATGGGGCTACAAAGATGAAATTAAGGAAATCAAACTCCAGGATCAGAAAGGAGAGCTGGAGTAGCAGCTTAAGGCCCTCCTTGGCTGAAATCATGTGTCTCCTGTAAGTGAAGGACCTACCAGCCCTGCTAAGGCCCTGGCATTGGCAGTGATAAGGCCGACTTCACCCACACGCACAGACAGGAGCAATGGATACACTGAATGTGCTTTTGAGGGAGGACATCTCATTAGGCAGAATTTCAGCAAAGTGGGGGTAAAATCTCAGCCTGATAACTGTAAACATATATGCCATTTCAGGAATTATCATTTTACTCTATAGCCATAATTTCTTCCCACCCTCTTAACCCTTCCAGGGATATGGAGATAGAAGAAATCTAAGGAAGAATGAAGGTTCTCATTCCTTTTTCCAGGTAAGTTTAAGGAGACAACCCCCAGCCTGAAGACAGCTGGGCTGAAGACCAGTGAAGGAGGAATTCCTGCAGCTGGAGCTGCAGTCACATAGGAGAGATGGAGAAGAGAGAGGAGAACATCCTGGCACAGCATAGTACCATTGTCTTTGGCCTCAAACCCTAGTACAAAGAATATCATAAAGTTATGCATCAATTGGAGTCGAGAATATGATAATCCGAGAATTCAGGGAAAGAAAACAAGTGAGGAAGGGTGAGGAAATAAATGACCATTACAGTAGGTTCTATTTGGTATTATTGGTTTATCTTGTTTTTTGCCGTTTTGATATTTTCACTGAAGAATTTCTACTCCATGCCACAGAGCCAGGGAGGGTATCCTTAAAAAGTGCCTAAAAAGAGACATTTCTAATATATATGTTCTATTCAAGGGTCATTAGGCAAAAAGGAGAGGCCGCAATTTCTCCAGCTACGACTTTCCAAATAACCATTTGGGAATTAAGAAATGATTTTTCATTTATATCCATAATCTAATGTTAGTCTATTGCCTTCATTCCTCTGATCATAATCTCCTTTCTTCTGCACAGTTGCACAGTGTTTCAGTTGTCTAAAGCCTGCAGAATTCCCATGACAACGCCAACACCGCAGGTGCTAGAATTATTGTTTGAAATGGTAACAATTCCACTATTCATTAAGCACCTACATCACAGGCTCAACTAGATGCTTTGCAAACATCTGGATCCTCAGAACAACTGGGAAGGAAAGTATGACTATCTTAATTTTATTTATGAGGTTAATTAACCTGTTTTGCATACCTAATAAATGGTGGAGTTGAGATGTAAATGGTAGTTGACCCCAATCTCTTTGCAGGTCATTCCAGTATGTTTCAAGGTGGAGATTCTTTTTGACAAATCAGGCCCATTCATTAGATTGCTGGTGTCCCATCCACACCTCCTAGGCCAGTGATTCTCAACAGGGGAAATTTTGCCACTGAGGAGAAACTTGGCAATATCTGAAGCTATCTTTGGCTGCCACAACTGCAGGGGAAGGGTGTCACTTGCATCCAGTGGGTGGAGACCAGAGATGCTGCTAAACATCCTGCACTGCACAGGACGGCCTTCACAACAAAGAAAGTTCTGGTCCCAAATGTCTAGAGTGCCAAGGCGGAGAAATCTTTCACAGACATAAGGAATTCATCCTTTAATAATTTCCACTTAGCAGTACCTCTCACACCAACAACACATTTTCTTTCAGTGAAGTAGGTCTTGCACCACCCAAGAAAACAAAGAGAAAGTTCTCCAGAGCAGAAGAGTAGAGCTGAGCCCTGGGTCTCCACCCATCGTTGAAGACCCATACACAAGTGGGTCTCCACGCAACACTGTGTGTTGTTAAAAGGCTAACAGACTGGGTAAAAATTGGCCATCTGTGTGATCAAAACTGACCACTCTGGAGTTCTTTGGAGTGCTTGACTAGTCACCCCCCTAAAAAAACCACTTTTATAACCTCAAGAAACCCCTGGCTTCAGAGGCTCAGGAGTAGGATGAATGATGACACCTGGCATTACTCTGGTGCCTGCAGGTTTCAAAGCAATTTTGCATATATTGGTTTCCCTCCCCTCCCCCCGCCAACTAATCTATCTTGTGATAATGATAGGGAGCAGAACATATAAGGCAAATGTTAAGAATTCGTTGTCAGGAGTGTAATAAAATGAGGAGAATAAAACAGAATGTCCTTCTCCTGCCAAGTCACTTAAACTGTCTGTATCCCATTAATCCAGCAAATAGAGAGGATGAGCCAGGGAGTTCCAGATCCCCCAGGAATGCTTGGTACATAAAGGTCAAGAACCAACAGTTTAGCAGGGCCTTCTTTGCCTTGCTGTGCAGTAAGAACCAACCGAAGAAAACTGCTCCAAGCCTAATTTCTTGATTATTTTCTTTGGGGACCATGCCTTATGAAGGTGGTTCTCAGCCAGGGGCAGATTTGCCCCTTAGGGTGCATTTGACAATATCTGGAGGCATATCTGGTTGCTGTAACTTGGAGGGAGGGGGAGATGCTACTGGTATCTACTAGGTAGAGGCCAGATATGCTGCTCAACTTCCTACAATGCACAGGACAGCCTCCCACACACAAGGCAAAGAATGATCTGGTCCCAAATGTCAATAGTACCAAGGTTAAGAAACCCTACTTTATGGTTAAAATTGTTATGGTCAAAATAATTCTAATAAATCAGAATCTAAGCATCAGACTGGGACTTTTTTCATTATTTCAACTTTAGTTGTCTTCCTTCATGTCCTTGCACACAGCACAGATGAAAAGATATTACCTGGAAAGATAATAAGATTTCTTCTCCCTTTCAGTGGAATACAGAACAAGAGGAAGAGGGACCAGAAGGAAATGGCTAGTCAGTGTTTTTGAAGGTATGGTCTTCAGGACCATGGGCATCAGCATCACTTGGGTGGGTTTTTAAAAATAGATTTTGAGGACCTCCCCAGAGCCTACTTGCACAATTCCTTGCAGCACCACACCATTGACATTTTTAGTGAGATTCTTTGGTTGTTATCCCGTGCAACACAGTTTGAAAGCCACTGATGTAGTGGTAGTATGATGCAGAAACTGAAACTCATAAAGGCCGGGTGATTTGTCCAACGTCATGCAGATAGCATGAGACAAAGTCAGAAGCCATCCTGAGCTCTGGATTTAATGTTAAAAGAAGGTGGAAAATAGTCCTAAGTGTATGACTAACAAGCAAGGATTAGATCCATTCATAGCTACAGAAGAAGAAATGACCATAACATTTGGCCCAGTTCAGCACAACCCAGAGCCTGCTAAGTAACTTGCTACATTTTCCTGTGGTTTTGTCAAGTTTTCTCCCCATTGTCTTCATGACTAAGAATAAAAAGAATGCTACACGTGATTTCTTTTAAAGCTCTTAAGATAATTGATTTCCATCCAATTTTATTTTTCAGAAGCACAAAATTTTTTCTCACATTAACATGTCAAGAAATGACAAATGTATACATAAACTACACAAATCATTAGTCCTCTTGATTTTCCAAAGGGAAAACCCATGCAGAGTCTATCGAAAAGCCTTCTTACCCAGAAAATAATTTGTTTTCTCTTATCTTAGCAAAATAAACTTAGCCACTTGTTCCCTGTTGTTGATGGGAAAGTCTGAGATTTGGAACAAAAGAAAGCTGTTTTGTACATTATAACAGATAATATGACAACCTCAAAGCTATCAGTTTGCATTTCTGTAAGTCCCATTTTTGCAGTGGAATGATTGAAAGAACAGAAGATATTCAGTCTTTGAAAGTTGAAGGAGGACATAAAGATGATGAATAATTTGAGGGGATGTCATACATAAGAAAGTCTTGTCCATATTTCTTCAGAAAGCTGGATAAGTACCAAGTGTGGAAGTTAAGGAGACTCAGATTTTGTCTGAATATAAGAAAGAACTTTCTGTATCTGACTTAGCAATTCTACTCCTAGGTATATAGCCAAGAGAAATGAAAACATATGTCCACAAAAACTTGTATACATATGTTTATGGTAGAATTATTCATAATGGCCAAAAGGTACAAACAAACCAAATTTCCATCAACTGATGAATGAATAAACAAAATATGATCTATCCATACAATGAAAGATTACTTGGCCATTAAAAGGAATGAAATACTGATAAAACGTAGATGAACCTCGAAAATTGTAAGCTAATTGAAAGAAGTCAGTCACAAAAGACCACATATTATATTATTTCATTTATACAAAATGTCAAGAATAAGCAAATCCACAGAGTAGATGTCGGGTTGCCTAGGACTGCAGAGCTTGGGGGTTGAGGAGTTGAGGGGGGGATAGCTAAAGGGTACAGTGTTTCTTTACAGGGTGATGAAAATGTTCTGAAATTTATGTTAATAGTGGTTACCCAACTTTGAATATGTTAAAGACCAAGGAATTGTTCACTTTAAATGAATGACTTGTATGGCATGTGAATTTTACCTCCATAAAGTAGAAGGAAGGAAATAAGGAAGGAAGAAAGGGAGGGAGGGAGAAAGGGAAAGAGGAAGGAAGGACTGACTTTATAACAAATCTAGATGGAAGGCAACAGTCCCAGGAGGTGGTAGTATCTTCTTCCCTGGCCATATGTAAGCTGAACCTAGATTACCATCAGCCAGAGAGGCTGCACTATGTGGGCAGTCTCACTATACGCCCTTCAAACTCTAAAATGTAACAGTCACTGTTTCAATATTTTATCCTTTTTCTGTTTCCCTAACTGCAACATGAGTAGTGCAAAGCTGGCTTCTATCAATTCATTCAGTCCATTCTTTCATTCAATATTTCATTGCTGACTTAAGGTAAAGCCTTACGATATTTCTCTGTCTTAATAATATATGTGCTTGTTGCTTTAGGTAGAGTTCCTCAGAAGCAGATACTAAGATAAAGACTGATGTGCAATTGATTTATTAAGAACCTGTTCCCAGGAGAAACTGGTAAGGGGTGAGCATAACAGGGTAGGGAAGGGAATAAAGCCAAGTAAGGGTGTGATTTCTAGCAAAGTCCCAGTCTCAGTCTGGTCCTGAGGGAAGCTCTGGGGTATTAATTACATCTAAACTTTGTCCCGCCTTCGCCAAAGAATTTGGACTTTAATATTTTCACACACATCAGTCAGTCATGGGCTGTGGGACGCCCCGCCCCCAGGGTGATGTAAACTCCCAGGCACTTCCTGCTCTTTGTGAATATAGGGCAACTGCTCCAGAACCCCACAGAGTGCTCACAGATGTTGGTCATTAGAAGCAAAACTACACAGAAGCTGGTGAATGGGACAGGCACACAGAACTGGTAAAAGATCTGAGATATTCCGGGCAGAGCACAGACAGAGTCCACTGTGCTTTTTGGTTGAATACATGTTAAGCTCTAAAGGCTATGTATGACCTTGTTCCTACGTCCAGAGGTCTTGAACAGGGTAGAAGCTTGCAACCTCCAGATTTCCACCTGGGTGAGGTATGAGTCGGTCTTTTCGTACTCCTCCTTACTGATAAATGCTTTGACTGACATCTTTGCCTACATTCGATCTGTTTCATTTCATACACCGAAAATCTTCTGAAATGGGTAATCTGCCCACAAGCACCACAGGGAATTCCTCAACAGCTTTAGCATCCGTAATATTACTCCAAAATAGCATTGCTGTTCTGCCTCTTACTTTAAGGTTGGGCAGATGCCAAAAGCTGCAAACCCATGGAACCATCCATGACCGGGTACACTTACCAGATTTGTTTCCTTCTCTTAAATTAACACAAATAGGCCTACGATGCTAATTCCGGAGCCACGTTCAAATTTCACTGTTTCATCAATCATTTCGTGAGCTCATTAGTTGATTAACACTTTTTTGGTGGTGATTAAATTAGTGTACATGCACACTCATGTGATCGTGTAATCACTTAAAACACAGCCAGGCACATAGAAGCTCTGTATCAATGTTTGCTATTATTACACAAGTACAGAGCTTCTCTCAGGTTGTATGATGGGATCTTTGTCCTCAAAATCATTCTTCCTGCCAAAGGGCTTACAACAGTTTTTCTGACCTATTTCAATTAAAAAGAAATTGTTTCTATCTTGCCTTTACTTCTACTACTTCTTACTAGCACTTTCTTCTTTCAAGTCCTCTGAGGTTATCACATAAGATGGGGTTCCTGGCAAAATTCCTCAACACCTAGCAGAAAGACAGCAAATATTCCATAGACTGAAAAATGAGAAATTCTTTTTAAAAAGGGCAGAAAATAAAAGAGGTCCCAGAACCTCTTGACGCATATTTTGGTGGTGAAGAGAGAGCCAGAGGGCTTTGCTCCAGAGTATGGTTTTGTTTGTATCTCTGAAAGTGCACGAGTTGAAATTCCATAAATAGAGGAGCTTCTGTACCACTTTCTATTGCTAATATTTTCTTTTCCTCTGACGTCTGTCCTCAGCATTTCAGTTCATGGTGAGTGCTTAATAAATGCATGATGACAACAGATGTTAGAAAGTGTTACGAGAGCACAGAGCATTCTAGAAAAACCTAGGAAAACACCAGTGGGGGAAAACATCATTATTTAATAAATTTATGAAAACTTTAAAAGGAAAGCATGTTGCTTTTCAACCAAGGACTTTCTAACAGAACAAACCTGTGGGGAGATAATTGTCTCAGATCTAGCACAGGGTGAGTAAAATTGTTTTTACATTTTTAAGTGGTTGGAAAAAATTAAAGGAATAACATTTTATGAAATGAAAATTACATGAAATACAAATTTCAACATCCATAAATAAAGTCTTCTTGGAACATAGTCACACCCATTCGTTTACTTACTTGTCTATGACTGCTTTCTCACTACACCAGCAGAGGTGAGCAGTTGCCAGAGACCAACTGCATGTTCACTAAACCTAAAATATCTGGCCTTTTGCAGAAAATGTTCACCCACCCCTGATTTAGAAAACTAAAATTGCAATTTGTTTCCTTTGAATCTTTTTCTACTTTTGGCTTTCATCTTTTCCCTCCTGGAGTTTTATAAGCCCAAAAGAAAAAAAAATTATCTTCCATATATTCATCTCTATTAACATAGTGATTATTTTGTTTCATTTATAGTCTGGAAACAGGCAACTTACCAAAGAGAAACCAGACTGCTTAGATCAAGAGGACTTCCAAATTGGATGCTACTGCTTTATGTATCTGAGCTTTTAAAGACACATTTGTATTATTTCTAGAAGCCTTAGGTAAATGTATTTGGGATTCATTTTGTCTGTAGAAAGCACCTGCAGCCCCATTTCTTCTAGAACAATATAAATTGTAACTAAAAACAATGTTCCCTTGTTGCATTTGTATTTACTATTCTCAAACCATTTGACAAAGTATTTCCCTCTCACTAATTAGTGTTTCCTAAGTGTTATTGGAAGCCACTCGCTTGCCTTGCAAGTTTAATCCTACATTTGGACACATGCTTGTTAATTGGTTTCCCTCCAAAGTTGAATGGGGCTTGCACCCATCTGTCCTGGATTCAATTACACCAAATGCCACATGCTCTGAGATCAGAAAAGCAAAGGATTCTAAAACATCCATGTCTATATTTGGCCCTTGACATCCTATTATTCTTCCTTGTCTTAAAAACCCTAGGCCACTCACAGGAAGTGAACTCGAATTGTTATTTTTATGGCATAAACTTTTCAACAGGCTGTAACTTCTATGTCACGTCATACTATATAGATAAATATGTGTGTACATAAAATTTTTAAAAATCCAACCCATTGTTTTGCACTTACTACAGTACACATAGCATCCTCTCCACACTTTGAACATTCCAAAATGCAGCCATCCTTCTACTCAATTTCTTGCCAGAGGAGATGCCCACTGAAATTCTAGGTCACACATTGAATGTGATTCCTTTGTTTTCAAGGAGAAATTTCCCTCCACCTATAATGCTCTACTTCCTCTGTCACCTCCCTTCCATTTCTCCTTTGCCTGTGTAACTCCCATTAGCCTCTCTGGATTTTCTGGAGGGACATTCCCCGATTCACCTCACCACCCTCCAATAGGAGCTTTGCTAGCTTCCTGTTCGTACCTCTGTTAGGATGCTCATCTTGTCTGTTTCCTCCTGAAACACTTGTCTCCTCAAAGACAGGGCTGCCATACTCATTTTTTAACCCCAGAGCCTGGTCCCATATACAATAACCACTTGAGTAATATTTGTTGAATGCTGTTACTAAATACAATTTCAGGAGATGAGAACAATCAGCATCAGTGGTTACAGCACCAGCAAATCAAGAAACAGTCTCATCAGGAATCAATTACAATGGCAATGACTGCTGCCTGGAGGAACCTGGTGATTTATATAACATAATCATTCATCGGGCCCAGATTTGATTGCCATGCCCAAGTGCTGAATGCTGCAGATGGCTCACCATTCTCATTAGGACACTGTGATGTAGTATTTCAAAAGCAAAACTTTTCAGAATCATAATTCCGACCCTTAGGAAAGAACAAACCATATCTCCAGAAAAGGACAGTCCACAGGAAATCAAAGGGATGCTCTCCAATCTCAGGGCTGCCATTTTTGGTTACAGAATAAATATATCAAAGGCCCTCCTACGAAGGAATTCAGTATGACCAAGAGGTAAATGCGACTCCCAGAGCAGGGGTGCTTCCCAAGAACACATTAGTCTATGTAGAGTTTAGGAGGCAGAACTCTCTAATTTGGTTTCTCACCAAAACAAGTGCAATCTACTCAAAACCCTTTAAAAAGGCTGTGCTTTGATAATTGGGTCTTGTCTTTGCATACTCTCCCCTGATCAACTCTGTTATCAGTGAGATCTATCTCCTTGATGTTTCCACACTGAAGGGACATCACGGGGCAGAATAATTTGCTTTTCCTAAGACAAGACTCTCCAAACGTTTTGGTTCACAAAGTGAGAAGCCCAACTAGCAGCCAACCACAGGAGCCTGGCAAGGACACACTTGTTCCAATGCCCCTAGTCCCCCAACTCAACTGTCCTCCTGGGACTGCCAAGTAAAAAAGAGAAGGAACAGGGAAGTTATTTCCCTAAGGAGCCCCTTGGGAAGCAGCGGTAACCCAAGCACAGGGGCCATGCCACTTTGCTTTCTACTGTCAGATTTTAATTTTCACAAAATCGAGAGTCATGAGATTTTCTGTGTTTTCTCCTAAACTAATATTTGGATTTCTTTTTAAAAAATGATCCTTTTAGGTGCTACACGAGACCTGGGAGGCTGCATTGAGATCACCTAAATCTTCTAAGATTCTTGTACACAGCTCCAATTCCTTCTCATCACTTGCCAGGTTTTTTTTTTTTCCTTTGGAGGATGGTAACTTAAAAAAAAATCTCATGAATTTCTACACATATGTATTTGAAATATATATACACACATATACGTAACATATACACATATACAGTCTAAGAAACATAAAATGATATTTTTAAATGAAAGATTCTGGATAATTATGAAACAATAACTAGTACATCTTATGTATATAACTATTGGATTGAATATCTAGCTTTACAGTTATTTAAATTTCATTTACAGCAGTGTCTTTAAAAAATTGTCATCAATTGCCCTAATTCTTGGATTATTACATCCCTTCTATTCATTTTTAGCATTTAATATTTTTCTTTCCTTTATAACTCCCCACCGGCATCAATGAGAGGGGACAAATTTAACTGAATATGTCAGCCAAAAAATATGGGTGATTTTTAAAAAAGACCTGGCTGTTTCTTCTGACCCTCTTCTTAAAAAAAAAAAAAACTGCCTCAATTCTTCCTTTGGGAGTAATAATATTTGACTCCTTTTGTAAAATCTAAAATTGATTTTTTTTAGAAGTATACACATTTTATTCAGCTTCCCACATAAGACTGGGCAGCCAGTCAAAATTCAGGAGCACAACTGAGGCAGACAACACTTTGCATACAAACAGCTCCCCCAGTCTCCAGCACTTCTTTACAATTTCACGAAGTTAAGACTAAACAGAAACGGGGGAAAAAATCCTTCCAAATTGCCTTCTTAGGGTCCATAAATTCCACATTCAGCTTCTTTGCATCCTTTGCTCTCTCCTTTGGCAAGAAAGCCCAGGAGCACGCAGTCTGCTCAGTGGGTTAATCCACTGCAGTTTAGACACAACCTTTTTATTTTTGCCATGGGGTGTGTGGAGCTGAGACCACCTAGTCAGTCACACTGTCAGGGTAGACGTAGTCAAATGCAAAAATCTGAAAACAGAAAATTTATTCCATTTGTGAATAAGACTAGAATCCAAAGGGCCAGGGCTAATTATGTGGTTGTTTCATGAGGGACATGTCATAGGCATCATTTTCAATAGAAAACTGGCTGAGAGCAATGCTGATACATTTCTATCATTAAAGAGATGTGCATTCTTTTTTCTGTTTTTGAAACTCTTTATTGAAATACAATATATAAGCAGAAAAATTCTGAACTCATAAGTGTACAACTCTGCATTTTGCCAAAGTGAACCCCCTGTATAACGACCACCCAAATCATGAAGAGTCCTCTCCTGATCTCTACCCCTAAAAGGAACCATATTCTGACTTCAAACACCATTGATCTGTTTGCCTGTTTCTGAACTTTAAGGCCACAGAATCAGTCTTTTTTGTCTGGTTTCTCTTGTCAATATTATATGTTGTAGCAGGTAGCGAGACTCCTCTTCATCGCTAAAAGTATTCCATCATATGAATAAAACACAGTTTTCCCTTTTCTATTGTTGATAGACATTTTGGTTGTTACCAACTTTGGATTATTAATAAATAGTGCCAACGTGAACATTCTGGTCCATCCCTTTTGGTGAATATACGTAGGCATTTCTGTTGGGCGTATACCTGAGAGTGGAATGGCTCCATCACAGAGGGGGACATATGTTCTACTTTAGTAGACACTGCCCAACAGCTTCTCAAAGTCTTTATACCAACCCACAGTGCCACCAGCAATGTACAAGAGTTCCAGTTGTCCCATATTAATGCAATGCTTGATATTGTCAGCTCTCTCTTTATTTCTTGATTATAGCCATTCTGATGGGAAAGCAGTGCCATCCCACTGTGGTTTAAATTAACATTTCCTACCAGGTGCGGTGGCTCACGCCTGTAATCCCAGTACTTTGGGAGGCCGAAGTGGGTGGATCACGAGGTCAGGAGATCGAGACCATCCTGGCTAACATGGTGAAACCTCATCTCTACTAAAAATACAAAAAATTAGCCGGTCATGGTGGCAGGCACCTGCAGTCTCAGCTACTCGGGAGGCTGAGGCAGGAGAATGGCATGAACCTGGGAGGCAGAACTTGCAGTGAGCTGAGATTGTGCCACCGCACTCCAGCCTGGGTGACAGAGCGAGACTCCGTCTCAAACAAAACAAAACAAAAAAGAAAACCAAAAAAAAAAAAATATTTCCTGGTGACTAATGAGTTGGAACACCTGTTCATGTGCTTATTGGTCTTTGGATATCCTCTTTGTAAAGTGTCTGTTCATGTCTTCTGCCCATTTTTTTCATTGAGTTATCTGTTTAGAACAGAGGTTGGCAACATTTCCCTATAAAGGGCCAGAGAGACCACATTTTAGACTTCGGAGGTCATATATACAGTCTGTGTCACAACTATTCTGTTTGACAGCACAAAAGCAGCCACAGACCATATGTAAATGAAGGGGTGTGGTTGTGTCCCAATAAAACTTTATTTACCAAAACAGTCAGCGGGCTGAATTTAGTCCACAGGCAGCGAATGTTGACCACTGGTTTAGAAGATTTGTGTGGTTTTGACTTTTAAACATTAGCAAAAGTTGGGCTATATACCAGAGCTTGCTAATTGTCTACCCAATATCCATTCTCCTGTCATTCATTGGTAAGATAATACTGAAGGAGGTGGTAAAAATACCTGGCTGAAAAAACTATCGATATTGGAGAGCAAGTGTTAGGTTGAGGGCTTCAGTAATTTTGGGAAGCTGTCTCAGCAAGGATGCCCTTTTGAGCTCCCCTCTTCCTTATTCTTTCTGTCTGATACATGGGCATGATGGCTGGAAATATAGCATTCATCTTGTGAGCATGAGACAACCTTTTGAATGGTGTGGTCCCACATGATTATCTTACCTTCATTACTAGCCAAACATCTTGTCTTCACATTTCCAGGTGAGAGACCGATTCTGATTACAGGGTCAAGGGCATATTACTACCTGGAGACTTTTGCATACTTATTTTAGCAAAGGTACACACCAGAGAACCACACAATGCAAATGTCCACTCGAGGCTTTAACAAGCACTCTTGTCTACATGTGACAGGATTTAATAAGGGGGAACAATCTTTTTTCCCCTATCTTTAACACCAAAGGAATGACTGCTTTCAAACCACTTCGGGCTTCTTCAACTCTCTTGTTTCATAGCCCAGCCTGTTCTAAAATCATTCTCTTCTGTCTGAAGCATTGCAAAGCACTTTTCCAAGCAGGAAGCCTGAGCCCAGCAATACTGTGATTGTAAAAGCAAATATGAAAGCCATTATAAACTCAGCAGTAACTCCCTACTTAGAACTTTAGAATTTATTTTTATTGAGAAGAACATTCTTTTAAAAGCACTGTTCTTTTCCTTGTTGTCTGAGCTCACTTTGCCTACTTGGACAAAAACTGAAGCTGTTAAGAGTTAAGGCTGAAGACTTGAATATGTGGTCCATATGGGCATGAAATAGTTGAATTCCCAGGCTCTTAAAATAGGACAGGAAGGCATCAAAAACCTCTGCAAGGTAAAAGTTTTCTGACATTGTAAGAACTCTTAAAACTCTTCCCCATTTTCCAAGACCACATGGGGGCCAGATAATTTTCACTCTTACTGTGTCACTTTTCAAGGTGGTGCTACTTAATAATTACATCCAGATGACAGACAAAAACTGGATTATCCTAGGCAAACCTAGATGTGTGGACATCCTACACACATTGCCCCTTCCCTCCAAGACTCAATGCAAAGTTGAGATCAAATATGTCAAGAGAAGCCTAGGGCAGCAGCATGCAGATGTAGCCAATGCTTTTTAGAATATCAGTTCAATGATATCAAATCTGGAACTTTGCAACATCTTATTAGGGCAGTGGTTTCAACCAGGGTGATTCTGCCTCCCAGAGGACATTGGGCAATGTGTGGGGACATTTTGGTTGTCGTGACGAGGGTCAGGGGTTGGGCACTACTGGCATCTAGTGGGTAGATGCCAAGGATGCTGTTAAACATCCTACAGTGCACAGGATGGCCTGTCACATGTGGCCCAAATATCAACAGTGCTGAGGTTGAGAAACTCTGAATTAAAGCCAGCAGAAGCTAGAGAAATAGATAGGATGGGCCATGCACATTCCAAAGCACATCAGCATGAACCTTATGCCCTGTGGTTGGTTCAGAAGAAAGACCCAGTCTCACAGGTTGAGTAAAGTTAACTTCCCATCACACCACAGTCAGAGTTCCCCAGTTGCTTCAAGCAGAGGGTACAGAAGTTAGTGTCAGACTGTTGTTATTATATATGTTCAAATTACATTTCTCAATAAACTAACTTATTGAAAAGTAATTTATTACATCTGAGAGGTTAATTATTGTTAATGATTTGTTTGGGCTTTTGTTCTACAACCTGAATTAAAGGATCCCTTCAGGTATTATTCCTTGAAATCACCTCAACTGACCACTGTGATGAGAATTTCCATGTCCAGAGTGAGAAAGGCAGATCATGACTTCTGGTATCTTTTTTTAAGAATGGAGCCTGAATAAGTTCCATCTTATCTGGGCATGTTCCAAGTGAAAAATTCAGTAATTGGGCTTTAGAAAGAAAAGAAATTGATAACCAGCCATGATACTCAGTATTCATTTTCCAATATGGACCAACATGGATGTAAGGAACTGTGTTTTTTCTCCTTAATTGCTTTTCACTCCTTCTTTTGATGCCCTCCTCAGATAAATTCTCCATGTGACTCACACTGAAAAGAAAAAAAAATGAGAAATTCTCTTGTAGCCAGAAGAGTTGTTGGCAGAAAGCTGACATTCCGTTCCTTTTCTGTCCTACCAACGTGCACACATTTAATTCCAAAGAATGACTGATGAAAAAAAATTAAAAAAACCTCTGGGCCCTGACTGAAACATCAAACCACCTCAGAGGGTGGCAACCTTAATAATAAATATTTAATAGGCCTTAGTTGCAAATATGTAAATACTTTACAGAGACAATGAAACCACATAACTTCGATTGACATTTTGAGGAATATCTATTTTATTTGTAGGGAAGTATATCTCACTTCAGCCTATCTTCTAAATCATAAGAACGACATTGAGTCTCACATCTTGTCAGAGATTTTTTTTGGCCAGGCCATATTTTACTATTAAAAAAAGTGCTTATTAATGAGGAGTCTCTAAATGCTAGGAACAGATTTGCAATCTAATGTTAGTTTTCCCAGAAGACACTGAATTTCCATAAGGAAATAGTTTAGAATACCGTCATTGGTCTAGTCAACATTGAATTACACCATTTCACTTGTGCCTATGGATTACATGGTTGAAGGAAATGACACTGTAGCGTCAGACACGCACTTTCTCCAAGATGAGGGAGGAGGTACTTGAGTCTTCAAGGGAGTAAGTTAAGATGACAAGCCTGATGACTGTCTACATCAGAATATCGTGACCTATTAGTTTTCCACAAACCCATCTGTAGTTAGAACCTTCCATGTGTCATCATTTACAAGTTACTTCATTTCTATAGCACCATAACAAACTATGATTTAAATGGTTTTATTGAAGCCAAAACTGAAAAGTCAAATCAATTAAAATATGAACTTGGAAACCTTCCCACAAAAATAATCCACTAGAGTCCTTTATTATCTTAGATCAGGGGTCAACAAACTACAGCTCTCAGACCAAATCCAGCCCACTGCCTATTTTTGTAAATAAAGTTTTATTGGAACACAGCCACAACTCATTCATGTATTGTATGTTTGCTTTAAGGTTACAAAAGCAGAGTTGAGTAGTTGTGGCAGAGATTGTCTAGTCTGCAAAGCTGAAAATATTTACTCTCGGCTTTTTACAGGAACAGTTTGCTGGCCCCTGCCTTAGATTCCTGGGTCTCTTCCAAGTGAATACTTTTACACAGGGGTACTTGTATACATAATTAATAATCTTCAAGAAAGAATGTTATCTACAGACTTAGCAATAAAACATGCAAACAGTCACAAAGCAAGAACACATGGTTCTAGCAAGAAAGGTGTTTCTAAGGGATGCTGGCTCCACAAATTTTTCACTTAAGGCATTGCAATTTTCATAAATAATTGTCAATTAATATAAAGAATTTGGTTGACATGTATATTTATTGATGCAAGGGTGGGTGTTTTAAAATAACAGATATAATAATAACCCGTTCTATAGAAGACAGCTGTGTTAAAACACTTGCAGTCACCATTGGACAGCCTTTATGTTAAGGAAGTTGGGAATAACCAAGGCAGACTTCTAGAACAAAGGAGTACAAGAAGACTAAACAAATACTTCTCCACACTTATGCTTTCCACCTCAATTGGAACAGCTTTCGCCTCAAAGCATATTCAGCCACTCTCTGTCATGCATCCACTATAATTGTACCACTTGGAAATCTTAACCTCAAATATTCCAGTCTTTGAGCACAGCCTCCAATCCTTCCTCCTTACTTGATTTTCTTCTGGATCATCAGTCCCTCTTGACTTTTGTGCCTTCCTTATCCAGCCTGGATTCCAAAGTCAGCTGCAGAAACCCTTCTTGCCCTTCCGTTGTCTCAGACCATACCACCATACCCTCCTTCCTCAAGTTGGATGGTAAGTACACTGGGGCAAAATGAGTGCACAAATATGCAGACTAGACACAGATCCACAATTCTTATCCCAGATGGGGTTCAGAGCACTGGTTGGCCATCAGTCCATTGCATTCCTTCCTCTTCCAGGACTTGCAGCTTTTAGCCTGTACTCACTCCACTTCTTTTCTCAAGCCCCTGCATGAACTGGCACCACTTAAAGTTACCTCTTCTCTCACAGAGAACCAGCACGATTTCTGGGAACTATTCCTCCATCCCTTAAAATATGCTGCTGTATAGTTGTGATATAATTGGTCTGGGGGTGGGCCTGGACATTGGGATTCTGAAAGGCCCCATAGATGATGCACTCAGGGCTGGGAACCACTGGCCTAGTCTTTAATTCCTCCCAAATGAGTGCGTTCATCTTAGCTCTTTCTCTGAGCTCCTACCAAAAAGCTCCCTGGACACCCCTGCATGTACATTCCACAGGCATCTCAAATTTATCATGTGAAATACCAAACATTATCCACACTTCTCTCCTACCATAAAGTATGTTTCATTGAAATGTCTCACCTTCATCCAATTTTCTAAGCCAGGGGCCAGTGATGCCTCCAGGGTTTTATATGCAGCAATACAGTTTGGTGCGGGAGGCTGGGAGTAAGTTTTGTTGACTTGGTTTCTATACTTCTCTGGGGCAGCTGGGAACAAGATGTTGTGAAAGCTATGAGAAGCGTATTCTTCACTAGCCTTCCTTTGTCACTGCCAGCTGAGACACCACCTTTGGCCCCTAACCCAACAAGCCACCAAGGCTAGTGGGCCCCATGTCAGAATTCTCTCTTGAATCTATACGTTTTATTTCCTTTGTGTCCTCACCACCAATGGTTTATTCATTGGTCTCCCTGGCTTTGGCCTGCCATCCCCACCTTCGCAAGCCCCAATCCATATAGCTTACTCTCCACTGCCAAAACTGTCTTTCTCAAGTGCCAGTTCAATTACATCTGATTAGCAACAGAAATCTGACATCCAGGCAGCCATTGTGTGTTGTTTGGGAGTCCCTGGAAGACCTCACATTGGTTTGTGCTCCCAGGAATGCATCCCAGCTTTTCTCTCCCGCCTGGGCACATTCTCACTAGGCTTCTAGGCTCGAGCTCTAAAGTCACACCTCCACTAGTGGAGCCTCCTCTACACCCACAGGCCAATGCACCCCTACCTCTTTGGGCTACGCTGCCCCTGTACATGCCTTCTCTTGGATTAAAAGTCATCATTTATTTTCTACATGTGCCTTCTTTCCCTTACCAAGTTCCCCTGAAAGCATGAGCCACAACTTCCTGATTTTTAGATCTGCATCCTTCAGCACAGGGGCTGGCACACTGCTGGAGATGTGCTAACAAAGCCTTAGTAGATGGATGCATCAAGGTCCAGGGATTTGGAAGGATTCCTGGATGATTTGTAGCTGACTGGCATCAGTGATCATAGGCGCCTTAGGCAAAACTGGGAGTAAACATACGTGGACTGACATGTCAGAAACATCTTGGCTAGGAAGAAAAATGTCAGGCTGTGAAGCTCCACAATGCTGCTGGGGAACACTCTAAGACACACAGGTATGATATCCTTTCCCTGTGACAGGTGAGATATTCACCCTGACAGAAATGGCTGATGAGTGGGCACATTCCACGACCATGGACACTCACAGTTGTCACCAGAACAGCCCCTAGATACCAACAACAAGGCAGTTTGTTCTTGCTCCTTTAAGGGAGAGCTTCCCAGAAAAATAAGAAGTAAGCTGACAGGTCGTTGATATTTGCATAGAGCGTGATAAGTGATTTATGCTTGAAATCCCCTTTGTAGAACAAATAATAAGTGTGTGTGTGTGTGTGTGTGTGTGTGTGTGTGTGTGTGTTCTTTTGCTATCTATTGTATGTTTGATCCCAGGTTGATGAAAGGGTGATAGCTGAAATCCTATAAAAAAACAGCTTGTTGGGCTTGCAGCCCCGTCAACATATGGTGTTCAAACTAAATACAACAAACGTGTCATTTCAACGTGCTCAGCTACCTACGTGAAATTCTAAACAAGTAATACAATATGAGGAGAAGAGAAATGTTTTTCTGGAACTGAGCACCTGAGCCTGCTGGGCTTCTGAGTCATGCTAGTGTGAGATGAGCCCTTCACTGCAGGGCTCTGGTGAGCCTGCCCTTTGTAATGCACGTTCTTCCAAGGCTGAACATCTCCGACATCCTCTAAGAAGTCACAGAAAACTCACCCCGAAGAAATCCGTTTTACAGCATCAGATTCATACACTGGTTCTGCTAGTACTTCCTGAATGCCAGCCATTCCAAAAGATGAAAATCATGGTCCAAAGCAGGGTTTCTAATCTTCAGCACTATGAACCGGTGTGGGCAGATAACTCCATGTGGTGCTAGCTGTCTTGTGCATTGAAGAACATTTAGCAGTACCCTGGGCCTCTGTCCACTAAATGTCATTTGCACACCTCCCTCCATTGTTGTGACAATCAAAATGTCTCCAGGCATTATCAAATGTCCCCTGGGTGGCAAAATCCTCCCCCATTTCCCCACCGCTGACCTCCGTTGCAAACCACTGGTCCAAAGGATGGCATCTTGCTGGAGAATTACCAAGAGGGCTGTTAATATGAGTGCAGGTGAGAGACCCCAGCATTCCCATTCGTGGATCTGGCTGTGCAGCATAGCTTGCCCAGGGATGCTTAGCCTCCCTGTAACCTGCACACATTGGAAGTGTTCATAAAGCCAATGTCACATGGATCCTCAGGGAAGAGTTATCACAATAGCTGCCCCTTACAAGAATTCATTCCAATACCCTTAACAGTTGCAGGAATAAAATGCAGCTGTTAGACGCAGGGGCAAACACCAAGATGTGGCTTTTCTTTCTCTCTCCTTTATTTTTCATAATTACCCAAAGAGAAACTGTTATCACCATGGCCTATAATGGAACTAAAACGCAGGAGAACCACTTGTTACCATAGCAACAAAGCCGGAGTATATTTTCTGTACCCCTTGAGTTCACAGTGCAGCTTTCTGGTGCCATCTGACTTGATTTGCTAATTGCTTTCACAGAACAATCAGTCCACTCAAGCATTACAGTTCAAGAAGTAAAACCTTAGTTACAACTGATGATAAATATTCAAACGTGGTTCCTCAAGTTGAAAGAGGGTTTATATGAAAGCGAATCTAGCAATACAAGTAACAGTTCTGAAGAACAACATTCTGGAGACTCACAACCCCCACTCATCTATACTTTCAGCTTTGCTTTTGCTGCTCACTCTGTCTACAGTACCTTCTGCACCCCGCACAGGTGTCACTCCCCTGCTCCCCAGAGTAAGACAATGCCCTTTCTCCATGATGCATAGCACCTTGGTAACAATCTGCCCCACTGTAATACCACTCCTTTACATGTTTGAAATTACTGCTAGACTGGAAACTCCTTGAAGGTAGAGATGATGTCTTCCCTGGCATTTAATAAGGGTTTAATAAATGTCTGTTGAATTGAAATGACTCTTTATGTTTGACACTTAAGATGAAAATCAACAGATAACAAAAGAAACTCATGCAAAAATTAGGAAAACAAGAAAAACCACAATTACGTATCAACCCCTGACCCCAGACTTCTGGCAGGAGATATAATATTAGTATGGATGCAATCTGAAATCCTAAATATTCCATCAATGGGTTCAGAGTAACCACATTGTTCATTCATTCATTAAATCATTCAAGGAATATCTATTAGATGTCTATTATGGACTAGGTACATGATAAATGAGAATAATAATTTTTTTAATTTATTTTTTTGAGACTGAGTCTCACCCTGTCGCCCAGTATGGAGTGCAGTGGCACGATCTCGGCTTACTGCAAGCTCCGCCTCCCAGGTTCAAGTGATTCTCCTGCCTCAGCCTCCTGAGTAGCTGAGATTACAGGCATGCACCATCATGCCCAGCTACTTTTTGTATTTTTAGTAGAGACGGGGTTTCACCATGTTGGCCAGGCTGGTCTCAAACTCCTGACCTCAGGTGATCCGCCCACCTCAGCCTCCCAAAGTTCTAGGATTACAGGCATGAGCCACCGCACCAGGCCATGTTTTATATTTCTACAATGTTTTACAGTCCATGTAACAGTTTCATCCACAGAACCTAATCAGAGGAATATCCGGAAACACATTGAGTGGTTGCATTTCCTAAGATCATACAAAAGTGAGAAATCTGGCTCTTCTGACCGATGCTATGCTTACTGTTCTTTTTACAAAAACTTCCATTCAGAATGATACCTCTGAAGAATTGCATGCTTCTCAACAAGCAAATAATTGAATTTTTCAACCTTCAAAACTTCAATATTCTGCTCACATACCATGACAGCTAATGAATTTTACTCTACAGAGATTTTTTCATAGAAGCAGGCATTTGCACACAAGAATCTCTCTGTGTGACTGGTCCCCTGGGCTTTGTCCAAGGGCAGAAAGCTCACTTAGTTATTAAGATAAATAGCAAAGGGAAGCCAAACAGAAGCTAAATGAATTCTACAATTTTTCTCAGTCTTGCAGAGTTGTGGAAAGTCAAGTTTTCCAAATCTACTCCTCACTAATATATGCTGCAAGACTGACTTAGAGGCATCCTTACATGGGCATTTATTAAAAGCATTTATTAAAGGCATTTATTAAAAGCCCCTATTCAAAATAAGGAAACACTAGTGTAGATTTGGAAAACCCAGAAATAATTAGCTACACTTTGTCAACTCAGAACTTAGAAGTGGTCAAGCTAAAATTTGATTTGGGATTTATTACATTTATTTTCTGCAGTTTTATGTGGAATTGGCTCTCTCTCTCTCTATATATATACATAATATATATATATGCTATATATATACATAATATATATACATAATATATATATAGTATATATAGCATATATATACTATATATATACATAATATATATATATAGTATATATATAGCATATATATATATAATTCTTAGGAATGTTCCTAAATACTCCCTTCTCCAGAATGTTAAAGATCTTCTGGCTTGTCCAGCTTCAGCATGTACCTGCCCTGGCCTCCAACGGGGACCCTTGCAAAACTTGTACTTGAGATTTTTGAGCACTTGAAAGAGGTACAAATCTGGTTATAGTGTTTAAGGATGGTGATGGGAGAGGAAAGAAGACATTGTAAGCAATATTTCTGGGTATTAAATATTTAGTTGTTTCCAAGAAGTTCAAGTAAATGACTTGTTTTAAAATTACTTCTGGTTGTACCAATAGTATTCTCTTGACTCTTCTAAAACTAAGCCACACATGAGTTACATGATACATCCCCAGCCCTCTGAAGGTATATTGTTGCTCAGCAAGGTTCGTAAAAAAGCCTATCAATCCACTTGCTTTTGTTTTGTTTAGTATTTCCAAAAGAAGAGTAAGCAAAGTAGCCTGCAAACATACATGTCAACTCTCAGTCTTGGTAATGATAACATTTTAAGATGCATTAATAATGTATCTTCCTGAGAAATCTCTTGTGGTTTTGCACTTCAGCTGTTTTCTCATCTTCTTTCCTTGGCTTTGTCTCATGCTGTCCCAGAAACCAAAAAAAGCTGTTTCTTTTTTGAGATGGAGTCTCGCTCTGTTGCCCAGGCTGGAGTGCAGTGGCACGATCTCGGCTCACTGCAAGCTCCACCTCCCGGGTTCATGCCATTCTCTTGCCTTAGCTTCCCGAGTAGCTGGGACTATAGGCTCCTGCCACCACGCACGGCTAATTTTTTTTTTTTTTTTTTTTTTTGTATTTTTAGTAGAGACAGGGTTTCACCGTGTTAGCCGGGATGGTCTCGATCTCCTGACCTCATGACACGCCCGCCTCGGCCTCCCAAAGTGCTGGGATTACAGGCGGGAGCCAGGGCACCCAGCCAAAAGCTGTTTCTTAAAGGATCATTTCAAACATTAGTGGGTTTGCATGGAACCTTCCACGATGAAGCTCCTTTTCTATAAAATCACACTCTAAAATATAAGCTCTAAAATACTTTCCTTGAAGCATTCAGAGTAAAGAAAAAGAGAAAGGACACCTAATTTTAAGCCCCTTAAATAAAACTGAGGGTGTCTTTGTTAAAGAAAATAATTACCTGAATAAAAGAGATTTCTTTTTTCTTAAGGAAGGTTTCCAACAATCTGGCACTTGAATTCATTGGAGTATTTTGTATAGTAAGTTTCCATATGGAGTTGTATTGGCAAGAATCAAGGAGTGTGGTTTTCAGGTCTTGGAGGTGATTAGGTTTATATCATTTCATTTACTGATTGGACAGCCAGTCTAGCTCTGCCTCATGTGAGTGACAACCAGAAGTCCTGCTTGAAAATCCGTAATTCCCACTTCCATATGAAACAAATGGTTCAACAAGGGAATTTAAGAGGTTCTTGGTGTGCACTGGGCATTTTAGATAGCATTTGGGATGAGACGGATCTCATGTCATAGGACATGTATGGTGTAAAATATTTGTTATTCAGTATATACACCTCAATCCAGTTTGGTTTCATAATTGGAATCACTGCAGACTATGAACCAATATTGAACTACCTGGGAATAGGAGCTGTTTGGCTTTATAACAAAACATATTTTTTTCAAGCACAACTTGGGGAGATGCCAGATCTTTATTATAAACATGGAAACCAACACTTAATTGCTCTTGAGTTTTCCTAGACTCTATTTCCTTATTATCCAATGGGTAGATTCCAATATATCTACTTGACATTGGAGAGAAAACATATTCTCCAAGGCAGTGGAAGAAATTCCTATATTTACTAAATGGAAATTCCTCTATTTGCTTTCCAGGCCTCTTTTGAAAATAACCACAGGAAGAAATGGGATATACTCTTACTGAATCCAAACTCTAAAGTACTTTTGCAGATTTTGCAGAGTGAAGACAAAAGAAGAAATGGTGACCTTCTTTTTGCAATAATGGTTCTGATGACATAAACATAGACTCTTTGGTGACATCTTTGTCATTCTACAAAGCATTATGAGAGGCAGAATAGTTACTGATACTAGTTCCTACCACTTATGAGGCCACCATTACAACTGCAGTAGCTGGATCTTGCCACAGTTGTGTAATTGCAGCCAAGGACTTCATTACTTCAGTAGCATTGGGACAAAACTGAAATATTTACTTTTATAGACATACCAATAATATTAAACCTTGCAAACGGGAAAAAATAAAAAGGAGTCTGTAAGTCCCTATGGCCAATAAATCAAGACTTAGCCAATTCATGATATTTTGATGTTCACATGGTAAGTGAAATTATTTTCCTCTTTTCCATCTACCCCCACTATCCGTGGCTTCTCTCCAATTGTAGTTTTCATCTCCTTTTCAAGGTGAGTGATTTTAGGAGGCACAGTGTTGGATTGAAATAAGATGACATGAGACTAGATTCTTCTACCTCAATAACTTGGTACCTGGTACCTATGGCAGGTCACTTAAAATCTTTTGATCTATTTTCTCACTTCTATAATGGAGATGATAATACTTGCTCTGGGAAAATCAGATGGCATAATGTATGTGAAAGTGTTTTAAAATTTCTAACCTGTTGTTATAATCTGCAGATGATATAACTTCCTGCATAGATAACTCAAGAGAATCCACAGATAAATTATTAGAATTAACAAGAGTTCAGTAAGGTGGCTGCAATAATTTCAATATACAAAAGCAAAGTGCATTTCTATAAACTTTCAGCCAGCAGTTGTAAACTGTAATATTAAAAACTGTGCCATTTATAATTGCAAAATAATATATAATATACCATACAAAATCAAAATATGCAATATTTTATGTAGAAAATTACACATTTTAACTATCGTAAGCCACTAAAGAAGCCTGAAGTAAAATGAGAGAAATAACATGTTCATGAATATGAAGACAAAATATCAATAATGATGTTAATTCTTCCCCATTTTTTACAGATTTTTTACAATTTCAATCAAAATCCAAACTAATTATTTTCCTTTGAAGTTGCTAAGGAAAGGGTCCAAGTGTCCAAGATTTTCTTCGAGGAAAACAAAAAACAGGTAGAGAGACCTGCCCTGCCCAATGTCATTAAAAGAATGTGACAAGGGTGAAAGAACAAAGAAAACTTTGAAATGGGACAGAATTTAGCTACAGATCCAGATCATATTGGTGAAATTGTGATATATGACAGACCTGGCCTCATAGAATAAAGAACTTCAATTACCCAACTTAACCAGTGGCAAGGGGTGGAGGTGGGGCAAGCCCACTGATGCCTCCTTGGGCCCAGCAGAAGACAACCCTTCTCTGCATACCACAGTACGTGAGAGAACTCCTTGAAAATGGAAACAACATGAAACCTCCATTACAAAAGACAATCCTAGCAATTTTCTAATGTGTTCAACATAATTAATTCAGAAAAGAATAATTACAATGTTCACTAATCAGTGAATCTATTCTATTCCAAATATTACAAAATAGAAAACGTGTCTTGCCTTGAAAAAATGAAATATATAGTGAGTATTCAATAGGCAATATACTTCTACACACTCATAGGTTTTGCCCCTAATATTATTTTTATCCTTAAAAGAGGGCTGGTCTACTTAGAGGAACACAATGCTTAGGTCTGAGGCTCAATCAAACATGCAGGACATAACAGAGATTTTGTACTATCCTGTTAATACTGCTATCAATAGAGCGAAGCATAGCATTTGGTAGTCACAGCTGGAACCCTGTGCATATCCCCTAGATCCACCATGGAGGTCCCCAAAAACTGTGATAGGTCTGAAATTTTACTCTACTTTCAAGCGAATGAGTCATTCTGCCAGTTTCATGGATGCTGTTAGAAGACATGAGACACCTGAGTCCAAGATCAAGGACAATATATTATTCACAACAATAGTAATAGCCAGAGCATCACCATTTGCTCCAGTCCCTCCAAGCCCCAGTCCCTACAAGGTGACTTATGGGAGTCAGGTGACACCTGCTCACATAATGGACTGCATTACAGGACATCATCTCTGAGCTTAGAGAACCGAAATCTTTTGTGATGGATGGTAAGTTTGCCTAACCTTTGTCCCTAAGGAAGACATTCTCTTCCTTAGGGACAGAAAACAAACCTGCCCTTCTCTCTAGAGGGAGACATGACCTCTATCCCTCTTGAGACTGTTCACTAAACAAATATTTTTGAAAAGATATTCCAAAAGTGTGAGTGCCTCTGTTCACAAGATGTTAGAAATGCCAGCGACACATGGAGAACTGCCTTTCAATAGAGGTCAGCTGCAGACAGCTCCCCTAAATTCAAACTGCTCCAGGGCGATCTCCGGCAATGGAAGTCTACTAGGTCACCTGCACTGGTCAGGCTGGAAGTGCAGGGGAGGTAAGGGCCCAGAAAAGGTTACAGATGATGGCATAATACCCCTGCATCATCACCCCTCACTGGGACATTTCTGAATTGTGTTCTACACAGGCCCTCAGCTGCATTTAGCCCCACTTTCCCACAGCAGTAACCAACTCATTAACATAGCTTCTATTAGCTTTCCTCCTTTCCTTGTCTTCCTTACTTTCTCACTGTGTTCCTGCAGTTACCTCCCAAATAAACTACCTGAACTCAATTCCTGGTCCCAGGGTCTAGTTCTGGAAAATCCATACCAAGACAGATAGAGCAAAGAAATAAACCCACATCAGTTAGTGTCCATAACTGACATCTTTACTTTGTGATGTGTAGACACAGCCTAAAAAAATGGAAGGGAGTCATACTTTAAAGATCTTTCCTGTATTAAGATGGTCCCTGATTCAGAGTTATATGATGGTCCAAATCTTCATTATTCTGCAGTCTTAGCTGTATTAAAGCAAGATAATCCTAAATTTGATGCAGCTGAACCTCCTGCCATAGATTCAATAGATTTACTGAAGACTTTAGTAAGGCTGCGGGCCAGGGAATGAGCTCATCCTTCAAAAATATGCCTCGGCCTCTTGCCACTCCAGTACTTTCAAAAGCAGCAGGGCAGGAATAAGGAATTGGCTTGGCATAAGCCAGTGGATCCAAAATCCAGTGCATGTAAACACACAAATTGCTTGTGGGTTACTAGAGCTGGGCAACAATGTCTGACTCGTCACATCCACCCTAGGGTTCCTCCAAGCTCCTCCATATGGTATACTACAGCCAAAAAGAGTATGTCTTGGAGTAGCACCAACTAAACTGTGTATATTGTGACAAGCTACATCTCTCCAAGATTTATTTTCTTCATTTATCAAAAGGTAGTGATAATATCTACATCTCATGGTTTTGTTTTAAGAGTTATATGTGATAATATAAATAAAGCTTAGGCCACAGGTTCCAATTTCTTTTATTTAGCATGTATTTCCTGAGCGCTGATCATGTGCTAGGCATTGTTCTAAGAGCCTGGGGTACATCAGCAAACAAAACAGGCAGAGATTTCTGTCCTCATGGAGCTTACATTCTAATAAGGAGAGATAGTAATAAAAAGTAAATATAATATATAAGTAAATTATTTAGGATGTTAATGGTGATAAATTCTAAGGAGAAGTAAAAACTATAGCAGGGTAGGGAAACATCAGGAAAGAGGAGGTGGGATGGGGTGGGGTGAGGAAGCTTGCAGTATTAGATAATGTGGTCAGGGTAGGCTTCAATCAGAGTTTGAGATTAGAGAAAATATTCAAAGAAGAGGAGGGAGTTGGAGTACTTATATCTGGGGGAAGAGTGCTCCAGGAAAAGACATAAATATATTTTAATGAACATTAACTTCTACTAGCCATCTTTATAGTGGCTTTTTAATTGAACTGAACAATATTGACAATAACAATAAAAAACACGGTAAACATTTATTTAGTGCTCATGATGTGCCAAGAACTACTTAGGCTTCTCATCTATCAACTACATCGATTCTCATAGGAATTCTTCGAGATATGACTATCTTTCAGAGAAGCACTATCTTATTTTTTAGATAAAACTGAAGCAGGCAGAAATTAGTAAATTGCTTAAGGTCACACAGCAAGAAAGTAGGGAAAGGAAGATCCAAACAACACATTCTGACTCAAGTATTGAGTGCCAAACCACTGTACCATACTGCCTTTATTTAATTAAAAGGACAGTTAAAGGGGGCTGGAAAGGCTACCTGGTGGGAGTTGGGGTTGTAGAGAAATATCTGGACTATCAAGGGGCATCAGATATATTTTTGGGGTGATGGAAATGTTTAGCTATTGTTTTGTGGTGGTCGTTTCACAACAATTATCAAAATTCATCCATTTGTACACTTGAAATGGATGCAGTTTATTAAACTATTGCTCAATAAAATGAACTTTGAAAAGGGGTTCTGGAAAGATTAGCTTGCATATACTGAAATCACCAGTTTCATTCACCCCAATTACCCTACAGAACATCTGTCTTTAATTACTCAAGTTTCTAATTCATGGGCCAAGTGTGAGTTCTGTATTTTGTCTTAACTCCCTTACTTTTCCTTGAGGTGTGACTTACATGGTCTATTTAATATGTGACCATTCACAGACTTCAGCCCTAGGTTGTGCATTTAATAGTGAGTAGCCAATGAATTAGTGTTAAAAAAAAAGTGTTATAGTTGATCCTTGTTCACTGCTTTTGATAGGCAGAATTAAAAGATGGCCTGCAAGATTCCCATCCCCTGGTATATACACCTGGTATAACCCCTTCCCATGTGAGTGTAGGCAGGACCTGGGAATATGATGGAACAGTCTGCCCCTTGATTAGGTTACCTTCTGTGGCAAAGGTGATGGGATGTTGCTCCTATGATTATATTACAGTGTGTAAGACTCCATAGTAGCCTACAGGAGAGAGATGCTCCTGCTGGCCTTTGAGAAGTAAGTTGCCAGATTGTGAGAGGGCCTGTGAGATGGTCACATGGCAAGGAACTTCAAGGGGACTCTAGGAGCACAGTGCAACCCCTGGCTGACAGCTGGCAAGAAAAGGGTATCTTATTTCTGCAATGGTAAGAAGCTAGATTTTGCCATCAACATGAGCTTGGAAGAGGATCCTGAGCTGAAGATGAGACAGCAGCCCTGGCTGATACGTTCACTTAGGGTCATAGGACCCTTGTATGACCCTGTATGATCCTGAGTGCAGGATCCAGTTAGGTGTTCCTGGCCTCCTGACCCACAGAAACTGTGGGATAATGTATGTGTGCTATTTTAAGCCACTAGGTGGTACTCTCTTATGCAGCCAAAACAATTGAATATACTGCTCCTTAAAAAGATCCAGTCATTCATTTAACATTTATTGAGATCCTGCTGTGTGTACCACTCCAGAATAGCTTCCTCAGGCTGGAATTTTCCACCGTACTTCCCTTGGTTGGACCTAATTATATTTAAGTGCCTCCTCCTGCATTGTTTGTGCAGTTTACCACAGTCCTAGGAGCTAGACTACCTGGGTTCAAATCCCAGTTCTACTGTTTACTAGCTGTGTGACTACAGGTAGATTATTACTTCTGTGTGCCTGTTTCCTCATTTGTAAAGTGAGAATAATAATGGTGTCTACTCCACTCAAATGAGCTTATTTATTAGTCAGGTAAGGTTATGCTGGGGTAACAAATTAACCATGGAGCCTCACTGGCTTAATGCAATGGAAACATATTTTTCAGTGATGCTGTGGGTTTTCGGGGGCTCTACTTCTTGTAGTTACTAATGGACTCCAGCTGAGCGAGGGTCCTCCAAACTGAGATGCCACCATCTTAACAGATTGCTTAGACAGAGCTGGAGGGTCATTTACTTTCTTGGCCAGAAAGTAATACATGCTACTTCCATTCACAGTCCATGCTGCAAAACCAGTCAAGTGATCTCACGTAACTCAAGCTGGTTGGGAAGAGACAAACAAAGAAGGAGCCCACCCTGTGGAAATCTTTTCATATACAGAGAAGAGCCAGTATACAGGCTGTGGGGAAGGAATTACTGACATGTTCACGAAAGAGTAAGAAGCTCAGTGTGACAGTTGTGTGGTGACTAAGGACAAGAGTTATAGAAGAAATCATTGGAGAGATAGGGAGGGGCAAGATCACACAGAGTGAGCAAAAGCAAGAGAGTGAGAGAGACAGAAAGTGCTGTCTGGGTCACCTCTTAGACTCGTAGCCACACAAAGGGGGGAGCTATCTGTGTTTGTCACTTCTATCCCCCAAGTGCCTAACACACTTGCTGGACACTCAGTAGAACCTCAGACACTTTGTTTACTGAATGAATACATGAATGAGGTGGTGGGGTTGACATACTTGTCTCTCTGAATTTCATTCCCCGGGCCTCTCTCCAAGGTACGGACTGCTTCTTGACCATCACAACGAAGCTTTGGAAACATATTTCAGGGATGATGAAGCAAACATTATCTTGTGTACAAGACAGTTCAGCAGAACATTATCAAGGAAACCACATTCCTATCTTGTAGGCTAAGGATGGAGCTGAAAGATGTGACTGGACTTTAGACTTCCTGCAGGCAGCAACTCTTCCCCACTGCAGCCTCTGCTGGCTGAGAAACAGGGGCCTCTCTCAAGAAGAAGCATATCAGATCTGACCAGAGACTGGCCAGAAAGAACACCCTGCAGACTGCCTGAAGCCCAGGGCTAGGAGGGAGGCTGAAGGAGGGACAATAGCATCTCTGGAAGTCAAAATATTTTCTTTTACCCAGCTGCCAACTTGCAGAGAAGGAAATTAAAGCAAGGCTGCTTTCCTAATTTAGAGCGAGGATATTTTCCATATTTTTGTAGAGATATTTTATTTATGAGACACAAAAGGAACCAGGGGATACAGATAGTAAGAGTGTCTACTGGCCTTTTAATGCACGGTAGGCTGCACATTTCCTTCTTGTGCTTTAGAAATAGGTTCAATAAAAGAAAGTCCAACTTGTGAAATCACACACATCTAATTCTCTTTGAGATTTAAGGCCACAAGTTGTGACCTGAGCTGAGTCACAGCTGGGTCGAAGGGAACTGCCTCATCTCTTCTCCACCCACGACAATGCCCTCTCCATCAAAAAATATCTAACTGTGTTTGTCCCAGATTAACAGCAAGCCTTGGGATGATGTGGGAAAGCGACCTTTGCATTGTTTGTACAGTGTAGTAATGGCGTCCTTGTGTTTCCTCCATCCCAACTGTCTGAAAACACTTTCCAAATTTATTTCAGCTGTGGTTAAGGAATAACAGAATAGAAACATAGCAGCGATTTTGTAGTTTAATGACTCAATCAAGAAAGAAAACATTACCATCGTGCTGTGTTTGACAATTCACTCCAAATCGATTAATTTGATTTTTATAATGAGATTTGGGATAACATTCTGATTCTCCAAATCTTAGAAAGCAGCCATTTCATCCCTCAAATCCAATATAAAGGCTTTACCTGCATGGGATTCAAATTTATAATGTTGTGTGGTAAGGATTCTATGATGCATTTGCTTCCAACTTTTAAACTCAAATACCTATGGTGACACCATCAAAGCTAAAAAGTGTGAGCAAAAACTGGACCTCTGCCAGCACTTTGCTAGACTGTCACAGGCGTTTCCACTAACTGCATGGCTGACTGAAATGGCTTTTAAAAGGTAGTGGCGAGACCCTTGAAAGTACTTGAGTGTATTCTTGTATCTCTCCTCTTGCAGTCTGCCCCATGGCTGAGAAATGCAGTCTGTCCCAGCCAGAAATCTGGGTATCCATCTTTTTACTTTATGATTCCTTTTAGGTGTCTCCCATTAGCATTGGTGGATTTCTCTCTTTCTGCATCCAGTACAGAACTGCAGGATCCAAAGATCACCTGAGCAGAGTGGAAGGTGGTGTTGGAGGAGTAGGGAGACCTCACTATACAGTGAAGTTACGTAACGTGCAAATATATCTACCTTGAATTCAACTATGGGTGTTCTGGAAAAGGTGTGGGTGGGGCGTGTGGAGAGGGAGGATGGAGGGAAAAATGGGAGAATGCCTATGAAAAAACATAATTCAACTATTGTGGTTTTCTGTTGTTGTTGTTGTTCTTTCATTTGTTTGTTTGTTGATACAGGGTCTCACTCTGTCACCCAGGCTGGAGTGCAGTGGCACGATCATGGCTCACTGTAGCCTCAAACTTCTGGGCTCAAGTGATCCTCCTGCCTCAGCCTTCCAAGTAGCTGGGACTACAGGCACTAACCACCATACCTGGCTAACTTTTTGATTTTTTGTAGAGATGGGGTCTCATTATCTTACCCAGGCTGGTGTCATGAACTCCTGGACTCAAGAAATCCCTTTGCCTTGGCCTCTCAAAGTGCTGGGATTACAGGTGTGAGCCACTGAACCCAGCCTGTAATTCAAACATTTGATTACATGCTACATTGCACTCATGAGTGTGTCCCCCTGGGAGTGCACATAACTTTGAAAATGTGATTCCATTAAAGTCATCACAACTGCCTGTTCAGTCGGTGTCTGTCTTTGCGTGCTTCCCACAGACAGCACCTCACTAAGCTAAACTATGAACCGCATTTAGTGTTCGAAGTCATACATTCTTTAAATACAACATGGCCTTCAATTATAAGTCAACTGCTTCGTAGTTGGCTGCCAAAGCAACAGCCATCTTAAACCATGAAATGCCCTTCAGAAGAAAGACATGTGCTAGGAAGATGGAGGAGGGAGCTTGAAGAAACCTGGGTCCCAGGTAAATGTGAAGTCACTATTCCAGTCTCATCTAAATCAGAAAATAATAACTTCCTATCTTTTTCAGCTATGGTTACTTTGAGTTTTTGGATAGATGCGGCTAAACCTCATCCTCATCTACACATTGTTTACATGCAAAATGAATTCCACCTTGAGATATAATATAAGAAGCATGCCCTCTTTGTGGCTGAATATAAACCACAGTGGAACTTTCTCCAAAAAAGGAATATTTACAAAGCTATTCCCTTACCTCCAGGTAAGCAGAAATTATTTAATATTTTATTTTAAAAGAAATCACTGCATTCAATACAATGTATCTTGCTGAGCTTTTCTTGATCGGCATTTTAAGCTCATATGATTAATTTTTCTGACTTTCTGAAGCACATAGACATGAAAACTGAAACTAAGTCACAGATAAACAAGGAGTACACACAAGGATGTATCAAAAGGCAAAGAAAAAAGTATCCTAACACTCAAACAAATATTCATAAACTGTAATTACAGGGGAAAAGGCACAGGATGTTCCTGCCTGTTTATAAAGATTAACAAACCTTGGCCAAACCCTTCTTCTTTTCCTTATCTCCAGTAATTGCCAAGCAAGTTCAACTGCAAAGCTAAAGAATGTGCCAATCTCTTCTTTCAAGACTTTATTCCTCTTTGTTTTCACTGCTCATTTTCTTCAATACGTCATCACAAGTTCCTTAGACCTACCTTTAGATAAAATGCTTCTGTTTCCTTAACTATAATGAGCTTCATGTAAGGAGCAACACCAACATTTATGAAAAATTTGTCTTCCATTTCTTCTACCAAGTTAAATACCTGGCCCTAAAGTAATCTGGGTGGCCACCTGGTCTGGCCATGTCATTCTTCAGATGCTACAAAGAGACATAGTAAGTGAGCTGGCTTCCCCATCTATCCACGGCAAAGTCAGAACCGGCTTCCAAGCCTAGAACAATCTTCTGACTGCACCACCTTCATCCCTCACGGTTCATCTGTTATCTTTCAGCTTTCTTAATCTTGTTTGCCAGGTCGCCACGCATCACTCATTACTCACTGATCTTCGGGTCTATGATCCTTATAACTGCCCATGCCATTACATACTTTATAAATCAGATACTCTCACTGTCCCTTCCCTTTTCTACAGAACTTACTTGTCTACCTTTTTATCCCTTTAAATAAAAGAATAATGATACCCAATTATTGAGCCCGTTGTTACTGTGTTAACATGGGCTTTGCGTGCAACTCTAATTTTGCCCTCTCAATACTTGTATGAAGCAAAAACCACAGGAGATAAGGAAACTTAGGCTCAGAGAAGATAAGTAACTTGCTAAAGTTCCCAAGACACTCTCATTTTATGCTTCAACCTTCTCTGTAGAGTAGCACTGTCCAATAGAAATGTGATACAAGCCATATATGTAGTTTAAAATGTTCTGGTAGTCAGATAAAAAATGTAAAAATAAGTAGTTGAAACTGACTTTTTAACTATATATTTCATTTAACCCAAATATCCCAAATCGTATTTCAACATGGAATTGATGTAAATAAATAATTATTAATAAGATATTTTACATTGTTACAGCACATCTCAATTTGGACAGTGGATTTTCATTAGAAATACTTGATCTGGACTTAGACTTCATAAAATATATGATTGCAAGAATAGATTCACATACCCAAGTTGTTCCAAACGTACTTAAAACTTTTCCAAAAACTGAACACAGCATCACTTTTTTAAAAGTTTAAATTTCACTTCATTGCAAATTATATTAAATTAAAATGAATTCATCAGTCACATGAGCCATATGTCAGGTGCTCAAAAGCCACATGGTAGTCAGTGGCTACCACGTTGGATAGCACAGTTCTAAATCTATGAATGCATTCTTCCAGACAAACTCAACTATATTTTCCTACCTGAACTCATGCAGACGAGTATGTCTCCTCCTCCTCCTCCTCTTCCTCCTCCTCCTCTTCCTTCTCCTCCTCCTCTTCCTCTTCCTCCTCCTCCATGAGAACAGTTAACCCTGCCCATCTTCCGAGGCCCAGTTCAGATGTCTTTTCCTACACAGAGACTTTCCTGATCCACTCAAAAGGAAGTAAACTTCTCCTTTGAACTTGCAGAGCACTTTTTCTGGGCCTCTTGAATGTCAATGATCATATTTCTCTTTGTAGAGTACACATTTCCTTTCACTCCTGACTCCTGTACTACCATCTTTGGAAACCCATAAAGGCTTACCTCAAAACAATGTAAAAAGTAGCTCCTAAAAATATTTTGTGCATGAATCACTCAAAATGATTTGTGAGGGAAATATTAAAATGACACAAGTCTAAGCCTTTGAAATAAACTATTTACTCTCCACAAACAAAACCAGAAGAGGACAACTTCGGTAAAAAATTATAACCTCTTTGGTATCCTTATATAGGTTGAGAAAGAATATGAAAAAAAAAAAAACTATTACCACACCTCACTTGTTTTAAATTTTATAATAGATACATTGGTTTCACAAATCCAGGGGCCTTTTTGTTTCTCTCTATAGACACAAAGTCTTGTTCTGTCACCCAGGCTGGAGTGCAGTGGCACAATTATAGCTCATTGTAACCCCAAACTCCTGGACTCAAGCTGTCCTCCCACCTCAGCCTCCTGAGTAGCTGGGACTATGGGCACATACCACCACACCAGGCTAATTTTTTGTTTCTTGTAGAGACGAGGTCTCTCTATGTTGCCCACACTGATCTTGAATCCCTGGCCTCAAGCAATCCTCCTGCCACAACCTCCCCCAGTTCTGATATTACAGGCATGAGCCACCACACCCAAACACAAGGGGCATTTTTAAAGTACATGTCTATATATGTTTCTTACAGTAAGGCAGAATGAATACCCACACCAGCCTTCCACAGAAAACAACTAGGGATGTTGGATAATGTATTTTAAAGCCCTATTTAAAATATGCATGAGTGGACAAAAAAGTAAAGAACACTTATGTCTCAAAATAATCAGGAAGAACATTGCAGCCCTACAGCCAGTGCTTGCCTTGAAGTCATTTGTTGAATGTGGTGAATCTAAATTCTGTTTTCCTGACCTCACAGGATTCAGTGGACAAAATGCGAATTCTAGGCTTGCCCATGGTAACAAGTTGAATGGGACAGTCCTTCCCATAAAGCTGGGACTCAGCCAGGCATGGTGGCTCATGCCTCTAACCCCAACACTTTGGGAGGCCTAGGCGGGAGGATTGCTTGATCCCAGGAGTTCGAGACCAGCCTGGGCAACATGATGAGACCCCATTTCCACGAAATATTTAAAAATTAGCTGGATGTGGTAGCACTCACCACAATCATGGCTCACTGCACTCCAGCCTGGGCAACAGAGCAAGACCCTGTCTCAAAACAAACAAACAAAAAAAAACACTCTGGGTCTCTAAAAAGGATGTATCTTTATGGTAAGGGAGAACAGCCCTCTCTCAACCAAAGGCAGGAAAATTTCCTACCTTAAACTTTGCAAGTGAAAACAACTCTTAACACAAATCACAGTAGAATGGATATATTATGGTATATACATAGAATGAAATGCCACAAAGCAACAAGGAGCAATGGACTACAGATGAATGCAACACTGAGGCTGAAACTCACAAATATAACGATAAGCAAAGAATCAGACACAAAAGGGTACACTGTAGATATCCATTTATATAAAGTACAAAAATGGCCAAAGCTGGTGAGACACAGTGGCTCATGCCTGTAATCCAAGCAATTTGGGAAGCCAAGATGGGTGAATCGCTTGAGCCCAGGAATTTGAGACCAGCCTGGCCAACATGGCAAAACCCCATCTCTACTAAAAATACAAAAATTCGCCAGGCTTGGTAGCATGCACCTGTAGTTCCAGCTACTCAGGAGGCTGAGGCAGGAGAATCACTTGAGCCCGAGAGGCAGAGGTTGCAGTGAGCTAAGATTGTGCCACTGCACTCCAGCCTGGGCAACAGAACAAGACTCTGTCTTAAATGAATGAATGAATAAATAAATAAATAAATAAATAAATAAATAAATAAATAAATAAATGGCCAAAGCTAACTGATGGTGGTAGAGGTCAGAATATTAGCAACCTTTGGAGATGGTGGGTTGGAGATCATGATTGGGCACAAGGGAGGTTTGTAGGATTCCAATGATGTTCTATTTCTTGATCAGGGTGCTAGTTATATGACTGTTATTACTTGGTGCAAATTCATGAAGCTGTACATTTATAATTTGTATACTTTTGTGTGTATACATTTCAATATAATAAGAAATGAAACAAAAATGAAACTCAACGAACAGTTTCAAAGGTAGATTAAGCATAGCTGAATCAGTAACCTGGATGATACATTTGAAGAAATTATGCTGAATGCAGCTCAGCCCCTGCCCCTTCATTTCACAGTAATCTTTCTAAAGCCTTCTGCCTTCTCTCTTTCATCGGCTTTTTCTCTTCCACCTCTGTTCCTTAAATCCTGGTACCTTCTAGTGTTCTAGCCATCACGTCCTTCTTTTCTTAACCACAAATTTTATTTTGAATCTACTCAATAGTTAATGAAAAGTAATATTTTTAAAATGTAAAGAACATTTATCTGAGATGGACATTGTTGGCAAAAATATTAATCAAGTGGTATCTGTTTAGTAGCAGAAGTACTTAAAATATCTGAAATGACTTCTAGAAAACATTTTCTAATCTGTTTTTTGCTTTCCAGTTTGAGAAAATTTCTTCCAACAAAGTCCGAAACACAGAATTGATGCTAAGTGGCAATTTCTAAATGACAAAAAGGGAAAGCCACAAAAATGTAGTTATGTCAAGGTACTATGCAATGAATGTTTGTATCCCTTTGAAGTGGATATATTGAAGGCCTAATACCTAATGTGACAGTATTTGAGGGTGGAACCTTTGAGAAGTAATTAGGTATGAGGGTGGAGCCTTCATGAATGGAATTCATGTCTTATAAAGACACTAATGTAGAAGAAACATGAGAGAGATGATCATGATGATATGAGTGAAGGCAGGCATCTGCAAATCAGGAAGAAGGTCCTTAGTAGACACAGAATCTGCCAGCACCCTGATCTTGGACTTCCCAGCCTCCAGAACTGTGAGAAATAAATGTTTACTGTTCAAACCACCCAGTCTATGGCATTTGCTAGAGCAGCCTGAACTGGCTAAGACACAACAAAAATTAAGTCTTTTAGAATATGATAATGCTTTTTAAGAAACTATGTCAGAATTCTAGGAAGATAATCTGCACATAAATCAGGCCTTTCTTAGAAAACAAATGTGATGATGTTATTAAAAATAAATGATTCAAAGCAATCTTTAAGGCAATTCTATTTCTAATTCTAGAAACTTAATTAGTTACTTTTCTATTTTGCTCTTTGAACTGACGTATTCTGTACTGTTTTAAACAAATTTGATTTTTTAAAAACACAAGTACCATACTATACTCAAATGTGTGCATACCTACATAGATATGTGCATGCATATATGCCCATAGAATGCTGACATAGTCTCCTGAGGAGTCTTTTACTTGAAATCTCTTGCAGACTTCTAACAACTCTAATCCACTAAAATACAGCCCAAAACTATAAGTGACAATTACCTCTTTGCACCCCAGGAACTAAGGTCCAACCTGGGACCTCTTTGCAACCCAGGAACTAAGGTCCAAGGTCCAAGGGTGGGAGGATGTAAAGTATTAGATTTTCACGCTAATTGCACACAATGCCTACATACAAGGAAGGGAATAATAGCAGAAGAAAAGCCTATCCCAATGTCATTCTCATAGGTCACCTGTCCATTTGCTCTCAGTGGGAGTTAATTCCCAGAAACTAGGGGGGCACACTTGTGAGTCAAAAGAGGCAGGAGAGAGAGGTGGGTACATCTGTTCTATCTAATGGGATTCGGTTCCACAGTAGAGCCAGTGCCCATGTTGCATAAACAGGAGGAAGCAGCCTCAGATCCAGGATACCTTTTTTTCACCATGATGAATAGAACATCAGTGCAGAAGGGATGCAGAAGGGAAGATGGGCCTAACTGGAATTATGTAGTACATATGGTGTGTATGTTGTAAGTTGTAGGTATGTTGCTATCTGGCTAGCACAGTTAACCAAATACTGTAAGTGGACATTGTACCCTCAAATTTCAAGATACAATGTTGTTGAACATTGATAAATAAATGATGAAGCTAAACCAATTTCCAGCAATGTATTTCCCAGATACTTTCAAAATGTCAGTTTACCAAGACCTCTCGTATTTCATTTCCTCACAGGTCCTTTTGGTATTTCATCAGAAATGACTGGCTGATGGGTTCCCTTGTGAAAGTGCCCCATTTGGACAAGTTAAATGAGTAAACCTGGTTAAAAAAATATATTCACCAAGAGCCTCTGGGCATAGGTACAGTTTCCAAGAGCCCAAGCATTCTTGGCTACTTGTAAGTATTATTGGAAGGCACTCAAAACAAACACTCCATTTGCCTGATCTTCAGCAAAGAAAATATCAGCCTGTGTGAGCTAATGTGGATGTTATTTTAGAATTAGCTTCACTGCCATTTCAGGGTAGCTAATACTATTGTCCTCAACTCAAAGCCTTTTGAACTTAGATTTAGAAGGCAGGCAAGCTGCAAAGCTTGTGACTTTGAGTGTTCTAGAAAAACTCAAATATGAGTAGATTTAGCTTGGTCGTGCAGGACACTTTCCCTTAACTTACTGAGGTATTTGTATCATGGAAGAAGTTGAAAGATTACTTTCAACTGTAGGAACAGCAGGGGTAGCTTCACAGGCATGAAACCAGGCAGTGGCTCAGGGCTTCACAGTACAAAGGGCTCTGTGCTGAGTTAAATGCTCTGCTGCTGCCATCTTGAAATTCTTAATATTTCTTGAACAAGGGGCTCTGCATTCTCATTTTGAACTGGGCCTTGCAAACCTGGAAACAGCAATGTGGCTTTACTTCTACCTCCTTCCTAGACAACTTTCCTTCTTGTTTGCATATACAGGTTTCTCTATTCATATTAAATATAAAATGTATCTTTTAGTAGCTGAGTCTCTGAAAGGTTTGGCCCACCACAAGGATAAAAAACAGGATGAGAGAACAGTAAAGTAAAATGATAACATTAGAAGAAATGGAAACTGGGTACAGGGTATACAGGAATTATCTGTACAATCTTTGCAACTTTTCTGTAAATCTAAAATTATTCTAAAATATAAAGACCAGCTCATCATCAATTTAAAAAGAATGTAGTAATTATAAAGAGACAATTGTAAAATAACCAGAAACAACAACAGTAACAAAAGCCTTTCACACTTGAAAGTTAAAAATAAAAAAGAAACAACAGTATTCTTCTTAAAAAATCACTTGATCAAAGAAAATTAAAAATGGAAATTGTAAACTTGGAAATATATTACTATTATTTTCATAACCATTAAAGGATTTAATTAGAATTGTTTAAATATAGCAAAAAATATGTTTAAAACTCAACAGTCTACTTTTGGACCACAACAATAGGAAAAATGAAAATCCCTTTATTCAGAAATGTGCATTAACGATATGTGCATGTGTTTGTGTATGTGAATAAATTATAAAATTTTGCTAAATGATACTAAAGAAGACTGAAGTAAATGAATCATATCCTATTGCTGGATGGAAATAATTAATTTCATAAAAATATCAGACTTGTCTAAAGTAATACATTTTTAAAATTCTTTCTGTAATCTGAAAAAGATAATGAAAAATCTCTGTACCCCTGGGGGATGCAGGGAATCATCCTTGGGGGAAGGACAATGTAATAGTCTGATCCTGAGACCCAGGGATACAGGGCCTACCTCAAACTGAGGCTGAACCAGGTCAGCAATGGCTTAATTCACTTAAAAACATGTCCCCAGGCTCAAAAAGCTAGGAAAGGACAGATCCAGGGCTTGAGACCATTCATTCAGTCATTAACGCATTCATTAATCCATCAATTATTTTTTGATCACCAACTCTGACCAGGGCATTGTTCTGGGGGAGAGACAGAGCAACGAACAAGACACATACCAGTTTGCTTTCCTGCTTTCTTGGGATATACATTCAAAAGGGTTAAGCACAGATTTGAGAATACAAAAGCAACAAATAAATAGGTTTCTCCACCTTGGCACTACTGACACTGGGGGAAGAATGATTCCCTGTTGTGAGGGTGGTTCTGTGCATTGTAGGATGTTAGCAGCATCCCTGGTCTCCACCCACTAGATGCCGGTAGCACCCTCCACCCCAGTTGTAAGAACAAAAAAATCTCCAGATCGCCAAATTTGCCCTGGGGAGACAAAATCCCTCCATGTTAAGAACCACTGACATAAATGAATTCAATAATTTCACATAGTGGTAAGCAATATGAAGAAAATAAAATTGGATGATGGACAGAGATGGAGAGGCACCACTTTAGACTGGAGGGTCACAGAAGGTTGTTTCAAGGGGAGAAGGCCAAGAATCAGGCATTGACATATGAGGGCAGAGAGTTCTAGGCAGTGGGAACAGCGGGTGAAAAGTTCCTGAGGTGGTAAGGAGCTTGGTGTGTTAAAGGAACATAAAGAAAACAGAGTGACTGAGGTGTGATGACACAGAATGCGTGAGCAGGGGCCAGATCATACAGCAACTTAGGGTTTATGCTTGAAAAGATGATTCAGTTGCTCTTTGGAGAACAATTTGAGGTAGCCTGAATAGAAGGGGAAATTGGTAGTCTAGGAGAAAGACTGTGGGAGCAGAAATAGGGTTTTAGTGAAGGAAATGGGAGTCACTGAACAGATCTGTCACATGGTGATGTGGAGGTAAGAGGCCTTGCTAATAGACTGGACATGGACAACAAGTTCCCCTTCTCCTTTAGGTGTCTGCCAAGATGGGTCCCATTGTCTATATTCTGCTGGAGATCCACCCCTGCCTCCAACTAGGCCAGATGTGCTGCATTCCTGTTTGGGCTCAATCTCTAATTCTTGGCCCCACTCTGTACCCTCATCTTCTAATAGGTCACCCCTGACCGCTGCCCTAGTCAGCTCCATGGCCAGAAACCTCATCTTCCCTTAGCCTCCCTACCATTTTCTCACATCCGGTTTCCCTCCAAACATTGCCAGCACTTGAAGTCTCTCGGGAGCTAAAGCTGAACATTCTGTTTCTATGATTATAGAAACCCAAGAATTATCTTCATCATGAATTCCAGAGAAGAGCCTAGGGGGTTTCTCAGAGTCATCTTATGAACAAAAGACATGGTACATACAGGGGTCAAAAATGCAAGAAAGAGGAATGTACAGTACAACATAGTAACCCCAAAAGGGATATTTAAACAGTGATTGAAATCACGGGTTGAATTGTGTCTCCCAAAAAGATATGGTCAAGTCCTAACCCCATGTTACCTGTGTATGTGACCTTATTTAGAAATGGGATCTTCGCAGATGTAATTAGTTAAGATGGTCACATTGGATTCGGGAGGGCCCTAAATTTGTAAGGGTGTCCTTACAGAAAAAGGAGGGGACACATACAGACACAAGCACACACAGGAAAGAAGTCCATGTGACAATGGAGGCAGAGACTGGAGTCATGTAACTGCATGTTAAGGAACATCAAGGATTGCCAGGAGCCACTGGAAACTAGGAAGAGGCAAGGAAGGAATCTCCCCTAGCACCTTCACAGGGATCATGGCACTGCTGACACTTTGATTTTGGACTTCTGGCCTCCAGAACTGACAGAGAGAATACATTTCTCTTGTTTTAAAACACCCAGTTTGTAGTCATTTGTTTTGGCAGCCCTAGGAAACTAACACAATGCACATTTAGACAGTTTGGGCCAAAAAAAGTACATTTTAAGTACATGTGAATTTCCTGTTGAAAAGCTATAGCACAGAATATTTGAATGATGAAGGTTAATCAGATGAAGAACTCCAGCAGCTTGACCTTCTGAATTCAGTTGATATTGAACACATATGCCCTGTTAAAGCTGCCTTCTCAACACTCCTTTTGGCTGCTCAACTGCTCCACTAGACCCAAGCTCCTGGGGTCCAGGCTCTAATGCTGGGTTCTTTGCAAAGTGAAATTCAATATGTACCCTCTGGGCCCTGAAGCCTGAGTACCATGCCTGAGGGAGCCTCAGTAAAGGTTGATTGAGCCTTTGCATGTTCTGATTACCCTTTCCCACAAGCTGTAAACTTGACAAGCACACACTACTCCAAAGAGACCTGGACAGTCTTCTAAAGGTGTCACCCTCACACCACACCACAGCTGAGTCAGCAAAATTCCAGGGAGTACACAACAGTTTCATCCCCAAGTCTGTCTACAGCGTTATCTATTGGTGCTTCTTTGGGTCCACATACCACCTTTTCTAGATCTAATCAATGCTTCTTGTTTACATCCACCTCCATATCCAGCTAATGAAAATTTAAATGGATGTATAAATCTCACCAAATTATAAGTGGACCAAGGCATTGTAACTCAGAAGATGGAATGCTAGACAGCAAGAGAAATGTTTTGGATGGTGGCACTTCTCTGGCATGCTTTCAACTCTTTGGCAGGGGACAAGAAGCCCTTTTTCTTAGTCATACAGAAGAATAAAAATATGCAATCAAAGGGACAAATTAAAATTATAAAGCAGTGAACAAATGGCAATAATAATTTGCCTTTCATTTTAAAGTGTGGCATTCTATGGCATGGCTATGGTTTGGATACAGTTTGTTTGCCCTCACTAAATCTCATGTTGATCTCTGATCCTCAGTGTGGTGGTGTTGGGAGGTGGGGCTTAGTGGGAAATGTTTGAGTCATAGGGGCAGATCCCTCATGAAGGACTTGGTGCCATTTTTGCAGTAGTGAGTTCTAGCTCTTGTGAAATGGAATTAGTTCTCAAGGGAATGAATTATTTTTCCCAAAAATGAGTTGTTATAAATCCAGGATACTCCTGGGTTTGGTCCCTCTTTGCATGTGCCCACTTCCCTTTTGACCTTTTCTGCCATGTTTTGACACAGCACAGAAGCCCATACCACAAGCCAAGCAGATGCCAGTACCATAGTACTTTTATAGCCTGAAGAACCATAATCTAAATAAATCTCTTTTCTTTGTAAATTACATAGCATCACATATTCCTTTATCACAACACAAAACAGACAAAGACAGGCATTCAATATTCTGCAGTATTATCTTCAGTGGTTTAACAGTATTCCATAATAGCGCTATATGATCATTTAATCAATCCACTATTATAGACTGTTTCCATTCTTCTTGTGCCCTATTTTTAAAAAATACTGTGATAACACATCCTTGAAGCTAAATTTTAGCACACACCCAGGGTTATTTCTACAGGATAAATGTCTTGATATGAACCTATAGAGTTTCAGGAATTAACATCTTTAAGGCTTTTGGTTCCTACAGCTTTTGATTCTTATTACTGAATTTTTTCCTACCCATGCCAAAAAAGTTGTATGCATTTGCACCTCCAGCAGCATATCTTGAGTGTTTCTTTCCCAATCCAATTACCAGCATTATATATTATACAATTTTCATCTTTGCCAAAGTTACCCATAAAAATGGTAAAAAGCATTTGAGTGTAATATTAAAGAAACTACACACACACACACACACACACACACACACACACACAAACACACACACACAGAGCTTTCAAGAAAATAATCATTGATCTAAAAACTTAAAAGCTTCCAGACAAAAACACAGGAGAATATCTTTTCGACTTTGAGGTAGGAAAACATTTCCTAGAATATAAAATTTGATACACTTCATCAAATTAAAAACAAAAACAACTCTTGCTCATGAAAAGACATCATTGCTGAAGTAAAAAAAAAAAAAGCACCACAGACTAGGAGAAATTTTTAAAAACACATGTCTAATGAAGGACTTGTATTTAGATTTTTAAAATTCCTACAAATAATGCAAATAAACAAAACAATAGGAATGGGAAAAAAGACGTGATCGAGAAATTCTCAAAATACTCAAACTGTCAATAAATATGAAAAGGTGCTCAGCAAGGAGATGCATATTAAAGCCACAGAGAGATTGAATAAGATATCTGAGACAGTGTTACAAGGCAATCAAAAGATATAAAGGACATACACATTGAAAACAAAGGAGAAATACTAAGCTTTTTTTTTTCCCAGAAAAGACAATCATGTATTAATTATGTAGGAAGAAAATCCAGAAATCTACTTTAAAAAGCCACTAGAGCTATAAGTAGATTGAGCATGGCCTCAGGATGCAAGGTTAATATCCAAAACCAACTGAATTTCTATTTGTAATCAATGAAGGATTGAAAGATGAAACCAGAAAAACAATACAACGTATAATTTAATCAAAGCACACAAACCACTCAGGAATAAATTTAGCCAGATATACACAACAACCTAAAAACTGAAAATTTAAAAATATTACTGAGGAAAGAAAAAAGACAAATAAATCAAACCATAATTTCAGTGTAATCTCAATCAAAATCCCATCATCAGTTCTTGCAGACATTATAAAATTGTATTGAAATACCAAGAACCCAGATTAGCCAATACATTTTGAATAGGAATAACCAAATTATAGGACTTACAGTGTCTGGTTTCAAGATTTACTATAAAGCTACAAAAATCAAGACATTGTGTACAGTGAAAGACAGGATGATAATTGCATGAAGAAAGACATATAGAACAATGGGACAGAATAGAGAATCCACAAACAGACTCATAATATAGTCAACTGATTTCAACAAAGGTGTCAAAAGTAATTTAATGGGGAAAGGAGAGAGTTTCAAAAAATGATGGTATAACAATGTTTTCTTAAAAAATTAAACTGTCCCTCTACTTCACACCATATATAAAAATGAATTCAAAATGAATCATAGACCTAAATGTAATTATTAAAACTATAAAATGTTTTCAAGATAATATAGAAGAAAACCTCTGCAATCTTGTGGTATACAAAGATTTCTTAAGATACAAGAAAAACCCAACAAGAACAGATGAAAATATTAAAAATTGGACTCCATCAAAATTTAAAATTCATGCTCTTTGAAAGATATCATTAAAAAATGAAAAGGCAAGACATAGACTAGGAAAAAAATATCCACAATACTTATATCAGACAAGTGACTTGTTTCCAGAGTATACAGAGAGATCTTACAACTCAAAAATTGACAATTTTTCAGTTATGAGAACTTCAAATATGATAAAAAAAAAAAAACAATTTTTCAAGCTGGTAAAAGATTTGGAAACTTAACAAAATAAGATAATAAATGGCTGATAGGCACATAAGATATGATATTTATCAGCACTATTCATCAAGAAAATGTGAATTAAAACAAGAGATACCACTAAACTTGCTAGAATTTAAAACTATACTGTATGATTACTGTATGAATGACAAATGTTGGTAAGAATATGGAACAATTGGAACTCTCATGCCTTGCTGATGGAAGCATAAAATGTGACAACCCTTTAGAGAACTGTATGGTAATTTCTTATAAAGTTAAACATACGCTTACCATATATCCCGGCCATTTTACTTCTAGGTATTTACTCAAGAGAAAGGAAAACATATGTCCCCAAAAGAATTGTACACAAATGCTTATTGCAGCTGTTTTCATAATAGCACAAAACAGAAAACAACTCAAATATTCATCCACAGATGAACAAGTAAACATATTGTGATATGTCTGTACAGTGGAATATGAGTCAACAATAAAAAGAAATTACTGAAATACACAAGGACATGCATGAATCTCAAAAATATGTTGAGATAAAGAAGCTAGACCAAAAAATACACATACAATATGATTCCAATGCTAAGAAATTCTAGACAAACAAAACTAATCTGTAGGGTCAGAAAATAGATCAGTGGTTGCCTGCTACCAGGCACTGACTGGGAAGGGGCATGAAGAGTTTCTTTTATGGTGATGGAAATATTTGATATCTTGATGTGGTGGTTACATGGATATATATACCTGCCAAACTTAGTCAACCTACACACTTAAGATGGCATATTTTATTGTATGCTAATCATACTTCAATAAAAGTGATTTTTTTTAAAAAGAGATATAAATGCATACCCTTCAGTATGACTAAAATTATAAAGACTGCAAGACCAAGTGTTGGCAAAGATATAAATAATTAGAACTCCTGTACATTGATGGAAAACTTCTTTGGCAGTTAAAGTTAAATAAACAGCTTCCCTATGAACCAGCAATTCCACTCCTAGCTTTATACCCAAGAGAAATGAGTATGTATGTCCACAAAAAGGCTTGTAAAAGAATGTTCACAGAAGCTTTATTTGTAATAGCCAAAGGCTGGAAACTCCCCAAATATCTATCAACAGGAGAGTAGATAAACAAATTGTGGTGTGTTCATACAATGGAAAACTACCTGGCAATAAAGGAACAAACTAATGATGTCCACAACAACTTATAGTCTCAAAAGCATTGCGTACAGTGAAAGACACATTAACTCATACAGTATTATTCCATTTATATGGATTTCAAAAACAGGCAGCACTAATCTATGTGGATAGAAATTAGGATGGCAGTTGCCTCTGAGCAGGGGAACTAACTGGAAGAGGCATAAGGAAACTTCCTGGGGTGATGGAGATGTTTTATATCTTAATCTGGGTAATGGCCATGTGCATTTCTCAAATTTCTTCAAGACGTACACTTTAATATTGCTGTGTTTTACTAAATTGTGCCTTGCAAAGCATGAAAAAAAACCCATAAAAATAAAATTTGAAGCCAGAAAGATTGGGGGGTTGAGAGTTCAGCAGAGCTTGTGTTCATTTGTGCTTAATTTCTCATTTTCATAGAGATTTCAAAGATGCTAACTATCAAGAATATTCTTCACCAACAACAAAATTCTTCCTAGAGCAAAGTGACACAGAGCTCTAGTTTCATGAGGGCACAAAGAAACAAAACCAGGAGACTGCTGAGCAGTGTAAGCCCAAACTCTTTGAACTCATAGAAGGGATTCTAAATTGGGAATCCAAACATTTTCTGTTTCCTAGCAGAAATACTCATGCATGCAAAAGCTCCAGGCAGGCAATGGGGCTATTGAAATGGCAATCTGGCCATGACAGATGTTTTAAAATGCATTTGAATCCACTCAGTCTCCACTTTAACGAAAGGCGGCTTTCTCCCAGAGTTACTCATAACAACTCATGTAGTCTGTGGTCACAGTTAATCTGACTTACAGGGTCCTGAGTTTGAAGGGCTGTGTCTTGGAAGGTTTCTCACAGGCCATGAGACAAACAGTGCCTGCCGCACAAGAAGCAACACATCTTTCATGGTGTTTTATTGTTGCTATCATGAAATGTGAAGTGGTATGACTGTACAACCAGCAAGGGCAACATCCCGGTTCAGCTCATCAGAACACAGCTCCAAAGAGATTTAATGTTGGAGACACCTAGTAACACATTCATTTCTGGAGGGTAGCATCCCTCTGATCAACAGGTCATTGTATACATTCAGCTGCTTAGGAAGTATCTGCAAATGTGACATTCTGATTACAGGCTGGTACTCTATGGCAGATGGAATCTAGATATTTTCAAACTTAGAACTCTTTTCAGGGCTGGCTTCATGGGTTCATGACCTGTGCACACAGCCCCATGCTCAGAAGGGCTCTGCACTTGGTTTAAGGCTCATCTCTCGCCATCTTGAAATTCTAATAATTTTTTCAAAAGGAGCCTCGTGTTTTCATTTTGTACTGGGTTCTGCCAATTATGTAGCCAGTCCCAGCTGATGCTACAGAAGCTCATCTCTCCTGGACCTTGAGACTAAAAGTGAACCTTGGCCCCACTGCTCTTAATCAAGAGCTAATCTATATATTAAATTTGGTTCTTAAATTCACTGGGGGTCGGGGGTATACCGTGGAGGGAGAATCTATGTACCAGTCTGCCTTTACATTTGCAAATCTGGCCAGGTGATCCCCCTTCAATTTGGCTCCACAAAAAGCCTTACCTTGAAATACACATGCTTAGGGTGGGAGCAGGATACTGTGAAAATGAAAGGAAGGCTGGGCAAGGATTAAGTCAGGGTAATAATGAAGGGAAGGAAAGGAAAGGGAAATGTACGACAGTTGAGCTCTTAATTGTTCTCACTTGGATTTCTGCAGTTTATTCTTTCTCTAGTTTGTTTCCCTGCCCGTTTTGCCTATCCACACAAAAACTTGTGTGTGAATCTTCATAGCAGCAGTATTCATAATAGCCCAAAACTGAAAACACAAATGACTTTCAACTGATGAATGTAAAATGTGATATACACAATGGTATGTTATTCGGCAACAAAAAGAATAAAGTATAGATATATGATACGACATGGATGAACCTTAAAAACATTATGCTAAATGAAAAAAGCCAGAAACCAAAAAAAATCACATACTGTATAATTCCATTTATATGAAATATGCAGAATAGGCAAGTCCACAGAGACAGCAAGTAGATTAGTGGTTGCCAGGGGCTGAGGATGAGTAGGTATGGAGTGGGAGAAATGGGGAGTGATGGCTGGCTAATGGATATGGAGTTTCTTTGTGGTGTGATAAAAATGTTCTAATTGATTGTGGTTATGGTTGTACACCTCTGTAAATATACTAAAAGCCATTTAATTATGCAGTTCAAATGCGTGAATTGTATAAGTGAATTACATTTCAGTAAAGCCATTTTTCCAAAATGTAATGTTAAGTAATCATTACAGTTTTAGCATGTTAGCTGCTTTTCCTCCCCCCAGTCTTTTTTAGTTGAAATAACCAAGACACACAGAAAGAACTCAGCAATACACACACTGTAACTCAAGCCAAATTTCCCCTGGGTTACTAAATAAACAATCATCAGAGTTATTGAGTCTCTCAGATGAATTCTGGTTCCCATGATGCTGCATCCTGTACCTCTGCTGTAGTTCTCTTATCTAGCAAGAGCTCATTGCTGCCCTTTCTGCCACAATGAATGTAAGGAAGATGACAAGCAACATTTATTTCCCTTATTTTTTAGTTTGTTTTATTCAAATAACTCACAAATCAGCTGATCTTTTAGGCAATGATAGTATTAATAAATCTTTTAGAAAAAAATCATCCTAAAATATGTACAATATATGAAAGGTTAACTGCATCTGGTCTTAAAAATGCAAATTACTAGGATCTCCCCTGGAGTGCTACTATTTACAGAGGATTTTTTTTCCTCTCCCTCTAATATTTTCATGGTGATACTAACTAGAGGCTTTCAGAATAGGGGCTACTGTGGAATGCTGGAGAATTCCTTCCCCAGGATCCTCCGTGGCTGTATTACTCAATGATTCGATTCCCATGAGCTTCTCTTAGGGAAGCTAAGAGTAATTTTTTTTCACATGCACGCACACCCACATATAATGACTGCAGGCCTTAATCCAACTCCATATAATCAATTTGCAGAAAGACACAAAAGCTAAAAGAAGGGACAGGGCACTATGGAAAGTAGCAGCAATGCTGAAAGTGCTGTGATAGAAACAGCCCAAGTTGTGGTGCCACGGTGAGTGGAGTACAAGCTAACCAACAGGCAGAGTGGGGACTCCATGATTGAAGGATACGATGAGTGCACCAGAATACAGTAATGCAGGCATTTCCTAGTGGAGTCCTTAGAGAAAGAATGTGTGCCAAGTACAGTGGCCAAATAAACTACAAGACACCCAGTTAAACCTGGTTTTGGATAAAGAACACATACTTTTGTAGTATAACTATATTCCAAATATTGCAAAGGATATATTTTACTAAAACATTGTTTGTTTTCTGAGATTCCAATTTAACTGGATGTCCTGTATTTTTATTTGCTTAATCTGGCAACCCTAATTCTAAGGAAAGAAAGCCTCAGCTCACTAATGGCAGGTAAATGTGAGAAGGGAGAGGAAATTCTGAATACAGGTCCAGTATTCTTTATTCCCCTAGCACAGAGGAAACAAGACACAAATGACAAATTAACTCACTAAGAATAAGAGTCACACTAAATCTGGCAAACTCCCATGAAGTTCATAGAGTTCCACAGCTTAGAGGGCATTTCCCCCAATTTAGCAGGTGAAACCTGGAAGCTACAGTTGCAGGAGCCCAGTGTTCTAAGCCGGTGGTTCTCCACCAGGAGTGGTTTTAACAAGGTCTAGGGGATATCTGTCACAACTTTGGTGGGGGAATGCTGGTGGAATTGGCTTCAAGTGGAGAGGGGCCAGAGATGCTACTAAATATTCTACAGTGCGCAGGATAGTCCCCCACAGTGAGGAATAATTCAGCCTCAAATATCAATAGTACTTGGGGAGGAGAAACTCTACTCTCAGCTAAAAAGTAAGAAAAGCCTAAATGGGGAAAAGAGGAATGGCACTAGAAGTCATCACTGACAGCTGGCGTACCCCCAGCAGCTGCAGATAAAGAGAATCCAGCAGATTCCACACAGTACCTGGGCAGCCAAAATTCCCGTTCTCACGTAAGACCTCTCCTGGAGGCACCCTAATGAGTTTGGGGAATGTGCAGAGGGCTGATGAGTTGGTGTCCTGAGATGTTGACCTCTCAGCATTTTTCTTTCCATAGGGGGCCACCTTCCTTGTGCTCATACTGTCCTGGTTCACTTGGCAACCATCAAGCAATGCCCACCCACACCGTGGCTCTGGGGTGCAGACTTGATGCTGGTCTGGACTGTCATGGACCCTGTGGCAGATGTCCTTGGGGCTCAGCTCATATCCCCTCCAAGTCCCCAGTGTTATGCTTAGTGGCTCTAACAGGCTCTTACTCCAAACGGCCAGCCTTGTGTCTCCTGGTTAGAGAACTACCCACAGACTTCCAGAATCTCTTTTGCCTGCACATGTGAAGAACCAGGAGTGCCCAGAAATTTATATCCCCTCCCCACAGTGTTGGTGGGGTAATCCCGATGGGGAACACAGCACTGAGTGGGGTCTACACTGTCCCCAGTACTTCTCTGTGGAGTTGCACTTAAGTTATCCTCTGGGGGGTGAATTTTATGAGACCTTGAACTCTGTGGAGCCTCCCTCTCTTCTTCATCCCACTTCCTCTACCATTTTTTCCCAAGAATATTTCCTGACCAATCCTTTTCCTGTTAATCCTACTCTCAGAGACTGCACCAGAGGAACACAGTCGAAGGCAGAACTCTTCGTGCTGCCCTCAGCAGATATGAGGGATAGACATATGACCCAAAATGGGCTGCAGCAGATATTGACCACTGCCTTACCAACAACCATCTGTACACACACCCTCTCCTGCCATGCACACAGAACTTGCAATGTGTTCAAGAGGCAGGAACCTTTGGTTTCAGGAAAAGCTGTCCCTTCACTTAGCCTCAGATGCCGAGCCATGATTGTTGTAAACCACTCATGTTAACTCCGTCGCTTCTTGCCAATAATTGGTCTTGGAGTGGACACGTGCCCCACTTCTGGCCAATGGGATATAAAGAGAAGTCCACTGGGGGTTTTAGAGTAGAGATCTTCTATCCCCCAAAATAAGAGTGTTGTCAGAGGAATGACCTCTTTTCTATCCTTTCTTCCTCCTTATGATGCTGAGGTGAAGAAGTGATGCTTGGAGCTGCAATCATGAGCATGAACTCAAGAGGGTTACAAGACACTGCTCAGCTCCTGCTATCACTGAGTCACTGACTCAACCCAAGAGCCCCTTACCTCCAAACTTCTAGCTCTGTGAGATAATCAAATGTTTTTTTTTTTTCTTTTCTTTTCACTTAAGCCACTGCTGATTACTCTTCTGCTTACCAATGAAAATATCCTGAGATGAAAGGCAATCATAGCCCTCCCATGAAACTGGTTAATAAATTGGATGTTGTAATAGAAATGGTCTCACTTCCTTTGGGATCATGAGCTGTAGGGATGGATGTCTCTGTTGGATTGTGATTATCTTTTATGACTATAGGGAGAAAGACATATTTAGTGGAAGAAGTTAAAGCCAGCAGGGAGGGAAACAGAGCTGAGAGACTGCTCTTATACTAATGTTAATTCTTATAGTGACACCGTCTTCAACTCTCTTATCTGTAAAGTGGGAATAATAATTCCTATTATGCAGGGCTGCTATGAGAATAATTTGAAATAACATTTCAAATTGTAAAGTGCCTGGTTCCACTTCTCTTAAATTTAAAAACCTAGAGAATAAGGTATTCCAGGCTTATCTGCAAAGAAGCTTAATGTTTTGTTATTTAATAGTATTTGGGTTGTATCCTAAAAGTCAGTGTGCCCGAGCTTGAAAACTGGCTTCCCTTGAAAAGACTTTGGCATCTGATGCAGCTTTGCCCTGGTATGTGCAGCAGCTGTGCTCAGAGATGTCCAAAAAAGAGAGGAGGGCAGGGGAGGGGAAAGGGGAAAGAAAGGAGAGAGAGAGGAGAATTTTAGAGAAGATTAAGTAGGAGGAGGAGGAGGAAGAAGAGGAAGGAGAATCGAAGGAGGAGGAAGAAGAAAAAGAGAAGGAAGATGATAATGAAGAGGAAGAAAAAGAAGAAAGAGGAAGAGGAGGACAAGGAGGAAGATGAAGAGGAAGAAAAATGAGAGCAGAGGAGAAGGAGGAAGAGAAAAAAGGAAGAAGGAGGCAGAGGAGGAGGAGGAAGAAGAGAAGGAAAAAGAGGAAAAAGAGGAGAAAGGAGAAGAAGAAAAGGAAAAGAAAGAAGAGGAAGAAAAGAAAAGAGAAAAAGAAAATAAATAAAACAAATTGGATACATAATTGGGATTCTAAAAAGCTTAATGGCTGTATCATTCATTAAGTATCTGTTGAGCCCCACTCCATTAAAAAATTAAAAAGCTAAAATTTACTGGCTGCTTCTTGTCATATAAATCATGTTTAGCATTTAGTTTGCAATATTACATTTAACACTCAGAAATAAAAAAGAAAAACTATTAAATAGGGGCTTTATTTTTCTAACTTTACATTTGAGAAAACAGAAGCTCAAAAAGTTACATAAATTGCCCCAAGTCACACAGTTAAGTGGGTGAGCAGGGATTCAGACCAGGTGTGCCTAAGTCCTTAGCCCCATTCTTAGCCACTCTTGTGCTCAATGCCACTGAAGACATTCACTGAGAATGGAAAACAAACAAACAACAACAACAAAAAAAAAACATATCACTCAGGTGTCATGAGCTAGCCAGTGTAATTACCCAATTATGTATATATGAGATCCTTAACATTAAGTAAAAGAAAACAAAATGAGATGTAACATTCCCCTGTCTGGAAGTTCACAGCCAATAGTGGAGACAAAGTGTAAATACGTAGTTCTAATGCATGACCACTGTTCTAATGAACTCACTTGAAAGCCACTGCAAGTTTCATACAGAAAATGTTTTTAATGCCTAGTCTTCCAGGATGAATGAGGATTTATCACGGAAAGAGTATTAGAAGAGAAGAGGGAGGGAGAAGTAAGCTTCCAAAAAAGGTATGCAAGGCACAAGGTGTTTTCAGAGAGGTGATCAGCTGAATGCATTGGAAGTAAAATTGTAGGAAATGCCATTTAACTTCCAAAAATATTCTGAGCTTACATAATGTTGGTCTCCCTTCTCAGCTCCCAAGTTTTTAGTCATGCAATAAACATTATTTTTAAAGTTCTCATCTACTTTTGTCTCTCTTCCACACACATAAGCAAAATAAACTTTGAAACTGTTCAGCAATTTATAATAGTTTCATGTGATTTTTTGAATCAGCTCTAATAAATGCTAAATGAAAATATAATTTTATATGCCATACCCATTCACACATGCACTGCTCATTTTCCCTGTGATGACTTGGGGCAGGATTGGGGTGGGTAGGATCAGTGAGCCCAGTTGCTACATCTCTTCAATTTGCAGGTTCGTGAGGAAGGGATTTTTTCCACAAGAATTTAGCTAGCTGGTGAGAGAAGGAAAACATCGAACATTGCTTCCTGACCCCTGGGGGCCTATGGGTGGGTGCCTTACTGCCTTTTCTCTCCAACTCATTCATACCAATTGAAGAGCTGGTCCCCGATTCTTTCTTTTATATGTAGAAGCAGTTTTACAGAGCAGATATTTTATTTGATAGCATAAGAAACAGAAGCTGATTTTGATCTCAGTATATAGAAATCACCGGTAGGCATATGATTAAGTCTGCACAGGGGATGAGAGCAAGAGAAGCCTGTGAGAAAAGAAATGTGAGCTCAACACACACAAGCCACCTCCTAATAAGGAAAAATGATGTTTTGACCATACTCTTGCAAGAAAACTCTGGGTTATAGTGACCTGAAAATAAACTTGCCCAGATGTCATGCTAGGTGAGGTAGAAAACCCCAAACAATCATTGGGTTACCATGGGTGAATCCTAAATCAGATGTTAAGTAAGTTCAAGAGCCAAGAGAAAATAATTTTTTAGGAGAATTAAAATTTATTTTCTGCATATGTAGAAACTTTAGCTCTCTACATATTCATTTGTTCATTAAGTCACTCACTTTTTCATTCGATGGATAATCTCTGAGTGCTTATGATAAAGCAAGCATTGTTCTTGTAATAAGGTAATCTGCCAGTGAATGAGCCAGGTTGAGGGGAAAACAGAATGAAAACATAAATCAATTATAAAAAATAATAAATCAGTTATAATGTTACATGGTGAGAAATGCCTTCCTCCTTTCCCTCCTTCCTTTCCTGAACAATTCAATCCAAGACCCATGACATCAGGCCTTGCAGGACAGGTATCTGCATCAGGTGGGGCAGGAGTGGTGACTCAGCACAGTGTATCAAGTATCATGAGGAGGGCATTCACTCAGGGTGGTCTGTTGCTGGGGATCAAGCCCAAGTGGCATGAAGAGGGCATCCACACAGGGGAATGATGATGCTGGCCTGGCATGGGATGTTGAAGCCTGAATCAGGTGAATAAGGTGCCCATGTGCCACGTTGGCAGAAGTGGTACTGGCAGTGGCTTGGTATGGGATTTTGGAGCCTGAGGCAGTGAGAGGAAGCACAGGGTGGGGTGTCAGAGCCCAAGAAAGGTGAGCAAAGCATCCGTGTAGGGATGTGGAGGCTGGTGGTGGCAATGGGAGATTGGGTACATATGGGGGTAATTGATCAATTATGGTTATATGGAGGGTGGGAGGACCACATTTCTCACTGTTAGAGAAGTAGAAAAGGAAAATGAGAAATGTTCATGTGGTACTAGATTGGAATTAGAAGCATTGGTGTGAAGTCATGATTTTTCAATACATAGAGATAGATACAGAAGTAAATACATATGTAGATGTATGTACATATATGCATATGTGTAAATAGATAAATACATAGATTGCCCTGGATCTCTCCACTGAGAAGGTCTAAGAGTTGTGACATTCAACAGTAATGAGTATACTCTGTGTACAGATCTTGGTTTCTAAATACCATTTTACACTAAACAGAGCCAGGTTTCTTTGGGGAAGTGGCTTGAGAGCTGGAGCAAGAAAGGTACGAGGTGAGGCTACAGCATTTTGTTGGGCCAGAAATCAAGGAAGTATTCAAAGAATGATGGGGACATATTGAAAGAACACAGTAAGCATCTTGAAGGGGCTCCCACTTCAGGGCTTCAGATTCAGCAAATAAAAATAGAAGATGCCCAGTTAAACTTGAATTTCAGTTAAACAACTAATAATTTAAGTATGTCCATGCAATATTAAGCATGTATATGCAAGATTTTAGACATATTTTACTAAAACAATTATTAATTGTTTATCTGAGATGCAAATTTAGCTGGGTGTTCTATATCTTATCAGGCAACCTTATCCCACTGCTAAATGTGGGACCCTTTGAGCATCAAAATAAATGAAAGTAAAGGATTCTAACCCACTGAATAGAATAGGAATCCATGAGTCCATGGTGATATAAATGAACAAATAGGAAGAGATGAATTGTTTTCCCTGTAATGGAATGCCAAATAATAATTATAGGAGTGATGGAAATAGAAAATTATCAAATGTCAACTAACACAGTAATAATTAATTTAGCCAAGAAACACCACTAAAACTAGTGAGTGAAAGTTTGATGACGAATGGGATATTTATACCTCTTCAAATGTGATATTCATATCAAAAACATATAACTTGAAGTTAATTATAAGGAATCATCAGACAAATACAATTTTACATTCTACAAAGCAGCTCTCCAATACTCTTCAAAAAATGCCAAAGTCATGCAAGTCAAAAAATACTGAAGAACTGTTCCAAATATAAAGAGAGTAAAGAGATATGACAACCAAGTACAACTTATGATCCTGGACTAGATCTTTTTGATACAAAGGAGATTACTTAGACAATTAGTTAAACTTGTTAGAGCATAGGGACTAAATGGCTATCAGGAACCATGCTCATTTACTGATTTTGATGGTAGTATTTTGGTTATTTTTTGTAGGAATTACACAATAAATTATTAGGAGGGATAGGGCATCAGGTTGGAAACTTACTCTCAAATGATTTAGAGAAAAAGTTCCTTATACCATTACTTCGACCTTTTTGTAAGTTTAAATTTATTTAAAGTATCTTTAATCACCACCATTAAAAACGATATAAAATGAAACAAAGCTCTATTTCATTTTTAAATAGTAAAGCAGCTTGTCACAAAGACCTATCAACAGTCTATACCAAGGGTACCCAACTCCTGGGCTGCAGACCAGTACCAGTCCATGGCCTGGTACTGGTATGGTTAGGAACCGGGCCACACAGCAGGAGGTAAGCAGCAGACCAGCGAGCATTACCACCTGAGCTCCACCTCCTGTCAGATCAGCGGCTGCATGATATTCTCAAAGGAGTGTGAACCCTATTGTTAACTGTGTATGCAAGTGATCTAGGTTGCATACTCCTTATAAGAATCTAACTAGTGCCTGATGATCTGAGGTGGAACAACACTTCCATCCTGAAACCATCCCCCCCACAACCCTGGTCTGTAGGAAAATTGTCTTCCACAAAACAGGTTCCTGGTGCCAAAAAGGTTGGGGACCGCTGGTCTACACCTTCTATACCTCTCTGTCCAGCTCAACTCAACGTTAAGCATTTTATCAGATGTAACGTGTAAGACATAATTCTTGTGTGCAATGATTTTATAATAATCTATAGAGGATCTAGGTCTTATGTAGAGTAAGACATAACTGTTAAATCCAGATAGTTTATGAGAAGTTCCTAATGAATCATACATGCAAAACTGGGTAAAGTATTTGAGCCAGTGTTTGCTCTCAGCCCACCCAGGGAAGATGAGTTTCTGTAAAAAGCATAGAAAAATAAAGAGAAAGAATTTAGAACTAGACAAGGAAGATCTTCAGATGCTCAAACAACAGCAATGAACCAAGGGCTTCAGAGAAGAGAAGCTCTGAATAGCTGCTGAGGCCCAATTAGGAGATGGCTGAGTCAATTCAGGTGTATGACAACAAAAGCACTAACCAAGGTGAACAATAGCAGAAGGAAAAGAAGGTAAGGAAAGAACGCTATTGGAATTTTAAATGCAAAAGAAACAATCTGTCTTCTTCAGCTTAGAGCACAGGTTGGCAAATGCTTTCTGCAAAAAGCCAGATATGAAATATTTTCAGCTTTTAGGCCAGTTTCTGTAGCAACAACTCAACTCTGCCACTGTAGTGCAAGAGCAGGCATAAACCATACTTAAACAAATAGGTATGGCTTTGCACCAATAAAACTTTATTTACAATAACAGGCATGTGGATCAAATTTGGCTCACAGGTCATAATTTGCCAACCCCTGGTTTAGGGAAGTCCAAGATATGAATAACTGTATGGTTTTGACTTAGGGTGACTTGAAGAATGATCACACCACTGAAATGAGTAGAAAAGCCAGGAGGAGGAGGTATTCAACATAACAGCATCAGTTTCATTTACCCATGCTGTGCTTGAACACTAAAAGGAGAGGGCTAGCAGAGCCAAGGGATTGGTGACTTGACCATAGAGAAAAGAAGGCCATAGAGACAGGTAGCAGGATGCATTCTGTGAAGGTGTTGGAAATGTAAGGTAAAAGGTAATCAGGAAGCATGTGAGAACCATGAGAATGTGAGGACCAGACAGGTAGGAATTCGAAACCAGGCACCAGACAGGCATCAGAAGGGCACTGAAGGTGAAATGGAAACAAGGTAGTGAGTTAAACCAGAAATACGGGTGGCAGACATATCCTAAGATGACCCCCCTCCAGTGAATCACACCCTTATACAATCCCTTCCCCTTGAGTGTGGGCAGAACCTGTGACTTACTTTGTACCAACCGAATACAGCAAAAGTGATACGATTCCATTCCCATAATTATATTCCATTATATAAGACTCCATCTTAGCAAGCTGGGCTAAGAGACTCTCCCTTGCTGACTTTGAGGAAGTGAGTTGCCATGTTGAGAGGTCTGGAAAAGGGACAGGAGGCAAGGAATGAGGGTGGACTCCAAAAGCTGAGCGTAGCCCCCAGCCAACAGTCAGCAAGAAAATAGGGACCTTGATCTTACAACCACAAAGAAATGAATTCTGCTAACAATCACATGAGTTGGAAGTTGAACTGAAGCCCCAGAGAGAAATGCAGCTCAGCTGACACATTGATTGCAGCCTTGTGGGACCCCTGAGCAGACGACCCAGTTAAGCTGTGCTTGGACTCCTGACCTATGGAAACTGTGAGATAATAAAGGTGTATGGTAAGCCTCTAAGTTTGTGGTAATTTGTTATGCAGCAATAGAAAACTAATACTATTAGGAAAATGGTGTCCCAGATGGTGCTGTGATTTCAAACTGCAATTCGTTTCCAGGTCTCCTTCTATTTGCCAGTTTATGGCTATTCACAGTTTTTGGAAATCCCAAGCCTAGAAATGCCTCAATTATTACCAGCTTTATACATTTTCTTGTCACTTTTCAAATAATGGGTGGGAGGTAGGAGGAAACCATGCTAGAATTATTTTACTTAAACACGAATTTGACTTCACTTTGGACAATAAGACCCAATCATAGTATATCAACATTGAAACATCAGATAAAAACTTAACCATTTTTCAAAAAGAATATTTAATGTTGGAATTGTAATGCCAAATGTGAATGGTGAAGGGTGAGAATGAAGCAGTCAAGAGGTTGGAATTGAAATGGGCATCACATAATTATTTGCCTATTCTTGCCTCTTCTGAGGAATGTCAACAGTGTAAAAGCAAGCCAGAACAGGCTTTGGGGGAATTCAAATTTGTCTCTAGACTTGGAAAACAGAATGCAATTTGCAGTGTATCATTTTAATGACCCTTGTTATTTAACAGTGCAATAATAAACAGAACAAATCAAAAATTCTTTAATATATGGTTTATTTTATTTTATTATTATTATACTTTAAGTTTTAGGGTACATGCACACAATGTGCAGGTTACATATGCATACATGTGCCATGCTGGCGTGCTGCACCCATTAACCCGTCATTTAGCATTAGGTATATCTCCTAATGCTATCCCTCCCCACTCCCCCCACCCCACAACAGTCCCCAGAGTGTGATGTTCCCCTTCCTGTTTCCATGTGTTCTCATTGTTCAATTCCCACCTAGGAGTGAGAATATGCGGTGTCTGGTTTTTTCTTCTTGCGATAGTTTACTGAGAATGATGATTTCCAATTTCATCCATGTCCCTACAAAGGACATGAACTCAACATTTTTTGTGGCTGCATAGTATTCCATGGTGTAGATGTGCCACATTTTCTTAATCCAGTCTATCATTGTTGGACATTTGGGTTGGTTCCAAGTCTTTGCTATTGTGAATAGAGCTGCAATAAACATATGTGTGCATGTGTCTTTATAGCAGCATGATTTATAGTCCTTTGGGTGTATACCCAGTAATGGGATGGCTGGTTCAAATGGTATTTCTAGTTCTAGATCCCTGAGGAATCGCCACACTGACTTCCACAAGGGTTGAACTAGTTTACAGTCCCACCAACAGTGTAAAAGTGTTCCTATTTCTCCACATCCTCTCCAGCACCTGTTGTTTCCTGATTTTTTAATGATTGCCATTCTAACAGGTGTAAGATGGTATCTCATTGTGGTTTTGATTTGCATTTCTCTGATGGCCAGTGATGGTAAGCATTTTTTCATGTGTTTTTTGGCTGCATTAATGTCTTCTTTTGAGAAGTGTCTGTTCATGTCCTTCACCCAGTTTTCGATGGGGTTGTTTTTTTCTTGTAAATTTGTTTGAGTTCATTGTAGATTCTGGATATTAGCCCTTTGTCAGATGAGTAGGTTGCGAAAATTTTCTCCCATTTTGTAGGTTGCCTGTTCACTCTGATGGTAGTTTCTTTTGCTGTGCAGAAGCTCTTTAGTTTAATTAGATCCCATTTGTCAATTTTGGCTTTTGTTGCCATTGCTTTTGGTGTTTTAGACATGAAGTCCTTGCCCATGCCTATGTCCTGAATGGTAAAGACTTAAACGTTAGACCTAAAACCATAAAAACCCTAGAAGAAAACCTAGGCAATATATGGTTTTAAATAATTAGAAACCAAACATTCTATATCAGAATGCAAATTTCTATACTAGAAAAGAATGGCTTAAAAAGAAAACCCTAGTGAGCCATTCAAAGAGCACTGCTATCTACTGACCAAGTCCTATACGTGCTGAGCATTTAATGAACAGCTAAACAAACAGAGGTACTCAAAAGACCAACTTGATAAACCTGATAGGGGAAAGTTATACACGATTCTCATAAGAGTCACGAATAATATAGTTAATATAGTTGTGGAAAAAGGAATATTTATATATACTAACATGGACAATGTTGAAGGTAATGAAATGTGCTTGTATACTATAGTCCTATTTATGTTAAGAGAGAAAGAGGAGAGAGAAAGAATGAACTAGATGATTAGGTCGCTATCCACCAAAATTTGTTCTTCATTTCTTGTATACAATAGAATTGTAGCTTGGCATATGGCCTCCCAGCTACACTTCAATTCTCGGCCCCATTAACAGTTAGGGATAGCCATGTAAGTAAGCTTTTTCCCAGCCTTGTCTCTTAAGTCAAGGTGCACGTCTTCTTCATACTCAGTTTCACTCCTTACCACTAGACAAAATGGTGACCACCAGAGTGACCTGAGGGACTATGTTGAAGATGGCAAAGCCAGTGTCATCTTGGGTCCCCAGCTGACTGCCTGGAGCACAGCTTCCTATCAACCTGGACTATACATGTTGGGCCACGATGCAGAGAAAAAACAAATCTCATTTTTTTTAAGCCACTGAATCACGGAGGCCTTTTATAGCAGCTTAAGCAATCCTAACTTATATGCACATTATAATATAAAAAGTATATCATACTATGTATGTGTCTGTATATGCACTGAAAATGTTTGCAAAAACACTCAACAAACTGTTACAAGTGGTTATTTCTGGAGAATCAACAAACATGGCAATGAGGGGCAGTAATTATTGAATAGATTCAAAGAGTGATGCACATGAATTCTCTGGTCCAGAGCCCATCCCAAAAGCTCAGACTGCATCATGGGAACTAGGCTTAGCCAGCTGAATGCTCCTGACCAGCACTTTAAATGCGTGGAGAGTGACGCAGAGCAATAGGACAATGAGATGGCACAATTCATGGTGGCCAAAATAGCATTGAGAAGCCAGCAGGAGTGGTGGTAGGTGTCCATTGACACTTCCTTACCTTACTATTCATTGGTGTGACTGTGTTTGTGTTACCAACTGCCAGTGGTTTGGGGTATGGACAATAGGGTCGGATTCCTGAGGGTATCTGGGCCCCAGACAAGTAAGCAGAGGATTCAGCTGTGGAGTCCAGATGTAAGAGCAAAAAGAGTTGCTCAACAGAGAAATAGAACAAAGACGCACGTAAATATAGTAAGACCTGGGCTCTACATTCAAGCATCAAAATATTTCGTAAAAATTCCTATCAAACTGACAGAAAAAGGTTATGTAAGATTTCCCATACAAAACAGAATGCCTTTTTTTTTTTTTTTTTGAGATGGGTCTTGCTCTGTCACCCAGGCTGGAGTATAATAGCAGGATCATAGCTCACTGCAGCCTCAAATTCCTGGGCTCAAGTGATCTTCCCACCTCAGCCTCCCAAGTAGCTGGCACTACAGTCACATGCCACCATGCCCAGCTCCATTTCTGAAATGAAAACTGGGCTCCTCAACACAGCAGTATGGATGTTTGGGACCATTTCTGTTACAGGGATGGTGGCATCCTGTGCATTAGATAATATTTATCAGTGTCCCTGGTATCTACCCACTAGACACAAGTAACATGCCTCCCTCCTCCACTGTGACAACAAACACATCTCCAGCATAGCCAGATGTCCTCTGAAGGACAAATCCTCCCCTCCAACCCAGGTTGAGAACCACTGCATTAAATGAACAAATAAAAATCAGTGTATTCCTTCTAATATGTTTTCTTTTAAAATCCACACAAAATGGTCAGATCCTTTGGGACGTAACTGAGCATTGGCTCAGTTGGTAAACATGCCTGGACATGCTATAAAAACTTGTGGTCAACACAACATGGAGCCTTACATTAATTAAGAGAGATTACAGAAGCAAGATTCAGAAGGTCATGGCAAATGGACCTAATAAATAAGACTGTATTTGAAAAGGATAAATGTAAGTTTATTCACTTGAATCCAAATCAACAACAGCAAATTATAGGATAAAAGAGTAGAGATTTGGTTCCTGAAAAGAAGTTCTGCAAGAGCAGATGCTTTCAGAGTCATTTCACACATACTCCTAGTGGTCAGCTAGGTTGACTGGAAGTAAGTTCACCTCTGAGAGGTGGTCACCAGGCTTTGAGGAACCTGAAAGGAAGTCTGGAACCCTCATAGTCTAAGGTGCTGAAGGTCACAGGTCCTGCTCTGATTACAGAGAGATTTTTGTAAACAACTCACCCTTTGTGTACTTATCTGGGGAGTTTTGCAGAAAAGCCAGGGTAGATCAAAGGCTCATTCTACCATCTATTTTTATTTTCATGATTACCTTTGCATATCTAAATAAATGACTCTAGATGGTTGGAAGTTAAGGAGCCAGTCACTTTTGTTTGAAGAAGTACAAAAAGAAAAACATTTACAGATAAGAGATTTAAGAATAAGAATTTTATAACTAGCTTAACATATTTAGGAAATATTGGAACAAAAATAATCATATCAGTAATAGAGAACCTCAGGCAGTCTCAGGACCTATATTTGCATTTGTCTGTACAATAATGTTTGAGCCAAGTAAAGACCCAATGACATCATAGCGCACTATATGAATGAACATCTCAAGTAAGGAGAATAGAGGCAGAAAATTCAGTTATCATGTTAACACAAGGTAGCCCTTAAAGAAGTCTGTCTTTTAGTAGTTGGTGGAACATTCCCAGCCTCTGCCCCCACCCACCCCTTTCCTTTTCTCTCTGGCAGAGACTTACCTCCTACTGAGGGCAAAAATGCCATATCCTTGCCCTTACTTCCCTAGACTCCTTTGCAATGTGGATATGGACACACAACCCAATCCTGATAAATGAGACTTGACGGGACTTCTCCCAGGAGACTTTTGGGAAAGGTTTTTTTCCAAAATAACAAAAATTGAAATTCCCTCTTTTCTTCACCTGAGTATGCTCTTTCACACAGCACCTGGTAAGGCTGTAGCCTATCTACATGGAGAGAGACATCTCTGAGCCAGGGAAGAGAGATGAACTGTATCTGGGTAAATGTAGTCACTGAGTCCCTGAGGTAATCCTGGAACCATGCTCCAGGTTTATGTCTGTGGCATGCTGACTCTAAGGTGGTCCTAAGGATTCTCCTCTTTCCCTTCCTGGTATTTATGCCCCTACCCAATCTCTTCCCTTTGAGCGTGAGCTGGTCTACCCAAATATGGCAAAGGTGCTGTAACAAATAGACTCCATAGCACCTTCTAACAAATAGAATATGGCAAAGGTGATGGGACGTCATTGCCAGAATTGTAACTTTTGTCTTGACAGTTGATTCTGCTGTTGCCTTCTTGGCTTGCATGCATTCATAAAGTAAGCTGCCATATTGGAGAGACCCATGAGGCAAGGAGTGGAGGAGGGTGGCCTCCAGCCAACTGCCAATGAGAAGGTGAGGCCCTTAGTCAAATGGCCTTTAAGGAGATTCTGCAAACAACTAGGGTAAGCTGGTAAATAGGGCCTTCCTTCACCAGTTGAGCCTTCAGATAAGACCCCAGCTCAGGCTGCCACCTTAACTGCAGCCTCATATAACTTCTGAAGCAAAGAAATCAGCTAAACTGTGTCTGAACTCCTGACCCACAGAAACTGTGAGATAATAAATATGTATTGTCTTAAGCCACTAAGTTAGTGATAATTTGTTACACAGTAATATCTAATGCCATGCTTATGTGAGATAAAAAATGTTCTTACTATTTAAGCAACTTTCAATCATGTACTCTGTTAGTGCAGCCAAAAGTAGCCTAGCTGATACACAGGAAGATTTCTTGTGTATATCCTATCTTTTTGTGCTTGTAATATTTTATTAGCACAAGAATGAGCTACTGCTTATTACAAAATTTATTATCTTATATATCTGCTACTATAAGATTCTAAAAAAAGCTGTGTGTTATCTTTATATTCAAATAAATGAGGGACATTCACAAAATTATCAAGTGTTCCTCATTACAGTTGACATTTGAGAGTGATTCATTTCAGTTAAATGTATTCAGATTATTTTGAACTAGAAAAAAAAAGAATTATTGTGCTTATTTGTAACATTTTAAAGCATTCTTATACAGACAGACATTTTCTACATTTGTGTTATTGAAATCAAAGCATGGAGTTGGACCCAAGTCTTCATTTTTTTTAACCATACATCCATCACTGGATTTTAACAAAGCCAAATCATCTGTCAAATTAAATTAATATTACTACTGTGAAACTTACTGATTGTTACATATAAAGTATTTGTTTTGATTAATAGATTTAGTAGTAGGTGGTTTCAATGCAATAGAGGAATATCCCAGAGAATCATTATCCATAAAATACATAAATCCTCCTGCCCCTTATTTTGTAGCACCAAAGAGCTGCTTAGTGGGAAGCTGTATCACACATCAGCCCTACAAGTTGTGGTGACTATTTTGGTGACTTTCTTTTGGGGCCCATATTTGAAATTCTGTTTATTTTCTCTGCTATGGATACATCTTTTATTGGTTTAGTGATCACCAGATCTTCTTTCTTCTGCTTTGGCTTCAACTGCTGTGGAGGAGGAGGACTTAACTTTTTGTGGTTCCCTGAGGGCCATCAAAGTGAATTTACTGTATGCTACGAAGCCTGTATTTTAAGTAAGATCATCAGAAACATAAATTTCTAATGCAATACATCCAGCCATGTTTGTGTGATACAAATAACTTAGTTGGATTATATAGATAAGATTTCTGAACATAAGAAGTTTATTCATAGTCTTACATAAATAACTATAGCCCTATTTCAGTAAAATTAGAGTAAGTCAACACTGGGAATCTGTTATGGACTGAATGTATCCCCCTAAAATTCATATGTTGAAGCCCTAACCCCCAATGTAATGGAATGTGAAGGCAAGGTCTTTGGAAGATAATTAGGTCCAGATGAGGTCTTGAAGGTGGGACCCCATGATGGGATTAGTACTCTTATGAGAAGAGAAAGACCAGAGTGTGCCTCCCTCCTCCCACCCCCTTCCCCCTCCCTCCTTCTCTCTCTCTCTCTCTCTCTCTCTCTCTCTGCCATGTGAGGACACAATAAGAAAGGGTCCATTTGCAATCCAGGTAAAGAGGCCTCACCAGGAACTGAATCTGTCAGCACCTTGATTTTGGATTTTCCAGTCTCCAGAACTATGAGAAATAAATTCCCATTGTTTAAGCCACCCAGTCCGTGGTATTTTGTTATAGCAGCCTGAGCTAAGACAGAGTTCATGAAAATTTTTCTTCCTAATTGATCACTACTTGAACAACAAAACTCTAGAGTAATGGTTCTCAACCTTCCTTTTTTCACTTTAACACACCAAACAATGATGCTCACATACACGACATTCTTCCATGCGGGTATAATCCCCAAAGTTGTGCACAATTGGCTGCCACCTCTTTATCTTGCAATCAGAATAGGATACTAGAATATAAGTCAGCATATCATTATTGTTGCTGTAAGCTTGAATTTGATTGAATTTCAATATATAAATTATATTTTGCCAAAATTTGAGATTTATCCATGTTGACACATATTGGCCCATTTCACTTATTTTTACTGAAATATTATCCCATAATTAATTTATCTATTCTCATAAGGGTATGTTCTTTCTGATTTTTTCCCATAACAAATAATGTTGCAATGAACAGTCTCATGCACGTATATGAGAATTTCCCTAGAGTATGTATTTAGAAGTGAAGCTGATGATTCAAGAGCCTGGAATCTTCCACCTTAATAGACACCACTATATTGCTCTCCATAGAGGTGGTACAATTTATAGGCTTTCATGTTTACATGCAATGGATGAGAACTTCATACATACTCTCATTTTCTTTCACTTTCGTTAACTCCAAAAATTTATCTGTGCCTGTTGCCAGATGACTAAAGAAGGAGGAGTATCTATATCACAAACTCAGCTCCACCTCATTCCACTCTCACCATCTGTGCATTCAGTCAGTCACTCCTTCAAAAGACATTGATAAAGGGCCCACTATGTGCTCAGTCCAGTGGGGGTGTCAGAGTAGGAAAACCTGTCTGTGCCCTCCCTACCATAAGATCTTAGGCTACTCATTTCAGCCTCCTGAACTTTGGTCTTATTTTAATCAAAGTGGGGTAACATTTACCTCACAGAGTAAATAGTAAAAAGTAAACCAAAGTTTGAGTATATCGAAGCATCTGTGGGCAAAGGGAATTTAAAAAAAAATAAAATAATGTCCCAATTCTCAAATACTTTTTTGTTGTTGTTGAAATAAAACAATTATACACAGGTAGAAGAGGTGACCTCAATAATCCTGTCCATGTTTTGAAACCATTTGGTAAAAGAGCAATATCTGGAAGCAATTTATTTCATTTTTTCTTTTGCTTATTTGACATATAATTGTACATATTTATGAGGAGGCATTTTGGCATGAACATACTATGCTGCATTTGGTCAGGGTCTCTGGTAACTTCCAATACAGATTTTAAGAACCAGGGTACCTATCAACTAAGTTATATCTAGGAAAGCACTTCTCCCCTTCCCTGTCCCACTAACTAAAATAACATCCTGGAATGAGATGTTTCTGTTGTAATATTTTCTGGCTATGTCTAAGAATGCCAAAACAAGTGAAAACGAAAACATGCAGGCAAATCAGGTACTTGGCACTCTAAGGACTGGTTGTTTCATTGACTTGACCTTTTCTCCTTCTAATACATTGAGTCAAGCTGACTTGTGTGTGTAGATGAACCCTAATGTTTATTGCGGAATTGGGAGTCATTCATCTTTAGTCAGTCATGTGCTTGATGTGAAGATATTTGTGAAGTTTACATTTATGGAAATGTTTTCTCAACTTCAGGCAAGCAGTTTTTTTTCCCCTTCTAAACACACTGTAGGACTTTTTTTCTATTAATTTGTTTATCTTCAAAATAGTAGTCCTGTATTTCTCCACTCCTTTGCTTTCTTAAACAAAATGGTGTCTCCTCATTCTCCCTCTCCATTCCCCTCTGGGGCCTCCAGGACTTAAAGATCCTCTCAATAGTCTTCTTGCAGTAATTCCTCTCCAAAGAGCAAAGGTTTCTCCAACTTTTAGGTGTTTATATAACGACTGTTTTCTCACATCTTTTTGCTATCTTGGGCTCTAGGTTCCCTGACTTCTGGTTCCCAGTGTTAATGTTCTCATTTTTCATCTATTTCATCCTTACTGCCTGAAGGGACTCTGATCCTTGCCTCTCCCAGGCACTGCTGGATGCAAATGGGAAGAGGAAGCAGCGGCATGGAGGTCTGCCCCTGGACAAGGGCCATCTTTACATTCTGAGGCATTCAGATTTGCCAAGTGTGACTTCAGCTGGAAACAATCTTGAGACAGAAAGACTTACTGAGCCATATTCTGCAGTTTAATGAGTGTGCACATCAGCTTTCTTCTCAAAGACTGATTCAGATACCTAGGTCTCGTGGGTTTTTTTATTTGCATAATTTTCTTACTGGAAGAGTAATACTATTTTCTAACAGAGTCTTTAGGAGGATATCTGAAGAAGGGAGAAAATTGTTTAGTCACATGTAGAAACTTTTCTGTGATTTTATAAAATGAAAGTACTTGAAAGGGCATTGAGCCACCTGAACCACTGTTTCTTCTTTTCATTCTATCAATAAATATTTATGGACCCTTCCTTTCTTTGGAAGGTACTTCCCAAGTCACTTGGTCATCTACCTGCTTCATCCATGGGGGTTCCCTCTCCTTATTGACTTGCCTACTAAGCTGTACTCCACTGAGAATAAAATACCCTTTTCCAAAGTACATTTTAATAATTTTTCACTAAATCCCACAACTTAAGTTTCGGAAGCAAAGAGAAGGCCAGGTGCGGTGACTCACGCTGTAATCCCAGCACTTTGTGAGGCCGAGGTGGGTGGATCACTTGAGGTCAGGAGTTCAAGACCAGCCTGGCCAACATGGTGAAACCCCGTCTCTGCTAAAAATACAAAAATTACCCAAGCATGGTGATGCATGCCTGAAATCCCAGCTACTCAGGAGGCTAAGGCAGGAGAATTGCTTGAACCTAGGAGGTGAATGTTTTAGTTAGCCGAGCCGAGATGGCACCACTGCACTGTACCCCGGGAAACAGAGCCAGACTCTGTCAAAAAAAAAAAAAAAAAAAAAGAAGAAGCAAAGAGAAACCTTTTTTTCAAAATGAAATTACTAGTATACACTTTAGAAAAATCATATAAAATAAATCAAGTCTTTTGGGGGGGAAGGTTATAGAATCTCAAGTGGAGCTCAGCATTTAACCATAATGACAACTCTCTCTTGTAAGCTCTATTTATAATGTATATGAAGATTTCAATAGGATCATGGACATTAATGCCATAACATGATTCATGAAACACCCACCAGAACACACACTAGAAGAGCTGACATGAAACAGTCAACAGCGTGGTTGTTGGCAAGGTTTTGAAACCCTCATAACTCTAATATAGAGGTTGGCAAATTAGTTCTGTAAAGGGCCAGATAGTAAATATGTTTGGCTTTGTGGGCCATACAGTTGCTTTCACAACTACTCAACTCTGCCCTTGCCACAGGAAAACTGACATAGACAATACATTAAAAAGAAACTGAGATTATGTTCCAATAAAACTTTACTTACAAGCTGGCACAGTGACTCACCCCTGTAATCCCAGCACTTTGGGAAGCTGAGAAGGGAGGATTGCTTCACACCAGGAAATTGAGACCACCCTTCTCTCATAGCAAGATCCCAACTCTGCAAAAAGTTACAGAATTACCTGGGTGTGATGGTGCACACCGGTAGTCCTAGCCACTTGGGAGGCTGAGGTAGGAGGATCACTTGAACCCAGGAGTTTGAGGCTACAGTGAGCTGTGATCTTACAAAACAAAACAGGTCTTCTAGCCATAGTTTGCCAGTTCCTGCTCTAATACATTGTTGGTTAGAATAAATTTGTACAAGCAGGTTGGAAAACTAAAACTAAATTACAACTGACATTTGAACAACATGAGAGGAGTAGGGGCGCCAAACTCCCATGCAGTCAAAAATCTGTGTATAACTTTTTGACTCCCCAAAAACTTTACTTTTAATGGCCTGCTATTGACCAGAAGCCTTATCAACAGCATAAACAGTCGATTAACACTTAGTTTGTATGTCATGTATTATATACCGTATTCTTACAATAAAGTAGGCTAGAAAAAAGTAATATTATTAAGAAAATCATAAGGAAGAGAAAATATATTTACTATTCATTAAGTAGGAGTGGATAGTCATAAAGGTCTTCATCCTCATCATCTTTATGTTGAGTAGGTAGAGAAGGAGCAGGAAGAGGAGGGTTGGGTTTTGCTGTCTCGAGGGTGGCAGAGGCAGAAGAAAATCTACATACAAGTGGACCCACACAGTTCAAACTTGTGTTGTTGAAAGATCAACTGTGTGTGTGTGTGCACATGTGTGTGTGTTTATATACAAATGAAGCCTCAGCAATTTCATTTCCAGGTATAGACACATGCAATACACAAGTGTGTTTATTTAAAAACATGTACAACAATGCATGAGTTGCAATAGCCAAAACCTGGAAATAACTCATATGTTCATCAATGGAATAAACTGTTGTATATTCATACAATGGAATACTACATGGCAATGAAAAGTACATTAATTACAACTACATGTGACAATCTGAACGTCACAAAAATGTTAAAGCCAGACACAAAGTAATATATAACATGTGATTACATTTGTATAAAATGCAAAATTAATCTATGGAGTTACAAGTTGGGATAATGATTACCTTTGGCAGACAGGGGCAGATAATGCCTGGAAAAGGAGGCCTGAGAAGTTTCTGGAGTTCTATTTCTCATGATGCTTTATTTCTTGATCTGATGATAGTCACATGGGTGAGTCCACTTTGTGAAAACAAAGTGAGGTGTGTATTATGATTTGTATACTTTTCTGCACCCATTTCATACATTTATAAAATACAGTTGACTCTAACAACATGCATTTGAAATATGCAAGTCAATTTATATGCTGATTTTCTCCTGCCTTTGCCACCTCTGAGACAGCAAGACCAACCCCTCCTCGACCTCCTTTTCCTCAGCCCACTCAACAAGAAGACATGAGGATGATAACCTTTATGATGATCTGCTTCTACTTAATGAATACTAAATATATTTTATTCTTATGATTTTCTTAATAGCATTTTCTTTTCTCTAGCTTACTTTATTGGAAGAATACAGGGTATAATTCATATAACATACAAAATACATGTTAATCAACTGTTTATGTTATCTGCAAGGCCTCTGGTCAACAGTAGGCTATTAGTAGTTAAGTTTTTGGGGAGTCAGAAGTTATATGCAGATTTTCTTTTTTTTCTTTTCTTTTCTTTTCAGATGGAGTCTTGCTCTGTCACCCAGGCTGGAGTGCAGTGACGCAGTCTTGACTCACTGCAACCTTCACCTCCAGATTGCAAGCGATTCTCTTGCCTCAGCCTCCCAAGTAGCTGGGATTACAGACGTGCGCCACCACGTCTGGCTAATTTTTGCATTTTTAGTAGAGACGGGGTTTCACCATATTGGCCAGGCTGGTGTTGAACGCCTGACCTCAAGCAATCTACCCACCTCAGCCTCCCAAAGTGCTGAGATTACAGGTGTGAGCCACCGTGCCCAGCCATATGCAGATTTTATATTGCAGAGAGGGTAGGAACCCCTAACCCCTCATTGTTCAAGGATCAGCTGTATTTACAAATAAGACTTGTGAAGACTTCTTCAATAACCCACACAGTTCAAATCTCCTGTTTCCTCAGTGAAACTTCGCTTCTTCCATTGGGTTCCCATGGCACACTGCACATTCCTCGACTGTGTGTATTAATTCATGATTATTTATATATGTTCTTGCCAGGGTTAGACTCCTGCTACTTGAAAACAGGGACTACATTTTAATAATCTTTTTGTCCCCAAAGCCTAACAAATAGACTGATCCACAGCAGACTAGGAATAAACACTATCAAATGATTTCAAACACTTTGGATGATCACTGGAAAATGCTACCATGAATTGATTACTCTTTAGCCCTTGCCAAAGACTCGTTGCAGTCATTTGATAATCCAGGGAGAGATTCCCAAAGTTCGATGGAAACGTTCTTTCTCTCTCTCGGATCTTCAGAGACACGACTCTTTATTCATTTGATCACAAGCAAAGACAATACCCAGAATGTATTAGTTCTGCAACTCAAAGAAATGAATTTCATCTCACAAAACCTAATGTTATACTGTCTGCTACCGTTTTAGTAGAGAATTTAGACCAGAAATATCCATTTGCACACACACACACACACACAAAGAGACACACATACACACACACAAACACATGCACACACACATCTGTGTCTTTTGCAAAACCGTGGTTGAAAAATTATCTATTTTCTTATACAATGTCCCACATATAATGCCCTACAAGATATATTTCTCTTTAAAATCAATGGCAGGAAAAAAAAGTGGTCTTGGCTGATGGAGTTATGTATCAATTTTTTTTGGGGGGGGGCTACCCAAGAACTGTTTCTTTTTTTCTCATTTGTTGGGAAATACAGAACTCAATCAAATATTCAACCCTAATGATTAAGTCATTTCAGGACTCCAGTGACATCCTTGCTTCTGCTCCTTCTATTCTGTTTCAGTTCTACTTTTATTTGTAATTACTTTTTGTTATTATGTTTAATTTGTTAAGCTTCCTTGGAAAGCAGGTAGAGTACATATCTTAAATTAGGGTTTTTCCACCTCTGTACTATTGACATTTTAGACTAGATAATTTGTTGTTGTCAGGCTGTGCTGCACATTGTAACATGTTTAGCAATATCCCTGACCTCTTCCCCCCAGGTGCCAGCAGTGTCACCAACACCACTCCCCAGTTGTAACAGTCAGAAATGTCTCCAGATCTTGCCAAATGCCCTCTGGTGGATAAAATTACCCCCGTTAAGAATCCGTCTCTTAACTATATAAATAAATATTGTAGAACCCTTTTAAACCCTCATATCTAAACTTGTTCACCAAAAAGCTATTAAAGAAGATGCAATGAAAATTATTGATTAAAACCCCAACTATATCTTTACTCACATTAAGTGCAAATAAGCAGGTCTTTAGCTGAATGAGGAAAACACATACACACCCACTGGCTTACTGAGCCAGAAGACTGAGACTGAAGAGACACACAGTTAAAGTCAGGGAATGGACAATGGTGGTTTCATGCCTTTCCTGGAGGTAAACACATGGGGAGAAAATGAACAAAAATGGTTAACAGCCACCAACAATGCTAGAAAGATATTTCAATGTCACATTGGAGAAGTTTTAATGGGAAGAGTAAACCCAAAAGTTAGCATGTCTTCCTTTTTGTACTTCTCCTCCTTAGACCTGGTAAATGAAAACATCTGGAAGATGATTGGATTTGTTTTTTTCAAAGTAAAAAATGACTGTAAAGTCTGGGTGGCTTTTCTTGAGCAAACTTGGGAGCTTCCCTGAAATTTTCCCCGTAAAGACCAACATAATGAAGGAAGGCGCAACAGAGTCCAAACTAGGCAGATGACAAGCCAGTAAATAAGACCAACCTCCCACCAGTATAGTGCATTACGCTTTCACCTATGAGCTCCCGTTTGGCTCTCTGTGGCAGCCTAGGCAGGTTGTGTTCCCCTTGTTTTATGCTTGGGTTAGTCAAACATGTAAATGGCACAGATTCGTGAACTTGAGGTTTCATACTATTATTGAGTGTTATAACACAGAAGAACTTCAATATCACTGATAAGTAGAGAAACGCAAATCAAAACCACAATGAGATACCATCGCACATCAGTCAGAATGGCTACTATTAAAAAGACAAAAAATACCAAGATGCTGGTGAGGTTGTGGAGAAAAAGGAATGCTTATACACTATTGGCAGGAGTGTAAATTAGTTCAACCATTGTGGACAGCAGTGTGGCAATTCCTCCAAGAGCTAAAAACAGAACCAACGTTCAACCCAGAAATCCTATTACTGTGTATATACCCAGAGGAATATAAATAATTCTACCATAAAGACCCATGCACGTGAATGTTCACTGCAGCACTAGTCACAATAACAAAGACATGGAATCAACCTAAATGCCCATCAATGACATATTGGATAAAGAAAGTGTGGTACATATACACCATGGAATACTATGCAGACACAAAAAGAATGAGGTCATGTCCTTTGCCGGGACATGGATGAAGCTGGAGGCCATTATTCTTAGCAAACTAATGCAGTAACAGAAAACCAAATACCACATGTTCTCACTTATAAGTGAGAGCCAAATGATGAGAACTCATGGAGACAAAGAAGAGAACAGACATTGGGGCCTACTTGAGGATGGAGGGTATAGGAGCAGAAAAAAATAACTAGCAGGTACTATGCTTATTACCTGGGTGATGGAATAGTCTGTACAACAAACCGCTATAACAAGAGTTTACCTATATAGCAAACCTGCACATGTACCCCTGAACCTAAAATAAAAGTTAAAAAAAGAACACAGAAGAGCTTGAACGGGGATTACATCAATTCTATGCAACCTACAAGACCCTCCTCCCTGAAGTCTCCCACGATTCTCCCCAACTCTCAGTCAGAAGCGTTTGCTTCTTCTCTTCAGCCTTTGTCTTGCTCTTACATTAGCATTATCTGAGTGGGGGCTTTTTCTTCCTAAGACAGTACATAGTCTCCTTTTTTATATATACTTTAAGTTCTAGGGTACATGTGCAGAACGTGCAGTTTTGTTACATAGGTATACACGTACCATGGTGGTTTGCCGCACCCATCAACCTATCACCTACATTAGGTATTTCTCCTAATGTTATCCGTCCCCTAGCCCCCCACCCCACGACAGGCCCCGGTATGTGATGTTCCCCTCCCTTTGTCCATGTGTTCTCATTGTTCAACTCCCACTTATGAGTGACAACATGTGGTGTTTGGTTTTCTGTTCTTGCGATAGTTTGCTCAGAATGATGGATTCCAGCTTCACCTATGTCCCTGCAAAGGACATGAACTCATCCTTTTATATGGCTGCATAATATTCCATAGTGTATATGTGCCACATTTCTTTATCTAGTCTATCATTGATGGACATTTGGGTTGGTTCCAAGTCTTTGCTATTGTGAATAGTGCCGCAATAAACATACGTGTGCATGTGTCTTTATAGCAGCATGATTTATAATCCTTTGGGTATATACCCAGTAATGGGATGGCTGGGTCAAATGGTATTTCTAGTTCTAGATCCTTGAGGAATCGCCACACTGTCTTCCACAATGGTTGAACTAGTTTACAGTCCCACCGACAGTGTGAAAGTGTCCCTATTTCTCCACATCCTCTCCAGCATGTTATTTCCTGACTTTTTAATGATTGCCATTCTAACTGGCATGAGGTGGTATCTCATTGCGGTTTTGATTTGCATTTCTCTAATGACCAGTGATGGTGAGCATTTTTTCATAGTACATAGTGTCTTAATCATCTTTATTTTCTCCACTGTTTTCCCTAAGCACAGAGCCTTGTAGGACTCCAGAAATGTTTGTTTAATTGAGCCTGATCTATTAATATACTCTTGAACCCCTACTGATTATTCAGTAGAGAAAGTTGAGTCATTAAAGCCTCATTCTGAAGGGGAGAGGAATTCCTAAGAAATATCTAGAGGTTTGTGACTCTGTGACCCTTCAGAAATAAGGGCGGTTATTGGCTCTTTGCAGGGGGACTCCTTTCCCTACACTCTCCAGGATGTGACCTTCCAGTGACACTTGGGATGGACATGGCAGCACAGCTTTTGAACAGTGACTGAGGGTGTGCTTGAATAAGAAAGATTCCACATCTCAGTCTCCGTGTCTTTAAAACAAGGGATATTTGCTCAGGTGACAGGGAAATTTATCTCAGGGGCCTCTACTGTTTCTGCGGCATAAAGTGTACATTTGTATCTTCTTAAAAAAACAGCATAATTATTTCCAATACACACTTTCACCTCATGAGTTCTCAATCCTTGTGAGTGCCCATGAGTCAGGAGATTCACTCCTATTTTGTAGAAAGAAACTGAGGCTTCTAAAGGTTGAGGAACCTTCCTAAAGCCATTGTGCCAATTAATGACAGGGCAAGCCATCTGATTTTCCATCTAGGGCTGTGGATTTCCACAGAGGCAATTGTGCCCCCAGGCAGACATGTGTATTTAAATATGAGAATAATGATGAAGTTATGGGACTGTCAATCCCCCACTTTGCCCCCAGCTCCTTGCAGTTGCCTCTACTGACAAAATCCTAAAGCCCTTATTATAGAGTAGAACTTTGGCCAGCAGCCTCAGAGAGACTTCTAGTGGTACTTATAGTCCCACTGCTAATAAAGTAGTATGCACTCATTCAACACATATTTCTTGAGCCTCACCTATGTTTTTGCACAAAGTATGCTGAAAGTCAAAACACCCTCGTGGAACTTGGTTTCTCAAGAGGGAGACAATTATTAAATGAAGAAATCACCCAAATAATGGAAAGGTACAAGGAAAGAAAAGTACAGGGTGTTTACCTAGCATGGATGTGGGTAGGTATGGTTGCCAGATTTAGTAAATAAGGTACAGGACATCCAGCTAAATTTGAATTTTACATAAAAAATGAGTATTTTTTTAAGAGTCGGAGTCTTGCTCTGTTGCTATGATACAATGGTGCGATCATAGCTCACTGCAACCTTGAACTCCTGGGCTCAAGTGATCCTCCCACCTCAGCCTCCCAAGTAGCTGGGATTACAGGAGTGAGCCACATCACCTGGCTAATTTTTAACATAAGTATGTCCCATGCTATATTTGGGACAGATTCATACTGGCAATATTATTCATTATTTATCTGAAATTCAAATTCACCTGAGCAGCCTGTATTTTACCTGGCAACCCTAGGGAGAAAAGAAATAGCTGTAGTTTCAGAGATGCAGGCTTGCCCTGACCCCGACTGTAACCCCAACTCCTAACTCCATGCCACTAAGTCCGTCTTTCCATTTCCTTCTAAGCTGCATACCAGTCAACTTGGCTGGGGTATTCCTAGCCTGACAATTTCATTGCTCCCAAGGACTGACTCCAGCTGCCTTTGGACCCACCCAAGGACTGGAGTCCTTCTGCAATATGCTCACCTCTCCAGTCTTCCACTGTATGCCTCCTGTGCTTGGCATAGTCTCTGGAGTCAAAGATATCCCTTCAACCATCACTTCCTCAGCCCCACCCCTTTCGAATCTCAGCTTCCTCGTCTCTTCACTACTTCAAATGCTGATGAAATTCCAAAATGTGCCTCATGCCTGAGCCAACTCATACTACACACACACACACACACACACACACACATATCACGCATCACACATGCGATCTATATGGTAAGTTAGTCACCATTTGGCCATTTGGCATTTTATCATTTAGGTTTCTTTATTTACCATCCCTCACCAACATAGTGATAACCTTGATATTGGAATCATTAAGGAAAACTTCAAATTATACCCATCTGAGTTTGGGTACTAAGTTATGCTATTGATTCTAAACCTCTGCAAACAAGTGATCGATCTACTTACAGTGTTGATCATAATCCCATGAGAAGATCTTTTGATCAAAATATCTCATCCCTACAATGACAGTTAACAGAGTTCATCATACTGGGGAAACTCCCCCAAATTCTTTATTTGCCATTCATCATATATTTAAGAGCATCTCCACAACTAATATTATTCAGCTAAACAAAATAAAATTTGAGATTTCTGTACCTAGGACCAGGAAGGGGTGGAAGTAGAAAAGAAGGGGGATAGCTAGGGAGCTGAAAAATAATGTTTGGGGCCCAATATACAGCCTATATATAGAAGACAGAGATGTCTTCTTTAAGTTGTACCTCAAATTCTACACAGAATTCTGAATATATGCATTTTGTGGAACCTCAGAATCAAATTATTTCCAAGTTGGGAGTGACTTTTCTTTTCATATGCAAACACTGAGGCTCTGCCAAGCTAAGTGACCCTCCTAGCCTATCAGGTGGACCTTCACATTCTCAGTCCTCCCTGATATTTTGCTACATTCTGTTCACTATTACTTTTTAAATTCAGGGTACATATTTTTAAAAAGTGGTTTTTGTTTTGAGAAATGTTCCATTCAGGAATTTGAAATCGTAAGTCTAAAATCCAGAAGGTTATCAGAAAAGAAAATCCAGAAAGCAAAGATGGTTAGAAAAACATAAGACACTTTGTCCTGTGTTAAAAGTTGCATCAACAAATGGTGAGTGGAAGGAATGTGGCTAAAGGCAAGAAAAGCTAGGTTAAACAGTCCTCGCTCAGTGACGTGGGTATAGCAATTGTCAGGAAAAGGTCCAGTGGTTTCATAGGCCCCACTTCCAGGAATAACTCCTCTCACCTCCCTGTGTTCAGAATGAGAGGACCTCTAGGGTAACAGGGATACCTTTAGATGCCAAACAAAGAAAATTCAGAGATAGCAGTTGGTGTTTCAAAATTCTCTCAAGGAAAACATTCAGTTGACCTTTGGTGTATCAGATTAAGCTGTGGAATGTCCAAAGATATGTAATGTGTACTTTCCTGCATGACAGATATCGGATCAGGGCAAAATTATAAACAGCATTTTCCTGCAGATGACTAAGAGAAGTACTCATAGGAAGTTATCCCCTCCAGAAATAATCTAAAATAGATTATATATGCCCTTCTTTTCTGTCTAGAAGAAAGTTGGAGGAAAAATAAGGAGATCATTATATTTTTCAATAAAGAAAAGGGAAGGTGAGTGTGATAGGCGGCACCAGTGGCCCCAATTCTTCATGGCTCCCTGAATTCATACCCTATGTAGTTTCTATCACTAAAGAGGATATTTTCCTGCCTGCTGATTTTGGATTTGGCCATGCGATAGTATGGAATGGCCAATGACATGGTAGCCAGCTTGAGGCCACAGATGCACTTGGATGATTGAGCTTGTACTCTTTTCCGTGTCACAGCTATGAAAAAAGCTGCTGCCACCCATCCTGGGTCCCAGAATGAATACACAAGGATAAAAGTTATTCCCATTTTGGTAAGAATCCAAGGTCACATGGATCTAGAACCTGAATCAGAGTAAAAAAGCCCAAGCTTGCATTGTGCACTCCCAACCAATCTGAAGACTACGGAGTGATAGTGATGGCCGTTTTAAGCCAGGAGATGGAAAATTAAGGCCTTCGAGCCAAATCCAGCTTCTATCAGCAAACCATTCAAGGATCTGACATTTTTTAAGGGTAGAAAACACATCAGAAGAAGATTTTGTGGCACCTAAAAAATTTTATGAAATTCAAATCACAGCATCTATACATAAAGTTTTATTAAAACACAGCCATTCTTATTTATGTATTGCTTATGGCTGCTTTAGCCCTACAAGCAGAGTTGAGTAGTTGGGACAGAGAACATATGACCTGCAAACCTGAAAATATTTACTACCTAGCTCTTTCCAAAAAGAGCTTTTTGATTCTCCTTAAAGCCACCAAGTTTTGAAGTGGTTTACTATGCAGCAATATGTAAGTGATTTTCCCCTACAATAGAGCGGCAAATAATTATTAGTAATTGCATTACAGGAAATGAGCATAATTAAAATGACACAAACGTAGAAGAATCAGAGGATCTATGGTTCCTGAATGGGTTATACAAGCCTGCTATTGTATCATATTGCCAGGGATTCTTGAGTAAATTGATTATATTTCCTGTGCTATGCTGGATTATTTTGCATCCAAATACAGTGATTAAAATAGAGGAAGGAGACATTTTTGCAATGCTTGCTACTCCAGAAGAAATGGCACTTGCCTCCTTACCTTGCATTAGACTTTATACCGATTGATACTGCACCCAGAGAGGAAATCAAAATGGGTGTACGAGAGTTTCTTTCCTAACCCCTGGGAGGACAGTGGCCATGCCTTGTACAGTGTATACATTCCCCTCAGGTGTCTTGCACATTTCAAGGCTAACAGCAGATAACTGAGAAACATGTGCTGATTAAAGACATATCTCTGAAGACAACATCGTTCCATAAAGAAGGCATGGGACTGAAGGTCTAGAGACCTGGCCTCTATGCCTGATCCTGCAACTAAGTCATAGGATTCCCTGGACCCATTGATATTTTGGTCCATTGCAGAACATCCTACCTGGCTCACTCTGCTGGTGGGTTACAGGTGTGTGGAGGTGGTAATCAACTCATCCCTTGAACCAGCCAGGTGAAACAGACCTGGGGAAGTCAGAGCCCCATAATCACAAGCAGCCTTGTCCTTTTACTCTAGCGTGCCACAAAATTATGATTTTTTTTTTGAGACAGAGTCTCGCTCTGTCACCCAGGCTGGAGTCCAGTGGCATGATCTCAGCTCACTGCAAGCTCTGCCTCCCGGGTTCACACCATTCTCCTGCCTCAGCCTCCTGAGTAGCTGGGACTACAGGTGCCTGCCACCACACCTGGCTAATTTTTTGTATTTTTAGTAGAGACAGGGTTTCACCGTGTTAGCCAGGATGGTCTTGATCTCCTGACCTTGTGATCTGTCCGCCTTGGCCTCCCAAAGTGCTGGGATTACAGGTGTGAGCCACCACGCGTTTTCTTTATGCACCATGACATGAAAATGGATAGGATACATTTGGGGCAAGTTGTGACAGGATTTAACCTATAAGGAGATTAGTTTTGTGTGATAGCTATTTACTTTTAAAGTGCAGGGTAAACCTTAGGCCTTTCAAATTAATTCTTCACTGATCAAGAGTAATAAAAACATAACCTGGAAATTATTTTAGAAATCTCATTAATTACCATGGAGATCAGGATGCTCAGAAGTGAATAAATCAAGCTTAGTGTTCTCTCTTTCCACACTATGTAGCAACCTCCTCCCAGACTGTGGTGAGTTTATCTTACTGATGGAGCCTATTAACAGTTTCTCCATATATACAACCTTTGAAATGTGACTTTGCAC